>NC_000005.10:57609807-58234807 GCF_000001405.40 Homo sapiens
CATATAAAGATTACAAGCAAATGGTGGAGAAAAATATACCCTGCTAATACTAACCAGAAGAAAGCAGGAGTCGCTATATTAATTTCAGACAGAACAGAGCAGGCTTCAAAGCAAGGAAATTATCAGGAATAAAAAGAGGCATTACATGATGATAAACAGATCTATTCTCCAAGAAGATGTAGTAACAATACTTAATGTGTATGTGGCTAACAACAGAGTATCAAACTATATGAGACAAAAACAGATACAAAGTTCATATACAAAATTTAATCACTTGTCTATATACCAGCAATTAACAAGTGACATTTGAAATTAAAAACAATACTATTTACATGAGCACTGCCCCAAATGACATACATATATATTTTTTCTTCTGTTTACTTTGTTCCCTCCCAGTTATCACATTGCTGATTAGCATATCTTCAGTTGAAGTATTTTTTAAATTTTTTATTTATTTTTTGAGACGAAGTTTCACTCTTGTTGCCCAGGCTGGAGTGCAATGGCATGATCTCGGCTCACCACAACCTCTGCCTCCCGGGTTCAAGCAATTCTCCTGCCTTAGCCTCCTGAGTAGCTGGGATTACAGGCATGCGCCACCATGCCTGGCTAATTTTGTATTTTCAGTAGAGACAGGGTTTCTCCATGTTGGTCAGGCTGGTCTTGAACTCCCGACCTCAAGTGATCCGCCCTCCTTGGCCTCCCAAAGTGCTGGGATTACAGGTGTGAGCCACCTCGCCTGGCCTTAAGTTGTAATATTATGTGATATTAGAGACATTAGAGACCTGACATTTCTTTATCCATTCTCTCAATTTATCATTGAAAAGCATAACATGAAGCAAAATGTTAGGCTGACTTTGATGAGATTCCAAGGTCTGGCGTTGAACTTGGAGAATAACAATAATCAGAATTGGAAACAGATTTGAGAGGGAACATTAAAGCAGTGAGAATAATTCAGCCAGAAAAGAGCTAGTAAGGACACTCATAATAGTGTTATATACATGAAAAACGATTTCAGCTCTGCAAATGGTTCTGAGTAATCACAGCAATGCTAAAATTGTATTCAGTCTATGAAGTTTGCATGGGCTCCTTCCTCAGGTGTTTGACTCTCTTAAGAGAGCTTTCTATGCTTTCCATCATGCTAAATGAAACCTCACCTTTCAGCGTCATCCTTTGATCTTTTTTTCTGGAAAGGCAAGAGGCCTGGAGAACCTGGGACATAACACCAGGACAGCTCACAATTGAGTTCACAGCTATCGTTACATTTCTGTGTTCTCTTGGACTTCTGTCTGCCACATGACCATCTTGATGTCCTTTGTAAATTCTGCTGCTAGTGCCAGCTGCCTTAACTCCGTGTTTCCCAGAGCTGAATTCTGAAGAATGGAATTTGATTGGCTCAGGTTATCTTTTCCCACCAGGCCAAAGATCTAAGTCTGGCCTATGGATGGGTTGCCATATTGTTTTTAAAGAAACACATTCTTGATCAATTTCACTGTGGCTTAGTGTAAGGCTGAGGTCACATGGTACAAATGTAGTCATTTAGTCCTAAGAGGCTGTGGGTAGGCAGTTTTTCTCAGGAAGGGGATATGGATGGCAGGTCTTATAAATCTAACCGCAGCTCAGAGAGAACGTCTCAAGGTCACATAGTTATGAATGGTAGGAGGGGCTCTTGTTTCCACTCTAGGGCTTTTTCTTTTCTACCTCAATGCTTCTACTGAAATAAAATGGGATAAGTTAAAATTCTTCACTTGGTTTTCCAGGAGATGAAAAAGAGGCTTTCTTATACATAAACATTTTTCAGATGTTGCTTACTCCACAAAATGAAATGTCAGGGCAAAAATACTCAAAATGCTCATCTATACAGTATAATATGAAAAAATATGCTAGCTAAAAACTGTTTATTTGGGTCTCCTACTGATGTATTTTTTCCCCCTCTTCTCATACTGCAATGCAGTGGGGTTAGAATTCACAGAAGGAGACTTCTAAGTGAGCCAGGAGAAGAAGAAGATGACAGATTTTTTTTTTTTTAAATTTTGGATCTCTAAGGAGTTGATGTCAGAAAATTGGGTTGCCTTGATGATGGTTCATAAATCGGTCTGAGGAACATCATGTTCTAAGAATGGCATAGATGCCAGAGAAGGTAGCTGCCTTGCTTCTTAGACACACTATTCTTGCAGTTTGATAATCCTGCTGGCTGCTACAAGTTCTGTAGATGGAGAAATGGGAACCTGGTTCAACATAAAAGATGCATTGTGTGCATATGTGAGAGAAAAAGAGGGAGAGAGAGAGAGCACTGGAGGCCTGGATATTTTCTGGCCATTGGAAAATACACAGAATTTCTACCAGCCATATGTGAAAAACGATTTTATTTCTTCATTGTTATGCTTCAGATATGCCTCAGTTTTGTGTAAAACAAATATTCTTATGGATTACTATAATAATTGCTGTGATCTAGTGAATCCTGCTGTGATTTGGTAAATGTGTGCTATGTTCCAGATCTCTGACACCTTATAAAACAAACAAACAAAAAAACCAGATGAGTTGGTCCCTTCCCATTTTACAAATTAGAAAGCCGAGGTTCAAAATGTTAAACAACTTGTCTACCTATGCAACAAGTGACGGAAGAAGATGGCATTCAAATCTGTCTGTCTAAAGCTAAAACTTGTGTCTCTGAGCCAGGCCCTGCATCCTACCTGCATTCCCCTCTGGGTGTGGAATTTAAGGCTGGTCTTCTGGGTGGGCATGGAGGTTAAATGTTAATGTAGAAGAATTTGAGAGATTTTGAAAGACTACCCCTCCCTACCAAACACACATTGAAAATTATGTCCCTGTCACCTGCAAGTGAATAAATTATGTCATTAGAGACTTTAGTCCCTTGGGTTTATAAGTCTTCCCTTGTCTTCTAGAATGTCCCACAAAATCTCTCACACAAAAGCCCCTCTCCTTCCTCTGTGGTTCCGCAGTCCTTTGCATGGCCTTCTTTTACAATGCTGATCTCACAACCAGTAAGACTGGTATTTATGCATCTTTTCTCCTTTGAGTACAATTGTTTTTTGAGAGGAGGAACACTTGTCTTAATACTCCCATGTCTACATTTTGCTCTGCAGTTAGAAGAAACTACTGAAATGTATCACTTAATGGCTGTGTGTAAGAGGTGTTTGGTTCACAAAAGTAGAAAATACTTTTCTCCAGGGGACCCCGCTGGAAGGGGAAGCTGAGCAAGGCAGAGAGGGTATAGGAGGTGTCGTAGGGGCATTATGAATGAGTTTCTATGAGAAAATGTCCTCTCTAGTTATGTTTGTGTAAAATCTTATTCATTTTTCCATTCTGAACCTGATATTTCTGGTGTTTAAGTTAATCACTCTGTTAACTATATTGTTCTTTGAAGAGAATATTTATAAAGTAGCCCATTCATAATTATAAATTGAGCTTCCTGTAATCGAAAGGGGATAAAAATAAAAGGAAGAAAGGAGAGGGAAAAGAAGAAAGACAGGAGGGAAGGAAGAGGAGGTGGGGGAGGCAAGAAGGGAAAGTTTGGAGGAAAGGATGGAAGGAGGGCAGGAGGGAGGGAAGAAGGGGAAAAGGAAGGATTGACTTTAGATCTCAAAGATAAACCAGTTTAGCCTCCTTTTTCTTCAAAAGTGACTTGAAGACATTTTATATTTCCCCAGATCACATGAGGCCAGACACTCTTGGATTCTACTAGATTCTAGTTTCATGCTATCAGATACGAGAGGAAATGGCACAAATCAGTTCTTCTATATCACCACTTGACTGATTCTCTGATGACAGAAATGAGGGGACTAAGTTTTCAGGAAGATCCTGAACACTTGATGAGGAGGATGATGCTTTCGTTCTTTTCAAAAGAGCACTGAAGAGGATTTCTCCCCTACTAGGGCCATGGAGAGCAAATTTCTATATCCTAGGATATGGGCAGGGGAACAGAAGACAAGGTAGACACACTGGGTTTAATTTGACTCTGTTTTAAGAGTAAGGCATTGGGAGAGTGTTGTTTTAACAGACCACATGTCATTCTTAGGTATTCTCCTTGCCTTTTTCCAGGTACTAAATGTCAACCCTTTTTTCTCTAAGATATTTATGATGGTATCACCTCATGGCATTTGTTCAAGTCCTTGTTTTCAGGGTTATATATGACCTCAGGCTACTTCAGAGCCCTGGCAGTTTCTCAAGAATTGTCTCACTCTTCTTTCTAAAGATGGGATACTTGATTTGAAGGGGATTGTTATGGTGTGTGTGTGTTTGTATATTTTCAACATGGATGAATAGCCTTGGCAATGTCTTACATTATGTGCATTTTTGGCAATTGTGACTAGGGTTTATTTATATCTATGTATTTTTTTTTCTTTCCCAGGGATGACGCTGTGTTTCAGAGGAATTCATAAGCAGAATTGAATTTGTTTTAGTTAACTCCTTATTTGATTGGAATATTGTCGACTTAACAAAATAGTAGAAAGAGCATTGGGCTGAAGTGAGAAGATTTGAATTCTAGTCCAAAATCTGTTACTAACCAGCTCTTTGACCCTGAGAAGTCATTTGACTTGAATTATAGTCTTTTTCTTATATGGGAAAGGTGGAGTATACTCAGAGTCTCTCCTAAGTGCTAAGATTCTGTGATTCTATGAAATCAGACCATCAGAGAGGAATACTGCAGTGTTCTCCTGCATGGGTTGTAAATGGTAAGTAGAAGGTTAAAATGTGCTGTCAGATTACTTCTGTAGGATTATATTTATGCTTTACTTTAGAGATTTTTCAGGAATTTGATAGAGAGAAATTTTGGGACATGCCTCAATTTATTGGAGTCTGCTCCTGATTATCCACAGCTATTTGAAATAATTTGAGCTCAGAATTCTGTGGAAATGTTTTATGAGTAAATATATTTGATATAGGTATAGATATAGAAATTATAGATAAGTAGGAAGTTATTTGTATAAATCAGATTGTATGTGTGGAGGAAATGGGGGCAGGAGAGAAAGAAAGAGAAAGAGAAAACACTAGTTTATTTATGTAGATTAGGGGAAGAGCATTAACTTAAAAATATGTTGAGCGTAAGATGGGAGCTTAGATGGTATCTGATGAAAAGTTATCTGTAATGTAAGTTACAGCCATCTGTCAAGATACGAACTGAGAGAACAGAGCAGATGGATGGGAATGAATGTATAAGAAGACACAATTCTCACCCTAGGTGAAGGTCTAACAGGGTAGATTCATATTTCAGGCTTCTAGTAATCACTTTGTTAATAAACGAACCATACCATTTCCAAACTTAGAGCAAGACACCCAAGATAGAACAGCTTCACAGACAACTCTAATCTCATTTATCATCCTTGCCATTTGCTGATGAGTCTAGAAATTTGTCAGACCTATTTTGTTATGCCTGGGAAGGCATGGTTTCTTTATCAACATCAAAATAATAGGAAGCCAGTCAAGAGGTTGTTCACCTTTCTCCAGGAAAAGAGAGTTTGGGAGGGAGATATTTTATAAGCATTTTAAAGAGACAAGGGCCTCTGACTATGTTTCTTAATTTGTCCCCAAATAACCTTGTCTACTATACAATCAAGTTTAGAAAACTTATTTAAGGTTTTGAGATTCAAAGAGAATTAAAGGAATGAAAGCTATCTGTTTCTGAAATCATTAGATCTTTAAGCAAACAATTGTATTCAATGGAAGGTAGAGATGCTCTTTCATTTAGATGGAAAATCAAATTATAAAGATCATTCACTACAGGAAGGCAGCTGCAATAAACATCCAACTGATTCAACTGCAGAGATGTAGGGTAGGTAGAAATCCTTCGAAAATTTGATTTCACTTCTTTCTTATGTTCCATGTAGTCTTTAGCTGTAAACACAACTGGACACATTTTTGTAATTGTTACATATCCTATAATAGTATAGAACTGGGACATAAATTGACTATTTGGCTATCTTCTTGATAGAATTGATTTAATAAATTTATAAGAAGCTCCAAATATATAACTCAATTCATTAAGTGTTACTTAGGAGAGAGTGATAAGAACTGTAAAAATAAGGAGAAATTTGAATTTAACTTGAAGGTGACCTTTATGATATTCTAGGATGGATAGTAAATTTGCCAAAGTAACATCTGAAGAAATTCAAAGTTATAATAATAAAAGCTATTTTTTTAGTCCAGATACTGTGTCTAGTATGCCATAGACATAATATTGTTTAGAAGAAAAGGAATCTACATTATGAAGTAGAATTAGTAGGTGAAGCCTGCTTAAGGCAGAGAAGCTTAGATTTGAGATTCGAAGGAACATTGTAGGGTAGATCTCAACAGGGATTTGAGAAGTAGCATTCTGGATTGGGCTATAGAATAAGCCAAGACCTGCAGGCAAGAAAGAACAGAAGATAAAATATATGTGTGGGAGAAAAGGGGCCCTGGCTGTAACAGAGTGGGAAGAAGGTAGGTACCTAAGATGAGTACAATTTGTCAGCCTAAGGATTTGCTGTTAAGTCTAATTCAAAATGATTTTACAGTATAAAATACCATCTTGTTAGTGACAGACCTTTTGTTTCTCCTTTCTTTTGCTATTTAACTGTTCATCATGAAAAATATATGAGAGAAAACAAAGAATTATAAAACAAAAGATTCTGCTTGTGGATATGTCAATCAGTAGAGAAAGAACAGATGACAACTCTAAAAATTATCCAGAAATTCATAGTTATTATTTTGGGAGCTCTTTTCTTAACAATCAACACAAAGGCTGCTGTTTTTTTTATTTTCCTTCATAGCATTGCTCAGTAGACTAGCATTCCCTCAGTCAGGTTGTCTGACTTTTCAGTCACATATTTTGTTTTGTTCTGCCTTATTTCTACCAGGCATTAAGCACTGTATTCAGGATGTTTATGTTTTTTTTTTCTGGTTATATTTTTTCTTTCCAGAGAAAAAAGAAAGAAGGAGAGCAAAATGACTTAAAGACATTTTCAAGAAAAAAAGAGGAGAGAAGTCACTGAAATGGAAAAATAAACATATTATATAACTATTTATTGCACTATGCAATAAAAACATCTTCAGCAACAGCCACACAAGTGCGGGTAGAGGGTCTGCTTTGAAGAGAGAAAAAAGGCTGCTGCAGAAAAAACAAACCTCAATTCATAATTGGAGCTTTTGTTCTTTCTGGATTGTTTTGTGAAGAACATGCTGCCAAAAAACATTTTTCTTCTGTAACCGCTTCTTTTGAAACTCCATTCTTTTTTATTTCAAGGATGTTTATTATCTACTCATTTCTTTTTATTTATTTTTGAATCATATACCCCAATGTCTAGATGACTGGGACCACTAGGTTTCATATTTCCCAGATGAGATTAGTTGTACAGTTCATTTTGCAGGTTTATTCAGAGCATTTCAATGGCATTTCACCTACAGTTCACCTATATTGAGTCCTAAGAAATTGAAGGTGTTTCTTGATAGTTCTCCTGCTCCATCTTCTTCCAGGGGATTGATTTGGCTTCTTATGTTTTTGTATTTGGTTGCTCATTAGAGATAAGCCTGATTATTTGGCATTGTGTATTTTCTCTGTTTTAAAAAGGGAAAATACAACATGTTATTAATTATTATGATATAATAAAAAATGGAGAGAAGGAAAAAGATTTTCATCCTGACACTTTGAGTCATTTTAAGAATTTTCAGCTTGCTTTGTCATTTGTTTCTTTAAACTCAAGAGATTTGGTTTCTGAATTTGAATAATCTTCAATACACTGCATGCTGATTCACAGGTCTCCAGTAAAACAACTTGAAAAACTCAAAAAAGGATCGAGTGGCATCATCTGTGAATATAATGTCCCAATCATCTACAAATTGCCTTTTAAAAAGAAAAGCCATTTCAAATGTATATGAGCATCATGTAACAAAAATATTAATATTTTAGCTCTGTGCTCATTTCAACTTATAGAAAACACCTCATTCCCCCCCCCAAATTATTACTTAGTTCTAAAGCTAGATATATAAAATTTTAGGATGAAACCAGATTGAACAAATTCTGCATCCTTGAAAATACATGAACACTGCAAATAATGATACAAATTCTTAGCATTACAATTTGTTTCTAGCTACTTAATAATGACCTGGATTGAAAATTAAAATAGTAGTATAGATAATCAAAATAGGGACAATGTAGTGCTTTTTCTCTAATCAGTTTAACTGAATAATGCATAGATTCAGTATCCAGAAGGAATATCATCAACAAAATTACAAAGTTACCAGGCTTCAGGGCACAATAGGACTTAATTGTTTCTGGATATGAAGCTCCTGATAGCATCATAAGAACTTTTAACTAGAATTTTGCTTATTGCAGTGGAAATTTAACTGTACTGTATAGGTATATATCACTAAAAATAAGATGAAAAAAAGACGAGATGGCATATACAGAATCGATAGCCCTCAGACATTTGAATGCAGGATGCAGCTGCTTTCTTGCAGAATATGTGGTGGTATGATTTATGGTCCCCCATTCCTAATAGTTTCTTCTATTAGCCTGTTATTGATAGTTGAAATGCAGTACATTAATTAAGATGGTTTTGAACACAGGTAATAGAAAGTCCAACTCAAATTATTTTAAATGTATTGTCCCATATAGAAAGTGCAGCAGTACGGATAGCCATTAATGTTGGTTGATTCACAGGTTAACTGTGTGATCAAGACCACGTTAACACCATCATTCTGTTCTGCTTTTCTGAGTCCACTTGGTTTTTGGCCTGTCTCATCAATGATGTAAGATGACTTTTTGGGGGGATGCTGGCCTTTGGAACCCAGCCACCTGGGGAAAACCCAGGCTGCGTGGAGAGGCTACATGTAGGTGTTCAAACCAACAGCTTCAGTAAGTTTTAGTTGATAGCCAGCATCAACCACCAGAGTGAATAAGCTTTCTACTAAGTCCAACTCCCAGCCTTGGAGTCTCCCAGTTGAGGTCTCAGATATTGTAGAGAAGAGGCAAGGCATCCCTCCTATGCTCTGCTGAATTCTTGACTCACAGACACTCTAAGAGATGATAAATAATTGCTCTTTTCAGCCCGCTGAGTTTTGGGCTGATTTGTTATACAGCAATAGATAACTATTGCTATTGCTATATGTTTCATTGTTCATGTGCAGTGTGTAGGGGGGAGAGAGGAAAAGAGAATGAAACTATGATAAACCATTCTCCACTATGAAATTACAGTCTTTCTGTTCTGTCTGATTGAGTCAACTTGGTCTTATGCCCACTCCTAGACCAGTAGCAGTTATCAGAGAAAGCTGTGCATTGGTTGGTTTGGAATATTTGAGGTCTCTCTCTTGAAGCTGCGAATGGAGCCAGCTTCCTTGGCATCACAAGCTGTTTAGGGGTTAGTTACATACTTGAACCAAATATAGTTAAAAAGGAGAAAGAGGAAATGAAAGGTGAGTTAGGCGAAAATGCCCACTACATGCAAATAGAAAAGGGTTTACAAATGTTAAAGTACCCTGACGATTTTGCTGCATTACTATATGATAAAAATTTAATTACAGAAAACTTTTAGTATTGAAGCATAAATCAATATTTATAGAGTAGCTTTTGTATAGAGGCACTGTAGCAATTTCAAGGAGTTGATGATTAGTTAAACATGAATCTTGCTCTCCAAGAGCTATATACTAGAGTTGAAAAACAAAAAAGTGAAAGCAAAATACAAATTAAGTTACAGGGTAGTTTAGAAAAGAGAGGACTCACTTCAACTTAAGGTCAATCAGGGGAGGCTTTTTGGAGAAGCTGGCCTTTGTCCTGAGAGAATGAGTCAAATTTGGAATTATGGAGAATGATAGAAAAGGGATTCTAAGCAGAAGGAAGAGCACATGCAGAAACGTGGAAACGGGAAATGTATAAAGTCTGAGAATAGCACAGACAAATTAGAAAATACAAGTGGGGCCTTATATTGACTTCTTATAGTGCTTTCATCATCAAAGAAGCTTGTATGGTATTAGTGCAGGAAAGGGGAAAAAAAGATCTAATGAACAAATAACCAAACAAGCTAACCAATCAAAAACAAAAAAAAAACAAAAAACAGAAGCACTCATAGAAACATTCCCATATATATGTGGAAACTTGGTATATAATGGAGGACATTACATTTCAGAGGAGAAAAGGACTATTCAATCAAGAGTGCTGAAACAGTTATCCAAAGTGATGGAAAAGGATACAATTAGGTCTCCATCTCATCTCACACACAAAAACAAATTTCAGGTGGTTTAAAGACCTAAGTGTGAAACACAAACTGTGAAACTTTAGAAGAAATATTGAAGCATCTCTGGATGATACCAGAACAGGGATAGATTTTTTAAAGATGTCACAACAAACTAAAAGAAAACACTAATAAATTTGACTATTTGTATAAACTTCTAAATGAGAGTAGACGTCACAAGTAAACAGACACTGCAAAGCCAAAATGCAAGCCTCAGATGGGAGAATACATGTGCAGAGCATATAACTAAGAGTTGGTTTTCAGAATGTGAAAAGAAACTTTAAAGTCATTGTAGAAAACATAGTCAACTCGAGTGAAAAATAAGAAAATCCCCAAGACGGGCAGTTCACAGAGGAATAAACTGAAATAGCCAATTAACATTTGAAGAGCGACCTCACTAGTAAACATAAAAGCAAATTAAAGCAATGAGATTTATTTTATACTGATGGAATTGGAAAAAACCCAAACATCTGATGACTCTATGTGTAGGTGAAAACTACGGCAAAGTGGAACTCTTACACATTGTGGACAGGAGTGTAATGATCAAGAACTACTGAGGAATGCAATTTGGCAATTGTCAGTAAAGTTCAAGATGTACACTCCACATCACATCTGGAAATTCCCCTCATATATATAGGTGTCTCTGAGCCTGGCTCAGACATGTCCACTAGAAGAGTTGAACGAGGATGTTCATTGCAATGCCATTCATAATAGTATGATTGGCCTCCATATCTATCCATAAACAAATACATACATTATGATTTAGTTATATAATAAAATGCAATAGAGCAATTTAAATGACTGTACTAGATCTACATGTGTTAAATTGGACAAATCTCAAAAATATACTATTGATTGAAAATATCAGTTGTGTGCTCACAATATATTAAGTTTTAAACTTGATACCTCAGCAATATTATATATTGCATATATGTTAGGTAAGGCACCAAAACAAGCATGGAATTATACACACTAACCCCAAGATGATGGTTACCTCTAGGACTGAAGGAAGGAGAGAGCGGAGTATGTATTTGTGTGTGTATAAAAAGTCTGAAGGAATTGTGACAAAATATTTATACCTAGTAAATCTGAACATTGGGCACACAGATCTGTTATATTTTCCATATATATTTTTCTATGTTTGAAATACTTTAAAGTGAAAACACATTAAAAAGAATAAAAAGGGAAGTATTTAGATATGCCTTTCCCCTGTCCAAATGGCTATAGATGTACTGAGAAATTCTTTCGGTATAGAACATTTAAAACTACAAAAAAAAAAGTTCAAAATATATATAGTTGAGACTGTAAGAAATGAATGAACTCGAACAGAGATAGTTGGCAAAACCTAAAACTGGCATTTCCCCTGGGCTATCAGCCAGACTTTTATAACCTAGAGCTTGAGTTATAAAAGGCTACAAGGGTCATAGAAAGCCAATACTGGATCCACAAAAGGTGGAAACTTGTATAACAGACCCTTACACAAAGGTAGGTTTCCTCAGACAACATCACCACAAATGAATGGTCCAGATATAAACCTGCCCAATAGATGCAATGAGGATTTATGTCTGTCACAGAACTCTCTCAAGTTTAGAAAGAAGGGCAGGAGCCAGATCATTGAAGTCTGATGTGACAACTGACCAACAATATATTCATACAGATTTTCTGGGGGGAAAAAAAGCAAAAGGAAAAAGAAAAACAGATGGTATGGCACTCCCCTAGAGGGAAAGACTTGGGTAGAAGTAGGCATGAAGACACGTGAGTAGGGCAGGGTATGAGATTGAAAGGAGAGGAGAGAGCCAGGAAAGCATGCCACCTCCTTTCTCATGTTTCATATGGCCATCTCTCACTTGTACGGGCCAGGACAAGAGGCAGAAGTGATGTTCAACCGAAAGAGAATGAAAATAATGCCTTTGTTACTGATCCCCTTCTAATCCTGCCATAGATTCTTAACTTAATCTCTGCTTTTTTCTCCACCTTCCTAAAGCCTACACATCTTCGTAAAGTCTAGCTTAGACTCACTTTCCCCATGAAGACTTCTCAAACAACTCTTCTTTGAAAGCTATAGTCTGTATTAAAACTTGAGTATAGGTCATCTTATTTTACAACTTATCATTACTTGGTTTGTGTTTTTCTTGTTTTCCCATTTGGATTACAAGTTGTTTTGCAGTCATACATATCTTATGGAATACCTAACACAGTGTTAAACATTAACAAATTCTTATTAATTGCTAGAAGGATTATAGTTTCAATAATGAGTGGCAAATCTGAGGGGAGGATTTACCTGTAAAAAGTGTGGTCATTCCTGCTAGGAGTTCTACCCTTGAATCAGGCATTAACTGCTCTTTTTAACCTCAATTCTGTTAGTACTATAATGGTGAAATATTGAGTAATAATCATCTGTCATAAGTGTGTGTGTGTGTGCGCATACTAATTACTTGAAGCTTTTTTTTTTTCTTAAAGCTATATGTTGCTCACCACTATTTGATCTCAGGCTTAACAGTTGAGGTTTAGGGTTACAAAAATGGGATCTATCTATACCTGATTAAGCAGAATCAATATTAATTGAAGGATTTAAGGTGGCTTAAAGAATCGATGAGGAGTTTGGAGAATCCAAGCTGGACCTGAACCACAGAAGACAAAAACTTGAGATAGAATACTGTATGTTAGAATCTCTTTTGTTGACACCGCTGTTGCTGGGCTCTCTTCAGCTTACCTTTGGAGTCTATTGCCCATACTTGCTCCACAGCACTGGGCTCTCATCTCTGTGGAATTCACTGGAAGACAGGTCGTGCACCTTTGCGTCTCATTCTTAACACTAAAAATCTTCGGAGTATCTGTTTGGGTGGGCTGAAATCGCCCCTTTAAAGGGTTGGGGAGAGAGTGTTAGTTCCCCTTTGGCATCAGCAGTGGAAAGTGCCTGCCATCCATCTTGGAATTCTCTCTGAATATGAAGAGTGCTTAGATGCTGGGAAGACAAAATGAAATGAGGCTATTGCACAGGAAGAAAAAAGGGAAATTAAAATCAAATGCAAAATGACACTTCTAATCCATAAAATATATTAAGCATATTTATAGTGCCATGTTGTTTATAATATCAAATACATTGAAGGAAAGATATAGTTCTGTATGTTAATCAAGTTTGTAAATTTTGTAAAGGTACTGCTGATTTTGTCATTTCTGAGCAGCAATAATTTTGGCTGTAATTGTTACGTAGGATCCACACACAGTTCACCTTTCTATAAAGCAGCAGCGGGATGAGCTCTTTTAACTTGGGACATCTGAAGGCATCGAAAGGGTTAGTTGAGAATGACTTAACATGTCTTAAATGAGAATATATTAACATATACACATATGCATTACTCTTGAGAGAACTCAGGTATACAGATATAGCACTAACTGTGGTTTACAACAGCGTCTCTGTATAAAAATCTCAAATTTCTCCTTGTTAATAAACTCACGACTTGCTATTACCTGTGAGAGTTGCTTTTATTCTGCTTCTCATTGGTCTTTCCCCAGATTCCTCTGGTCTTCTTTTGTGTGTCCCACACTGCTGTTGACACACGCTTGTCCTGGGAAGTGACTTTGTTGTTTCGGGGCACTATTACTATTTCCAGAAATCTTGGAACCTGTTTCTACAAACTTCCTTGAAAAGTCTGTCTATGAGCAGTCTTTATTGTTGCTCCCCCAAATAGTGGAATAGTGGCTGTTTATTACACCTATTTTCTCTAGCTGATGCTGTTTATGTTCTGATTCTTTAATCAGCCTTCTGTGTCTGATGTGCTCTTACAGTGATGAAATAGGTTAAATTCCAATTTAATTGCTCAAAAGAATGACTCCTTAGTTGTGATCTTAGCTGAAAAAATATTTTGTGATTGGACACTTTATCCATATTTGGACTCCAACACCTCCTATGCACCACTGTGAAGCATCCTCCCTGGGAGTGGGCGTTCACAGTGGAGGCAGTGGGGGCAGAGGCCATGAGGACACTGAGCAGAAGGGCAGCACACCCAAAATTGACTTCGGAGAGGAGGAAACTGAACAACGTACCTCCTAATTTTTTACGTGCCTATTTTTTATGCTTGAAATTTTGGGGGATGAGGAATAATGGTTCTATAAAGCCTAGGCAACATATTATAGTCACAGAGATCTCAGTGGGGTTTTTCTTTCTTTCTTTTTTTAATTTCCGTAGGTTTTCGGGGAACAGGTCGTGTTTGGTTACATGAATGAGTTATTTAATGGTGATTTCTGAGATTTTGGTACACCCATCCCCTAAGCAGTATCCAGTGACAGTAATATTCTTTAACACTTAAGTGACTGGCTATCTCCAAACAGGGGACTTTTTTTTGCAACTAAGTTGTGTGTGACCTTGAGTAAGTCTTCCCATGCCTCTGAGTGTCAATTCTAGAATGTGCAAAATGAGGACACTCAAGGAACTCTGAAGTGTTTTACCATTATAATTATAAATTGAGTGAGTTGTACCTTCAGTGAAAGATATGGCATTGAAAGTTTATACTTGTTAAATGATCTATAAATCAAATACAATGATAACATAAGTTTGATGTTTTATTCCTTTATGCAGGTCAACTCTTAGTAAAGACAAAGCCAATGACATGGAGTAGATGTTAGCAAACCATGACCCCCCACCAGCCAAATAAGCCCTGCTGTCTGTTTTTGTCAACATTTTATTTGCATACAGTCAAACTTGCTCATTTATGTATTGTCTGTGGCTGCTTTTGTGCACAATGGCAGAGTTGAGTGATTGTGACAGAGATAGGGTTGCCGGATAGAATACAAGAAATCTAGTTAAATTTGAATTTCAGATAAACAAAAATATTGCATGGGACGTACACTAAAAAAAATTTGTTGCTTATTTGAAGTTCAAATGTAACTAGGTGTGTTGCATTTGTCTTTGCTAAATCTGTCAGTCCTAGACAGAGACGGTTTGGCCCACAAAGCCTAAAATATTTTTCACCTGGCTTTCTATAGCCAAAGTTTGCCAACTGCTGATATAGAGGACAGATTTCTGAGCTAGTAAGAAAGAAACTCCTGACTTTCAGACCTGGTTTTGTTACTAATTTGCTGTCTAACATTAGATTAGACCTTAGTTTATATATCTACAAGTGAGTCTAATAATACCAGCTTCTCAGGGTTGTTTGAGGATTGCTGACATTAAGGGTGAGAAGGCACTTAGAGAGGAGCACAAATGGAATGGAGATAGGGTTCATGTTAAAGTTCCAGAGGGCAAGGGTACATTTCCAAACATTGCACTATGGACCCTTAGGTTATACTCCTCCTCTTATTGAACCCTATTGTTTCTGGTCTCTGTATTCTTCCTGGATACAGAGCCAAAAGGACATAGTAGCATAAAGTATGGTGTAGCTAGAAGGAAGGGTGATAACCAGATACTCTTCACAAAAGCCAGTTGACTAGATGTTAGATGAAACTTCAAACACATCTTTTTATTTATTTGATATAGCTTTATGCTAGATAGTATTTTAGACTATGGATTAGGAATACGTGTAACTGTTTTTTTCCTGTCTTAAAGAAAATATCGTTATTTAGGAATCAGACATGGGAGTGATAGTTCTTATTCCTCATTTTGACAGCTCTAGCATTAGTGAGAGCAGAGGCTATATTTCAAAGGCATGGTGACCCTAATTTCATTTCTGCACAGAGGCAGAGCGAAACAATGTGACGAAGTGAAAAAAGGAAGGACATTAATGCTACTGTTATGCCACTTTAAGAGAATTATTCCAGTCCGCTCGGAATAATTAATCTGTTGTACAACATTTGATGAGGTGCTCACCAAATTACTGCTACATGCTGCATTAAAAATTTTGTCAGCTTTGTTCTGCTTTGGAATCCTGTGCTTATGAGAACTTTACCTTAGGCAGAGGTGAGTACTATCTTCTGTGCTCTTATAACACTTTAAATATAGTTTTATTATGGCCTAATAATTTATTGTTTATTTGCTTTCCCAGTGGGTGGTGATTATCTTGACATCAGAAGTTTCTATTCATCTTTATATCCTTAGCACATAACTTGGTGCTAGTAGACACCACATAGATGGTGATTGAATGAGCTGAGTAAATATGAAACCGATAGAATCACTTTTATACTCTAAAATGCTGTACTGCTTCACCTCAGCTTATGTTATCGAATTAATTTTTTTCAGTGGCTCAATCATTATTTGTTGTATATTTGGAATTATGATATGATTACTATTCTTCATAACTCTTATCTTTCTCTCTTTGGCAATCTGACCTGCCAACGTGGATTCCACTCTTCACTCAATGTAAATCTCGATTGGGTAACTCTAAACCCTCCCTCCTTTCCAAAGTCCAGTCCTGGATACCTCTACCTGGACATTCAGTCACACTAAATATTCCATATGCAAAGTCTACTAAAAATATCAGAGGAACTGGAAGACAGAAGACAGACAGCTAATTCTAGCTCTTCTACTAACTGGCTGGGTAAACTTGTCAAGTCATTTAACTTCTCTGCCTAACATAAGGCAGTAGTTGCAATAATAGTTTCCAAACTGTTTACAGCGCAGCTTTGTAGCATTCTGAAACAACAAAAGGCATCATAAGCATTTAATATTGGCTATGCATTACTTGTACTAAGTTGTGAAAATATAGAACTCAAAGGAGATTGGTGAAAAATGCATTGTAATTTTTCAAAGCATTTCTCTTAAGCAGTAAAATAGAGGCTTTTTTTCAGAAGACAATCTGTTAGAATTTTGCCACCACAGCTCCACTGCTGATGAAATAGAACCTGGGTATCACAGGAATGCTATGGAAGCCAATGTAAACCACACAGCCAACTCCTCTGGGAATGACTTATATTACTGCTTGGGCCAATTTTAAAGAAAATCCTGTGTCAGCACTTTCTGTGATGGTCACTGGGCCTTGCAGAGCTGCCTCATTTGGAACAGACTGCTTCAGGGTATATTAATGTCAGGACACACTGCTTCTCATTATAGCTCCCACCAATCCAGGTGCCAAGGCCAAGATATACTAGAACGTGAATACAGGGCCCACTTGGCAAGAAATACATGTTGTCAGAGCAGAGGTCTAAGACTACACTGTCTTTGGGTGAGAATGGGTGGTCTGACTTGAATGGGACTTGAATGGGACTTGGCATCACTACATGCAAAGTTATTAACTACCTGGAGCCATAAGTGGGAATATGATGTGTTTGATAACAAATATGTTAAAATGTACCATTTGTTTTTATGTATAATTTTTTAAGGTCCATTTCCTGATTTTTTTTTTCTTTAAATAAATGAAATGGAAAGCTTTTCACTCAAGGATAACTTCAACCTTTCTAAACATGATTCTTGTCCATTTCATATCTGGTCTTTATTATCAGGCCAATCACCCATGCATTATGAACCCATGAAATTATGAAGGCAGGTCATGAATATACTCTGATGTTCATGGACATTGGGTTTATAAAATCTCACTTATCTCCTCCTGCATGGTTACCACTATGATCTTAGCACAGCTCCACCCCAATTTCTTTGCTATTATGACTTAAATTTGAAAATGCCTCTGGCTTGAGTGTTGTCCTAGATATGTGGATCTGAGGCATCTATACAAGTGGGGTGCCCAGCTGGAAAGTGTAGCCATATACTTTCAGTTCAGGAAAGAGATCTGAGCTGAAAATATGAAATTGAGATTAATCAGCACTAGATAGTTATTGAGAGTATTGAAGTAAACGAGGCAACCTAGGGCCTGAGTATAATGAGAAGGGTGTCTGAGGAAACTTTGAGAAACATTTAAAGGACTTAGCATGAGAAGATTGAAGGTCATCCTGAGAAAGGTCTCTCTGTTTCTTCCTAATGAGATGTACACTGAGAGCTGTTCTTCTGCTTGCTTTGTTAATGTGGCATTGACGACTTTTACCTCCTTTGTCCTTAACCACAGCTTTAGATTGAGTCATGTTGAATTTGTCAATAACTCTTGTTGACATATTTTTTTAGTCTATAGATAGACAGTTTTCTCTTTACTGGCCAATTCAGTCATTTGACTGGACTTCAACTAGTATTTTTTGAGATCTTCCTTAGAGGTTTGTAGTCAGTAGCAGTTAAAAGGACTTTAAATGTGAAAGTTTAAATTTGTCATATGAGAAAACCTGTGGTCCTCAACCAGGGGTGATTTTGCCCTGCATGGGACATTTGTCCAGGCCTGAGACATTTTTTATTTTCGCCACTGTTTATGTGGGGATGCTACTGGCATCTGGTGATGAGAAACCGGGGATGCTGCTAAGTATCTTCCAATGCACAGGATAGCCACCCCCAACAGCAAAGAATTAGCTGGTCTAAAGTGTCAGTAGCGCACAAGAAACCAAGGTGTAAAAAGGTGATACTCAAAGATTTTTAAGCAAGGAAGTTGTATTCCCAGGTTCATATTTTAAAGACCACTCTACTGTAAGGAAAATAGATGGGTGGTAGAGGTGGGAAGGGAGAAGAATGGAAACCAGGTAGGATGCTGTGGTGGTCTCCTAGACAGGAGCTGTTAGTTACCTGAGTTATTGTGGTGGGAGCGAAGATGGAGAGAAGCAGATGGAATCAAAATATGTTTTGGGGGAAGAAATGTTAGGACTTGTCAGTGATTGAATATTAGTATTAAAGCAGGGGAATAAATCATTCTGAACCGTCAAATTTCTGTCTTGAGAATCTAGGGAATGCTTATTTAATGACTTGAGGAAAATGGGCAAGAAGTAAGCTTGGGGGCTGAGTTAAGTTTCAAGTCTATTAAGTTTGAGATCCTGTGTGAATTTCAAATGAAGCAGGCAGCTGGATTTATATGAGTTAGAAAGTCAGAACATTTAGAATGTGGCTGCACACACCATATTTCTATGTTGTCAAAGAAGATATAACATGGTTGAGAGGTACATACCTTGAGTAAGAGCTGGTTTCTAGCTCTGCCACTTACTTGCATAAATCTAAGCAATTTACTACTCCTCTATGAAAATACCAGTTCCCCTGTGAATGAAAGAAATGTATTAAACTAGGTAAGGTTTTTCAACCAATTCATCGCCAGCAATACCTTCTATTAATTTTCTCTCATTGAGCCCATGTTTAAAATTTTTTAATCATCTTAATGTACTACATTCATCATGAAACAATATATTAATTTTATCTGTGCCATCAATGTTTTTTCATTTTAATGTTGGTTCAGATTTTAAAGGCTTGTTAATTATGGCTTATTGGCTATAATAATAAGGGATCCGAGAAATGAAGTTCAAATGCCGACATATGTTAGAACGGCTGACTGCTACTGATAATTAACTTCTGCTCTTTTTCATTTCAGGATCATTTCTATACCAGATATATGCAGTTTGGGTTCTGAGATCTCCTGACATATGATTATGTTAACAAGTATAAACCAGCTATCATGTATAACTAGTTAAAACTTCTGATCACAAATAGATAACTAGCACTGTATTATTGTATTACAATTACAGTATGTGATAAAACAGATTTGATAAAATTTCATGCAAAGCAAATATCCTGACATTTTAGTTAGTCTGATATCTTCACTGTAAGTAAATATTTCCATTCTTCAAAAAAAATTGAAATTAGCTCATAATCACTGTTGTGACATTTATTGATCTGAGACTGAAAACCACTGGACTTGATAACGTTTAGTGCTTTAGCCTTAACACCTTTCGATTCATGTCCTTTTTTATATTGTATTCTGGTTGCTACTCATAATACTTCTAAATTTAAAAATCATGTAGCCATGTACTTGCATTTGCTACTAGATATTTTTAGCATTGCAACTCTTTAGCAGTGGGACCAATCAATAATTTCAAGGTGGTTTGTCACTTTCTTCTTAAGTCAAGGTTTTATGATGTAAAGTTACATAAATTTCTTATGAAGAGAATTACAGAATATATGTGATATATCAAACAGGTATGGAAGAGTTAACTGCGGAGAGATGAGCAAGAATTTTATGACTATGATCTGAAAATAATCATTGCTTGGGGAACAGGCAGGTGCTGGCAAGACAGCAGGGAATCACAATCACAGACCTTGCTGCTGTGAGGAGTCCAAGTAGGTAGAAAGGGAGAACATGAGAATATACAAATGGATAATGGGCAAGCAGGCAGCACAAAGAAATCCCCAAACCAGGTGCTAGGAACATTGAATAGCAGATCTTTGACTTCCAAGTACTACTACCAGATAGGTAGTAGTCATTCAGGGAAGCTGGAGTGTAGTTATGAGGGACTGACCTCTGGGCATTATCAGCATTGGGGTTTTGGCAAAGGAAAACAAAGGAACAGGAATATCAGGTGGCATCTCAGCCTCTGGAGGAGGCTCCACTTAGTAAAATGCAGAGTCAAGTTCAAAGCTGAAGGAGTGAGTGTCATACTGCCAAGTCCTTGAGGGTTAACAGCAAGTGGCAGAAATCCAGTCTAATTTAGTTTAAGAAAAAATGGAAAGTGTAGGGCCATATAATTTAGAAGTCCAAAAGGTTGTGTAGTGGTTTTATTTTCTTTTATTTTAGTTTTTATTATTATTATTATTATTATTATTATTATTATTATACTTTAAGTTTTAGGGTACATGTGCACAACATGCAGGTTTGTTACATATGTATACATGTGCCATGTTGGTGTGCTGCACCCATTAACTTGTCATTTAGCATTAGGTATATCTCCTAATGCTATCCTTCCCCCTCCCCCCACCTCACAACAGTCCCTAGTGGGTGATGTTCCCCTTCCTGTGTCCATGTGTTCTCATTGTTCAATTCCCACCTATGAGTGAGAACATGCGGTGTTTGGTTTTCTTTCCTTGCAATAGTTTGCTGAGAATGATGGTTTCCAGCTTCACCGATGTCCCCACAAAGGACATGAACTCATCATTTTTTATGGCTGCATAGTATTCCATGGTGTATATGTGCCACATTTTCTTAATCCAGTCTATCATTTTTGGACATTTGGGTTGGTTCCAAGTCTTTGCTATTGTGAATAGTGCTGCAATAAACATACGTGTGCATGTGTCTTTATAGCAGCATGATTTATAATCCTTTGGGTATATACCCAGTAATGGGATGGCTGGGTCAAATGGTATTTCTAGTTCTAGATTCCTGAGGAATTGCCACACTGACTTCCACAATGGTTGAACTAGTTTACAGTCCCACCAACAGTGTAAAAGTGTTCCTATTTCTCCACATCCTCTCCAGCACCTGTTGTTTCCTGACTTTTTAATGATCACCATTCTAAGTGGTGTGAGATGGTATCTCACTGTGGTTTTGATTTGCATTTCTCTGATGGCCAGTGATGATGAGCATTTTTTCATGTGTTTTTTGGCTGCATACATGTCTTCTTTTGGGAAGTGTCTGTTCATATGCTTCACCCACTTGTTGATGGGGTTGTTTGTTTTTTTCTTGTAAATTTGTTTGAGTTCATTGTAGATTCTGGATATTAGCCCTTTGTCAGGTAAGTAGGTTCCAAAAATTTTCTCCCATTCTGTAGGTTGCCTGATCACTCTGATGGTGGTTTCTTTAGTTTAAAGAAGCTCTTTAGTTTAATTAGATCCCATTTGTCAATTTTGGCTTTTGTTGCCATTGCTTTTGGTGTTTTAGACATGAAGTCCTTGCCCATGCCTATGTCCTGAATGGAAATGCCTAGGTTTTCTTCTAGGGTTTTTATGGTTTTAAGTCTAACATGTAAGTCTTTAATCCATCTTGAATTAATTTTTGTATAAGGTGTAAGGAAGGGATCCAGTTTCAGCTTTTACATATGGCCAGCCAGTTTTCTGTGTAGTGGTTTTAAATGTCTACATTGAAACGAATTCTCCTGTCCTTGACTGTGGGCTGGATTTAGTGATTCAGTTCCAGCGAATACAATACAGTGGAAGTACAGTGTGTGACTTTGGGAGACTAGGTCATAAATGGCTCTGTGACTTCTTGCTTGCTCTCGGTCTCAGATCACTCACTCTTGGGGACTCATGTCATGAAGATACTCAGAGAGCCCTGTGGAAAGACCCACATGGCAATGAACTGAGACCTTATCCTGCAATCTCATATAATCTTCAGATGACTGTAGCCTTCTATAACTTTACCACAGTGCATGAAAAACCCTGCACTAGAGCCACCCAGCTAAGCCACTCCTAGATTTCTGACCCTCAGAAACTGTGAGAAGTAACCCACTGCCATTTTAAGTTATTAAGTTTTGGGTAATTTGTTATGCAGCAGTAGATAACTAATAAAGGAGGACCCAGTTTCAGATATGGCTGGATCCTGGCACTCAAATGTTGTAGTCAACAGACCATGCTATTCTATTTTCTTATCTCTGTTTCCCCAACTTATTTCTTTGTCCTTGAGCTAGCTCTCTGTATGTGGCATAGGAGATGGCTACAGGTAATCATAAGCTTGCATCCTCATGGCTCATGACTTAGGAGAGGGATTCTATTTTCCCCAGGGTCCACATAGGACATCTAAAGAAAGGATTCTTATCTGACTCCGTTTAGTCATGTATCCACCATGTGTGCACTCTGTCCAGGGAGATATCATAGAGTGACTGCTGGAGTTCACTCTTGTGCTCACCCTTTTGGCTGCATGTGAAGCCTCATTGTCCCCAGCCATCTCCCACTGCATGAAATGTGGAGAGAGAATTCCCTCATAGCAGGTACTAATGACAGAAGAAAGGGGTTAGGAGTGCCGGTGCAGAGAAAACAAAAAAAGTCTGGCACAAGTGGAATCAGGTGGAATCTGAAGATTCCACTTCTGATTTTGTTCTTCTACAACTATCCACTCGGAGCAATCTCAATAACTTTAAATAACTGACACATATGTTAAATAATTGTTGACATCAACTTTTAAAATATAGTAGCACCACTGTTATTATCTAGCTATCTTCTCTATCCTAAACAAGCTCAAGAACCAAGAAGTAAAGAGGCACAAAATATAATGGGTTTTATTAATAGATAGGCCCTCTGGTCTTCCTTCTGAGGGCCAATTTTCTTTTTTTATTTTTTACTCTACCACTTTAAGAAGTCGAATGTATAGCTCAAGATGGGATATCCTGGGAACTCACCACACCCACAACCCAGTGCTTCAGAGGAGTAGCTGCCAGTGTCATCTTATGCATAGTTAATAATAACAATGAGTGAAATCCTTTGAGCACATAACTATATGCTCCAGGCCCTGTTCTAAGTGCTTATATCATCAGTCAACATTCAACCAGACAAGCAGAACCTGTAGGAGAGTATATAAATGTTACACACACACATATGCACACACAACACACACACACACACACAAATTTATTTCAAGGAATTGGTTGTCATA
Organism: Homo sapiens; assembly: GCF_000001405.40. Lineage (NCBI taxonomy): Eukaryota > Metazoa > Chordata > Mammalia > Primates > Hominidae > Homo > Homo sapiens. Next base: position 57,633,338 of record NC_000005.10, read on the forward strand.
ATTCTGGGGGCTAGCTAAGCCAGCCCCAAGTTCACAGGGCAAGTGGTCAGGAAGGGAAAATTATGAGCAGGCTAGAATCCACCAGCATGAGCGAAAGCTCTTATCCAGGTAGGAGTTTCTCTCTTTGTCTCACCAGAGAAAGCCTAAGTTCTGTTTGAAGGTCTTCCAACTGATTAAGTCCACACACCCAGGATAATTTCCCTTTCGACTAATTAGTTCAGGCCCTCACAGGATGATCTCCCTAGATTAGTGTTGGAATGAATAACTGGAGTCTGTAGTTCAGCCTAACCAGTTGATGCATCAAAAAACCATCAGTGCTTTAGGTGAATATTCTCTTTTACTTCTTGCAGCGATAATAACTATTATTATTTCCTTCTGTAAGTGAATAAGTAGGGACCCAGAAATGTTCAATAACTTGCCCAAAGGCTCAGAGTATTATAAATGGCATAAGCAGGTTATCAAACCAGGCCTTCTATCTTCCAAACCTGAGCTCTTTCTAAGATGCTATTTGACATCAATCACATCTAGTTAGATGTTATTTAGAGAGCAGAACTGGAGGCAAAGGCAGCTATCCACAGAGGTGCAATGACTTATGAGGTGGTCTGGTGCGATATCTATGTTCAGGTGGAATGGCCCTAGACTGGTTAGTGATTAACATGCACAGTCAAATTCTCTGTGTTGGGGAGTTTGAAAGTGAGCGGCACAGAGAGGGACAGGGACAGAAGGGTTGTAGCAGCCCAGATTCACTTAAAGAGACAAATGTTAGCAGAAAAATGGGGAGCGATAGAAGCCATGTGCAATCAGAACCACAGAAAAAAGAAAGAGGGAGCGGGCGGGTGGTAATAAGAAAGTGAAAGGGAAAAACAGAGTAAGGAAGACAATGAGGAGGAGATTGTGGGAGTTCAGGCGGTGAAGGCCAATTGCTGAAGGCATGGACTGTTGGCGCACTGGCTCGCTCCTTGGATCGCATGTATATGTGCTTCCCCTAGCTCACTTTCTATTGGCATGGCAAACACATGATTTCACTTTAAAAGCATGAGTTCTGAGTTTTAGGGAGAGGCCTAAAAGGATATTCAGTAGCTGAAGAAGCCACTGATATCATCTTGACTGTCCTGGGGGCCTATCCAGCATCTGCGTAGTCCACAGAGGCCTGATCCAGTCTGTGAAGCTGCACTTTAAGACCTCAAAATGGATGTGAGGCACAGGTAGTATTTATCACTCCGACAGGTGACTACTGAACATACTCAACAGCCTTGCCACCGGGATGGGATCATAGGCATCACCTGGGAGCTTGTTGGCCATGCAGACACTCAGGCTTCATCCATACTTCATGAATTAGAATCTGTATTTTAATAAGAGCCCCAGATAATTTATGTGCACATTAAAATTCAACAGGATATATCATTCAACTATGGCAGGCTACCTCTGAACATGTTCCAAGTCCTTTTTTTTTTTTTTTTTTTTGAGACGGAGTCTCGTTCTGTCACCCAGGCTGGAGTGCAGTGGCGTGATCTCGGCTCACTGCAACCTCCGCCTCGCGAGTTCAAGCAATTCTCTGCCACAGCCTCCTGAGTAGCTGGGATTACAAGCACCCATGACCACGCCCGGCTAATTTTTTTATTTTTAGTAGAGATGGGATTTCACCATCTTGGCCAGGCTGGTCTTGAACTCCTGACCTTGTGATCCACCCGCCTTGGCCTCCCAGAGTGCTGGGATTACAGGTGTGAGCCACTGTGCCCAGCCTCCAAATTCTTTTACCTGGTGATGATTGCACTAGGGATCCAGTTTTATCCCATCCACTCTATGAACTCTCATTCTGCCTCCTCCATAGAGAATAGGATAAGTGGGTCAGAAGAGCTGTCTGTGTGCCCTGGACAATGTTTTAGTTCCTCATGGGGGCTGGCTTTGTGAATGCTAAGGCTTCTTAAATATTTTGTGTATTTTTATATCACCCTCCATTAACTGAGGATCCTGAGTGCATGACTGTTCCTTGCAAGCTAATGGGCTGTAACAAATAGACTGAGTGATTTAATTTGCAGAGCCACAAGGATTGTAACAGCAGTAAATTAAACATGAGAAGAGGGGCTTTTAGAAATACGCACTGGAAGCTGTTGACAACAGACAACCCCAAAATGTAACAATCTGTGCCATTATTTTGTGGGTGAAAATAGCCCCAAAGGCCTCAAAGGGATTGGAGGCTGTCTCTGTGTTGTAGAATGTATTATACAATATGTGGTGGTTATAAGGATGCATGAGTCATAAGAGAAAGGTTTAGTTGTCTATAGCACACTGATTAGAAAGGGAGGCAAGCTTAAAATACATGTTTAAAAGATTTTCAATAATATGATGTCAACAGTACATAATTTAGGCTTTATATAAAATCTCAGCGCTATGAAAAATAATTTTCTAGAATGACTCATCTGAGACCCGGGTCTCAGAGTGTGAGACATATTGGAGATGCTCATCACTGCTTCCCACCAAATTCAAATTCATGCTTCAAAGAACCAAAAAGTTGAGACGCCATATGAAGATGGTCCTGGCTCCACTAAAGTTGACCAAAACAAGAGAAGTTGGGAGCAGAAAGAAAAGGACATTCAGGCCCATGGACCTGGAGAGTGAAGCTTCTTTTGTTTCCTCTCACTCATTCTAATCTTTCCTGAGGCCCTATCGTATTACCTGCTTTGAGTACCGTGAAATACCTATGTCCTTCCAGAAGATCTTACTATTTTTAATTAAGCTAATTTGAATAGTGTCCATTCCTTGAAAACAATTGTTTCTTGTTCAAGATAAAAGACTTTAAAATTCATGATAATTCCTAATATTTTAGCAGTAACATGGGACAAAATGGGGTGCAAGGACAGAGCATAGAGAAGGAACTCATCATAACCAGTTGGTCCAGACTGGCAGTAGAAGGAATGAGGCGTTATGGTGACTAGATAGGTCCAGCATGCTAGGCTTTACTTTCATACAGTGGTCAATGGCTGAGGGTCTAGGATGGGCAGAAGGACGCAGGTGTGGGCCTGGACTCAGGATATAAGCTTGGTGAAGACAATAGGCTGAGGCAGGTTTGGTACCAGTCTTACCTGGTTGTTTGGGAAGCAACACTTTAGGATCTGACACAGATCCTAATTACATTACATTCCCAATCAAAAAAGGGGCACAGCTTTGCCCTGATTATAGGAGCTCTTCTAGTTTGCATTGCATAATAAGGGATCCTGCAGGCACTGGTAGTCATGGCAAAGGCCTTGGCCCTCTCAGACCCACCAGAAAAATCAGAAATCATAACTTCTACTTCCCTGATCTTCACTCCTTAGTGGTTGTCTTTGGAGTATAGGCATTTTATTTTCCATCTACTTGTATAGAAGCCATTTATTAGATGGTTAGAGTCCGTTCTGTAAATTTGAACAAAACCAACATGCTGTTTTTTACACCTTTTCCAAAGTACATCTAAAACTTATTTTGGCTCTTTCTGATCCATTTGGTCATACCCTCCAATTGGTATCTCTCAAGCCAGGGCTAAGGATGATCAGCCGTTTTTCTAAAATGCTAGAATTGACCCATATAAGTTTTGGGTACTTATTGACAGCCTATTTAAATCAACTGTAAATTGCTTCTGTAAACTCTCAAGTATTTTTTTTTTCTATGGTGTTTTGCTTAATTCTGAAGAGAATGTGAATGTGCTGGGTGGTGTGTGTATATATGCATTTATTCAGAGAACCCACGATGGTGTGTTTTTAAAAATTTCCCAGAAATTTCAAATTTATGTAACAGAAAATTTAATATATGGGAATGCTCAATGTTATGACATTTATTAAGGGGAAACTAATTTTAGCTTTCTGATGTTCTATTCAGTTATATTCAGATACTTTAGAATTTTTCTGTCTGCCAATTTTTGACAACATTTATTACTCTGATTTTCATGCAATAACCAACTAGGTTTTGACAGTTTTTCCACATCCTCCTCTTCAGAAGCATATAACTTTGAAGTTCTCTGGCAAACATTTTTCATGTGTTTGCTGTATCAACATCAAATATCTATATAAAAGAGAAAATTTATTAACTTCAATGAAATGGCCTTCCATTTCTTAAATTTTATTGCAAAACATTCATTTATCAAATATAGATTGAACATCTACTATGTTGGTGCTATGTACAGAGACTGGCCAACGAGTATTGAAGTTTGTCATGAGATGGGTTCCCCTTGAAGCAGATTTTGGGACAAGAGCTTGTATGCAAGCAGTTTAAGAAGGAAGTATTCTTATGGGAGACAAGTAAGGAAGTTGGGAAAGAAGGCCGAGGAAGCTGAGGAAGCCAAGCAAGGGTGTAATCTCAGACAAAGTTCCACACAAGGTAGCTTCACCCTTCACACAGGAAACCACCCACCCCCCAAAATCAGTAAAAAGACATTTCAGGGGAGCTGGGCAAGGTATGAGTATTAGTCCTTAAAGACTTACAGCTTAAATATGAATGAACAGCCAAGAATATTAGGTAGTAGAGGAACATCTCGAATATGCATGTCAAAGTACAAAGCAAACGAATCAAAACAAATTTAAAAAGAAGGAAACATAGAACAGAAGAAAAAACACTTAATTTTTCAATTAATATCCAAGAGATAAGCAAAGATATTGCATCTATGGAACAGGAACAGTAGGCTATAAAAAGGAATATTCAGGAATAGAAAAGAACACTTTTAAATTAAAAAAAAATAGTGGCTTGATATACTTTGAATGTTGTCTCCTCTAAATCTCATGTTGAATTATAATCTCCAGTGGCGGAGGTCGACCCCAGTGGGAGGTTTTTGGATCATGGGGTTGGATTTCTCATGAATGGTTTAGCACTATCCACTTGGTGCTGTCCCTGCAATAGTGTCATGCAGTGAGTGAATTCTTGCAAGATCTGGTTGTTTAAAAGTGTGTAGCATCTTCCTTCTTCTCTCTTGCTCCTGTTTTTGCCATGTGACATGCCTGCTCCCACTTCACCTTCTGCCACAAGTAAAAGCTCCCTGTGGTCTCAGAAACCCAGTAGATGCTGTTGCCGTCTGTGAACCATGAGCCAATTAAACATTTTTTGTTTATAATTTACCCAGTCTAAGGTTTTCCTTTATAGCATCTCAAGAACTCACTAACACATGGCTCAAACAATTCAGTAGAAGTGTTGATAGGTAAATTTGAAAATGTTTCCCAGAAGGGAGAACAAATAGAGAAATGGTCAGAATATTAGATAAATCCTGATTGTCTATCATCTAATGAATTAGAATTTTTAAAAATGTGAAGAAAAAACCCAAACTTTTAAAGAAATAATTAAGTTAATTTAGAAGAGCAGATAAATATGAGCCTTTATATCAAAAAGGTCTTATGGTATACTTAGACCAATGAATAAAAAGTAATTTACAATACAGCATATCATTTCAGGGAATTGGAGGAAAAGAGAAGTAAAATATTTTTGATAAAATAGAAACGGGGAATAGATCACACACCAAGGACAATGAATAACGGTATTGACCTCTTTATGGCAATGCTGGAAACAAAACGCCAATGGAAAAATGCCTTTAAAATTTAGAGGGAAAATGTTTTCTAGTCTTATTCCAGATAGGACACTACATCTAACCAATCTATCAATCAAGTATAAAGGTTAAAATAAATTCATTTTTACATATGCAAAGCCTTAAGAAATGTGCCTCCAATGTACCCTTTCTCAGAAAGCTATTTGAGCATATACTCCACCAAAACAGCTGAATAAACAAAGACAGAAATTTTTTATCTAAGCAAGGAGTATGCAGTACAATAAAGAGGCTAAGAAAGTCTCCAGGATGTTGGTGGAGAGAAGTTTTGAATGGCAGCTGTGCAGCAAGTCTAGAGAGCAACTGTTCCAGATTGAAGAAGCAGGATAGAAGTTTCCAGAAAGAATGTCTCTCCAAGTAAAAGAAGAAACTCATAGAATGTCTGACATGTCTGAATATACTGAAAAGAATCATATTTTTGGCAGAGAATTTGGGGATATTATAATGATAGATATACAGAAAAGCAAGTCAATAACAACAAAAATATGAGGCAATTAATAACTTCAGAAAAAAGGCAATTGTACAAGAAAGGAAATATAGTCATTCTACACTACTAGGCTCAGATATTAATAATATTTAGGTATTATTACCTATAAATATATGCATTTGTATATAATGTATAAACTGAAGATGGCTTCAACAATAACAAACCTGTGATAACATTATATTGAAAAGACACAGAGAGAATGTGTATATGTCTATGTCTGAGATGGGATGGGGAGAGGAAAACTATCAAATGCTTATCTTCTAAAGTGAGAAGTCAAAAGATAATGTCTAAATTGACAAATTCAGCAACATCATAGTCATTATTAATATGGAAGTAATTATTATACTAAAGAAAGAAGTTAAAGCAGCTGAAAGTGCTTCCTGGGCTTGAGTCAAGGTAGAAAGGAATAGAGCTGGAGACCAGTGGTTTTATTATAATCCTTGTGGTGTTACTATGTTCTGTTGCATTTTACATTTGGTGCACATATTACTTTGGAGCTTAGAGCACATTTGGCCAAAGCAGGACACTGTGCATGGTGATTACCATCATTGCATGGTTCACAGTCCACCACCATTACTGTCCCCACAAATGATTTTAGCTATGACATAGCTGGGAATTGGTTCTCATGTTTCCATAACACTCTATCATCACACAGAACAGCATTTGAAGTAGTATCCCCTCTCCATTTGCAGGATCTTCTTCCTACCTTTCATTAGAGCTGAGAAGTTTGGACTTCCCCAGCTCAAATTTACTGTTAGAAAGGGTTGCAGTTTTGAAAGAGCAGATGCTTCAGGAAAAGTCTGGCTCTGGGAGGAAAGGGGCAGGAACTTAGGGAGGAAATGCTGGAATAACAGCTTTGTGATGAGAAAAGGAGCAAGACTGGCTGTGAAGAAGCCTGAGGGGGTGAGGAGCCAATTTCGGGATAAAAGGAAAGGTGAAGTTTTTCTTCTCTTCCTTCCTCTGCCCCCAACTTCCATGCGCCTCCTTCCTTTCTCCCTTCTTTCCTTTCTGTGTTTGGATGAGAGAGGCAGAAAGACCTTAAAGTGGTGTCAGAATGGGGCTTATCCTCCTTTCCTTTTTCTTTCATCTAACTTGGCAACAATGAAGTCAGCAGTAAGTGGGAGTTAAGGGTTGAGCCTTGGTGCCTGGAGAGGGAAGCATGGGGGTAGACTGATATGAGAGGGGTGTCCCCTTCCTACCACTTCAAAATTACAAGTCTTTTCATCAAGAACAGCTGGATGACAGAGAAGAAAGGTTTGATGCTAACTTGACTAGAGGGACCTGAGGACTGCCGAATTTGTATAATATGCAAGAGTATGTATTTCCTCAGCAGCTTGGCAACCATCAACAGGTGGTGAAGGAAAGGCTATTTCTGGTTTTAGCTGTCAGACTGGGATATACCTTCTTACATAAGCAAGGTACCCAAAGAAGAGGTAGGAAATTAAATATTATGTCTCTGAACTCCTCTTCTCCATCATCCTTCTTCTCTTCCTTCTTTAACCACTGATGATAAGGGCACATTCCTGAGTTCTTCATATATGGTATCATGTGAAATCCCAGCCTGGATAAAGGTATTCCTCTCTTTAAAGTAGCTTCCAAAATAGAGTACACAAATCATATGTCAAATTCTCAGGCAGGTCCCAAACACCTAGCAGCTTAAGTTAGTTCTTTTTTTCTCTTCAACCCCATGCAACCGGAAATTGTTAAAATATTAAACACTGTTCTAACTCACAAAGTATTCCATTTTTCCTTCCTCAGCCTTTGTCTCCCAACTCTGGTTTCATGATGGGGGTGGTATGGAGGGAAGGTGTATTGAGGTAGGAGGTGCAGGCAGTCTAGAATTTGATATTTTAAGTGTTCGGTATTTCAGAGTATGGTGCTCCCACATCATGCTACTTCCTAGTCCTACTCAGCTTGTGTAAGAGTCCAGGGCAATTCCATGGCCATAATGGAATTATGGGGTGGAGGAGAGATAGTGTGCAGGCTTCCTTTAATGGACTACAGATTGGTTTCAAAGTGTGTTTGCAGATGCTGAATAGTAGGGATAAAAATTTGAGATCTTCTAGGGCAGATTTTTTCTGTGTTTGAATAATTTGATCACAAGCATGTGTGCCCAGATACTTTCAGGCAGGAAGTCATTGCTTTGGCTGTGCCTCCTGTACCCTACCTTCTTTGTGGTGTTCTAGTTTTCAAGGGGTAATGGGGGTTTTCTGACAAGACATCCCCTTCAAAATCAAAATAATAATTTTAAAAAATCACATTTCATGTCTCCTACACTAAGAAGGAGGCACAATACTTGATAGGCTTCCTTGGGTTCTGGAGTCAATGTATTCCATTTTTGGGAGTGGATTTGAGTAGTACTTATAGAAGAACAGTGCTTGGCAGCAGGTGCAGCATGTGGTTCCAGCAGCACTGCCTTATTGACCTTATACACTGCAGAACCTCTTGAGTTAGAGATGTCTTTGGTGACAGAGATGCCTGGGGATTATGGAAGCCCCAGGGGAAGAAGTGCAATATAGATCCTGTGATTCCAGAACAGGACCATGTCATTTGCACCAGGCAGTCACTTATTGGAAATACAGCTTCTGGACATGCCATGGGGACCTTGTAGAGAAGGAGCATGGGACATTCAGTGACAATGTGGCCCAAACTGCCCATCATGAGCTGAGTTCTAACAGACCATGTTGTAAGTTCAGGCAGGCCCAGCAGAACCTACTGTGAGGTAGACTTTGTACCTCCAGGATAGGGATAACCAGGAAGAAAGGACATAATGAGCTGCACGAGCAGGTGGCCCAGGCCCTTTTATCATTTACCATAGTCTTGCCGGCCCTCATTGCCTTGCCCTCAGGTCACCTCAAATCAGGAGCCTCCCTGCTGACAAGCTGTTGGGAATAACAAAGGCTAACCTTGGCTCACAATGGGTAGGCTTGCTATGTGGGTTGTACAAGTGAAAGCTGACTGCTGCTGCATCTCATCCCCTTGCAGGAATGAACCTGAAGCAAAGCGGTTGATGGGAATCTTCCCAGTGTGTGCTGGATGAACTGTATGTTCAAACCATTTGATTAATCATGACATTTTACGGGCCAATAGAAGAAAGTGTATGCATCAGGGGTTGGGATTTGGACAGGTCATTTTTGGAGGAGAGTAAGAGGATGGCAAGATGGTGCCAGAAGCTGCTGTAACTGAGGCGGTTATCTGTAAAAAGAAGTGGTCCAAAGGGTTTTGGAAGTAAATTTATCTGCCTTCTGTATGCTGCACATGGCCAGCCCTTTAACATAGGGCTGTTTATCACTCTAGCTCCCCTAGGTCCTTTTGGGAAAGTGTAGAGATCAAGGTAAAATATTTTCCTGCAATGGCATATGTCATCTGAACTTAGGTACCTTATGAAACAAAAGATGCAGGAAACACAAAAACAGTTATGGCTACTTAGCAAAGAGGACAGGGCATAATGGAGGAAATGAGAGAATTTAAAAAGAGAAAGAGAAAGGAGAAGAGAGCAGAGGAGAGAGTTTGGGAAGTATTAGGTTGGTGCAAAAGTAATTGCGGTTTTTACCATTACTTTTAATAGCAAAAACCGCAATAACTTTTGCACCAACCTAACATGTAGCACTCAAATGTGTACCTATATGTGGTATTGATTAGATCTTATTTGGAAAGATCTCAAAAGTTTTCAAGGTTTTTGTTTTTCTTTCTTAAGAGAACCAATAAAAAGGAAGAAAATCATTTTTTTGAAACGGAGGTAGCAATATATTGGAAGTCAGGAGACTTGTCCTTTCATCTTTACTTTGATACTCACTGATTTTGTGACTTAAGGTGATTCCTTTTTGGCCTTGGTTTTACTGTTTTTAGACTAACCAGTGAATTTAATGAACTCTGAGTTTCTTCCTAACGTTTGCTTATTTTCCTACTTCTTTGGATAAAGACTGGAACAACAGAAGTACTGAAACAAATAACAATGAAAAAAGTGGGGAAAGTAATTGATTAAAAGGAGGAAGAACACTGCACAAAGAGGAAAGACCCATGAGAAAGGGGGAAACTAAGAACTTTTAGTTTTGAAAGTTTTTTCTAATTTTGATAGATTTAGGAGGTACAAGTACAGTTTTCTTACATGGATACACTGTGTAGTGGTGAAGCCTGGGCTTTTAGTGTTACGATCACCCAAATAGTGTAAATTGTACCCAGCAGTTAATTTCTCATCCCTTGTGTTTCTCCCACCCTCCTGCTTTTTCAAGTCTCCAGTATCTATTATTTCACTCTGTCCATGTGTGTACATTATTTAGCTTCTGTTTATCAGTGAGAACACATGACATTTGACTTTCTGCGTCTGAGTTATATCGCTTAAGACAATGGCCTCCAGTTTCATCTATGTTGTTGTTTCCTTCTTTTTTATGGATGAGTAGCATTTCATGCTACATATAACACAACATTTTCTGTATCTAATAATCCATGGGTGGACATTTAGGTTGATTCAATGACCTTGCTACTGTGAATAGTGCTGTAATAAACATACAAGTCTATCTATCTTTCTGGTAGAACAATGTTTTTTACTTTTGTATATATACCCAGTAATGGGATTGCGCTGTCAAATGGTAGTTCTATTTTTAATTCTTCGAGAAATCTCCATACTGTTTTCCATAGAGGTTGTATTAATTTATATTGATGTAAATTACATGATGTACATTGATGATATTCCACCAACAGTGTATAAGTCTTCCCTTTTCTCTGCATCGTCATCAACATTTCTTGTTTTGTGACTTTCATAATGGCCATTCTGCCTGGTGTAAGAGGGTATCTCACTGTGGTTTTAATTTGCATTTATCCGATGATTAGTGGTGTTGAGCATTCTTTGACATGTTTTTTGGCCACTTGTATGTCTTCTTTTGTAGAATGTCTGTTCATGTCCTTTGCCCAATATTTAATGGGTTTTTTTTGTTGTTGTTTTCCTGTTGAGCTGTTTGCACTCCTTGATTCTGGGTATTAGTCCTTTGTTGGATGCATTGTTTGCAAGCACTTTCTTCCTTTCTGTAGGTTGTCTGCTTACTCTGTTGATTATTTCTTTTGCTGTGGTGAAGCTTTTTGGTTCAATTAAATCTCATTTGTTTATTATTGGTTTTGTTGCACTTGCTTTTGAGGTCTTAGTCATAAATTATTTGTCTAAGCCAATGTCCATAAGAGTTTTTCCTAGGTTTTCTTCTAGGATTTTTATGGTTTCAGTTCTTACATTGAGTCTTTAATCCATCCTGAGTTAATTTTTGTATGTGGTGATAAGTAGGAGTCCAGTTTATTTCTTCTGCATATGGCTTTGAAATTTTCCCAGCACCATTTATTGAATAAAGTATCCTTTCTGCATTATATATTTTTGTCAATTTTGTCGAAGCTCAGTTGGTTGTAGATATATGACTTTATTTCTGGGTTCTCTATTCTGTTCCATTAATCTATGTGTCTATTGTTATACCAGTTCCAGGCTGTTTGGGTTACCATAGCGTTGTAGTATAATTAGAAGTTGGGTAATGCGATGGCTCCAGCTTTGCTCTTTTTGCTTAAAATTGGTTTGGCTTTTAAGGCTCCTTTCTAATTCAGTATGAATTTCAGGATTGTTTTTAGTAATTCTGTGAAAAATGACATTGGTAATTCAATAGAAATAATATTGAATCTGTAGATTGCTTTTGGCAATATAGTTTTTTGTTTTTGTTTTTTTGTTGTTGTTGTTTTTTCAATGATGTTGGCTTTTCCAATCCATGAGCATGGGATGTTTTCCATTTGCTTATGTCATCTACAATTTCTTTTAACAGTGTTTTGTAGTTCTCTTTGTAAAGATCTCTCACCTTCTGGGTTAAATGTATTCCTGGGTATTTTATTGTTTTATAGCTATTGTAAATGAAATAGACTTCTTGATGTGGTTCTCAGCTTGATCATTATTGGTCTCACGCCTGTAATCCCAACACTTTGGGAGGCTGAGGTGGGCAGATCACGAGGTCAGGAGATCAAGACCATCCTGGCTAACCCAGTGAAACCCATCTCTACTAAAAATACAAAAAACAAATATATATATATAGCCAGGCGTAGTGGCCCACACCTGTAATCCCAGCTACTCGGGAGGCTGAGGCAGAATAGTTTGAACCTGGGTGGTGGCGGTTGCAGTGAGCTGAGATCGTGCCACTGCACTCCAGCCTCGGTGACAGAGTGAGACTTCATCTCAAAAAAGAAAAAAAATAAAAGGTACTGATTTTTATACACTGATTTTGTATCCTGAAACTTTACTAAAGTCATATATCAACTCTAGGAGTCTTTTGGAGGACTCTTTAGGGTTTTCCAGGTATAAGATCACATCATCAGTGAACAGATCATTTGACTTCTTTTCCAATTTTAATGCGTTTAATATTTCTTTCTCTTGTCTAATTGCTCTAAGACTTCCAGTACTATGTTGAACAGGTATAGTGAAAGAGGGCATCCTTGCCTTGATCTGGTTCTCAGAGAAAATGCTTTCAAATTTTTTCTATGCAGTACAATGTTGACTATGGGTATGTTGTATATGGCTTTTATTATTTTGGAGTATGTTCCTTCTAGGCCTAGTTTGTTGAGGGTTTTCATCATGAAGGGATGTTGAACTTTGTTAAATGCTTTTTCTGTATCTATTGAGATAATTACTTGGTTTTTACTTTTAATTCTGTTTTTGTAGTAATTCACATTATTTATTTGCATATGTTGAACAATCCTTGAATTCCTGGAATAAAACCCATTTGTTTGCAGTGTATTATCTTTTAGATGTGTTGTTACATTCAGTTTGCTAGTATTTTGTTGAAGATTTTTACATCTATGTTCATCAGGAATATTGGCTCGTAGTTTTCTTCTTTTGCTATGTCCTTGCCTGCATTTGGTATCAGGATGATACTAGCTTCAGAGAATGAGTTAGGGAGGAGTTCTTCTGTCTCAATTTTTTGGAACACTTTCAGTAGAATTGATGCCATTTCTTTGTAAATTTGGTAGAATTTGGCTGTGAATCTGTCTATGCTTTGGCTTATTTTTTTGGGAGGAGAATTAAAATTACCAATTCAATCTCACTACTGATTAATCATCCGCACAGGATTTCTATTTTCTCCTGGTTCAATTTTGGGAGATTGTATGTTTCCAGGAATTTGTCCATTTCCTCTAGGTTTTCTAGTTTGTGTGCATAGAGCTGTTCATAGTAGTCTCTGATGCTCTCTTGTAATTTTGTGATAGCAGTTGTAATGTCTCTTTTTTCATCTCTGATTGTGCTTATTTGAATCTTCTGTCTTTTTTTTCCCTTGGTTAATCTAGTTAGTAGTCTATCAATTTTATTTATCTTTTCAAAAAGCCAACTTTTTGTTTTTTTGGTTCATTGTATAGTTTTTTTTTGGTCTCAATTTCATTTTTGTTCTGATTTTTGTTATTTACTTTCTTCTGCTAGCTTTGGGTTTGGTTTATTCTTATTTTTCTAGTTTTTGGAGGTGCAGTGTTAGGTTGTTAATTTGTAATTTTTCTATCTTTGTTTTTTTGATATAGGCATTTAGTGCTATAAACCTCCCTCTTAGTGCTGCTTTTGCTACATCCCAGAGATTTTGGTATGTTATAGCTCTATTTTCATGTGTTTCAAAAATTTTTTAAATTTTCATCCTAATTTTGTCTTTGACCCAAAGATCATTCAGGAGCAGGTTGTTTAATTTCATTGTATTTGTATAGTTTTGAGTGTTCCTCTTGGTATTGATTTCAAGTTTCATTCCACTGTGGCCCAAGAAGATAACTGATATAATTTTGTTTTTTGTTTAATTTATCGAGACTTGTTTTGTGACCTAACATGTTGTCTATTCTGGAAAATGTTCCATGTCCTGATGAGAAGAAAATATATATTCCATGGTTGTTGAATAGAATGTTCTGTAAATGCCTATTAGGTCCTTTTGGTCTAGAGTACAATTTAAGTCCAGAGTTTCCTTGTTAGTTTTCTGCTTCTATGATCTAGTGCTGTCAGTGAGGTGTTGGAGTCTTTCACCATTATTATGTTACTGTGTATCTCTTTTCTTACATCTAATGTAATTTGTTTTATGCATATGGGTGCTCTGGTATTGGGTGCATATATATTTAGAACTGTTACATTTTCTCATGGAATTGATCCCTATATCTTTATATAATGGCCTTCTTTATTACTCCATTTTCACACAGCTAGAAAGAACTACCTGAGACTGGGTAATTTATGAAGAAAATGGGTTTAATTGACTCAAAGTCCCACAGGCTTTACAGGAAGCATGGCTGGCAGGCCTCAGGAAACTTACAATCATGGTGGAAGGTGAATGGGAAGCAAGCATGTCTTACCATGGTGGAGCAGGAGAGAGATAGGGAAGGGGGAAGTGCTACGCACTTTCAAACAACCAGATATTGTGAGAACTCATTCATCATCATGAGAGTAGCAAGGGGAAAACCAACCCCCATGGTCCAATCACCTCCCATCAGGACCCTCTCCCAACACTGGGAATTATAACTCAGCATGAGATTTGGATGGGACACAGAGCAAGACCATATCACCTTCTTTGTCTTTTTTTTTTTAACTGTTAGAGTCTTTTTTGCATTTTCTTTTAGCTCATCAGCTATCATTAGTGTTAGTGTATTTTATGTGTGGCCCAAGACAATTATTTTTCTTTCAATGTTGCCCAGGGAAACCAAAAGATTGACACTCCTGATTTCATCCGTTCACATTCAAGGTTAATGTTGATATGTGAGGTTTTGTCCCTGTCATAATGTTAATTGTTACCTAGTGGCTTTGTAGTGTCAATTGTGTAATTGTTTTATAAGACCTGTGAATTATTTTGTACATTCATTTGTTTTTACAATAGTGAGCATTGACCTTTTGTTTCCAAGTTTTGAACTCCTTAAAACATTTCTTGTAGGACTGGTCTAGTGGTGATGAATTAGTTTAGCATTTGCTTGTCTGGGAAATATTTTATTTCTCTTTCTTTTATAAAGCTTAAATTTAGGAGGATACAAAATTTGTGGTTGACAGTTTTTGTCTTTAGGAAGTCTGAAAATAGGACCCCAATCTATAGTGGCTTGTAAAGGTTCTGCTGAGAAGTTTACTGTTAATCTGAAGGGATTTCCTTTATAGGTGATTAGATGCTTTTTTCTTGATGATTTTAGAAGTTTTTCCTTCATATTGACTTTAGAGGCCCTGATGACTATATGCCTTGGTGAAGTCCATCTTGCAATGCATTTTCCTAGAGTTCTCTGAGCTTGTATCTGGATGTCTAAATCTGTCTCT
This sequence comes from Homo sapiens, assembly GCF_000001405.40. NCBI lineage: Eukaryota > Metazoa > Chordata > Mammalia > Primates > Hominidae > Homo > Homo sapiens. The sequence continues at coordinate 57,648,653 of NC_000005.10, forward strand.
CTCTCTTTTTTAGGTTTTGGGCTCTTTATCTTGCATTCAAAATTGATGATGAGAAATATCTATGAATGGCAGTAACCTGAAGAGGCATAAATGACAAGGAGTTGATCAACCCTGAGTTTTCTGATTTTCATTATGTAAAGTAGCATAAAAAGTATTTTTTTTTACTTTTATTTTAAGTTTAGAGGTACATGTGCAGACTTGTTACATAGATAAACTAAACTTGTGACATGGGGCTTTGTTGTGCAGATTATTTTATCTCCCAGGTATTAAGCCTAGTGCCCATTATTTATTTTTCCTGATCCTCTCCCTCCTCTCACCCTCCATCATCTAATGGGCCCCAGTGTGTGTTGTTCCCCTCCATTTGTCAATGTGTTCTCATCACTTAGCTCCCAATTATAAGTGAGAACATGTGGTATTTAGTTTTCTGTTCCTGTGTTAGTTTGTTAAGGTTAATGGCCTCCAGCTCCATCCACATCCCTGCAAAGAACATGATCTGAGTTTTTTTTATGGTTGCATAGTATTCCATGGTGTATATGTACATCATGAAGCTGAATTTAGCAGAATACAAAATTTGTGGCTGACAAGTTTTTTTTACACTTTTTTAACAAATCTAATCTATCATTGGTGGGCATTTAGGTTGATTTCATGTCTTTGCTATTGTGAATAGTGTTTCAAAGAACTTTTATGTGCATGTGTCTTTATAATAAAATGATTTATAGTCCTTTGGGTATATACCCAGTAATGGGATTGCTGGGTCAAATGGTATTTCTGTCTTTAGGACTTTGAAAAATTACCATACTGTTTTCCACAATGGTTGAACTAATTTACACTCCCATTAACAGTCTATAAGCGTTCCTTTTTCTCCACAACCTCTCCAGAAATGGATGTCTAAATTTCTACCAAGCCTAAGGAAATCTTCCTTAATTATTTACTCAAATAAGTTTTCCAAACTTTTAACTTTCTCTACATCTCCCTCAGAAATAGCTATGACTTGTGCATTTGGTTGTCTTACATCATTCCATACTCCTCAAAGGCTTTGTTCATTTATGAAATTCTGTTTTCTTTATTATTGTCTGACTGGGCTAATTCAAAAGATCTGTCTTTGAAATTCTTTTTTCTGCTTGGTCTAGTCTATTATTAAAGCTTTCAACTATATTTTGTAATTCAATGAATTCTTCATTTCTAGATGTTCTTTGTGTGTGTGTTTTGTTTTAATGTCTACCTCTTCAGCAATTTTTTCATTGATGTCTTGAATTGTTTTTCTAATTTCTTTGTGTTGGTTTTCAATTTTCTTTTGTATCTCATTGAGCTTATTTAAAATCAATATTTTGAATTATTTATCTGGTATTTCAAAGATTTCCTTTGGATTAGAATCCATTGCTAGAGAGTTAATGTGATTCACTGGGGTGTTTTAACACTCTGTTTTTTCATATTACCAGAATTTTTCCTCTGGTTCCTTTTCATCTAGATAAACTATCTCTTCTTCTCTCTTTCTTTTTTTTGAATTTACTTTCGTTTGGAAAGGAATTTTTTTCCTCCTTGAGGATGTGACTATGCTGTATGCTGTGTATGGTTATTTTACTTTGGTTCTGGATGCTTTCAGTGGCAAGGATTCTATGTGTGTTCCATGGTTATAGATAGCTTTTGTGTGGTGGCTTTCTCAAATGCTGGTTGTAGCTACATACTGGGTGGGTTTGTGAGCAGGTTCACTGCCTCCTTGGGTATCAGGATAGAGGAAGTCTCAGGAATCTTAGCTCATTCCTCACTGTTGTGCGCTTGTGTCAGCAGGTTTTGTATTACACTGTGCAGTTCAATCTCCAGGCCAGTAGGTGGCATTTACAGGTAACAGCTGACTATCTGCAGAAGCAGATGGGCATATACTTGATCTTTGTTTACTGAGAGAAGCTCTCTTTTGCTTCAGCCAATGGGCTGTTCTGTGGACCACCCACAAAGCTGGGTGGAGCTGGACTGTCAAGCTCAACTTTGACCTCAGATATCCCAACGGTAAACACGAGCACCAGACCTGACTGGGTGGTTGAGGGAGCTCCTGGTGAAATGTGCTGAGGCTTCTGCTGAGGTTTCTACCTCAGCTCCACGGCCTGGCCAGGTAGGAATGCAATTCACCTTCCTGTCATGTTTCTGTCCTGGCACTCCAGACATTCGGGTCAGACAGACCTCACTATCTCCAAGCTGCAGTGAATCTGAGAGCCATGAAAGGTACCTGCTCTGTGATTCTCTACCAATGTGGTTATGGTGTGGAACTTCTTTTCTCAGCCCAAAACGTAAAACTTTGAGGCTCTCCTCTTCTCTGCTTCAGGAATGCTGCTGCTCTATGTAGAGAGTGGGAAGGGCCCTGCCATTTTGCAAGCCTGGGCCTGGTAAGCACACTGCCAATGGGGTACATCCACCCCTAACAGTCCTAGAATGACCATCCACCAGCATGCCTATGTCAGTCTCCTATGCGTGCAGCCATGGCTGTTTCTGCAGTAGTTGTGGGGAGGGTAGAAAAAAGAGGTCTCCCTCTCCACAGCCATGCTCAAGCACTGGGGCCATATGGCCACTGGGGTGGAACATATTCCTTTCCCACAGAGCTGAGCATGGCATCTTTGTCTCTGCTGGAAGAGACACAGTCAACTTTACCGCATAAGTGGAAGCTCTCAAGCACAGGAAAGAATGTGCTCTGGTTTCCTTTGCCCCAGGGAAGAGGTACTTCCTTGGTGGGCTGCACTCTCTCTTCCCTTAGGAGCAGCACTCCCTGAGACCTGGGCCATGGGCATTCTGCAGCTTCTCTAGGTCCAGTCAGGCCTGTGTGGCTGTCACAATCCCAGCTGGTGCTGGGGAATGTCTGTGGGAGATCTGGCAATGTGGAGACACAAGGGCTGAGGTTACCTGGGCAGAAAACAGTCTCACAATGGGTATGCAGCAAATATGGCACCTGCTACCACAGCTTGGGTCCAGGAACAGGGTGAGTGACTGTGTGCAAGTTGGTAGTCTGGTGTGATGTCCTCAAAAAGTTACCAAATCACCACCCATACTAGTGCTTGGGCTCATGAAAGCAGAGGAGACCTCTAAAGTTTGGAAACCAGCAGTCTGCTGCAAGGGTGAAGGGAGCCAAGAACATTTACCTTTTTGATGAAATACCAAGTCCCTCAGGAGGGTTTGATCTCAGCCAGCCTTTTGCTTCTGTCTTTTTCTGTATGGTAGCTTCTTCCTGTGAGTTCTCCAATAGTTCCGGCACCCTCTCTTTAATATTCTATGTGAGTTTTGATTATTTACCTCTACGTTCCATTCTTCTTTCTGAGGAGAACTTACATGTGACCTCTCTAGTCAGCCATCTTGAAATTTATAAAACCTGAATTTTAGTTTTTTATATTATGGAAAGGTAATATGTTTATAGAAATGTTTTGATGTGTAGAATAATATCTATAGATGTAAGTAAAGGATATTTAAAAGGAGTTTTTTTCTATGTGACTGTACCCAATTTGTCTGAGAAGGCAGCAGAGGGCAAGTACTTTCCCATCCAGCACATGCTGTGAGATCACCTGTGCAGGATGTTCAAGTGCAGTAGAGAAGGGCTGATTTTATGACATTTATCTCAATATGCACTTTGAGCATAAGAAGGATTGATATTTAAACAGAGGATTTTCTGTGTACTGGGAGTCTGCCCTCACTCCCAACACCGGAAAAGTGCTGGGTGCTTCACTCTCACTTCAATCTAGTGTAAAGTGCTGCAAGGTAACCAATCAGGAATCTTGATGTGTTCCTGGATTTGGAGGGACACAGTAGTTTACTGTCTGTGTACTATGGAAGATAATCTTGAAATGAAATATTGGCTGAAGCCATGTATGAAGGTGGGGAAAGAGCTAAGGCTGCACTTTCACCATTTGGCATGAAGGGGGTACTTTCCCATGGGCCTGATGTGAAAGCTGGAGCCTCTGAAATGAATTCTGCAAAGGCAAGGGGGCCCTGGAAGTATGAGAATGTGGGGTTGGTTGCAGAGGCAGGAGCTGATGAGGAGTAGCAATTGGTCAGCTAAAGAAGATACATCAGGGACCTCTGAAGAATTCACAATCATATGCTCAAGAAAAAAGTCAGCTTTGGTCACACCACCAAGAGCATCAACACTGAGCAAATCAAGCAGGTCTTTTCCTGCTTTCTTTTCTTTTGTTTCTCTCCCCTTGCAATCCTGCGGATTTGGGTATAAGGTAGAGAGAAGCTGACAGAGAAACAAGATGTCTGCTTTCTTTGTTTTCCACTGTAAGTTTCCGAAGGAGGCCCAATCTGGAGTAGGGAGAAATAGTCAACTTAAAATGACTTGTGGAATTTTAACTATTACAAGAACCTGTTTGAATTAGTGAAATGAGACAGTTCTTGCAAGTAGAAATGACTATAGAATTTTTAATTGTTCAACAAACAGAGAAAATCTTTTGGGCTCCTTAACATTTCATCCAGGGGCAGGGAAAAAAACCTAGCCACACCCCATAGAGCAGGTATTATGGGCTGGCATTGAGATGGAAAGAATTACAATGCTCGATGACTTTATTTTTTAAAGACAGGTTTACCCATGATTATTGTGTAAATACAGTTGCAATCAAATGCTGTTTGCTTACATGTTCAAATGATTGTTTTCTGTGAATTATCAATGTTAAATTAAAAAAACCAGAAAGTGTTTAGTAAAACCATTTCAAAGTTTATTTATACTATTTTAAAAAAAATTCTGGCTGCATTTTGAAAAATTGGGGGCATTTCTTGAAGATGAGATTTTAAGAAGTTTTTCAAGAAAAAAAACACAGGAATAAGTGTAGAAACTTAAGGTGGGAGAAGGTAAATGCAATGCAAGTAGAGAAAATGAATAGGTGGCTTTAAGAAAGAATTGGAAACTGGAGGGATATAGGAGGAATTCGAGAGAAACAAGTGCATGTGTGTATGTCTGTTGCTCATAGTGGTGAGGGTATAAGCATCCTTCTCCCTAAATCTAATCTTTCTCTTAGACTAACAGGTGCCTTGAACTTTAGGAAAAGTAAAATTTGAAAATGTATCTTTGCATTATTTAGTGATCTTTCCTTCCCTTAACATGACTTTTTTCAGAGCTCATCTCTGTGGTTTGGCATGGCTACAGTTCACTGTCCTATTTTAAAAGACAATCCCAGGTTATTATGAGGAGGGTTAGCTGAGGAGACAGAGCAGGACTGTCTCTCAAATCTTCTTCTGGAAGGCATGAACCGAGCATGTACAAGCAATAAACCTATTTCCACAAGCTTGTCAGTGTATTAAGCCACATACAACATTGATATATTAGTGCTAAATCTCAAATTAGCTACTGGATTTTTAGAACTAAGGGAGGAGAGCCAAACAAAGAAGTTTCTTGTGAATCTATAGCAGCTCCAGGCAGCTGATGAGCTACCAGCCGCTAGTCCTATGAACAGATATTCTGGGCTGTCTATTTATAGTGCCATCTTGTCACATGGGCTGGCATTGTTGTCTGGCGTTATTCTTTACTGTCAGGGAGCTTTACTTTTGGAATAGCCAACTCCTTTCAGTAGACTAAATGGGTTTTTAAGCAGGCCAGCACTGAATCCTGGACTGTACAGCCAAAAAGGTGTAGAAGTTCTAACTCCCTCATTTTTTACACAGGGAGAAATTGAGGTCCCTAGAGATTAGAACACTGCTTAGTTACAGAGTTAGAAATACACCCCATGCCTCTTGACTCCAAGTCTAGTGCCTTTAGCAAAAACTTAAACTAGGAATTTTGTTTTGTTTTGTTTAGATGAGGGTGAGTTTTGGATATGAGGGGGCCAAAGATTTTTAAAAAATTCTTAAACCATATAATTAAACAAATTAACATTTTGTAGTGTCTGAGGCTCCTCTATTATTTGCATAAGCAAAGGAAGAAAAAGAGATGCGTATTCTTTCAACACTTGCCACTGATAATGGTAAATATATGTTAACAATGGCATGATCTGAATAACTTCAAGAAAGACTCAACCCTGCTTATTTAGGTGCAGGCTTAACACATGTAGGTGTACTCAGTTGACCAATGGTATCTGTGACCCTGGATAAGGCACTAAGCAGTCCTGAAAATGTTTCCTCTGCTGTTAAAAAAATTGACCCAGACTTGTTTACATGTAAAATTTTAAAAATTGTAAAATATTTATGAGGATAAAGTATTAAAATTATTTTTTGTAATTGCTACATTGTAATTATAGAAGTGCATCCTCTTCCGTATACATCTGTTACCAGGGCAACTGCATGGATAGTCTATGGAGTTGTACTCCAGGGGTGCAATTAACATAGACTATGGTGCAGGCGGTAGCCTCACTGGCTTTGAACTATGCAAGGGCCCTGCTACCATATGTGATTATATCTTTTTGTTAAAAATAATTTTTTATTTTTTATTTTTGTGTGTATACAGTAGGTGTATGTATTTACGGGGTACATGAGATGTTTTGATACAGGTATGCAATGCATAATAATCACATCATGGAAATGGGGTGTCCATTCCCTCAAGCATTCATCCTTTGTGTTATAAACAATCCAATTATACTCTTTTCATTTTTTTAAATGTACAGTTAAATTATTATTGACTATAGTTGCCCTGTTGTGCTGTCAAATACTAGGCCTTATTTATTCATTCTATTTTTATGTACCCACTAACCATCCCCTCCTCCCCGACACCTCCCAATACCCTTCCCAGCCTCTGGTAACCATTCTTCTACCTTCCGTCTTGCTGGGCTCTCAGTATGTACATTGTGCAGTGCAGGATTGCTCTTCAAAACATGGCCTTGGATAGCCTTTTCCTGGTAGAATGCCTCTTGGACTTTATAACTTCAAACAACATGCTTAGGTCTTAAATCAATATTTTTGACAACGTTTATAAGAAATTATAAGCACACTTCATTTCATTGCATTCACTTTATTGCACTTTTCAGATAGCATTTTTTTTTACAAATTGAAGGTTTGTGGCAACCCTGCGTCAAGCAAGTCTATCGGCACCATATTTCCAACAGCACGTGCTCACTTCATGTCTCTGTGTCACGTTTTGGTAATTCTTACAATATTTTATACTTTTTCATTATTATATATATTATGGTGATTGTGATCAGTGATCTTTGATGTTAATAACATAATTATTTTGGGATGCCACGAACTGCACCCATGTAAGTTGGTGAACTTAATTGATAAATATGCATGTTGTGACTTGTCCACTGACCAGTCATTCCCATATTTCTCTTCTTCTCCTTGGACATCCCTATTTCCCAAGTCACGACAATATTGAAATAGACCAATTAATGACCCTACAATGGCCGCTCAGTGTCCAAGTGAAAAGAAGAGTGGCAGTGCTCTCATTTTAAAGCAAAAGCTAGAAATGATGAAGTGTAGTAAGGAAGGCATTTTAAAAGCTGAAATGGACAGAAAGCTAGGCTTCTTGTACCAAACAGCCAAGCTGTGAATGCAAAGAAAAATTTATTGAAGGAAATTAAAAGTGCTACTCCAGTGCACACAAAAAGAAAGAAAGCAAAACAGCTTTATTGTTGATATGGGGAAAATTTTAGTGGTCTGGATAGAAAATCAAGTCAGCCTCAACATTCCCTTAAGCCAAAGCCTAATTCAGAGCAAGGCCCTAATTCACTAATTCTCTAAAGGCTGAGAGAGATGAGGAAGCTGAAGAAGAAAGGTTTGAAGCTAGCAGAAGTTGGTTCATGAGGTTCAAGGAAAGGAGCCATCTTTGTAATCTAATTGCAAGGTGAAACAGCAAGTGCTGTTGGAGAAGCTGCAGCAAGTTATTCAGAAGATCTGGCTAGTTAATTGATGAAGGTGTGTACATTAAACAACAGATTTTCAATGTAGATGAAACAGCCTCCTGTTGGAAGAAGTTGCCATCTAGGACTTTCATAGAGAGAAGTCAATACCTGGCCTCAAAGCTTCAAAAGACCAGCAGACATTCCTGGGGCCTAATGCAGTTAGTGACTTTAAGGTGAAGCCAATGCTCATTTACAACTCAGAAAAACCTAAGGTCCTTAAGAATCATGTGAACTATACTCTGTCTGTGCTCTAGAAATGGAACAACAAAGCCCAGATGATAGCATAGCTATTTACAGAGTGGTTTCCTGAATATTTTAAACCTATTGTTGAGGCCTACTGCTTAGAAAAAAAGATTTTTTTCAAAATATTGCTGCTTATTGACTATTCGTCTAGTCCCCCAAGAGTTCTGATGGAGATGTACAAAGAGATAAATTTTTTTTCATGCCTGCTAACACAACATCCACTCCGTAGCCCATGGATCAAGAAGTCATTTTGACTTTCAAGTCTTATTATTTAGGAAATATATTTCACAAGGCTATGCCTGCCATACATGTGATTCCTCTGATCAATCTGGGCAGAGCACATTACAAACCTTCTGAATAGGGTTCACCAGTCTAAATGCCATTAATGACATTCATGATTCATGAGAGGAGGTCAAAATATCAACATTACCAGGAGTTTGAAATACATTGATTCCAACTCTCACAGATGACTTTGAGAGGTTCAATACTTCAGTGGAGGGAGTAACTGCATATGTGGTGGAAATAGCAAGAGACCTAGAATTAGAAGTGGAGCCTGAAGATGTGACTGAATTCCCATAATCTCATGATAAAACTTGAACCAGTGAGAAGTTGCTTCTAACGGATGAAGCAAAGAAAGGGGTTTCTTGAGATGGAATCTACTTCTGGTGAAGATGTTGTGAACATTACTGAGATGACAACAAAGGATTTAGAATATTGCATAAATTTAGTTGTAAAGCAGCAGCAGGGTTTGAGAGGATTAACTCCAATTTTGAAAGAAGTTCTACTGTGAGTAAAATGCTGTCACACAGCATCACATGCTACAGAGACATCTTTCATGGACAAGTCAATCAATGTGGCAAACTTCATTGTTGTCTGATTTTAAGAGATTGCCACAGTCACCCTAGACTTCAGCAACCAGCATACTGATCAGTCAGCAACCATCAAAATCGAAGCAAGACTCTCCAGCAGCAAAAAGATTATAACTTGCTGAAGGCTCTGATGTTCGTTAGCATTTTTAGCAATAAGGTATTTTTTAATTAAGGTATATACTTTTTAAAGACACAATGCTATTGTACATTCAATAGACTACAGTACAGTGTAAAGATAACTTTTATATGCACAGATAAACCAACAAATGCTTGTGACCCACTTTACTGTGATATGCATTTTATTGTGGTGGTCTGGCACTGAACCCACAATATCTCCCAGGTATGCCTGTGCATTTATATTCTTAAAATAAAAAAAAAATCCTACTTTTTCCAAAATGGTAAAAATTATTGTGGAAACTTCTTGATTTATATTTCAAATTCAACTATTGGAAATCAAAATCACATAAAGACAAAGTCTGAAAATGCACCAAATGTCAGCAAGGGGAGCTTGAAGGTTTTAAGAGATACATTTGTATGTTCACGGTCCTAAAAGAGTTATCTCAGTGTCATATTTAGTGCCATGTGCTATTGTGTGCTTGGCTGGTCCTGAGCACATTTCCACACTGATTGACATTGCAAATGGAACAAATTCTGCTCTTAATTCCTCTGCATGCAGTTTTTCAAGAGCTCCATGACAACCTTTTAACCCATCTTTTGAAAACCAGCCTGCTTTGCAAGAGCAACAACTTTCACTCTGGCTTGAACTCCCTCTTCAGTCTTTGACATAGGCCACAAATTACAGGGTTAGTTTCTTACATGTACCCTTCATTTTGGTGTGAAAACTTTTTCCTGTTATTTCTTGCTGAACTCTAGAATTATCCCTCAGTTTAAAGTATTTGATTCTATTGGCTGTAGAAACATGCCAAGCTAAACAGCTAAATTCTTAAGCCTCCCTTGCCGGTTTTGGGTAACCGTATGAGAGAATTCCAGCCAATGAGCTATAAATGGAAGTTGTTGGGGAGTCTCTTCAAAGGGGAAGTATGTGCCTATTTGCCCTACCTATTCTTTCTTCCTTTTGTCTGAAACATGTGTAGGATGGGTGGAGCTTCAGTAGCTATCTTGAGAACACAAGTGTCATGCCCAAAGGATGGTGAAATAGAAAACTAGAAAGAACCTGGATCTCCAATGACATCGAGGAGTACCACAACAGACCTAGCTTAGCTCCCTTTGGACTTCTTTTATACTGGAGAAAAATTAACCCTGAATATATTCAACATAGTATTTTGGGGGGTTTGGAACACAATTTCTATTTTTAAAAAATCTTTTAAGTTCAGGGGACATGTGCAGGATATGCTGGTTTGTTACCTAGGTAAACTTGTGTCATGGGGGCTTGTTGTGCAGATTATTTCACCACCCAGGTATGAAGCCTAGTACCTATTAGTTATTTCTCCTGATCCTCTCCCTCCTCCCAGCTTCCACCCTCTGCTAGGTCCCAGTGTATGTTGTTCCCTTCTATGTGGCCGTGTGTTCTCATCATTTAGCTCCCATTTACAAATGACAACGTGTGGTATTTGGTTTTCTGTTTCTGTGTTAGCTTCCTAAGGATACAGGCCTACAGCTCCATCCATGTCCCTGTGAAGGACAAGATCTCATGCTTTTTTATGGCTGCATAATATTCCATGAGGTACCATATATTCTTTATCCAGCCTATCACTGGTGGGCATTTAGGTTGATTCCATGTCCTTGCTATTGTGAATAGTGCTGCAATGAACTTTGTAATATAACAATTACATGCATGTATCTTTATAATAGAACAATTTATATCCCTTTAGGTCTATACCCAGTAATGGGATTGCTGGATCAAATGATATTTCTGTCTTTAGGTCTTTGAGGAATCTCCACACTGTCTTCAACATTGTTGAACTAATTTACACTCCCACTAACAGTGTATAAGCATGGAACACAATTTCTAAGTGATAAATAGATCTTGCCTATCTTTATCCAACATTCCCTGAGATCATTCCCCAACCCTAATTTGGAATGATCTTACCTACTGCAGCCAAGCCAGACTCTCCATTTCTTTCAGGGCATTTCTCAGACTCACATTCTATAAGAAATCTTCTTTTACTCATCTCCTTCTTCTCTCAACAGTCTTTTAATTAAAAATGATTTAAAATTTTGGTGTTTGAGTCAATCTCTCCTACATGTAATATTCTTTTTTTATATGGTCCCCTTTCTGTGTTTCCTGTCCTTCAACATGGAAAGTCACTGGAACTAGACATCTATTGTAGTTCCTTCTGCAATCTCCCATTATGCTGCAGCAATAGGGCCTAGCAAAGTGGTGAGCTCCTCTAAAACTCCATGGTTATTAATTGAATGAACTTTGTCAAATCTAGAGAAACACGGGATGTGAGGGTCTATAATTGAGCAGTTTTTCCTCTTCCTTATTCATATTAATCAGGCTTGGATCGTGGAGCCACCACCTCATCCTACAACTGGTTTCAACATCCACATTTCTTACAGAAGGAGAAGTGAGGTCTCCTGACCTTTCTGGAGTATTCACTTCAGTCTGTCTCTGGGCTTCTCTCAGAGGTTTTAGGTCACTATTTTTCCTTTTCTCTTCCTTCCTCCCTCCTTCCTTTCCTCTTGTTCTCCTCCTCCCCTCCTTTTTTCTCTCTTTTTCCTCATTCTCATTTGTAAAAAAAATTTTTTACAAAAATTTTTTAAAAACAACATTTGAAAACAAGGTTCCAAAATCTATGAGAAGTTAGTTAAAAACCTGACCCTTTCCTACCTTTTTTCTGCCTGGTAACAAACCCCTTTGCCTGAACTTATTCACCGTCTTGTTCTTGTCATTCAAGTGGTTCCTCAGATTCTTCTTTTCCAGGAAGTCTTCTTCAACAGACTGGCAGTGTGAGGCACAGCCTATTCAACAATTGTCTATTCAGTGTATGTGTTGAAATCTACTATGTGCTTATTGCTCTGAGATGCTTCTAGTGAGTGGGAGCCAAATGTAAAATCAAGTGTGATTTTTGACTTGAAAAAATCTATAATCTGGTGAATTTTGGAATTCACACTCACAGAATTCAGTAAGGGTATTCACCCTGTCATACAGAGGTTTAATATTAAGTTCATCCTCTCTGTGGCTCCCCACATTATCTCTGCCTCCTATCCCATGTCAAAGTGGCAATCAGTGAACTCATGAAGTGCCTACTCAATTCCTTCCTTACTAGTCAGCTCACCTTCCACAGTTACTCTTCAATTGCTCATAATGTAACTTCTACACTACTCAATTCAAGCATTTGTAATTCAATTATTTTTTCAAATATTAATACATCAATCAAAGAGCAGGGAATTAGCACTTACTGTTACATAGCTAACATTGGTTTAGATATTTGGGGAATGCAATAAAGGCTGACTATAGGATATTCTCCTGCTTCCTTTCTTCTTCACTTCTAAGAAGCCTTTGCTGATTCTACCCTATTCCTGGGAGAGTTATTCATTCTGTGTTTCCATAGCAGTGATAATGATGATTAATATGGAGATTTAGTAAGTGCCAGACACTGTGATAAGTACTTTTCTTAAGTTTTTTTAATTGAATCCTCCCAACAAACCTAAAAGTATTACTATTATTATTCTAATTATTATAGATAAGGAAACTGAGTTTCAATTAACCAAACTAACCAAGGCTCTGCAACTAGTAAATGTGAGAGGAGAATTCCAACATGGGTAGTCTAGTATGATCATCTCTAATTTAAAGGGACAGAAACTGTCTCAGTCATCTCAGGCTGCCTTAACAAAAAAAAACAGATTATGTGGTTTAAACGACAGAAATTTATCTTCTCACAGTTCTGGGGGCTGGAAATTTCAAGGTCTGATAGAGGGTTGTTTCTGGTGAAGACTCTTTTCCTGGCTTGCAGACAGCTACCTTCTCACTGTATCTTTATATGTAGGAGGGGGAGCAAGCTCTCTAGTCTCTCTTTTTATAAGGGCACTGATCACATCATGGGGCCCTACCATCATGATCTCATTAAATCCCAATTTCCTCTCAATGATCTCATCTCCAAATACCACCATGTTGGGGGTTAGAGCTTCAATATATGAATTTTGGGAGGATACAAACATTCAGCCTATAATAGAAATAAGCCTTAGGAAGATTAGATAAAATAGCCAAAGTCAGAGTTACTAGGTGGCAGAACAAGGACTGAATCCCAGATTTCTGGAGAGCAATGTTCTTCTATGTTACTCTGAGTCAGGAAGGCAAAGGGGTCAGAAAGAGCAAGGAGGATCCTTGGTACTTCCAAATGTTCTCAACTCTTAAACAGCATTGCAGGTCAGGGCATCTTAACTTCAATAATTATCAAGGTATAGAGATCTCTTTCTGTTTTGCTACATTATATTGGTAATATTTTTACTCACAGAGAGAGAAATAGATCTTTTTCCACCTTATTCAGAGACAATGAGTAATTAACCCACCATAAATGAAAGCCAGGTCTTCAGAAAAGAGCTGTCTCTTGTAATTTTTGAGATTGTATCTTAAATAGGGATTTTATATAATAATCATGTTTTGGTGAGGCTTGTAGATTCTTGCCAATATTTTCAATATTGTATCAGTCAAGATTTCAACAGGAAACAGATGGCACATTAAGACTGGGTAATTTGAACCGAGTTTGATAAAAAGACTATTTACAAGGGTATGGACATGGCTTAAGAAAAGCAACAAGGGATGGCATGTAACCCTGTGTTAATATGGACTCTTAACACTGGGAGGCCTGAAGGGACAAATAGAAGGAGAGGTTAGAACCCGGAGGGGGAGCTGTATGAAGGGCTGTGCGACTGGTGCCAGGGCCCTCACTGGGGCAATGTGGCCACCCATGGCCCAGCATGGTGAGTCTGAGGAATAATCAGCACCCTCACTCTCTTCCCACCTCTGATCACTTGACACTGCTCCTCCAGAGCCAATGGCAAGAGGTTATATTGATGTTATCCAAATGTGACAGTCTCCTGGGCAGACACCAGGGTTGAGAAGTGTGGAGGACAAACTAGAATGATAAAGACAGGATATCTAGAAAAAAATACCATTTTCAATGAAATCGTAGCTGGGGAAGTTCTCTTGACTGTCATTTAAGTAGTTTTGCCTCTTTCTATTAAACCTTGTAGGTGGTAGACAGTCTACTGATTGGCATGGTTTCTTTTAGTATATATAATGAAGAGAAAAAGACATAGCATGAATTTAGATATCTTACTGAAAATGAATTGAGAAATATCTTATTTAATCATATTGTACTCAACAACTGGGGTCAGAGTTGTTATAAATCAACAGTATAGATTTGAAAACCAAATTTTTGATTGATTGGACTACGGTGATACTTAATATCAAGTTATTGATAAGAAATTCAAAGTGGTTTTTGAGAGAATATTTTGTAGAAATCATTCTGACAGCTGATTGAGGAGACTTCGTCTAGTAAATTGTAGCCTCTATTTCTGCACTCCCAGGAGGCAATAGTCCCTAGAGACAGGGAATAAAAGGTCAAGGTCTAGCTGTACCACTCACTAGGGCACAGCCAGGCATCATCTCAGCTAGGTCTCAGATGAAGAGAATCATATCTCCCTCCGCTGGTTGCCGAGAGACATTTTGCTTAGTGGCTGGCACAGAGTAAGTATTCCATAAATGTTAGATATTCTAGTTTGAGCGAGTTGGAGAATCTGGCCTGCAAAGAGCAGACAATATTTTTCTAAATAAGGAAGTGATACATTCACTGGAATGTTGGCTTTTTAAAAATGAAAATGAGGTTTCAAAGGGAATATGTGCCTTCTCCAGAAAATGATTAACTATCCAGTCTGTGATACAACACAATTAATTAAATCAAAGTTTGCCTGGAGTGTATGGAAACTGAGACTCAAAAGTGCATTGAGGTATTGAGGCAAGATAGATGTTAAGAACCAAGGAGCAGCAGGGGAGCAGAAGAAGCTGCTCTTTTCTGACCAAGGGAATTTGTTAGAGCTGTGGCAGCCAAGGGATGCCTTGAAAGTCAAATGCAAAGAGGGTATGCATGGCTATCATGCTCTCCCATGACCCAGGAGATAAATTTCCCTTTTTAGCAGCCAGATACTGATATGCTTTCAATAGACTCGTGAAGTAGAGTCATGGTCAAATGGCTCAAACCCTGTGACATAATAAGGTGGCTGCTCAGCATGGAAAAGAGAATTCCGCACCCCCCCCACACTTTTTTTTTTTTTCAAATAAATGAAGAGAGATCTTTATTAAAACAACTAATTTCTTTTTCTTTTTTTTTTTTTAGGTACCTCCTAATTTCTAAACTTTATTTCCTAGTTCTTTACAAATCATTCTGCAGTAGGGTTCAGATCATAACTGTGCTTACATGCCTTGTATTTCTTTTCTTATATTTTACTTTAAGTTCTGGGATACATCTGAAGAATGTGCAGGTTTGTTATGTGCAGGTATACATGTGCCATGGTGGTTTGCTGCACCTACCAACCTGTCATCTAGGTTTTAAGCCCCACATGCATTAGGTATTTGTCCTAATGTTCTCCCTCCCCTTGCCTCTCACCCCCTGACAAGCCCTGGTGTGTGATGTTGCCCTCTCTGTGCCCATGTTAAAACAACTAATTTCAATAAGCCTCAAAACTTTAGCCAATAAAAAATAACAATACAATGTAAAATCTTTCATGTACGTAGTATCTCTGTTTAAGTAACCCTTAACTATTCTTAAGAACTAGTCCCAGGAATACTTGTTCTCAGACCCAGAGTGGGCTTTTCTCACTCTAATTTCCTCTTTTTATTAGGTCTCAAAGACTCTGGCAGCTTCCTTTTTCTTTGTCCTTTGACCTTCTTATCCCATGTTTGAAAATAATTGTTTTCTGACTCTTGATAGAAGTCCTCTTCCTACTCACAGCCTCCTCTTTTATTAGTACCACTTCCAAAGCAATCCACCATCATGAAGACACAGGCAGATGTTCTTTCTTTCTGATTACTAAATTCAGATGTAATTCGCTTATAATAAAGTCTTCCCTTATCCTGCCTTTTCCCAAATTAAATTGGTCAATTTACTCTCTATAGAATGAGTTTCATTATTTTCTGTGTCTCATTTCTTTTGTAGAGATTGCTTTTCTGTAAAATGAGGATCTTAAAAAACTTTATGCATTTATAAAACAAAACTAGAACAAGGTTTTCACTGGTTTCAACATCATATACCTTCCGAAGTTGTTCAGAATGAAGCTTTCTTAAGCCTGTACAATGGGGAAAGACATTTTGAAAGGACTTTCCAAATGGAGTAGCACTGAGAAACTGAAGTGTCCACTTCTATACATGTCTGGTGCCAAGTAGATCAAAGGGCAAATATCTCCCATGAATGGAACACCTGGTTGAGAATATTATATCACTTGTGGTGCATCCTGGGAACTTGAGAGAAACATTTCCTCCTTCTCATGGAGGTAGTGAGATTCTGCCTTTTAAGAGAAGATGCCTAAGAGACAGCAGAATTTATTTGCACTTCTTGCTGAGATGTAGAACTGCTGTCTGGGGACAGTTTGAAGAGAGTCTTAGGGATGTCAAGGGTAGCTTAGTAGTTGGGCTCTACGAAGTGAAATTTCAAGCCTACTTTAGCACATAAATTTGTGGTTCATAGCTTTAAAATAATATTCTTGTTTTTTTCTTTCTTAGTTCAATGGATTGAAGAAAATGTTCACGGAAGGAAGATGATTAATTGATCCAGAGGGCCTGTAGCAACTCTGTTTAACATGCTAGATGAGCCAGTCTTATTCAGTGATGACTAAGGATCTAGAGAAAACTGGTGTCAGGTTGGTCTTCTTCTTCCCACCTATTTTCAGTTGGCCTGCAGTTCCTAGGATGTGTATCCTGTATGCTGGTCACCGGAAGATAGGCAAATTTTTGCTTTGTTGCTGGTTCTGGGACAACAGCCATGGTAAGACCACTTATATCAGTTACCTATTACTACCTAATAAGATCTTCCACAACTTAGCGGCTTAAAACAAGAACTATTCTTTCTTTCAATTCTGTGAGGGGGCTGGGCTCTGCTGATTCATTTTTCTCTTCCATATGCTATCAGCTGGAATCCTTACATGGCTGCACTCTTCTGGGGTTTGGTAATGAGGCGAGAAGGCTTTACTCACATTATTTGGTGGTTGGTTCTGGCTGTTGGGTGACATTTCTCCCCACACGTCATGTGTCTGGTTGACTAGCAGAACTTCTTTACATAGTGGCTCAGGACTTCAAACAAGAATGAAAAGAGAAACTGCCTGGTCTCTTAAAGCCTGGGTCCTGAACCAAAGTGGTGTGAATCATTTTTTTCATATTCTATTGGGCAAAACAAATCACACGGCCAACCCACGTGCCAGGGGAGTGGAAGAGAAATAGTCTTGAACTGTGATGGGCATGTGCCTATAAAAATGGGAATATCTCTTGTTGGCTGTCCTTGCAAATCACACACCACACCACCCGTAGTACGCAAATGACATCAGAGCTGGTAAGCAATCACAGCACCTCAGATACCAAGGCACAGAGCCAGAGGCACAGGTATACTCACATTCTTCTGAATTCCATAAGCACAAATATTATCTTTTTGCCTCACAAAGATTGCCAGCTCAAGTTTGTAGGTGATTTGATAATCACATATGCAGAGATCTTTTTGACTCATTCTACAGAGTAAGATGTCATAGAGAAAAAGATAGCAGAGGAAATGCACAAATAATAATTTAATGACTCCAGGATTTCTTCAGCTCAAAGTAGCAACCAAAACTTTGGCCACTGATTTCATGGTTAAAGAAATTTGGTCATAGTGGGAAATAGAGGGCTTTGGAAAGTCATACCTGAAGTTTAATCCTGACTCCATGACTGGGAGCTTTGTGATCTTGGCAAATAACCTAATTCTCTTAGTGTAATTTTTCTCTTATATAATAGGGGAATGTCATCACTTCCCTCACAGAGTTGCTAAGGATACAAAGTACCTTGCACACTGCTTCTCACATAGCAAATGCTTAGTAAATATGAACTATTATTATCCTTGGATCATCTTACTAATTTGGCTATCAAAATATGGCCCTTTAGGGTTGTCTAAGGAGCAGGCAGCCTCCCTATACTCACCCACTTTCAGTTTATGGAAGAAATTTTGGAAGAGTATAAGTCTTCCAAGTCCATGGGTACCCAGGTGAATCCTGTTCCTGGCTTGTTGCTAAGTGAAGAAAGTCTGAGTCATTTCCCTTCTTTTTTTTTCCTTCCTTTCTATCACCAAATTTACTATTTCCCAAGTTGAAACTTTAAGACTTTAGCAACTATATCCATGGAGGCATGGTTACACATAGAGTATATCCAGTGAAGTTTTCTTTGTCTCTATTCTACTCTTTTTGGGGAGATAAGCATTAACTAGTAAGATATAAAAAGTAGAGCCATAAACTATTCTGTTAGAAAGGGAAGCTATGCAATTTTTAACACTAAACATACTGAATTTCCTGGGACATGACTGAATTGAATTGTTTTTCTCTAATATAAGACCATTTTTTGGACCATGTATCAGTTTGTCCAGGTTTTGGGATGTGGAAATATGGACACCATAGACATTGGGATTAGGAAGTGAATTTTCTTACCATGCATTTCTTGTTATGCCTAGGAAATATTTTTTCCTCCTGCCTCAAAGGCAGATGAGAGCTCTACCTTCTCTTTGTCAATTTTTTTTTTTTTGCTACTAACCACTACTTGATTACCTTTACTTACTGAATCAGCCTCTTGTGTCTCTCAGCTCCAACATCATAAACCATCATGTTATTTTGATATTAAATAGATCTTCCTTTTTAAAGCGGGGGAAGAGATTAAGATGTTAAGTGAAAAGGAGAACCAACCATACTCCCTTCTTAGGATTAGACCAAAATTCTTCTTATGTCATGTTATCTAATTCCAATATCCAGCAAGCAGCTGGGGAAAATTTATTTGGATATTGTGCATTTTTCCTTTTTTTGGAAGAATAGATTTTGTTCCTCTATTTGATAAAAGACAGAAACTGTACATCTTGAAAATAAAGGCATTGGCATTTTAAAGTGATCAGGAGTTCTTGCAGAATTCCAAACATGCATCTTCTGGAAAAAGAAACCCTGTAAAGATAGAGATAAAACGTAGGTTTTTCATTTGCCCCATACTGTATGCATATGAATGTTTTACTTTTCTGTTTGATCTTTAACTGGTTGGGGAGAGGACCTGTTGTTTTTCTTCCCTATTCCCCAAATCACTTCTCTGCTTTCTCAGTCTCTCATCAGTGTTCATGACACCTCAGACCTGGGCAATTGGATTCTTGCCCAGGGTCCTGCACTTCAGAGGGGTCCATTCTATTCTTCCTCTAGCTTTGCCATTCGTCAAGCGGGGAGGAGTCTGAATGGCAAAAGGGATGCCCCCATCCAGGGTCTGCATCTCTCCCAGCTCCACTTTCAGCATGTGAGACCCCAGGAAGCCCTGAGCTTTCAACCCTAGGCCACAGGGTTGGCTGAGGGGCAGCTATTTGAGAGGATGGGTATATTCATACCTGACTATACCCACAAGTATCCACATGACACCCCTCATATGTAGGACAGTGAGGGAGGGTAGGAAAAACAGAGCATTTGAAAGTGTCTATTTATATTTATATCCTAGGACCCATAAATGTTAGAGGCCTGCCCTGTTTGACAGCTAGTCATAATCCTTTTTTACAGCTGCAGAAATGGAGAAAACTGGGGGACTAGTCTCCAGTTATAGAGAGGCATGGGCCAGAGACACGACTAGAACTCTGGTTATTGCCATGGCCGGCTGCTCCCCTCACTGGAAAATATTTACCAGCTGTAGAGGGCTAAGCTTTTCCTCAGAAGCTTTGCTTCTCTGGAAAAATAAAGAGAAAAATTCTTGCCCCTTACTCTGGAAAAAGGTGCTGTAAAAACTAAAGATATTATAGTGTAATCCTCAGAACACTAATCCTAGAGGTCAGAGAGCAGAAACCTGAATCACAGGTTCTGCTGGCTTGCTCAAATGCCATGTTTAGCATCCAAATTCTCTATAATTGATAGGTCAGTAGTAGCTTAAAGATTATAAGCTTTTGTAAATGGGTGACTAGCTCCTGAAGAAAGCCACAAATTTCACCTGATAATACCCAAGTAAAATAGTTACTGTGAGTTTTAGAAATGTTGCCAGAAATAAATTGAAGAGTTTTATGTCTTGAAATTTGGTGCTGTTAATTTCTTTTCAGCTGTCACTGCTAAATCCCCTGTTAACTGAAACACCTTCCAAAGTTCTCTTTAGGTTAACTCGGTATTCTAGGCAATCTATAACTGGCATCTTCTTGCTCCTGAATCACATTTCAGAGCAGACTTCACACAAAAAAGATGATGATGTTAGGTGATCTTCAGTTAATAGTCCCTTTAAATTTACTATCTTCTTGGTATCTCAGTTTGCTGGTTTCTTGAAGATTTTCTATTTAAAGAATGAGCAAATAATCTAGAATAGCGAAGACATATGCTCTGTGAAATATAGTCTTTGCTTCATCTAAATAGAAATAGCCATGCATTCTGTTCTATGTCTCACTCCCTTGACAAAGTTGGACTAATAAAAATTCAGTTCCAGAGACTATGTATATATCCTGTGCATGTATAGGCAATTAAGCAAATATTTGCCCCAGAAATTATTTATTATTGGAAATCTATATTTACTTAAATGAGCAGATCATAGATACTAGATTCAATAATATCAATTCCACTGGCTTTGTGATCTTATATCACTCGACCTTAGCTGCCTTCAGTTTCTTCATATATAAAATAGTGACTGATAGTCCCTGTCCTATAGTTTTTAAAAAATATCAGATGAGATTCTGTATGTAAAATGCTTATTATAATACCAGGTACAAAGTAAGCCCTCAGTAATTCATAGTTATTTGCTTCAGTAAACAAATCTTTGACACAGAGTGCACTGCTGAAAAATAAGAAGGCTTCTTGGTGACCGCAAGGTTAGGGACTACTGGATTCAATAACATCACATATGTCCTTTGATTCATATGTACATATTTAGGTGCTTAAAGTGGAAAAATTCATAAATCATTATAATTCTCACTGATTCTTTCTGCCTATTTCCAGATGACTTCTTGGCAGTCATTTGCAGACTAAGGTAGCTTTGAAGGTGAAGATTCTTTGTGTTCATTCTCATCCTGATGTAAAAATACTACCTGAGACTGGATAATTTATAAACAAAAGAGGTTTAATTGATTCACAGTTCCTCATGCCTGGGGAGGCCTCAGGAAACTTACAATCACAGCGGAAGGCAAAAGGGAAGAAGGCACCTTCTTCACAAGGTGGCAGGAGAGACAGTGAGGAAGTGCCATACTTTAAAACCATCAGCTCTCATGAGACTTCACTCATGATCACGAGAACAGCATGGGGAACCTTCTCCCATGATTCAATCACCTCCCACCAGCTCCCTCCTCGACATGTGGGGATTACAATTTGAGATGAGATTTGGGTGGGTACACAGAGACAAACCATATCTATCAATTCTGAATGTTTAATACCAGTATTATTAGAGGAGGATCTAGTCCCCTTCAGGACATAAGGATCTATGATCCTCTGTCAGAACATATTAGACCCTTTCCTTTGGCTATAACCAAAAGATTATAAACATACATCCAGGAATAAAAATAGTATATTAAAATTGTGTGTGTGTGTGTGTGTACGAATGTAAATTTTTTGTGCCAAATCTAAAGACTCTTTACCTAGTCCTAATGTGTCTTGAAGATCTTCTGCAGTTTTTTTTCTAGAAATTTTATAGTTTTATGTTTTACATTTAAGTCTGTGATTCATTTTTAGTTAATTTTTTTTGTATAAGATGTGAAGCTTAGGTTAAGGTTCATGTTTTTGCCTATGGTTGTTCAATTGCTCTAATAGCATTTATTGAAAAGGTTAATGATTTATTTGTACTTCTGCCAAAATTAATTGATCATACTCATGTGGTCATACTTCCGCTTTCTCTGTTTTATACCACTTAGCTTTGTCTATCTTGCTATCAATACCACACTGTCTTGATTACTGTAGCTATATATTACTGTAGCTATATAGTAAACTTTAATAAAAGGAAGATGAACTTTCTTCTTCTTTTTTCAAAATCGTTTTGGCTGTTTAAGGTCTTTTTCTTTTGGTATACATTTTAGAGTAAAAGTACATACTTCTGTGAAATACCTTACTAAGCTTCTGATAGGAAATACGATAACACTGTAGAACAGTTTAGGGAGGACTGGTATCTTTACTAAATCTTCTAACCCATAAACATGATATTTAGGTCTTCTTGTCTTTCACCAACATTTTGTAATTTTCAACATGTAGATTCTATACAATTTTGTTGAGATTATGTCATCTGTGAATAAAGACTGTTTTATTTCTTTTCCAATTTGTATGCCTTTTATTTTTTTGTGTGCTTGTTATAATGACTAGAACTTCCAGTAATACGTTGAATAATAGTGCTGAAAACAGATTTCCTTGCCTTGTTCCTGATCTTAGAGTGAAAGCATTTAGCCTTTCACCATTATGTATTACATAGATATTGTTTCTTTTTTTTGTGTATGTAATTTCTTATTATGAGATTAAGGAAGTTCCCTTCTATTCCTAGTGTATTGAAAGTTTTTATAATGAATGGGTGTTGAATTTTGTCAAATGCTTTTTCTGTCAATTGGTATAATCATATGACTTTTTTGTTTAGTTTGTTAATATTATGGATGATAATGATAGATTTTTGAATATCAAACTGTCCTTATATACCTAGAATAAATTCCACTTGGTCATGGTATACTAATATTTTTATACACTGATGGATTCAATTTGCTAACATTTTATTGAGGATTTCTGCCCTGCTTTTAAGTCACTTTTGTTTACCTCTTTTTCTGTGTAGCTTAAAGTTTGGCAAATGCCTGAAAGAGGAATTCTTCATGCAGAGCTCAGGTTAGATTAGTTATCTGCTTGTAACTATCATCACTTTATCTGAAGAATCACACAAGTAAGTAACTGTGACAGTTTCCCAAAGGTATGCAAAATGAAAATGATGTAATTGGAAAGATAAAGTGTTACTTATAGAAAGGTCAACCTATAGATTTTCCTATTCATTTATAGGCAGGGTTTTAAGATTCAAATTTGAATACATGTTACATGTGAGACCATGATATGACTATGAATGATAACCCATAAAGCTTGGGTGTACATGAATTTATTATAAGGGTGATTTGATGCAAAGAGCCATTCTAAGAGCACCAAGTGTGAATCTTTTAAAATAATTTTTCTTTATCGTGCAGCAGATGGAACTTTCCATGGCCATTGGAATAAGGATATGTCCCACATGTGTTTCTTTGCACAAATAAAGTCCTGTAAATACAAGGCCCGATTGAAACTTTAGAGACAGATTCATTATTTCTTTGGAGTATCTTGAGAGGAGAGTGCTACAGGAGGCTCTTGATCGGAGCCATGTCACAAGAGTAAGGAGCTGATGGAGTCTTTGCAGGCACTTTAAAGTGAAGGAGACACGGCCTAGGAATAAAAGGCCACATTTTTATGATCTTCACTTTACTGGGCTGGCTTTGCCCTCATTGCTTGCAATTCTAGGTCACAGGATTTAATGAGCCTCTATATATGAATAGGAATCCATTTATGCAAACAAAACATCTCTTTGGGGGCTGGATGATTTACTAGGCAATTATCTAAATTAGCTCAAGAAAATATAGGTTTTTGGGTGAATTGCTGGTCATTAAAATAATTCTATTACTGATTTAGAATTCATGGGAACATTTTGTGTTTAGGAGATCTGATAAAAAAGAAACCATGTTTTTGCTTTTGATGCAGCTGGACCTGTAACCACACAAAGATGTAGACTTTTCAATGATAGATATTTCATTGATTTGAGTAATATCGTCCTCTTAAAAACACTGCATCATTCCTAAGTAGAACAGGAAAAAATAGGTTTGGCTATACTCCATTTTTCAGGATAATTTTCATCAAAGAAGATTGATTTCAGATGAATTTGAAAGCTCTTTTCAAAGTGCTCTCAGCATATTCTCTTTAATGTTCATGGAAACAATATTTGGACTATGTCTGACACTTTTGTACACTATTCACAATGCTTCTACCATTAAAAAAATGTGCTCCAGGCTTATGTTCTTGAGATTCAATATGTGTATTACATTTTTAGTAGCAAGAGCAGATTTTCTTTCGTATTTAATGACTATCAAAAGAAGACAATCCAGAGACAAAACAACAACAAAAAACAACAATCGATTAACTTAGGTTTTCCCATGGTGAGTCAATGCTTTAATTTCTATTTATGTTCCTCTACCTACCAACTTCTTCTCTAGATTCCAAATGATAAAGTAAAAGCTTTTGATTTACTGGTGATGAAAATTAAGATCACTCAGGAGGGCCTCATTTTCATAGGAGCACTTGAGTTTTCTGTAGATTTAGGTCTCTTCATAAATTTTTAGTGACGTTATTCCTGCTACCTTACAATGAAGTGAGCATTCTTACCAATAAGACTTTTTACTTGTTTCTAGGTTGAGTAGTCCATTGGAGACTTGCATTTATAAAGAGACTTCCACAAAGAGACTCTTATCAAAGCATTCATCTTCCTTTTCTAAGGAGCCAAAGATGAGTGCTTCTATTCATTTTTAAAGGTCTTGAGGTGTTTGATAACAGATGTTCTGTCTTCAACTGCAAGTACAGTTTTCTGTGGAATACTGATTGATACTTTTATTCCAATACCAAGGGCTGTCACCACGCATATTTATTTGCAGCTATTGCTATTTGCACTTATTATTTTAAGTACAAAGGAACACAAAAGAACCTTGCAGGCTCATGTACTATATTCAGAATGATACGGGTACCTTGCATAAATATGCTCCCATCCATCCATACAATAGAAATTAGGTGATGCTAATCATCCACCCTTCTCCTTTTCTGGTTTCCCTTCAAATGAGAGATATAAACAGAAATGTAATTACAGATTTAAAAATAGAATTAGATTTATTTATGAACTAGGCAAGTTTCCTCAAAGTGAGAAGTTTTCTGGTAAAGCTGAATTGTAGAATAAAGTGATTTATTTTCTTACCTCTAAGACAGAGTTCAGTTTTCATACCCAACAGTTATCTTGATAGCTGAGAGGACAAGTGAGGCCTGTTTAAAAAAATCTAATTATTTTTAGAACCAGAAGCAACCCACCTTTTTAAAAATGTGCTGTGATCCTGTGTGTAGGTTAATTTGGCTATGACTAGCCAAGACTATGGCTCAGACTATGTTAGACTTTCTTTGGTCTCACCAGTTAGGCAATCCCAGAGGAGTGAGGAAAAGATGGAGGACCAGAAACATTAATCCTACTTCGCTTCTCTTCACCTATGGATGAAAAGAAGATCACTTCCCTTCAGTGAAATCAGGAGGAGTATAGTGGCCATAAAATGTGCCCCTTGGGTTTCCCACTGCAGTTTTTATGTACATGAAAAAGTACCCCATTGGCTCTGCTTTAAAATTTATCACTACATTTATGCCTACTTTCCAAAGGCTGTTTTAGCCAATGACTGAAAGTTCCAGGGATACAAAAGCAGGCCCATTTTGGGAGACAGAGAACTCCTCTGACAGGTGACTTTGGCTCAAGGGAGACTCCATGCTAGCCTTGATAAACTTCCTTAGAAATACTGTGTGGTCTAAGATCTTCTTCCCTCCTTCCTTCTCTCCCTCTGTATTAGTCCGTTTTCACACTGGTATAAAGAACTGCCTGAGACTAGGTAATTTATGAAGAAAAAAGGTTTAATTGGCTGACAGTTCAACATGGCTGGGGAGGCCTCAGGAAACTTAGAATTATGATGGAAGGTGAAGGGGAAGCAAGACTCGTCTTACATGGTGGCAGGAGAGAGAGACATTGAAGAAAGCCACACACTTTTAGCTATCAGTTCTCATGAGAACTCACTCACTATCACAAGAATAGCATGGGGGAAACCGCCCCTATGATCCAATCACTTCTCACCAAGTCCCTCCCTTGACACTTGGCATGGGGATTACAATTCCAGATGAGATTTGGGTGGGGACATACAGCCAATCCCTCCCTCCCTCCCTCCCTCCCTTCCTTCCTTCCCAGGGGTCAGCCCTGCATTGCAGTTTGATGTTTTTGGTGTTCTCCCTGCCTTCCCCTTTCTCAGTTTCCCTTTCTGACATTGCCCCAATAAATCTCTTTTATTTTCAATCTGTCTTGTGGCCTGCTTCTCAGAGGATCTGGAAAAATTCATGTAGCAAAGTTATAAGCTATCTACCAACACCAAATATAGATACATATGAAATAATGTGGAGAAGTGCAACACTTGATGAGTTTGCCATATGAAAAGCTATTCCTCAAGACAAAACTGGATCTTCTAGAGTGGAACTTTTCAAATTAACAATGGCAAAGGACACTTTCTTTTTAACTTTGCAATTCCTTGTAGACTCATACTTTTGTAAAATACTAGAAAAAAATGCATGACAAAAATGCCATAAAAGACATCAAATAAAGTCACATTTTTTAGAATAAACAGACATAATGCTTACTATCTGTAGTTATCTCATGGTAGACTGGCAACAGTTCTCAGCCTGGCACTAGTCCACGGACCACACTTTGAGTTACCCAGTACTAAAGGATATGAAATGGAATTATGTCTAACTGGCACTGACTCAAATGGTAGAAAAGTTGAAAATTCAAACAATCAACTTTCTGCTTCTTGAGGCCCTGAAGTTTCTATATAATAGAGAGCTGGTTTGAGAAAGTCAGTGAATTTACTGGTTGCACTGGGGGAAACTGTGTCTACAATGCTGTGGACTTGAGAAAGGGGTTAGGCTTTGGTCACAAAGAAATAGCTGGCTTGTGGTTGACCACAAGTATATTTCTTAGTCTTTTAAGTTGCATTTGGGACAGAAACATCAGATTTCCCTCCACTTCTAGCAATTTCAGAACCTGGGGTGGAGAACCCTGACCCTGGATTCTCCCCTCTTTATTTCAGTTCTTCCTTACCCTGGTCCCTTCCTCGGAGTTGAAAACATTGTAAATTTTCTGTTGAGAGGATCCTAGAGTTGGGAGAACCCTAAGTGGCTATGTGGCAGCTTAGGAAAACACACTCGTGCCCTCCTTCTGCTTTCGCATTGGTTTTTGAATTTTAGTTAAGTGCTAAATACAAGTTATACAAACATGCAATTTTGACTTTCTACCTTGTGGTTAACAAAGCTGTAAGCAGAGACATATGAAAGCTTATTCATAATTTTAAAGCATTAGAATGCTCTTGTTGGGGCCTTGTCCCTGCAATGACAGAAGGTTCTTTTGCTTCCCTTATGATTATATCATTATTTTGAGTGGACTCAGCATTTGGAACATGTTATATTTTTATAGTGCTTTGCAGTTACTTTTATTAGTGTTTATCCTTTGTCTAAGAGTAAACTGATGTGTCAACTGACATCTCCTGCTGTATTAGTTGACTAGCTCAAGTACTCCAAACCCATCATATCTAAATCGGCAAAATAAGCAAAATAAATAGAGGGATGGGGGAGGGAGTGGAAAAAGGGTGGGTTATGGTGGGGGAGTATTTGATTAGAAAGAAAGAAAAACTGATATCAAATTGTTTCCCTGCTGTGGAAAGGGGCACAGACACAAGAATAGTCAATGACTGCAATTTTCTTTTGACCTCTAATGTCTGTAGGAGTGCACTTCTTCCTCAGCACCCTGAAGAGTTCATGGCAGCCTGGAGCTTGTAACTTGCAGTGCAGGATCCTGGATTCAGAGAGCTGATCTCCATTAAAAAGCCATTTAGCCATGTGAGGTCAATAGGCAATTTACAACCTAGACAGTCGGTTTGTTTTGAAGCCCCTGAACTTTGGTAGACTTTGCCCTCTGTATGCTTCCTCCATAAAGATCACACAGCTGGATAATAACAACTTTTTCATCATATACAAATAGCCAATGCCATTAAGCTGCCTGTCTCTTTCTTTTATCATTTTGGTGGATAGCCCTATAAAAAAAAATTAAACCAAATAAAAAGTAATGCATCTAGATCAGTAGTACATTCTGAACATCTGGGTGAATATATTTCATTTGTGGATTCTTTATCATCAGCAATGATAACAGGAGCCTGGTTATTACCCTTATAGTCTTTCACTGAGGGTCTCAAGAAGAGTTATCTGAATTCAAAAGGAAACGGGAAGAGGAGACCTGAATAATTTCCTGGCTTGCTAGCTCAGAGCATCTGTTTCATATTTAACAGAAGTTAATCTGTACACTGTAGCAACCTGGAGATATCCATTTCCAAACAAAACTAGGGTTAATGCAATAACAGGTTATAAATAGGTCATATCCCAAAACAAAGTTGATGTGAGTCATCCTTAGTGGAGTATAAGCCATTGTGTTTTACCTTCTTTAAAATTCAGTGTTTAAAAGACTACACTGTGTCTATTAAGTGTATATATTCTGCTTAAGCTTTGGTTTTCTCTATTGCCCTATACGTAATGGGCTGGGTGGGTTGGATATAAAGACTGAACAGCATTTTTCAGTGACCTTATAGGAAACGATGGTAAGAACAATGCACAGAGACACTGCATTTAAGAGTTTTATTTCTGAACAGTCTCCTCAAATTTCTGGTATTGGGAGATCAGATGTACCAAAGGAATTGTAGTATGTTGCTGTAACCTGAGTATAAACTGCATATGGTCAAAGAGTCTGCTTTGAAATTATTGTTTTAAACCTTACAGAGGAACCACAGATGAAGTCTTTGAACAATGACAAAAAGCACCCTGCCCACAAATATCTACCTGCTTCCATGAAGGCTTCTGCTTGCTCCTCTTGACATCTCTGACCCCATGTTTTCATCCCACCAAAGTGACTTGGAGGTTCTTAGTTGCTTTGGTTTTCTGCCTTCAAGTCACTGCTTCATGCCAATGGGGTGTGATTTGAAAAACAATCAAAGCTTTGGGAACTGGTTAAGCACTCATGAAAATCTCAATACCAACTCAATGAATAGTAAAATTAAATAGGACAAGTGAGGCTGGGCGTGGTGGCTCACGCCTGTAATACTAGCACTTTGGGAGGCCGAGGTGAGTGGATTACCTGAGGTTGGGACTTCAAGACCAGCCTGGCTAACATGATGAAACCCTGTCTCTACTAAAAATTACAAAAAATTAGTTAGGTGCAGTGGCACGTGCTTGTAATTCCAGCTATTCAGGAGGCTGAGGCAGGAGAATCGCTTGAACCTGGGAGGTGGAGGTTGCAGTGAGCCAAGATCATGCCACTGCACTCTAGCCTGGGCTACACAACAAGACTTCATTGCAAAAAAACAAAACAAAACAAAACAAAACAAACAAACAAAAAAACACAGGACAAGTGACAAGTGAGCAGCTGGTAAATCAATAAAGACTAATGTGAAAAGTGATGTTTACATAAATAGCAGCCTAATTAATCCCTTGAAATACGAATGTAAATACTTCAAGATGTTTACAACCTTGGATGTGTCAAGTCCCAGGTATTTCAAGGGCTTCCAGCATCTTTTTCATGTTTTACCCCCAACATCTTTTAAAGCAGGAAATAAGAGAATCATTTTCTTTCTCAAGGTGAGATTTAAAACTGCGCTTAGGTCTTGCTTAGAATTGGAATACGTGTTCTTCTTGACCCAGCACAACAACTATAACTCTCCAAAAATAACAAGTTGTTTTCTGGCAGCTCCTAGAACAAAACTCAATCACATCAGAAAGTCTCTGAAGAAAAGGCTTCAGAAGGCATTCTTGGAAATAAGCAGAAATGTACTTGATAATAAGAAAAGGAATGGAACTGGCTTAACGACATACAACGTGTGTGTGCATATGTGTATTCCCCTTCTTCTTACACCACACCTTCTTTTAAAATTCTCAGATTCATTACACATTAATTGCCAATCTTCTATTTGTGATGAGAATAAAGTTTGTGTGCTTTGATGTAAAAGTTTGATACTTGAACCCTAAAATTATTTAAAGAATAACATCAGCTTCAGCAGACAGATATCTTGGCACTGTCATAATTTTAAGTTCTGTGTTTGCAACTGAAAAATTCAGAAACTGACCCATTTTGAGGTGGGAGGATAGGGTTTGCATCAAAGAAAGGTAATTATCTGCCCTCTCTCAAGTTCAGGGAGCATGCTAGACCCTACCAGAAGCATAGGTAGATAGTCAGAGAGGGAACTTGACTTCACCAAGCATTTTTGTGTTCTTATTGGTACAACTGTGCATTTCCCAGACTTTCTTAGATTTGCGACAACCACGTGACTAGTTCTCGTCAATGGGGTGTGGGCGGGAGTCAGGAAGGTCACCTCCGGGCCTGGCCCATAAGTTCCCTCAAAATCGTTCATGTTGTCTCTTCTCTCATCTGCCTGCAGAATACAAAAGATTAAATGGAAGGCTCTGGAGCCCTGAGGAATAGCAGTTACTAGACTGAAGGAACCTGAGTTTCTAGATTGCGATGTTGAGCAGAGTCCCTGCTAACCCAGGAAAACTCTGATGTGAGAAAGAAGAAAACCCGGATTGCACTAACTCACCGAGATTTCGAAGTTTAGTTGTTCGGCGATGAACTTGTCCTGAACAACATAGAGGAACAGTGGGAAATACATGGAGTGTGCTTATAAGAAGCTATGGTAGGCAGGATTTCAAGATGTCCTTGTGATCTCTGCCTCCTTGTGTTTCTCCCATGACTATGTCATGTTCCACAGCAAAAGGGATTTTGCAATGTATTAAGGGTACTGAACGGTTGACCTTAAGATCGTGGGATTATCTGGGTGGGCCTAATTTCATCACATGAGTCCTGTAAAAGAAGTGAATTTTCTCTATTTGGTAGCAGAAGAGGCAGTCAGAGACATCTGAAGTGTGAGAGGGATTCAGTGCTGAAATGGAGAAGGTCACATGGTAAGAACCTGAGAGTGGCTTCTGGTAGCTGAGAGTGATCCTTGGCAAGATAATGGAACCTTAGTCCTAGAGCCTCAAGGAAATTAATTCTGCTGACAATCTGAGGGAACTTTGAAGCAGATCTTTTCCTAGTTGAGCCTCCAAGTAAGGATTTAGCTAGCTAGCTGGTACTTTAATTTGAGCCTTATGAGTCTCTGAGCAGAGGACCCAGGGAAATAAAGTCAGGCTCCTAATGCATGGTGATGATGACGTGATAAGTGTGTTTTGTTAAGCTACTAAGTTTGTGGTAATTTTTAATGTAGCAATAAAAAACTAATGCAGAGAGTGAAAAGTGCTGTGTCTAAGATATGTGGCAAAATCAGGGTTAGTCCATGCTGGTGTCACCATCCAAGGAATTGGATCTGGTGAGCAGAATGTGGCAGCAGGAGGCAGTGTGATGGTGACAGTCACAAGGAGATGGGTTCTGGGGCTGCAGTTTGAGGGTTGAAGCAGCTGCTGTGGATTTAAGGATCTGAGAACTCAGGCACAGAAGAGGAGGTCTGGCAAAATCTGGGCAGATTTTGCCCAAGAAATGGCCTGGGGTCAGAGATTGAGTCTAAATCTCAGTGTCAAGAACTGAAGTTCACTTAATTCTTTTTTTTAAAGAAACTTCTCGTTTAATAAACTAGGCTGCTGATTTTGAGATATTTACTTATGATTTTTTCATGGTTCTTCAGAATTATCTCAGAGGGGTCTGAGAGGCTGAGCAGACATAGCCTTAGTGACCCATTTCTGTTTTAGCCAGGGCAGCCCTGCATGTAGGTATTTATATTTAGGGTTCCATATGACACTGCTCTTGGAAAAAGACCTTCATTACTAAGACTGTTAGAAAATGCCTAATTTAGGGAAAAGCCAAGTATCTTTGGGAAAATGTGGGGGCTTCTCCTACATAAGGAAGCAAGGCTAACTCTAGACCCCACAAGAGAGGGCTTGGTTCTCATTGGTTCAGGTTCTGGCTGGAATGAGACTGAAGGATAAAATACCCTAGGCAAGGCTGGGCAATCAAGGACTGGACAAGATCTTGCTTGGCTTTAAAGGATCCCCTACACAATCCTCAGAGATGGAAGCACAATAGATAAGGATATGTAAAAATATTATGTACAATACACATTATACATATATATATACACATATATGTATATGTATAAAACATGGATTTCCTGACCTGCTCATCTAATCTGGCTCATTTTGTGTCAATTCCAGTGTCTTCATTTCTAATAAATATTTATTAAATACCTGTGTGTGCCAGGCCTTGAACTTAGACCTGGGGATCCAGAAGTAAGAACAAGAAGGGAGAGAGAGGGAAACAAGACAATACATGATCACATCAGGTTCAGACAAGAAAACAAGTTTGACTTTCTGATTGTGGCAATTCCATGGGAAAGGAGCAATGCGATCTCCAGTTTGACACAGGGCTGCTATGCAGGAACAGCACCCTGGAGTGACCAAAAATAAAGGCAGCAAGCACCTGGAAGCCCAGGCCTCTGTCTTTTAACTCAGTTAATGAGATCTTTGGCATAACCATGTATACACATGAAATTTTCTCCTCCTCAGTCTCTAATTGTACCAATTTAGTTGCCATTAAGATTATTAGCATAATTCTACTTTAATTACTGACAACTGTACCTGGTGCAATGAGTGAACCTCCTGGGCAACTTCCTGAAAAGCACAGTTGCTCCATCACTGCTGGGTAATGGTGATCATAAGCTTTGCCAAGCAGAGAGACAAAGCGACACTCTGCCGACGCAGCCTCACTTGCAGTCTTCACCTCCCAGCAGCACCATCATGCTATTGACCCCATCATTTTCTTGGGCTAGTTTACAGAAGCGAAGACAAAGGGAGAGAAATCCACCCGTTGAATCAGCCACTGTCTGAACCAAGGCAACAATTCCCATTGATCTGACTCACTGCCTGGAAGAAGATGGTGGTCATCTCATCCCATTAACTGTTTCTGCAGTTTCAGGGGACAGTGTATTCTGCTTTATTGCTTCAAGTGATAAAATGGGTAGAATTTGTTACTATGCAGTGACAAGTAGCCATGAACTTAAGCAAAACCAAACGGATGGTAGGTTAAATCATATTTGAAAAGCATATTCAAGTATAATTTTCTCTTTTCGGAGGCAAAAGACCCAGGTCTTAATGGAGGAAGAGCTATTTTTAGCTTATCATGTGTCCAGGTGTTCAATGATTTGAAATCTTATATCAGGCTTTGTTTCTGAATTAGTCTACTTCCCCCTGATTACAGTGTTTTAGTTATTTATTGCGGCATAACAAACCACCTCAAAACTTAGTACCTTAACACAATAATTTGATATTATCTCTTAGCTCTTGCTTGGAGGTCTCCCATGTGGTCACCTTCAGTTGTCAGGTATGGCTGGAGCCATCTGAAGGCTTGACTGGGCCAGATGTCCAGATGGTTTCTACATTCACAGGTCTGGTACTCGGGTGAGTATAACTGAACAATTGAGCTTAGCTGAAACTGTTGACTTGAGTGTCTACACATGCCCTTCTCAGCTTGTGGTCTCAGTGTGCTCAGGCTTCTCACGCAGCAACTCAAGGCTCCAGGCAGGAGTTGCCAAGTCTCTTTTAATCAAATGTCAGAAGTCAGGTAGTGTTATTCCCTGCACATTCTATTAAGTGAGTCACAGAACTAGCCCTGGTTCAGGAGGAGAGAACTGCAAAAGGGCATGAACGTGGGAGACATGATTCATTGAAAGGAGACACCTTTGCAAAGTAGCTATCATATTAGCATCTTTAGCATTTTATATGAACTCAGGTAAAAACCTGAGGGATTGTAACATCCCCAAACCTTATTGCGAGTAAGCTGATTATGAGGGTCATTTAGTATAAAGTGCCCATGCTAGCTGAAACCTCTCTTAATGAAACTGACTAAACTTTGTCTGTCAAGCTTATGAACTTTACTATTTCTGGTTGAGCCCCTACCTTCTAGGAAAGTAGACAATTTATTCTGAATTGGAAAAATTTTATCTGTATTTTACTTGAGCAACTTTTTCAACAATAAAATCCCGATGATAATTTTTAAAAATAAAGAGCCAAGAGAATCACAATTTCCTATGGCTACACTAGTGACTTCAGATTTGACTTTGCCAGTTTGTCAAACTACAAATGTTAAGGAGGGCCTCGTGTATGGTAAGCAGCCCCTCTGTGAGGTGCTTGGGAGGAAGAAAGGACACTTAAACATGGTTCCCGTCCTGGATGAGCAGGCAAGTCCTGAACCCAAAACTTAGGAGTAAGGATTTCTCTGGCAGCCTAAAATTTAGTTGAAAAAGCAAAACATTGCATATACAGAAGAATAGAGTAAAAATTGCTACATAGTGGAGTACATGTAGATTTTATGGCTTTCCAATTATTTTTCAACTTTCAGTTTTATATGGGAAATAAGCTTATTGGATTTTTTTTCTAGTTGTTGCTGTTTCTGTCTCTCAAGATAACTTTTAGGATAAAGCATTTGTCCTTGACATCTTCATTTATAATCCGGTTGAGTTCTGGTGTGTAGCCAAGTTTATATGTAAAATTGATACCTAGAAGAAAAATAACTATTTAATGTCAGAATGACTTGTTCTAGGCTGATGGTTGTTGACAGAACACAAAACATTCTCTGCCTACAATTTGGACAATGCCCAGAATTATTAGGCAATAACTGAATCAAAAAGAGAATTAAGCTCCTCCATGTGATGAGTACTGTTAGCTCCTTGGGTCACAAAAATAAGTAAGAATCAGTTCCCGCCCTCAAGAGAGTCAGCATGGAGAAAAACACAGGTAACACTACTAAAGTTCATGATATAAAGAGATATAAACAAAGTGCTGGAGGGAAGAATGACTTAACTAGAAGGGTCACTGATGACCTCAGAGCATAGTAACATTTAAGCAGTTTCTTAAAGGCTCAGTAGGATATTGTCAGGCAATAAAAGAAGATTATGCCAGGCAGAGTAGATAGCATGTTTAGGAAAGGGATGATAAAAGGACCCAGAACATGTAAAGAATAGTTAGAATCATGGGAGCTACAGTGTGAGGTGCATTTAGAACTGATGATAGAGGAGGCCAGAGAATAGGCAGGAGTCAGATGGGATATATGGTGTGTTTGCTTGATAAAAGTAGGGTTTGGGTAGTTATGAATTGACTAGAACATAGAGGCCTGAAGAGTTAGAATAAGTCCAGCTGCCAGAAAATATAACTTAGGCCAAAATTCTTCAACTGATCTCATATTGTTCCACATCTGACAGATCAGTCTAGGAGAACAAAGGACAAGCAGGATGCAAGCACCTCTAGACAAAGGCTGAAAATGAGCACAAGATCAGGGTAAAAAACAGAAGCTCAAGAGGCAGGAAAATAAATCTGTCAGCTGCCTGCAGTCACATGGGACTAGACCTTAAGAGGGGGAATTGGCTGGGCGTGGTGGCTCACGCCTGTTAATTCCAGCACTTTGGGAGACTGAGGCAGGTGAATCACCTGAGGTCAAGAGTTCGAGACCAGTCTGGCCAACGTGGTGAAACGCCGTCTCTACTAAAAATGCAAAAATTAGCTGGGCATGGTGGTGGGCACCTGTAATCCCAGCTACTCCGGAGACTGAGGTAGAGAATTGCTTGAACCCGGGAGGCGGAGATTGCAATGAGCGGAGATCGTGCCACTGCACTGTACCCTGGGCGACAGAGCGAGACTCTGTCTCAAAAAAAAAAAAAAAAGAAGAGGGGGAATTATGTCCCTCTAAGAGGGTGGGGCTACTTGGCAGGGACTTGATCAGCCAGGAACAATCCAAGAGTCTAGGACCTAGGCATCTGATTTGGTTTGGCTCTGTGTCCCCACCCACATCTTATCTTGAAATGTAATCCCCACCTGTCAAGGGAGAGACCTGGTAGGAGGTGATTGGATCATGGGAGCAATTTCTCCCATGCTGTTCTTGTGATAGTGAGGGATTTCTCATGAGATCTGATGGTTTTTAAAGTGTGGCACTTCCCTGTTTGCTGACTCTCTCTCTTGCCATCTGCCACGTAAGATGTGCCTTGCTTCCCCTTCACCTTCTGCCAGGATTGTACATTTCCTGAGGCCTCCCCAGCCATGTGGAACTGTGAGTCAATTAGATTTCCTTTATTTGTAAATTACCCAATCTCAGGCAGTACCTTTATAGCAGCATGAGAATGGACTGATACAGCATTCAAGAGCCAATCAAGTTGATTATGTGGTGATCCAGTGAGCCCTGATTTAAAGCTCATTCATAATCCCTACATTGAAAGACTGGCTCTGAGCTATGTTCAAAGGCTAAATCTAACAAGAAAAATTAAAAACCCCAACCTTCAATGGCTAGAAGTATAAAAAGACCTATAATAAAGCCTAGTTTTTCATAGGCAGCTATGGTTCTCCAAGGAAGTAGAGCCAATAGGATGTGTGTATATATAGAAATTTTGTTTTAAAGAATTAGCTTATACTATTAAGAAATTCAAAATCTTCAGGTAGGCTGCCAGGCTGGAGACCAGGGAACTGACCAACATCACAGTTCAAGTACAAAAACTGTCTGCTGGCAGAATTCCTTCTTACTTGGGAGAGATCTGTCTTTTGTTCTATTCAGGCCATAAGTTGATTGGACAAGGCCCATCCACATTAGCCAGGCAATTTTGTTTACTTAAAGTCCACAAACATAAATGTTAATCTCACCCAAACACATGCTTGTGGAAACATCCAGAATAGTGTTTGACCTAATATCTGGGGACTATGGTCCAGTCAAGTTGACAAGTAAAAGTAACCAATCATGACAGGTGGAGGCTGATGGATGTAAGTAAATACTAGAGAGTTAATATTTTATAAATAAAATTTACACATGGGTAATAAAAACAGAATTTTAAAAATTTAAATTTATTTGCTGGACTGTTCATTCATCCTAAAGTCATATTTAGTAGAATATGAATTTACGTCTGTGTGTATGTGGTGTGTGTGTGTGTGTGTGTGTGCATGTGCATGTGCATAGGGGTGTGTGTGTGAGAGGGAGAGAGAGTAAATATTTTTGTGTGGTGTTCATAAAACTATCCTGGAGATTTATCTCTTTACTTAATTGTATCTGTTGAACCAAGATGATCAAAGTGTGGTCAGTTGATTTATTTTAGCTATCTTTAATGAGTAGTGCTAGATTTTTCTTCTGGTTGACTTGTTCAGCAATATACTAGCGAGAGTGTCAGTGCTATGTCAGCCAGTCTCATTGTGTGAAGGCATAGGCTAGAATTACACTAAGTATAATCCATGGATCAGTAGCTCAAATCACTTATAGACCTAATCACTTCAGCTAAATCACTTGTAAGTTCATAAGAAAACAGAATCTTATGTCCCTCCTGACCTGTGAATTAGAACCTGCACTTCAACAAAGCCACAGGTAATTCATATCTATGCTGAAATTTGAAAAACGTAGGTTCAGAATAGCAGCCATTAAGTATATTGCTCATGTGACTGGCTCTCCAAAGCATCTTCTTTACTCACAGGAAATGAGAGAAAATACTGTGTTGCAACACCGTTTAAAAAATCAATGTAGAGCCCTACCAACCTGAGGCCTCTATTAACAAATCCATCCCATGATGGAGGGGAGAGATCTTGAATCTGAATTACTCTAGTATTTACATCATGTAATTCACCATTTTGCTATAAACTGTATTCTGTTCTTTAACTGCTTTATATAGATATTTTGAAACCTTTGATTTACACGTTATATGCTAGTTCAAGCTGTTCTGTTGCTCTGATCTAGCC
Source organism: Homo sapiens (assembly GCF_000001405.40). NCBI lineage: Eukaryota > Metazoa > Chordata > Mammalia > Primates > Hominidae > Homo > Homo sapiens. Next base: position 57,686,298 of record NC_000005.10, read on the forward strand.
TACAATAAAGGTCTCAATGTTTTTAACCTGGTGTACAAGGCCTTGCATAACTTATGCTGCCTTCAGATTTTCTACCATATCTTTTTTTACTATGCTTTTAAAGGTTCTTTCATTATTGTTCATCCTACACAAACACCCTGCTACCCTCTGCCCCACACCACTTACCCTTCTGTAGTCCACCTATCCTACACTTTTCCAGACATTCTTTCTCACTTCTCACTCTAACTACTGTCTATTCTTATTGTGTCTGTTACAGTTTCTCTGACACTCAGGTAAAACTCCCTTTATTTTTATTTATTTTATTTTATTTTTTTTGAGACTGAGTCTCGCTCTGTTGCCTAGGCTGGAGTGATGGCATAATCTCGGCTCACTGCAACCTCTGCCTACCAGGTTCAAGCAATTCTCCTGACTCAGCTTCTGGAGTATCTGGGACTACAGGCGCATGCCACCACGCCTGGCTAATTTTTGTATTTTTAGTAGAGACACGGTTTCACCATGTTGGTCAGGCTGATCTCGAACTCCTGACCTTGTGATCCACCCACCTCAGCCTCCCAAAGTGCTGGGATTACAGGCATAAGCCACCGCACCCAGCCTCTTTATTTTTATTTGTCCTTTGATGAACAGATGCTATCTCCTCCTATGGAATTTAAGACCTGTGAAAACAAGGGCCGAGTCTCACATTTCTCCATTCCCATCGCCTAGTACTCTGCCCACAACAGGGGCTTAATTACCGTTTGTTTATAGTGTAGTATGGCTGTGAAGAATAGATGATTGCTTCTCCAGATACAGGCATATTATAAGGAGACCCTGAATAAAATGTAATTGTTTTAGTGGAAAAACTTTGCATGGCATAAACATTATCCAACTCATTGCCAATGACCAACTAAACAAACTCTTCCTATTAAAATAAAAAACGTCATTCTGTATTTTCTGTTACACTTTAATTCACTTCTCATTTTTATTTTGTTGAAAGGAAAGACACATGTAGTTTAAAGACATACAGTAAAATATAAAACTCTTCTTTATAAAGTTTCCCCTCAAATATATACTTTACATTTTTCATTTGATGACTTCTAATTTCCCTTTTCCTTTTCAGTTCAATATCTCTGAGTATTTTACTTCTCAATGACACAAAACATTCACTTTCTATGAAGATCAAATTATTACATGTTTTTCTAATGGGACAAAGCGTAAAGTTTTCAAGATATGATTTTGTGATAGTTTCTTAAGGGGAAATGCTCTCTATCTAAACAGACTTAATAAAAGAAATCCTGAGATCACTTACAGACACAATACCTTTAATTTCAATGACCAAAACCAGATTATATGATATATTGGAATTCCAGAACACCCTCTAAAAATGTGAATTCCATTGTAATTATAAAATACTTGGAGATCACCACATGAACTGCAAACATATTCTTTTGCTTTCTCCTGTGCCAGTAGATTTAAGAAATTCATAAGGAATCTCTTCAAGGACATAATATCCTAACATTAATTTATTGAGCACACCATATTGAAACCAAATGCTGGTGTAGTGCATGCCTTTAAACATGACCTTAAAATAACCTTGCCTGAAAATGTTCTGGGCTGTACGTGTAATGTTGTCTTGACTACGCCGCCAGCTTCCTATCTCTGAGCCTTGATTCCCTTGCCCCTCTTTTACCAGAATTCACTCTGAATCTAAAAACAGAGGAATGCAAGTCTGATCATGCCCTTCCCTTAGGATACTGTCCACCTTTAGCAGAGTTACTAGAAACTAGACCATTTAATGTCTATCTTTTTTCAGTCCTTTAACTAGATCTCTCACCATTTCCTCTGTTATAATCAATGATCAGCCATAGTATGAGGAACATGTTGCTATTTTGTGGACATATCATGTCGTCTTTTTTCTCCATGCCTTGGCAAAGTCCATTCTCAAACACTCCGATTCTCTCTTTACCCAATCTTTATCAAACTCGATGGTTCTCAATCCTGACATTATCACTCCAGGTGCTCAAAAACAACGAAACAAAACAGAAACAGATGCCTGGGTCCCACCCTCACCAATTAAATGTTATTTCCTGGGCTCAAAGTTTATTGAAATATTCCCAGATCAGCTCATGTATAATCAGGGTTAAGAACTCCTGAAGCTAAGTTTTTATTTTCCTTTAGAACTTCTCCTGTCTGTCTTTTTTTCCAGATTGTTTTCCTGGTTCCCCAAGGCCGGGTTGGGTGCTATTTATTTATGTATTATATTACTTCATTTATTTTATTTTTATTTTATTTTATTTTTGAGACGGAGTCTCGCTCTGTTGCCCAGGCTGGAGTGCAGTGGTGCCATCTCGGCTCACTTCAAGCTTCACCTCCCGGGTTCACACCATTCTCCTGCCTCAGTCTCCCGATTAGCTGGGACTATAGATGCCCATGACCACACCCAGCTAATTTTTTTGTATTTTTAGTAGAGACGGAGTTTCACCGTATTAGCCAGGATGGTCTCGATCTCCTGATCTCATGATCCGCCTGCCTCGGTCTCCCAAAGTGTTAGGATTACAGGTGTGAGCCACCGTGCCAGGCCTTATTTTAATTTTTTATGGTTCTCTTAATTTTATCGTTCAAAAAATATCTGTTGATGACAACTATGTGCAGACACAGCGCTAAGTGCTTGGGTAATTGTGATGAAAAAAATTTATCTGTTTTCATGAAGCTTAGTGTTTAGTGAGGTGGTAAAAATAATCAACTATTCACACAAATTGTACATTGTGACAAGGGCTGGGAAGCAAAAAGACAGGATGCTCTGCAGGAGCAGGTGGATGGAAGGTTAAGGAAGGCATCTCTGATATTTATATTGATACATAAAGAATGAATGGGTATTACTACAGCCAGTCAGAGAGCAGTGGACAGGGAGAACATTCTAGACCTAAGAAAGAGTATGTATACAAAAGGGTTCTGGAATGGTGCACTAGAGGAACTAAATCAGAAGCCTGAAGCATAGGTATTGGAAGAGAAATGGTATGAGATGGGGCTCTAAAGAAGGCAAATTCACATGGGACTTCTATTTTATCTTAAGTGCAATGTAAACGAGTACAAGATATTTTAAGGAAAAGAGAGAAATAAATTAACAGATAAATTAAAAATAAAAAATTAATATTAATGCACAAAAACACATAAAAATAGTTCTGACTTTATTGAAACTGGATTAGAGTGCTGAGATAATGCCTAGCACAATGCAAGTGCTTAATAAAGACTACCCATTATTATTACTGTGATTAGTCATTAATTTATTCACCAACAAGGACATTACCTTTGATGCTGAGAATGCATTGTCTGGGGAGGAGAGAACATGAGAAGATAGGTAAATAGGCAATTACTATTCAGAATAATAATTCCTCAGCAGATAGGAGGAATACCCAGTTAGAGGATTATGGCAGTAATCTCAGAAAAAGATACTGCTGACTCCTTGGTCAAGCAGTGTCTTGACCTTGGTGGGCCAAGGATTCAGTAGTATAAATGGAAAGAAGTGGAAATATTTGAGGTATATTTTTGTAGAAAGACTAAGCAGAGCTTAGGATGGATCATGTGTTTGGGCTAAAGAGGAAGGAGTGGTCGTGGGGGGCTCTGAGGTTTCTTCTGGGTAAAGACCTGGGTGAGTAGAGATATGTTTCCTGAGAAATAGAGTACAGAAGGAATAAATGCATTGAATAACTAAACACAAGAATGCATTGTTGAACGTTTCACATCCGAGTTGCATATGGAAAATTCACTTGGACATTTCAAGTAGGTAGTTGTCTGTCTTAGAGCTGTCTGCATGTACTTTATTAGAAACTACAATGGACACTTCGTAGGTGCCAATTGAATGGAAATTGTTATAAAGTGCTGCTTTCTGAAATGCTCTTCTTTATAAGATTATTATTGGGGTTATTATTATTAGCCCCTGAAATCTTGACAAAGAGTTATTTGCAGGGCATATATTGCATTTTCTATTTTCCAGTCCTTCCTCCCTTCTGAGGTTTTCTTTGATCCCCCAGGTAGTGCCCTGCCTCTTCTAAATGACTGCAATGACTGCATAAAGAACATGGCTTCTATCTTTATTTGCTTGGTTTTTACTTACGTATTTTTTCCACCATGTAGCATTCAGCAGAAGAGAATACTTTTTTGTTTATAAATGTATTGTTTATAAGTATTTATTGTTTATAAATTTTGTTACTAAAAATTCTAATAATTTTATGATGGTAAATAATTGATACTTTAGACTCAATTTTTGAGATTTAAACTAGGAAAAGTAAATCCATGTTGGGGTTATTTTTCACATATCTTTTCCCTCATCAGAAAAAATACAAGCAAGTTCACACAATTTTAACCCATCTGCTTGGTCAGTAGACAGTACTTGAAGAAAGCTTCTGTCGCAGGTAGCGGCTATCTGGGGCCAGTGGTGTCAGTGGTAAGTAGGATTTACTAAGACAGTTATAGGTAAAGAAAGGCAGGTTTATTAGGAAAAGTATGAAAATACATTACAAGGGTGCAATGGGCCAATCAGCAAGAGAAGAGCTGACTGCACGGAGACAAAGGCTTGCTGGGGATTTTATAAAATGGTGCTTATGCTGTGTGCTGATGAGGGCTTTGTGCAGTACTGATAACGCCAAGGCTGCAGTGAGCAGACATACATATATATATTTTTTTATCAGCCTAAGGTATGGTGATAGCTGGGAGCAGGAAGACTGTGAGTTATTTGCATGGGAGGGCTATGTGTCCTGGACCATGGAGAAAGGCAGACTTGTAGCTTATCTGCTTTCTCTCTGCTTTTTCCTGCTCCCACCCACTTGATTCCTTTTTCCTAATTAGGACTCCACATTTCCTATGTGTCTTAAGTTAAAGAAAGCTGGGAAAGTAAAATTACTTTGCTCTTAAATGAATATAAATGTAATGGCCAACTTTTGACAACTGGATTTTCAGCTAAGAGTCTGAATGTGCTGAATATCTTAGCTTCTTCAGATCCACTCTCTTTTCTGTCCTGCTCTGTGTTCCAGGGGGCTGTAATCTAAAGGCTGGCCTCTTTGTCCCTGGCTTTCTTTTGTAATTGGCCAGTGGGGAACTCTGGCAGGGAACTGGAGGGTGAGAAGAGAGAGTTGTGGTATTTGTTGCCTCCATTTCCTCCCTGCCTGGGCACTGGCTGGTAGTGGCTGTGCTCCTCCACCAAATATCGGCTGCAGTAGAGTGGCCCTCTTCCACCAACCACAGACATCATCACATTTCAGCTCCACTCCTCACCTCTTCAGGCTTCAAGGTGGCCATGGATCATTGCTGCTGACTCTGAGAAGCTGCCCCATCTTGCCTGTGAGGATGGTGTGGTGTGTCAGAACCCACTCCAGCACGGAGGCTCTTATTCCTCCAGCTGTGAAGAAAGTTGCCCTCAGTGAAGAGCCACTTCGGCCCATGTTTCCAGGGTCAGCAAGCATCCAGTGACTGGCCTATCTGGGGATGAATACAAAGGCTTGGCCTTTTGTCTAAAAAGGAATAATTTTCAAGGGCCATGCCAGCTTCAGAGCTCCCTGTGGGATAGCCTCACATCTTTGTTGTGATTGCAACGAGGTTCAGCTTCTACTTCTGCTCAATTTTGTTTCCCCCACCTTCACAAGTGTTAATACCATGGGCACTCCCCAAGAGACTTTCTACAAGAAAATTTCATCTCAGACTCTCTTTCCCCCAAGACACTACCCACATCTTTAATACATCTTTTCACTAAAACCTCTTTAATCACCCTCTTTGAGTATGCTATTTGCTTCTTGATGAGACACTGACAGATATACTAATTGTTTTCAAATCAGGAACATCTTTGTTCCACGTAAACTTTCTTCCAGCAATTTTTTTGGAAGCAGTGGGAGAGAATTGTTACTCAGGGTTAATCTAGACCATCGAGGAAGAACTACCTAGTAAAGTAGAAGAGACAGAAACCTGAAGATAATGACCTGACCACCTTAAAATTTATACCATCATATATCATCATGATTCAACTATTTGGGCTACATAACAATAAATATAATTATAACAATAACAATAATAAATTCTACATGTTTACTTAAAAGTAAGCAAAATTTATGCTTTGTCTTAATGGTCTTGACCGAGTCAATGTTGAATACATTATAAGCACAGTCTCAAATAAGAAAACAAATCAGGAAAAAAATTATTAAATAATTGTGTGGGATTATTGGATTCACAAAATAATAAGTTGATTGATCTTGTTTACACTTGAATTGGTTATGATACCAATTCAGCAATTATTTTTGTCCTATATAATAGCCAGCTATGTTCCATTATCTCCTGGGAAAACAGAAGAATGAGATTCAACTGCACTAGCCAACTCTCCAGCCAATACAGGCAACGTTCTGTGATCTAGAAACATTGCTAAGAGTGTCCGCAAACTCTTTCCCTGGAAACCTCAGAAAACAGACAAATGTCTGTCTGTCTTGGATGGCATAATTGCAGTGCTGTGCTGCTTGCAATGGGTCTGCTCTCAGTGACCTCACAGTCCCCATAGCCAGGACATGGTAACTTCAGTATTTTGAAAGATTGAGAATCAGCATTCCTGTTTCTTAAGGGGGAAAAAAGGGGCCAATCAGAGACAAGGGTGGCTTGCTTAAACTGAGTCTAGTGTGGGAATGAGTTTCTGCCTTTCCCCAAATGGAATTGGTAGGATATTACGCTTCCTTTTTAGAAATCTAATAATCAGCATGTGAGCTTAGTGTCTTCACTCCTCATCTATGTCTGTTACCAGACAGTTCATCTTTTAAGGTAAATGAAGTTGTTTTTTTTTAATGAGGCATTAGAGTGACCTTAATCCTTCTAGACAGACATTCCCAGGATATTTTTAAGAGGTGGCCAGGGAAGGAGCGTGTGATTTTTGGCAGTCTGCTGACCTCAGCATGACCTGAATTAGAACGCCCCATGGAAATGCTGTGGCCTCCCTGGACCTGGAGTTCAGCTGATGACTCACCAGGGGCCAGGCAAGCATGAGTCATTCCACATTGCAAATGGCACTGAATGAATGCCAGTCTCTGTTTCCTCTCTAGCCTTGTTCTAGTCAGTCTACAGAAACAGAACAGCAACCATTTGCTGGTCCCACTTACGTCTCAAATGAATCCCAGCAAATGATGTGTCATTGAGGATAATACATGTTGCAGCTACATATATACCCTGAAAAATAACATTTAACTAAGCAAGAAGGAAAATATTTAGAATGGAATTCAAATATACTAATTTGATTCTCTGTGTCCCATTTCTGATTTGAACAGAGCCGCCGATTGTTACCTGGTATGCAATTTTAGATCCCTGCATTCCTGTTGTTCCTAACAACGGCTTGAAATTCCTTGCACCTTAAATGGTTTTCCTCCCTCCTTATCAGCAGTGAGAGTTGATAGTCTTCTACTCGTGTTCTGAAACCTTCTCTGCAAATTGATTAGAAATAAGACGTACCCAATTAACAAGATTATGTGCATTGAAAGAAAAGCTATCCTTTTGATGATTTATGGGAAATGAGTGTGTGTGTGTATGGGGAGTACAACGAAAACAAGAAGAAACTAATCTCCGCATGAGATTTTGGATGTGCAGAAATCCATGTTGGAACTTGCTTGAGCCAGCCAAGTAAGGAACAAAGAGAAAAATATCTTATTTAATAGCTATCTTCCTGGTTTTCTCCCTTGCTTTTAAAAAGGTATATTGTTATTTGAATTATAGGATAATACATGCTTATTGTAACAATTTCAGTCATGAGCAAGTAAAACTGGTCATTTCTTTTCCTCTGATGAATGTTCAGTTTGCTTTCGGTTTTCCCAATTACACACAGTGTTGCAATCAATATTCTTTCACATGTATCTCTGTGTATTGGTGCTTTTATTTCTCTTGGCTAGCATCAGAATTCAAAAGGTTGCATATTTCTGACAGACTAGGTTCTCAAAAGGTTGTGGAAATTTATAATCCCATCTACAGTATTTAAGAATCCCAAATTCCTAATCTCACCAACTTTGAAAGCTATTAACCTTTCAAAATTGTTGTCCATTTGAATGGAAAAATGCTATTTTGGGGGTATTTAATTTGCAACTTCATTTATACTTACCATATCTACTGCTTTTTTTTTTAATTTAAAAAAGGAATGTGAAACACTGAAACAAACTCAAATATTATGGATGTCACTTAAGAATAAAGGAATGGCTTTTTTCTATTCACAGATTAGATGTGCAGGAGAAAAACAGTAATATTAAACAAAGCAAAAGATAAGTAAAAACAGTATTTAGTTGGAGATAAATTAAGAAACTTCTTATTCATATCACAGTTGACATTGTTGTTAATTATTCTATGTGAATTGTGAACTTAATTTGGAAAATATGTACTGATATATTACATATTAAAAGCTTTGTTTTTGTTTTAAAATGTGCTGAATAAATTTTGTTAGTGAAATATATTAAGGTGAATACAGAAGAGCTTGTGCGTTCTTCCTTTTGTTTTAAAGTCATATTTCTTGGGTTCAGAGTGACACACAAAACAGAGGACTTCAGGTGCCTGAGGCAGTGGTTCTACATCTTGGCTACATGTTGGACTTGCCAGGAGTCACCTGGCAAGCTTTATTGGCTACTGATGCCTCCATCCCACACTCCAGAGCTTCGGATTTAATTAATCTGGGATGTAGCCTGATTAGGGGATTTTTAAAAGCTTCCAGGTGATTCTGATGTGCAGCCAAGGTTGAGATCCACTGATCTACAGGATATCTTTATTTCACCCTATTTCTTATCCTGCAAGAAATTAAGAAAATTGAACGAAGGAGATTTGCATTATTAATGAAGCATAATAAAATACAGCTTATGACAGAAAAAGCTACACAGCTTTTGCTACTTTCAGGGGACCAGTTTACCGATGCAAAAAACAAAAATCCTTCTCCCATAATGATGTCAACTCTCTTTCGCTCTCTCTTACACACACACAAACACTGTTTTCATTCTGATAGATCATAATGGCTTGTTTGTCTTGCCCTTGAGTTGCATAAGTTGATCTATGTACCCAGGGAAAAGGTACTGACTTTCTATCTAAAGAGATACTGGGAAAATGTCTCAGCTAAAGGAAAAAAAAAAAAAATAGCCACAGCAACACATCACTTTCTGCTATGGAACAATGTTACCCAGGCAGGCCAACCCTGATTTTCCTGCTTTCTGAAGTCCAGCCAACAGGGAAGTGCCCCACCTTCTTTTTGCCAGAAATCGTAGGGGCGATTTGATTCCAGTACGTGCTTTGAGCAGTGAAATGGGGTGCTGGTGTCCTCTAGAGCGGCAGCCTTCCAGTGTTTCATAAGCCATGAAAGTGCCTCCCCAAACTCAGAAACCTGTGTAGTTCCTGGGTCCTGGCCTATAGTTTTGTCTGTGTCCTCATTATCACAACACCAGCCCCTGTAAATCCCAGGGTGAGGAATGGGGCAAGAATAGGCGGTCGGCGACTGTGTGCCAATGGCAAGAAGTCAGAGGAAGGGAGGCTCCATCTACCTGTCAAGACCACTACCCCTGGGGCCTGTCACAGCTGACACCCATTCGTGTGTGTCTATTCAGTTAAAAGTAATAAATTTTATCTTGTTTAGGAGACAGGTGGTGGAGATTTTTACTTTTGTTTTTGGCAGTGAAGGCCTGTACTCTGGAGACTAGGGATTAGGTCATATACAAAATCTAGAACCAGATTGCTTTGTAGCCTTTCCCTTCTCTGTCCTTCTGAGGGCCATGCATCTGATAGGTAGGATCTTCTGGACTCCTAATCAGACAGCCTTCCCACCTCCTTGTCCCTGGTATCTCAGCCAAAGGCACACTTTAAAGATGGACCATTCCCTCTGGAGTCCTAAGGTGAAATAAATATAAACCAGGAACCTTACTCTGCAGACTGCCCTCTGTCTTTGCTAATTGGGATAATATTACTCACAGTCCCTTTGTCTTGCACTCTCTGGAGAGGTAGGAGGTGAAAGCACTGTTATGTCTATCACTACTGGGCAACAGAAAGTGAACCACTTTAGCTATTCCAGTGCCTCAAACTGTTGGGAGAAAGATGATATAACAAATTTATTTGGAAAAACATATTCTTCCTATAATTTAGAAAGTCAAGTAAATGCATTTTCTTCATCATTTTGTTACAGAAAGCTGTAGGATAGTTTTAAAGGATATCATTTTCTCGAGCTGTAGTTTCTGTCTGTTCTGTTGTGTTTTTGTGAATAATGAGGCACAGCTGAGGAGCAGGCCCCTTACACAGGCAAGTTAAGGTCAGCACCCCAGCCTTTTGTTCACTTTCCCAGTTGCTTTGTCCCTGGAGCTTCCCCTTCTGGGTTGAGATTGGCTATTTTTCTTGTTTGTGCTGTTTTTTTGTATTCTTTTTATCAAATTAAAATTGTTTTCTTTTTTACTTAAAAATTATTAATCAACTTGGCTTGCATCCAAGGAAGATAAGCAAGCCAGGATGAGTGTATATTCAAGTTTGGGGCCTGTAATTTTGTCTTCTATGCACACTGGGCTGAAATTTCACAGGAGGGATGAGTCTTCCATATGCATGATTGTATAAATAGCATGGCTTTGTAATATGGGAGTGTAGTGGCCTTAAAATAGCTAAACTGGAATATGTAATGATAGTGCTAGTTTTTTAGCTTTATACATCTGTGTAGAGTGAACAACATCTTATTATGTGTATGTAATGTGTTAACAAAATGCCTAGCAGACAACGGTTGGCTTTGCTTGGAGGAGAACGAGCCTATATGACAGAGACTTGGCACATTGGTATACAGAGGAGCAGAAATTAGATAAGAAGTCATAGTGCTGGGGAGGCAAGATAACATCCTTCAAACAGTTCAGCCCGAAGCTGGCTGGACACGCCATAGAAAAGGGAGAAAATGAATCTGAAAGGCTACATGCCAGATGGCTAAAGTCTAAATAACAGTTTTCTACTGTCCAGGGCTATTCATTTGTTAGCCCTAGAAATTTATCTCTTAAAAACTTTTTATCCAGTTAACTTTTACTTGAGTTTAGTTTTTTTTTTTTTCTTTTTTTCTTTGGAGAGGATGGAGTCAAGTGACTTGCCAGCCATGAGACAGAGTGAGTGTGTTTGGATTGAATACAGAAGCCAGAGTCAACTTTTTTTTCTGTCTTTTTTAAATAACAGGATGGAGTTCCACTACTGCTTGGAGTAGAAGGCCAGGCCAGGGATCTTTATGTTAACATGATTTCCTTAACCCTTTAAAGCTTTGAAGATAAAACTGAATCCATTGTTTGTGCACTATTTACTGATAGAATATCATGCTAAACTCTGTATAATGAGTAAGGTATCCATTTCTCACTGTACTATTTTAATAAGTAATTCATTCACTTTTATTGGTAAGAGAGAGTCTTACCAATATTAAGACTCATGCCGTATTATCATTTTGACTGAAAGAGCCAAACTTTGTATCTTCCTTCCATATATACCATTGGCCACATCCTTTCCAAGATTCAAGGGCAACATCTCTAATTAAGATTTTAACCTTTAACCTAATCTTAACACAGAAAGGAAGCAGAGTACCATAAGGCAGATGCCCCCTTAGTGTGGCAAATAGGACTTCATTCCCTACAGTCACAAGGTCAAGGGATAGTGATGTTGGTCCCTGATGACCCATGAAACCTCAAATTCTCCACTATGCCCTCGTTTTCTTGTACTGAGTCATGCCAATGGGAACAAGTGTGTAGACATTAGTAAAACTCATAGACCCCCTCATGGTCTAGAGGACTTCTTAATTCAATGAATGGAAAATTAAGTTTAGATGAATAAAACCTAAGACTCACTGAATCTTAGAGGTGTCATAAGAACAGGGGAAGAAGTAATTTCAGAGGGCCATGAATAATACTTGCATTTTAACAGGAAGTCCAATTGGATTCTGATATTTTCATGTGGAAATGTTTCTAAAGAACAGACTGTAAATAGAAAATACGTCAGCTTGTGAAAGAGAAACCCTGATTTTTGTTAAGAGAATGAACTAGGCCCTAGAAACTGCGACTTTAAGCTTTGGCAGGATAGAATGACCTATTTTTCATGGTTTTTATTAGGGAAAATTCCTCAGGAATTGTACAAGTATACTTTTGGGGAAAAATATTTTTGTGTTCTACTTATCAGCCTCAATCAGAGGCTCAATGCTAAGGCAGTCCTCATTTGTATACTAAATCAAGAAAAACATAAGCACTAAACCCAAATTATTGTATTAACTTTTGAAAGGGATATAAAATATCATAAAATTTGTCCCAGGTTCTAATTGTGTTCAAGCATTTCTAGTGTATTTTAAATTATACATATTAAGTTTAAAAAAAATTAAAACATTTAGCAAAAATGGCTATATTAACTTATTACAGGAGGAAATCGAGGTCTATTCCTCGTAACAGAGAAAAAAAGCTAAAATTATAATTTTGAAATTCATACTTCCTATAATTTCAAATTGCTATTTTTACTTTCTGTTTATATTGTAGTGCTTGAATATTCATACTTCATAGGTCCTTAGTGTATTTCTTTTTCAGCTTCCTAAGTAAAAGGCACTGAGTAAGCTAAGGGGAGATTTAAATCTAAGGGAATAAAAACAGGCCTGACCTTCCATGGATCTAAGGAAAATGGGTATACAAGGCACCAGCAGGGAAGGGTGAGTGATGCCCTTCACATTCCTGAGAATAATGACACATCTGAATGGAATGCAAATACTCCAGGTGAAGAGGCTGTTCAAGTAGTGACAGGATAATGCTCTCATCTGCACTTCCCATTTACCCTCATGATTACAATAACCCAATGGCAAAAGCCAGCTGGCTCATGTATCAGCCTAGATTTATTCTTGACTCCTTTTTTTCCTTACTGTAATATATGAAAAATGGTATAAAAATAGAGAACAGAGACCACAGTGACATCCCACACAGAAGCTAATTTGTAAATTATCATATAGTTATTATATAAATTGAAAGTGGCCAGTTCTACAAACAGATGCAATTAAAAGGTGCCTATATGATTTAAGACAACAAAGGCTTCCCCCTCTTTCAACAACACTGTACTCTAAATATCTATTGTGTGGGCACATGATCCAGCTAGACAATTACGGAGCTCCTGCACATTTCCATGGTGGTGGGTCTAGGAGTTGGTTTGTGACCAAGCATAGACAATAAAGTCTTCTTGATGTGTGGGCACTAGATGAGATCTTACTTCCGTTTGAATCGTGAGTCCGATGACAGATTTGTGCTGCGAGTAATTATCTTTCCTGCTATATAGGGAAAGGCTATATGAAAATGAAGCCAAGACATGGGGATAAGCATGAAATTGAGAGAAAGAAAGTCTTGAGGGCAGAGCTCCTACATCTACATGCACCTTTGGATTCCCCAGTGACAGAAATGTTTTACCATTTTTTCCAAAAGCCAGTTTGAGTTAGATTTATTTTGCTTGCGATTGAAAGGGTATTAAAAACTTTAAAAGAATTCAGTCAGTCGCTGATGCTCGGTAACTTCCCTTGACAAAGCTTTTCTTTACGTCTCTCGTATGCTTCCCAACCTGGGTACTCATGTAATATTGCAGATTTGGGATTGACAATAAAAAAAGATAAGATTAAAGATTTATATAAGTTATAGTTTTATTTATAATTCAGCCTGAAATTGGTTGCACAAAGAGTAAATGCTTTAGGATTTTAGAGAGGGGTAGATAACTGGGAGCAAATGTAATTCAAAGAAGGCTTCATGCAGGAAGGAAACATGGACCTGTAATGAAGGGGAGGGGTTGAAGAATAGATGGTGAGGAAAGAGAAGAATATTGCAGGTGAGGAGAATAAGAGAAACAAAGGCACAGAGATGGGAGTGAGTCCAATGGAAAATGCCCTGGATAGAAGGATGAGGTTGTAATTGGGCTGGTAGGGAGGCGTCATTATATGACAAACAGATTTGGAAACCAGGCAAAAGACTTGTGATGTGGTGTGGTAGGAAATAGCAGCCCTTGAAAGTTGTGACCTGATAAAAGGGGTGTTTCGCAAATATTAGTGCTGCTGTGATATGAGAGAATGGCATAAGAAAGTCTTGTTAGGAGGCAATTTTCAGCGGTGCTATTTGAGGGAACAATATGAAAACTTGGATTTAAATTGAGGCAGTGAGAATGAAGACAGAGGTGAGAGGGTATAAAGACATTTAAAATGAAAAATAAAAATCCATAGGATATGATTGGGAGGATGAAGTGTGCTTGGAGATGGTTGACTCAGAGTTTTACATTCTTGGCGTCAGGATATATTCCTACTAAGTTGTAGGTAAAAGATTGGAATTGGATTCTAGGATGTAGTGAAAATGGGACTGGGCTTATCAATTGGGAGGAACTCCAAAGAGAAAATAGCAACCAGAGAAAGGATGATGAGAAGCAGAGAGGCCGAGAGAGGGAGAGAGACCCACATTCAAGCAACATAGAAGGGGGCAGAGAGAGAGGCACAGGGCAAGGCAATGGCCAGAATTATGGGGCAGAAGAAGCAAGAAAAGTCAGAAAAGCAATAAAGAAGGAATGTTTAAAGAAATAGGATAGAGATCTACATACAATACTGTCATCTTTAAAGAAGTGGTCCCCAAACTTTCATCATTAGTATTTCCTATAGTAGTAAAAATGTTTTGAGCCTGCACCAAAGGTATTTATTTATTTTAAATCACTTACATTTGTATTCTACTTATTCCTGATTAAATAACATACAAAAATTTGAGTTAAGGAAGAAATTAAAACATTAAATAATACTTTTACAATTCTAAAGCAAACATTTCCCTCCCACTAAAATAATAATAGTAAGAATAATATTAATATTTTTAGTAAAAGCATTGCAGTTTAAATTTTTATAATAGAATTTTCAAAGATAAAAATAAATAGAGGTAATACTATAATTACCCTCCATGGAATCATCATCCAACTTTAAAAATCTATAACATTTTGTCAATCTTGTTCATTTACCCATCCTTACTACTTGATATTTTGTAGGGGGTCTAGAGTATTATAGAGCAAACTCTAGACATCATTTTACCTATAAATATTTCAAGATGTATCTTTAATTTGTAATAAATTTTAAAAATAAACACAATGTTATATCACACCTAAAATTAGCAATAATTTCTTAATATCGAATACCAGTCCATATTCAAATTTCCCTAATTGTCTCAAAACATTTTTTAGAGTTGGTATATGTCCAAACCAAGATCCAAGCAAGATCCACTTAGTGTTTAGTTGTTGTGTCCTGTCTCTTTTAATTTACAAAAGCTTTATCTTAAATATATATATATTTCATTTGTTGTAGAAACCAGGTCATATTTTCTATAGAATATCTCATGTTTGGATATGAATTATTGCTTCTTTATGTTTTGCTTAATTTGTTTCTCTAGCTCCTTATTTGCTATAAACCAATAGTTAGATCTAGAAGTTGTGTCTTTTACTATTGGAATATACCAGAAGATACATATCTATTGACCCACTTTTAATGGTCATTTTAGATTTTAAGATTTATCAGTAGGCTTATGTATTTGAAACCTTATTCTATTCATCTGTTATAAAGAACTATTTTACCTAATGATTTTAGTATCCATTGATGTCCATTGCTTAGATACATTATTTTGGGGGTGGGGGGATTGTAAATTGTAACTTAAAAAAATTCTATTCCTCCTTCTGAATTTACAAACTAGAAATCTTCTATAAAAAGAATCATTTGTCAACTACTGGTCATCCCAAAATATGGTTCATATAAGAAAGATAGAACATTGTTTGATAATTTCCCTTTGTCATTTTTTCAGAAAATTGAGGTTTTTAAAAAAATTATTTAATATCATGATGAAGTATAAATTCATGGATTTTTATATATTTTATGTTTTAATAAACTTTAGTTGTTATTATATTTGGTGCTCAAAATTATCACATTGCTGGTGAAGCAGCCTCTCCAATTTGGCTACTAAGTCTTTTTATTAAAACTCATTAGTCTTTACTACCTTTTTTACTGTTGTCTCCAAACATAGCACCCAACATCAACAAGGTGGCCAAGTTCATCTTGTATATATTCTGCTCCAGACCTTCAAGCAGCATTTTTCCAAGGATCATTGATCCTTTTTAGTGGGCAACTGTATTTAGAAATCACAAGCTGTGCAGTAAGGGTGTTTACTGCTACTGGATTATTAATTCTTCTGGGATTTTTTTACTGGGAGAAGCTATAAGTGTGTGAGTGTATGTGTGTGTATGAAAGAAAAAAGTAACTTGTAAATACATGTTATTTCTAATTCTAATGTAAAAGTAGAGGGTTTTTATTTACATCTTTGGTTATATAATTTCTCCTGCTGAAAATCTTGATTATGAATGGAATTAACCTAATTAAAAGCTTTTAAATTTTGGTTTACATTTATGAATCACATAGTAGTATCATAATTCCAAGGTCTGGCCATGGGTTCCTTTAATTTAATACTTGGTTCTAGTGGTGTTCACATGAAAAATATATGAAGAACTAAGCAAAATCTTTAATGATACACTTAATAATCTATTGTTCAAATTTTTCAATCCTATCCACCAATTACAAAGTTATTTGTTAAAGTTCAGTTTGTAAGTTTACTTTGTCCCCAATGTTAACAAAATTGTCAACAAATTGTGCGCTCTATGTCATATTCCATATGTATACATATATTCTATATATATGTATTCACATAAAACATACGAACACATTTATTTCGAAGACTTTAAACACATTAAAATTATATTTTCAATTATTTTTAGAGTGCAGATGTAAAAGTGTGTGTAAGTGATATACTTACAATATTTTGGGCACCAAAATCATATAGTGATTTCACACATAATTATATAATAATTTCTAAATTTCAGTTTCAATATGCTTTCACCATAGCATATATTTCCTTTGAAAACAGCTGATTCATTTTTCTTTTTCTTTTTCTTTCAACTTCTATTTTAGATTTGGGGGTACATGTGCAGGTTTGCTACCTGAGTATATTGTGTGATGCTGAGGTTTGAGGCACAAATGATCCTGTCAGCCAGGTACTGAGCATAGCACCAAACAGTTAGTTTTTCAGTGCTTGTCCCCCTTCCACCCTCCCTCTCTCCTCTAGTAGTTCCCAGTGTCTATTGTTCCCATGTTTATATCCATGAATACCTGATGTTTAGCTCCCACTTTGTAAGTGAGAACATGTGGTATTTGGTTTTCTGTTCCTGTGTTATTCTGTTCCTGTGTTAATTTGCTTAGGATAACAGCCTCTGGTTGCATCCACGTTGCTGCAAAGGACATGATTTCATTCTTTTTTATGGCTGCATAGTATTCTATGTGGTATATTACCACATTTTCTTTATCCAATCCACTGTTGACGGGCACCTAGGGTGATTCCATGACTTTGCCATTGTGAATAGTATTGTGGTGAACATAAGAGTGCATGTGTCTTTTAGGTAGCACTATTTGCTTTCTTTTGGATATATACCCAGGAATGGGATTGATGGGTTGAATGGTAGTTCTGCTTTAAGTTATTTGAGAAATCTCCAAAGGGCTTTTCACAGCGGCAGAACTGATTTACATTCCTACCAATAACATGTAAGTATTCCCTTTTCTCCACAGCCTACCCAACATCTGTTGTTTTTTTGACTTTTTAATAGTAGTCATTCTGACTGGTGTGAGATAGTATCTCACTGTGGTTTTGATTTGCATTTCTCTGATGATTTACTGATGATTAGCATTTTTTCATGTTTGTTGGCTGAGAAAGCAGCTAATTTCTTACTCATTATTTAGAAGCCACTTTTAACCACTGAAGTTTTTATTTCTTATCTCTGTAGTTATATTATCATCAGCAAATTGTCATTACAAAAAAGATCAACTAATATGAAACACTTGCCTCTTTGTAAAATAAAATCTCATTAACAATAATGGAAATAAGTCCATATTTCAAGTAGTCCTCTTCATGATATTTTAATCGCTCTCTTTGTTGGATCTTATTAGGTTTATATATTAATTTTGTTATGTGGTACAAAAAATAGTTGAAACTAAAAGTAGAAATGTCTTCTTTGCCATTTCCTTATTTCCTGTTTTATAAACATTGCTTCTTTTTCAACCTGTGGTTTCTTATAAGAAATGTTTTTAAGGTACTTATATTTTTTGTGAGGTTTAGTTTATGTTAAAAACATGATACCATCTATAAATCTACCTTGATAGGCACACAAATTATAGTTTTTGTAATATGGTGGAAAAGAGTAATTGCATGTGAGTAGCATGATAGCTTCATACTTGCTGTGTGTATAGACTTACACACATATGATATTTTTATATTAAATATCGATGCCTACTTCCTTTAATGTTATTATAGAATACAATATATTAATAGAAATTCTAATATTTTTCCCATGCTGCAACTGACTATTTCTTACTTCTTGGGTGCGTATACCCTGCTCTGGAGATTCCTCCTTGAAGGATGAGACACCTTCAAAAAGAAGAGAAGTTTTAGTAGCTGGTTGATGATGAAAGTCAGAGTCCAGTGAGTTAACGAGAGAATCAGAAATGGGGCAGAAGATTTTAGATGACTTGTGGCAATGAAGGAGGAAGAGGAAAAATAAAACTGTACGGTACTTGGAGAAAATAAAATGTAGAAAATTCCTCCCATGACAAGCTTAGGGAGATTTCTGCATTTGGAGATTGAAGGTAAAGAGAACATGTAGACTGTGGATTATCAAATAAAAGGTTAGCAGAGGAAAGAAGAGGGAGAAGAGGATTGTGTTAAGATCTGTGGAGAAAAGAGTTTACCTTTCATGACTCAGAGAGGCATGTTGGAGAAGCAGACCAAGAAGAAAGCAAGCTTGCAACTTAACAACAATAGCAGCAGCAAGAACAACAACAATAATAAATTTCCTTTGGCTTTGCATTCTTCAGATAAAATCAGTGGTGAATAAAATTTTTATGGAGAGTAGAAACACAATGACCATTTTGGGTAGGGAATGACATGAGTGAAGCTGGTGGAAGGAAGAATGAACTGGCCACAGACAATGTGTAGGATGATAGAATGAAAAGGGAGAAACGAGTTTGCACAAGCTCAGAAAAAAGATATTTAAAAAACCCAAACAAACATGATAACAGGAGAAGAAATGGTGAAGGTGGGAGATTTTGGCTGCAGCAAAGAGTGACTTTAGTGGCCGATAATGCTTGGAAGAGTGCAGTCGAATATGATTTTTCCTTTATGTGTCGTATTTATCCTCATTGGTCTGGATATCTGCTTTTCTGAAGCACACCAATGAGGGTGTGACCTCAGGGATATTCATTCAGATTCCAGGCCTTCTCTAGCAGAACTACACAAAGGCTAAGAATATGTTGTAACCATAAATTCTCATTTGTATTCCTAATGAACATGTTTTGAAGGACACTTTTACCAGCTAATGTTTTTTCAATCTTATTCTAAACTCATCTATCCAACTTCCTCATGAAATGTTTACGCCATAGTATTTAAGTTCGTGGGTTGGATGAGACATAATCTAGATGACACAAAATCTAACCAGCTATTTACATGATCACAAACAAGCACTGGAATCAGGGAAGTTACCTTATGTTAACATTAAAGTAGCTTGCCAGCAGAGCCCAATATACAATAGCAGTGTATCTATTTTCTTTTCAGTAGTTGATGGATTTTGAAATTTGTCCTTGGCTTCAAGGATTATTGTCAGAGTCCAAAGGTGAACTTATCTATTATTTCCATTAGTGTTTGGGTGATACATGGCAGCAGGCGTTGGGAGAAAGACAGAATGCCTATTGAACTCTCTGAGATGCTGCTGAGTCTAATGGCATAACCTATTTTTTTTATTAGAATGTAAAAAACATACTCATATCCGAATACAACAGCTAAGAAGCAGAACGCTTCTTACCGGTGCAGATTCTTACTGAAGGGAGTGAGAGGACAGTGCGCTTTTAAAAATACATTGTTCTCTAAATTAATAATGACTTTATATTCAGCTTTAAATAAATTATATTTTCAGAATAGTCAAAACCTATGAAGTTAGTTTCATTTGTCCTTGAGGGTTTCCAGTTTTTAATAATTGGAGTTGAATTCATTTTGGGATCTGTTAATTTAAGTTCTAATGGTCAAATAATTATTACATTGGAAAATCAAGAGTCCTGCATCTTCATTATATTTTCACCAGTGATTTACTCACTAACCTTGAGAATTCACTTCAGCTCATTTGCCATACGTAATCTCTCTTTTCCTGTCAAATTTTTGTTAATGAGGATCATTTCCATAGAACTCCTAGAAGGTTTAGAAGATAAATGGAGTTTGGGTTGAAATGAGAAGCATATTTTTTGCTGATAAAGATTTCTGTAGTGGCTTTGAGTATGTACCAAATATCATTTGCATAGAATTGCAATGAGCTAGGTAGCCATATTTGTTCTCATGGTTACTTTTCTTCAAAAAAAAAAAAAAGCTGAAGTGTTTCCTGTATATATTTCTAGCAGTCCTATAAAATGAGATGTGATTCTCTTTGAAATGAGGAAAAGGATAAACTTATAGATTACTTATGAGCTTTCAAAGAATCCTCATGCTCTATTCCTGACATGAGTTCTTGTGGTTTTATTCTTATTGGGTTCAGAAATAAAATGTTCAAATTTATCCTGTCAAAAGATTTCTTGGGCACTGAGATAAGAGCAAGGTTGAGTCTCTTATCAGTGGGTCTTGTCATATAGCTCTATGGTACACTTAAGTTAGCTGATGGCAGTCTGTTATTTATGATGATGGTTTGCCTTGTGTTTGTGCAGCATTTTATGAATTAGCCAAGTTTTTTTTTTGGCATTTTTAAAATGGGCTTTGAAATGGACTTAGATAAAAAATTGGTGAAAATAGTTCCTCAATGTGTGGTTTTTTTGCTTTCTTTTATTGAAAGGGTTTAGAAATGACTTCCCTCAATATCTGGTTGGGGAAATTTCAGACTATGCTTACAAGTCAAAGGAAATGTCTCTGAGCATAAATTGTGTCACTAGGATTTAAAGGTCTATTTCTAATATATTATTTAGAGCACTTAAAAACTTTATCAAAGTCAAATCAAATCTAAGGGGGAAAATGCAAGAGCTTACTTTGGTAATACTGAATCTAAGAGAAGAAGGCTTAGGGCAAATAGACAACAGGTTTAGTTTGGTGATTCAAAACATTTTTAATATCACAACTCTACATTTATACTCACACATGCCACATTAATCCTTCTTATACTGTTGTAGTTAGTCATGAGAATGCTTGGCCTTCAGCTTGATGTGCTATTTTCTTCAAAAACGCTCTTTCTTGGAGACCCTTTTTGATGTTACTGTCTTCAAATGTCCAGATGTCTTAGATTTTTCATTACATCTTGATTGTTCTCCTCTCAAGTGTAAGTTTGTTGGTCATTTACTGACTTCACAAGTCCTTTTATTTTCATGATCATTGCTTTGACATGAAATAAGCCACTCAGAATTCTGAGACTTTTCTATAATTAAGCCCTTCTGATTAGATAGGCTGGACTTTTAATCTATACTCCCTTGTTATCTAGGCCTGCTACAGCTCTTTTAAAAGTTGGTCTTATATATGATACCATATAAAACAACACTTCTATTCTGAAACTGATTCAGTTTTTAACTTACAGTATTTCTAATGTATAGTATTTCATACTTACTCTTTTATCTTTCTTGTGAACAGACTCAGACTCTAACTTACACTTATTAATTGTCGTTTATATGTCAGGCCCTGTATCTGACAGTAGAAATAAAAAGAAATTAGAGCATCTAACCTCAAAGAGTTCACAGTCAAGTATACTCCACTTTGCTTTCTGTATCTCCAAGATGTGTAGGAAAATATCTAAGCAATTTTTACCTGCACAGCATCTCAACAGAAGACAATTGTGTAGGGGAATCCTCACATTCTAATTTTAGCTTACTTATGCTTTTCTGCTGAGATTTTATTTTGCAGGACACGGAGTAAATGAGCCTGTCTAATACTTCCTAAGGATTCTCTTTTTTGAAGGGAAATGCTTCACACAAACAATCAGCTACACACCTAAAAGCCATAACCTTATGGAAAGGGATTAGTCATAATTGTCAAGTCTGTTCCTCTAATTTGGTGGCATATTCAGAGGCTCATGGGAGATTGTTCAGAAATCCTGGAGGGGATCAGTTAGACCATTTTTTTTAGCAAAGGGAGTCTCTGCTGAGCAGGCTGTAGATATCTCATAAAAATCAGAGGGGATAGAATTGTTCTTGGTTTTTTTAAGAATGAGAAAAGGGTACTGTTATAAGAAAAACATACAGACTCCAGGTAGACTAGCGCCATATGCAAATAGTGAGGACCAGGAGGCAGCTAGAACATCACAAGGAGCCCCATAGCACTTCCTTTCCCCCACAACCCCATTGGTGGACTTTTCTAAGGAAGGCAAATCGATGAAGCATGGGGTGTGGAATGGGGAAGTTTACAGTGTAGTGGGGCTGGCTGTTGAATGTCAGCTGTGCCAACCTCTCTCAGGCAGTACCCCACCCAGAATCCCCACTATTTTTATAGAATAGAAACCCTATTCTCCACAAATGAAAGAAAAGTCTTAGAAAACTCTCTTATATATAATTTTCTTATGAAAATAAAACAGTTTCTGGTACTTAAGTTACACCAGAGAATTCCCAAAGCGTCCAACATGCTCAGCTCAAAAGAGGCTTTCCCTTTCCCAGATGGATGCAGCCACATTTGTGTGACTTAACCAGGATGAGACAGAAATAATTACCCCTCTTATATATCACTGTAGTGGCTTAAGGAGAGGGCCCATGGGTCCCCACCTCTGGTGCAGCTAGATAGTCATGAAGCCTCCAATCACCTCCACCCTGAGATAGGTATCTTCCACATTTAGCAATTCAAGCTTCTGCAGCCACCCAATGGATTCATTTTGCTTGCTGTCCAGATAGAGCTGATTTACCAAGACAGGGGAATTGCAATAGAGAGAGTTTAATTCACGCAGAGCCAGCTGAACAGGAGACTGGAGTTTTATTATTACTCAAATCAGCCTTTCTAAACATTTGGAGGCTAGAGTTTTTCAAGGATATTTTGGTGGACAAGAGAATGGGTGCTGCTTATTGGTTGGAGATACAATATAGGGGTGTGGAGAGTGGTCCTCTTATGAGCTGAGTCATGCTTCTGGATGGGGCCACAGAACAGTTGTTGGTGGGTCTGAGTGGAGCCATTTGTCAGCAGAAATGCAAAAACATGAAAAGACATCTCAAAAGGCCAATCTTATGTTCTACAATAGTGATGTTAACTGCAGGAGTAATTGGGGAAATTACAAATCTTGTGACCTACAGAATATACACTGGTAGTCATTTCTGTCTACACCTTAGCAGGGTTCAGGCTCTTCTCATCCTCTTAACCAGATGGTCTTTCATTAGCTTTCCAAAGACAGTTAAGTTTTGGGGAAGAGCCATTGTCATTTAAACTAAATTTCTCCCAAAGTTAACGTGGCCCAAGCCCAGAAATAACTAAGGGCAGTTTGGAGGTTAAAGGCAAGACAGGATTTGGTTAGATCAGATCTCTTTCACTGTCATAATTTTCTCATAGTTATAATTTTTGCAAAGGCAGTTTCACTTAAGTTTAAGATTGTGTTTTCCTCTTCCTTTGTCTTTATCATTTACCCCCACTGTTCTAGGCAACTGCTCTTAGCTCTAGTGCCCCTTCCTCAGGGATGGGATTTTCTGAGTCCTTGCCATGGTTTTCCTGTTTTCAGGGAAATCCAACCTGAGATGCTAGGCTGGCTCTGGGAGAAGTATCCAAGGCCAGGGAGGGAGAGGCGGTAGGAAATGAGGACTTCATAGTGCAGTTTTCTTGTATATTTTTAGAAATCCCCTTGGCTTTTCAGGCCAAAGTGCTGCTGTACCATATCAGCCTTTACTCCTTCCTGTACTAATTAGTATTGAGTTCTCTCTATCAGAGAAGTCTGTGGAGCTGACTGTGCAGTTCCTCCCATAGCATATCATCACTGTTGCCAGTTTTCACCAGATGATTTTTCTTCAGCTCAGTAATTAGTTCTCTGTGTTTGTAGAAAATGGTTTGGGGATGGTGGAATCAGAGAGATGACCTTTGTCTGTGTTGTGGAGAGACTGCCTTCCTGGTGGTTCAAAGACGAGGAGAAAAAATGTTCAGAAATTTTGGCCTTGGTTTCATGGAAGTCAGATTCATCATGGCTGTGTCACTTGTTTTTCTAAATAATAAAACCATTTAGGCATACTTTTCGTATATTTTTTTAACAAGTATCTTGCTTTGTTTATAAAATAAGAAGTCCTATAAATGTGCAAATGATATTATACTTGGGAAATAAATGGATGTGCTAGGTACACTCTATTGAGGCCCATTTATCATGCTGCTAACTTTTGGAGTAGGTTAAAAATACCCAAATGATTGTAGCTGAATTGTGTTATCAGTCTTTCACTTATTGAAAATAATGCATTTAAAATTACACATTTTTCAAACAGTTATTATTTGTTATGTCCTGTGCTACCCATGAGAGTCATTTAGCTTGGGCAAAACTTTTAACTTCTCTTTGCTACATTTTTTCCTTTCACAAACTAAACACAATTTTGTGATAATTAAATGAAGAAATGACACTCCAACATCTGGACATAAAATAGAATAATCAAAATTAGGGGCACAATGAAAAGAGCTAAGAGATTTCAGAAGCTGAAGATGTAGAGGGATGGGCATAGGGAAATGTTTTGTAGAAGAACTGTTTTTGTGCTGGACCTTGGAAATAGTTTGGTCATGTCAAGATGGGGGAAAGGTACCAATGGAATATGAGTGCTGAGAAACAGGACTGGGGAGTGTAGCTAGTTGGGCTAAAGGATGGTAGGACATAAGCACTGAAAAGGGAAGCTTAAACCAGATTATGGAGAGATTTGGATGCCAAACTAAGAAACATGGATTTTGATTCAGAGATGGTATTTGATAAAATTGTCTTCAAGAGCTAAGTTAGATTTTCCTCTCTATGAGCTGAACTAAAGCAACCTGTCACAGGGTGTGCAGGGGTTATCTGGCACAATTCTGATCCACAGTGATTCTTCTTATGACCTATTTAGCTTGGGAGAGATGTGCCAGGAAGAAATACATTTCTTTCTCTCATTACCCAAGGATAAGTTCTCACTGTGGCAAGACCCCTGGGTTGGGAGATGATTCTACATCATGTTTATTAGGTCCCATTAACACTA
The DNA here is from genome assembly GCF_000001405.40 of Homo sapiens. NCBI lineage: Eukaryota > Metazoa > Chordata > Mammalia > Primates > Hominidae > Homo > Homo sapiens. The sequence goes on from NC_000005.10 coordinate 57,711,505, forward strand.
CACCATATTAGTTGTTATACAAAGCACTTCCAGCAAGGCTGGTTTACAGAAATGTCAAGTCCCTGCTATTATCCACATGAAGACCCTCCTTCCTGGCCCTGCACACAATCACTGCCTTTCTGTGAGTAAGCAGATGCTATGACTGGGCTTTGTGCTATGACTTTCCCTTGCTGGAGCACAACAGCAGATTAGGTTAGCAGTCTTATTGGCCCTGCAGAAGATAAGAATCCAGACACAGACTCATAGTAAAACGCCATAGCGCCCAATTGTCTTTGCCTTGGCTGATTTAAGGCTATTGACCCACTTTGTCCCCATTTTATAGGAACATGAATTTATTGTTGATCTTCCATGTGGACATATGCTTTTCTCTTATAATCAAGGTGACATAAATCCCAAAGAGAGTGAAATTTATTCTTTTAAGAGAAGTTATAGAAATTATAATATAACTTTCCATGAACTAATCTGCAATTCTAATTTGCAGACAGGAAATATTAGATGACATCGTCAGTCTTCCAGCCAAGGGACAATTATTCAATGTTTACTTCAAAGCTTGGTTGACTACAGGCTTTAAACAATTGCACAGCCATCAAACATTCTGTGCTGAGGACTGTGTCCCTTTCTGTCACTATTGATGGATTTCTCTGTCAGCATCAAGATTTGCTTGTGCCAGACCCTAAGGTAGAGGCTGGTAATTTCATGATGACTTCCAGGCCCTGTGTGATATAGTAAGCTTTCAGCAGAGGTAGCTCTTAGGCTGGAGAACTATAGAGTAATGAATATACTTGACATTCAACAAATATTTCTGGGTAACTACCATAAGCCAAACATTTAAGTGCTAAACCATATTGTAATGGCCTATGAAATTTGGATTCCTTTTTAAAGTCAAATATTCACATATAAATACCTTTTTAAACAGAATCATAGATTTAGAAGTGGTTTTAATATTCATGAGACAGCATTCACCACGAGGCATTCCCTGCCTACCCACCTCTCTATCCAATATTGCAGTTCTAGCCTGAGAACTCTCTCTCCAGTCCATATATCCTGGATTTTGTTCAATTCTTCATAGATACCAAGAAATGGCCTTCCTCAAATCTTGCACATTGTTTCTTTTCCTGGAGTGCTCTTGCCTATCTGCCTTCTACCAGCTACACCAGCTAACCCCTATTCTACATTTAGGCTGCAGCTTTACTGCAGCTCCCCTGAGGAAGCATTCCCTGATCTCCCAAGACTCATATCTCTTTAATGTATGTTCTTTGATCCCCTTGTTTTATATTCTTAAATATTTTTTCCTCTTTCAGAACTTTATACACCTATAACAATTTGTTTTAAATCTGCCATCTGCATTAGACTATTATCTCCATGAGAGCAGATGCTTTGCTTGCAGAACTATCTCAGTTATAGCATATAGCAGATTTTCAAAAGCTATTTAATGTTTGGAGAGATCATCTTGCTTAAGCCTCCTTTCACATCAGAACACTGAAGCTCAGAGATGATACACAGCTTTTCCATGGAACATGGTTAGGATCCAAATTGATACTAAATTTCCTGACAGCTAGTCCTATGCCTACACTATTTCAATCATGGTGCCAGAGCAGGCACCTATGGGGCTGTGAAAAATGTTCCTCTGGGTAGGAGAGGTAGCACATGTAGTATTCTGCATATATGTTCTTGCCTTCCAGCCAACCCAAATTTAAAAATAAATATTTTGGCATATTTTCAGATTTACAAAAATTTGTCAGTATGATACAAAGAATGATCATATACTCTTTACCCAGATTCTCTAAGTGTTAACATTTATTTTTTATTTAAACATTTATTTTTTATGTCTATCTACTATCTATCTATCTATCATCTATTTATCTATCTATCTATCTGCTATAGTCTGAATGTTTCTGTTCCCCACCTCCTCCAAATTCATATGTTGAATGCTATTCACCGAGGTGATGATGTAAGTAGATGGAGCCTTGGGAGATGATTAGGTCATGAGGGTGGTGCCCTCATGAGTAGTTTAGTGCCTAAAATGGTTTGGCTGTGTCACCACCCAAATCTCATCCTGAATTCCCACGTGTTTTGGGAGGGACCTAGTGGGAGTCAATTGAATCATGGGGACAGGTCTTTCCCATGCTGTTCTCGTGATAGTGAATAAGTCTCATGAGGTCTGATGGTTTTAAAAAGGGGAATTTTCCTGCACAAGCTCTCTTTGCCTGCTGCCATCCATGTAAGACATGACTTGCTCCTCTTTGCCTTCCACTATGATCGTAAGGCCTCCTCAGCCATGTGGAACTGTAAGTCCACTAAACCTTTTTCTTCCTAGTCTTGGCTATGTCTTTATCAGCAGTGTGAAGACAGACTAACACAGTGTCCTTATGAAAGAGGCCCCAGAGAGCTGATATGCCCCTTCCACCATGTGAAGGCACAAGAAGACACAGTCTATGAGGAAGCAGGCCTTCACCAGACAGTGCATCTGCTGGTGCCTTGATCATAGACTTCCCAGCCTTCAGAACTGTGGGAAATAAACTTTTTGTTCTTTATAAGTTACCCGTTTGTGTATTTTTGTTATAGCAGATTTAATGAACTAAGACTCTATCTATCTATCTATCATCTATCTATCTATCTATCTATCTATCTATCTATCTATCTATCATCTATCTATTATCATCTATCTTTCTAGATGCTATCATCTATCTATCTATCTAGATGGTATCATCTATCTATCTAAGACTATCTATCAATTATCTATTTATCTACCTATCTATCCCTTCCTCCTCCTTCTCGTCATCGTCATCAGTTATCTATCTATATATGATTTTTCCCTGAACTGTTCAACAGTAACTTATAGATATGATTCTCCTTTATTCCTAAAGAGTTTAGCATGTATTTTATAAAAACAAGAGCAGTCTTTTCCATAACTACAACATAGTTATCAAAATCAGAACATTAAAAATTAACATATTATCATATAATCTCAGTCCTATTCAGATTTGTCAATTTTCCTAATAATGTTCCTTCTAGCAAAAGAAGATGAAAGTTTATGTGTTATATTCAGTTGTCATATGTCTTAGCTTTCTTTTAATCTGGAATAGGTTTATAGTTTTCTAGAAAGAATAGGCCAAGTATTTTGTAGATTGTCCCTTACTTTGGATTTGCTTATGTTTCCTCATGATTACATTGAGGTTACAATATACTTTTAGCAGGAACACTGTAGAAGCATTTTGTCCCAATATTGGCAATATTAACTTTGACTGCTTAACATATTGTCTGCCAGATTTTATCACTGTAAAGTTACCTCTTTGTCTTTTGTAATTGATAAATATCTGTGAGGAGATACTTGGAGATTATATAAATATATTATTAGTTCTTAAACTTCCCTCCAGTGGTTTTAGTACTCACTGGAGATTCTTGCTTGAGTCAATTGTTATTATGATTACTAAATGGTAGTTTTGTATTTTACAATTTCTTCTACATTTGTTAGCTGCCTTTCTACTACAGCCCTTCTCCCATTATTTTGTTTGTTTATAACAATGTAGACTCATTGGGTTATTGTTTTATTCAGTGGATTTTAATACTTTTCTATTAGTTATTTTGATTCTAAATTATTTCAGTTTTGGTAAGTGGGAGTCTTTCAGATTGGCTCCTGGGTCCTTTTGGTACATTCCCATGTTTCTTGTAGCACTTCTTTACTTTCTGGTACAAGAAGATGTTGCGACCTCATTTTGTAATCTCCCTGCCTCAGCCCTGAAATCGGTCATTTATCTAAAAAGATGTGCTTGATTCTATCAAGAAATAATTACTTATAGACCCTTTCACACATTTATATATTTTAATATCTATTATCTCTCTTACTCACTTCTACTATTTTTATCTAAAAAACATGAGTCTACACTGATATCTCCATTTCCAATTCATACTAGTGGGATCATTCTAGCTTTCTGCCTTCTCATGTTTGTTTATTTTTTCATGCCTTCTCATACTTGTAATTCCCTTTTCCAGTGGCGAGAAACCTGGCTACCATTATTCATGACATAATGCCTTATTTGCTAATCATAGAATACAAAGAAAATGGTTTCAGGTTGCTCATCCATGTCTATGTAAAAGAAGCCCACGAATAAGAACTCAATATTTGTTTAGAATTATATTTGTTTTTAGCCTAAGTGTATATCATTTAAATCCTGTAGGAAAAAGTTACCTGGGTTAATTCTCTCTCCAATTTATTCAGTGTAGGTAGGTTATTCTTTTGAAATATGGTTTGCTATATTTGTTTTTGTTTTGACTCAATTTTAGAGTTATTTCCCTATCCTTTCCGATTTTTTTTGTGTGTTTTTTCTTTCTTTTTCCTTTTTTTGAGTATGTAAAACATTGCCATGGTCCCAAAAGTCAGACCTGTACAAAAAGTATACACAGAGGAGGGTCACTGACCACCTTCTGTCATTCCTTTCATGCTTCCCACCTAGCCTCATCCGCCTTCTCTAGGTAACCAATCACATTAGTCTTCTACTTATCGTCCCTTTGTTGTTTTTGCCTAAATAATCAGATACTTTATTTCCTCTTCTTTCTGAAAAAAGGAGCTCTCTTCCACACTCTGCCTCAGTTCTTCCAGCTTTGCTTCATTCCTTTGCATAGTTGCTTAGTATTCCATTTCCTAGATACACCACAGTTTGGCTAATGAATAGTGTTTGTTTAGACATGTTGCTTCCAATATTTTATAATAATAAACAATGCTGCAAGGAATATATTTGTGCACAAGTATTTTCAAATTGTTGGAGGTATAGTTGACCCTTGAAAAATGTGCAGGTTAGTGGTGCCAACCCCCATGCACTAAAAAGTCCATATATAACTTTTGATTTCCCAGCAACTTAACTACTAATAGCCTATTGTTGACCAGAAGCCTTACCAATAACATAAGAAGTTGATTAACATATATTTTATATGTTATATGTATTATATACTATACTGCAATAAAGCAAGCTAGAGAAAAGAAAATTTTATTAAGAAAATCATAAGAAAGAGAAAATATATTTACTATTAATTAGGTGGAAGTGGAACATCGTAAGGCCATCGTCCTTGTTGTCTTCTTGTTGAGTAGGCTGAAGAGGAGAAGCAGGAGGAAGGGCTGTTCTTGCTGTCTCAGAGTGGCAGGGGCAAAAGAAAATCCATGTATAAGTAGACTGGCAGTTCAAAGGATTCTGTTAAAGGATCAACGGTATATCTGCAGAGTAAATTACTTAAAAGTGGTAATTCTATATCCTAAGGGAATGTATATGTAGCTTTGTTAGATATTGCCAAATTCACCTACTATAAGGATAGTATCAATTTTCATTCCAACCAGCATCATATGATCGTGTACCTGGAAACCCCCTAGAGAATCTATGGTGACTCAGCAATAAAGAATTCATTAATGTGTCAAGACATAAAGCTAATGAATAATAATCAATTATATCATAAAATGGTAGGGGAAATTTCATTTACAATGGCGAAAAAGAAGACAAGATACTTAAATTTAATAAGAAATATGTAAATCCTATACATGGAAAACTTTAAAGCACTTCTGAGAGACATAAAAGTAGACTTGAACAAATAGATCCCTTGTTTTAGGTCTGATGACTCAACATTATAAAACTATCAGTTCTTTCTAAGTTAACTTATAAATTTAACATAAGTTCAATAAAACTACCAACAAGTGTGTTTTGTTTGTTTTGTGTGTGTGTGGAGCTAGAAAACAATAATCAGAAATACATAAAAGAGTTATAAAGAGCAATTAGCCCAATTAGATATGAAGACATACAATAACATATAGTCTCTGTAATTAAAACTCTTTAGTACTGATGTTTGAATAGAATATTAGACAAGTGCAATATAAAAGGAAGTGCAGATATAGGTCCAAGTACATGTAACACTTAAATGTTTAAAAAGGTGACATTTCAAAACACTGGGGCAAAAATAAGTTTTTCAGTAAATGAAGCATGGACAACTATTTATTCATTTGAAAAAATAAAACAAGCTCCATATCCCACATCATACATAAAAATAAATTAGAAGTGGACCAAGGATCTAAATATAAAATACGAAACCATACAAATACCAGAAGTAAACATAATAAAGGATGGGTCTAATTTATCTAGTAGAGACCTTGGTCTTTGCCACATGCTCTGAAATGACTTTCAGGGATGGTGTAATCAGGGAACTCTACACTTTCCCTACCTATTGGTGTCTTTTTAGTTTTATGATATACAACCCTGCATTAGTCAGCTGCACCCACTAGCCATGAGGCTACTGAAGTTGGCACTTGTGCATGTCACTCTCTGGTGGGATGGTGAGAATATGTCATCGTGTTTCACGATGTCATGCCATTCTCATGCAATTTCCCCGTCTTCATGTCCTTTTTTGTCCATGCCTTTTTTTTTCTTATCCTTTTTATCCTTAAAAATAGCTTATTGTACCACATCCAGGAAAGATTTTTATAACTCTTATTCCTTATTTTGTTTGCCATACTCTGGGTTTCCTATGCATATATTTAATGTCACAAATACTTTATTGTAAAACAATTGCTGATTTGCATCTGAATTCCTCCCTAGGACATAATCTCTTAGAGAACAGGAACCTTATTTTATTTGATTTTTATTCCTAGTACCTACTAGAGGCTGGCATATGGTTGGTGCTTGCATTAATCCTTATAGGCTAGATTGTGTTGCAAGAATCATCAACTGTCCAATCTTAGGGACTTGACACAACAAAGATTTAAATATCACTCATAAAATATATTGAAAATCTGGGTAACTCTCCAGGGTAGTTGTCCTTCCTGTGGCTGCTCACTGATCCAGGCTACTTTGATCTTGTGACTCAAAGTTCAACAAAATGTGGATGCGTCATTTTATTTACACTTCAATGGCCAGAACTTACGAAATGGCCTCATCCAGTTGCAAGAAGTTTGGGAAATGTAGCCTTCCATATTTACAGGAATAAATGAAAAACTGGATATTGCTTAATAATTGTTAATGAGTGAAGTACTATCAGGGCATTTCTGAAAATTCAGCAGAGATCAAGGAACTTGAGAGGAGTCTATATTGCAAAGATCTCCAATCAAAAGAAACCAAATTAGATAAATTCTGTAATTTATTTTCAGGATTGATAATATAATAACTCCCTGAAGAAAACTTTTATCTGAAGTCTCCAGATCATTCTAGGTGTTTCCATATTATTCTAGGAGGTATAGTCTTGTCTCACAGAGAGGTAGCATACCCTAACCTGAGTTCACAAATATCTATAAATCAAAAGGTCCTAAGAGCAAGTGGGTCACAAATCATAGTCCTAGAAAAGACTTCTGAGTTGGAGAATTTGCCCAGTCAAGAACAGGGACGAAGGTAAAAGGATTCACCTATCTGAATAGTAAGGAGAGGGTTGGCAGAACAAAATATTGTCATGGTCCTAGATGGGGTTCTTGTCCCAGATGAAATTAGACAACAGCCAGGAAATGGGGCAGAAACTCACCCTGGAGTCTTAACTTAAGGAGTCATGGGAAGCCAAAAATGAGAGAGCATGTGGGTAGCTGAGGAGGCTCATTCAGGATATATGGAAACTTGACCTTGAGAAGAGGAGTAATTCTAATCTCCATAAATTCTTAGAATTACCAGATGTTGTTCTCGTGGGATTGATGGTAAGATTGAATCTGAGGATTGTATTATAAGCCCAAACCCTCTGTGATTAAAAACAAAAAGATTTTCTTACTTTTACTCTTAGTTAGAAGCAACAAAAAGTAACCCTTAAATGAGCATGCAACAGGATGAGGAACTGGCATGGGAAAACATTAGGCCTATTCATTTGGGCCAGGGTTTGTTCTGTTTCCCCTGAACAGTCGCAAAAAGAATGCCTTCCTCATGTTCCACCCATCAAGTTTACAGGATTAAGTAAATACTTTTGACAAAACCATGCTGTTTTAAATTTAAACTCCTTTTCCTGCATTTCTGACATTTTCTTCTGCTGATTCCAACAAAATAACAGTTTTCTATTATGTAAAGAGGAAACATGGGGTTTAGGTATTGAATTCTGTTCTTATATCCATATAAATGACCTATTATGTTCCAGGGCTTATAATTAAACATCATTTTGGCTTTTCTTTGTGTATGGATGTGACCTTATATTTTGGCATTAGTTACATTTTGTGTAATTCTCTTTCTCTCTCTCTCTCTACACACACACACACACACACACACAATTTATATTATTAATATAGTTTTACAAGAATAAGTGGAAGACATCATTGATTACCTCATACTCCTAAATGCTTAAGTTTGTAATTCTTAAGAGCAAAGCCTTTTTTTAACATAACCATGATATCAGGAAATTTAACATTGGTATAATACTTTTATTTATTCTCTATAGTCGAATGTTATCAATTGGTCCAATATCATTATAGCTATTCTTTTTCCTGGTCCAATATCCAACATCATATACTACATTTGGTTTTTATGCCTCTTTAGTCTTCTTTTACCAGGAGCATTTCTGTCTGATGTTTTCTCATGAATAGACTCAAGCAATGCATTTTTGGCAAGAATATTAATGAAAGGATTTTGTGTCTTTCTCAGTATATTGAGTCATGTGATGATCATGTGTCTCAATATTGGTGATGTTAGCTTTGATTTCTTGAGTAAGGTGAGATGTCATCCAAATTCTTCCTTTGTCTAATTACTGCGTTTCCCTGTGTAATTAATACAGAATTTGTGGGAGATATTTGAGTCTATATAAATACCCTTTCTTACCAAACTTTCACCTGCTAATTTTACTATTCATTAATGTTTTTCAAATATCGTGTCTTGCATATTTATTAGTTAGCATTATACTGAAAAGAAGGATTTTTCCTTTTCCCTAATACAATTGTTTATTCATGTGCTTATTTATATCAGTATAGACTCAAAGATTTTTGTTTCACTGAAGTAGTTATAATTCATTATCAACAATATACAAATTGTTCCAGATCATTTGAGGCTAGTTCCTGCATAGTTTTGCCACATTCCCATCATTTTTTGAGCAGCTCCTCGCTTTTTACTTTATTTTTAATTTTTTTAGAGATGGAATCTTACTCTGTCACCCAAGCTAGAATTCAGTGGTGTGATCATAGCTCACTGTAACCTAAAATTCCTGAGCTCAAGGGATCCTCCCACCTCAACCTCCTCAGCAGCTGGGGCTGCTGTGCCGCTACACCAAGCTCATTTTGTTAGAGATGGGGACCCACCATGCTGACCAGGCTGGTCGCAAACTCTTGACCTCAAGTGATCCTGCAGTCTCCACTTTCCAAAATGTTGAGATCACAGGCGTGAGCCACTGCACCCAGCAGCTCTCATTTTTAGTGCAATAAAGTGTTCCAGGCTCACACTGTACTTTCCCTGCCCCCGCCCTGGAGTCAGTCATGTCTCCTAGGAGCTTAGACTTCTGATTTAATTAGAGCAAGTCTATGTTGTAGTATGCTTTCCCAACCCTCTCCTCACTATCCCCCACACAACTCTATATTCCAGACTATCAGCCTCCTCACTGCTCTGCAAAAATATGGCACTAACTTCTTCCATGTCCACTCTTTCTCCTTTTTGCTGCCTACCAAGCTCAGTCCTCTCTGAGGGTCAGTTCCTTTCCCTTTACCTCCATGACGGATGCACGTGAAGAGGCGTTATGACAGCTGGAGCTCATTCATACCCAGGCTTGATTCCACTAAACTGGCTGGCTAGACAAGTGCCTTCGTCTTTCAGGAATACTTGTATGTTTCCAGAAGCTGCAAAATTGGAAAAAGACTTTATGCTCCTGGGAAGAGGGGATTTGTGTTTTAGTGAAACGTTATATGAGATCTTCAATCCTTTACAACAATGTTAAACGTATTTTTGAGCTCCGTTTCCCCCACAAGAGTTTCCTAAGAAACCCCAGCCCACACTCATTTTTCCCTTCTTTGAACTCCTACTACACTTGGTTGCTGAACCACACAATCTAGCTTTTGTCTATGTGCCTGCTATTTCTGTTATAGCTTCAAATTTTCCATAGTGGTTATTAACTACTTAAGGGAAAAGATGGTTTCATATTTATACATAAATATGATTTCTTCCATAGGATCTGGCCTCACTTCCTATACACAGACAAATATACAGTTCTTATCCTTATGCCTCACACAAATAAGTGCATTAAAAATGATTTTTTGAGGAAGTGAACACAGATCATAGAATTCCATGAGACTAGAACTTAGGTCTCATGACCTCCATGCCTATGATTTCTTAACTCTTAATATATTATACCATTAAACCCCCAAACTTGGCCATATGTTTAGCATTATTCTATATATCTAGATATTATAGTCTTATAATATTAATCATCTTCCCTTCATGTTGGAATAAGAATTTTTTTTTAATTTCATAGAAATGACAAGTGGAGGATAGCATGAATCTCTGACATCCATCGATCATCCCCAGGCTCCATTAAAGCACCTGAGTAAGAAGTAGACATTGTTCTTTGTTTCTCTTTCTCCAGGTCATTTCTGCAGAGCTTGTCATGTTGACAGCAAAAGAAAAGGGCATGGGATATCTGCATATCCACTGTTTAATTGATCCCTAGCCACATTTTCTAATTACTGTATATTTTTTCCATTAAATCAAGTCCATAGGTATACATGTTAGTTTTCTAGATATATTTATATTTAAATGTCAAAATTTAAACACCAAAAAATTTCTTATTGTATGTTTATTCCAGAATGTTTGTGAAATTTACTATTTTTGATATTTTATTCATTAATTCAATAAACACTTACTGAAAGTCCACTACATGCATTGTGCTGGGCTCTTGTGTCAGGAATGATTTACTGAGGAAGTAATATTGAGGTGAGACATGAAGGAAGAGCAGAAGTTGCCAGGTAAGCTCTGCAAGGAAGAGGATTTTGGTAGAGGAGCAGCATAGGAAGTAGCTGGGTTGTGAAAGAGCTTAGAGAAACTGTCCAGAGGACAGTGGCAAGAAGAGATGTTTGGGAGGAGGCTGGAGATGTAGGCAGGCACTCTATCTTAAAGGACTTGTAGGGCATGTAAGAGTTTCAGGCTTAATGGAAAATTTAAGGCATTAAGGTGAAATAGAAGTTGAATAGCTTGTAGCAAATAGCTTCGTACCGCTTAATACCCTTTTAACATAGTATAATAATTGATGTTTATGAAAATGATTCTTTTCATAAAGAAAAGTTTACATTCTGTTTCATTAAATCCTATTAGAAAGGTAGAAAAGTTGTATAATACTTTTAAAAAATTTTTTCATCATAGTTAAAAGTGTGTTGATAATTAAAGGGGTCACCCTTACTTATCCAGAAAATTTGTTTGTTTATAAAAGATGTGCTTATCCCAGTTGCATGTTGACTTGTAGCCTTTTAACTTAATACACCAATATTTGTCACAACATATACAAAAACTGTAAAATCTCTCTATAAATATTGTTATTCATCTCATTTATTGATATAAAGTAATAAAGTAAGTTTGATACTGCCTTGTCCCAATCTAAGACCTCCTCTTCATTCTGAAATTGTGTTTTACTTGTTTTTTTTTTTTTGAGACAGAGTCTTGCTCTGTTGCCCAGGCTGGAATGCAGTGGCGCGATCTCGGCTCACTGTAAGCTCCGCCTCCCTGGTTCATGCCATTCTCCTGCCTCAGCCTCCCAAGTAGCTGGGACTACAGGTGCCCGCCACCATGCCTGGGTAATTTTTTGTATTTTTAGTAGAGACGAGGTTTCACCGTGTTAGCCAGGATGGTTTCGATCTCCTGACCTCGCAATCTGCCCGCCTCAGCCTCCCAAAGTGGTGGGATTACAGGTGTGAGCCACCGCACCCTGCCTACTTGTTTAATTTCTTGAAGAGATGTTACTAATACATTTTCGGTAGCTGATGTATATTTCATAACATTCTGTAGGTTTCTGGAAAATGCATAGCTTGTTATGCAAAAGAATGTCCAATATCTGTCATAAACAAAGAAAACAAACTCAAAACTGGCAAGGCATGTTACTGTATGGCATGTTTTAATGTTATTATACCCTAAGAATCTTTTTCAATCAAAACATAATCATAGGTAAAGAATTACTAGGGAAAGGGGAGTGGGGAAGGAGAATGGCAATTAGATCACTGATGATGTTAAAAGCCATAAGAAACAGAAAATAGATACCCATTCTCTAGGATGTAAGGCATGGAAGGACTTACCCAGCTTACCCAAGGCTATGAGCTCAAGGCTATGAGTCTCCCGCTGGGACTCAGGAGAACAACAACATAGAACTTTTGGTGTCTCAACAGAAAATGACTCTGGCTGATTTAAGCAGAAAATGAATTTACCAAAACATAATACAGTAGTTTACATAATCACAAAGAAGATTGGAGAACTGGGGGCTGAGACAGCCCAAAATGTACCCAAAACCATGTTACAAAACTTTTACCATCTCCACTGAGTGTCAAGTGCCGCAGCTTGTGCCTGTGATAGCCATCAGGCCTGGGCAGTACTCAGTTTTATTGCCATTGTCCCAGTCCTCTCTTCTATGTCCTTCTAACTCTTGAGTCCACAGTGAATTCTTCGAGCATACATAGTGGAAGGCAGATCCTGCATCTCCCAAAGACTTATAGTGGAGAAATTCCCAAACATAAGAAGTAGGATTGAATATGTAGTGGCCAAAAATAATGACGATTTTTTACATAGCTCATCCCTTTGAATATCCTTCATACATGATTTCATTTACAACTCTTGGTTCCTATCATACTAAAAACAACCCTTGACAGCTTTGGCACACTTACCTTCTCCCCAAAATGAAGAATCCCAGAGCCTCATCAATTGATGCCTGCAGCTCCTGGCTCAGGATCTCAGGAAGATGCCCAGCTTTCCTCTTCTTCTATCATGATCATGTGTCCATACTCTGTAATCTATGGACTAAACCGAGAAGGTGTCACCCACACATGCTGTGTAGGTGTGAAAGAAAGAGGAAATTTGGTAAAAATAATTAAATGTAAGTCTGATATAGCAAGGAAAAGAACATAAGTATGCATTTATGACACTAGGTCATAGATATGATTTATTTGCTCTCCTATTAACTTAGTATTTCTTTGACTTTACCCAGGAACTTTCATTCCTGAAGGATCTAACTCCCAGTGGTAGCACCTATATGGGGTTGCCGTGATTGGCTATTATTTTTTGCTCTTGTTGTTACACTATAGGTACTGAAAAGTCCCCTCTGGTTTCCATCCACATTATTCCCATATCTCCATGTTAGTCACCTCACTTCTCATAGACAGTCAGGTTCCAGCAAAAATAAAACATTTTTTTTTCATTTTCACCATTCAATACAGGAGAAGCCCAAAGTATACAAGTAGTTTTCTTAACTTCTAATTCATTAGAATCATACTTGTGTTCTCTAATGAAAGTATTTCTCCCATGGTTTATAAAGTCTGTCTCTGTCAGCAGTGCCTAAAGTAACAGGAATGTGAATCACATATTGTAAGTATTTCTTCTGTATTTTACAAGATGAATCATGTCCCATCTTGAGGCTAGAGGCTGCATCTCGTATCACTTTGTTTCTGAAGGGCTTGAGGGTGAAGTATGATAGGATCTCAGAATTAGGCTGGATACTGCTGAGAAGGCTTAACACTCTTGAAAATGGGGGATTGGAGAACTGGGTCAGCTAGAAGCTGATTACTACGATGAGTAGCCAGTGGTCTAGTATGCTGTGTTCAAGCTTGCTTTATCTATTTATTTTTTGAGACGGAGTCTCACTCTGTCACCCAGGCTGGAGTGCAGTGGTGCGATCTCTGCTTACTGTAACCTCCGCCTCTTGGGTTCAAGTGATTCTGCCTCAGCCTCCTGAGTAGCTGGGATTACAGATGACCGCTACGACACCTGGCTAATTTTTGTATTTTTTGTTGAGATGGCGTTTCATCATGTTGGCCAGGCTAGTCTCGAACTCCTGACCTCAAGTGATCTGCCTGCCTTGGTCTCCCAAAGTGCTGGGATTACAGGTGTGAGCCACCACGCCTGGCCAAGGTTGTCTTTAAATTGGGCTTGGTTGCAGCACTTTCCATGCCTAAGGTATAAAGATGTTCAGTCTACTGGCTGGAATTTATGTCAGACAGACTATTGTGCCATGTTCCCATACAATCAGTCTATTTCTAGCTGAAGTCTGTGAAGTAGCTAGGCATAAAATAGACAGGGTCCAGCCCTCCAGAGGAAAGGATAGGCAAGAGCTAGGCTGGACATCAGAGTCTGTCAGGTAATCTGGAGTTTATGGCAAGGCCGCTGGGCTAGAAGGATATTGGATTGCCGTGCATAGAAACTGATGACTGCGTTAGTGTCACAGTGGTTTGGGACAGATGCCAAATAAGTGTGTCTGCAGGCAACCCACATGTGAAACACATAGCAGAGAGACACTAATTGTCGACCTCACTTGCTGGTGGGCTAAGATTGTTGGTCAACTTGCTACTGTGGCCCAGGCAGTTGGTGTAGCTGAGTTGCAGATGTAAAAATCAGCAGCCCCAATGAAAGGGGCAGGGAGAAGTAGGAGCTGAAAACAGGAACCAAATGTGAAGCCAGATGGAATCCAATAGGATGGCCTAAGCTTGCTCAATTTTGAAATATGATAGTCAAACTTCTGTACCACTTTTAGACCAAGACTCTTAACACCTGAATGAAAAGAAATATGGGTAAAACTTAACAATCAAATAAAAGGAAAGAATGAAAAAGAACTAAAAAACAAAATTGGCCTAGTGATCTGACACCCCTTTCAGTTCTGAAAGTGGCAAAGACATCTGAGGAGACTGTCATAAGGTCATGGTTATATTTAAAGCCAGCATAATGTACAATTACCTAGGAACGACAGGAGAATCCAATGTATCTGAGATTCATCACATTAAATGTACCTGTTTTGAAGTTTTGGTCCTTTTGGAGGAATTTTTTATTAAAATTATAGGTACTGGGCACGTTACACAGCTACTGAATTGATTTGTTTTTGGCGGCACACTTTCCTGTGGGTTAGCAGAGGGAAGAGTGTCAGCAATATTGTGAGTCTGGTGCTACATGTAATTTGGGAAACCACAAACTCCTTAAAGTGTACTGACCACTCAGCACTAATTTATAGCCCCAGAAACTATAGAGACTTAATTTCTTTTAATTCTTACAATCTAGCTTTAGAAACCAATGCTTAAATATTACCAGTACCTTTTTTTGTTTGTTTTTTTTAGAAGTGGAATCCTGCCATTTTGCCCAGGGTGGATTTGAACACATGACCCTCCTGCCTCAGTTTTCCGAGTAGCTGGGACTGAAAAAGCAGCGTCTCTGTTTTTGTGTTCAGAGTGACATTAACCTACTTCTGTTTAAATGAGTAAAATTGTCTTTCCATTAGATTCATTTGGTGGAGAATTTAACTTAAAATGTAAAAGTAAAGAGGAGTTAGAGGTGAGCTAGAATTTTATAGTTTAATACCATGTAAATATTGCCAACTTATTTTTTCTAATTTAATTAGAACTAATATAAAGTTAATAAGATGAAAATAAATTCATTGTTCAGAATTGTAAACATTGGAATGATAGTAAGGATCCAATGCTATTGACTTCCCTTTCTTTGAAGCAGAATAGCATTGCTAAAAAATGATATTAATATGTCAGGAATTTAAATTTAAGGAAAAAATGACCAATAGTTTATTTCAAGATTTTTCTCCCTGTCTCAGCATGTAATCAAATATACCACACAATAATTTGAGTTGCCAACCATTAAGAAAATCATAATCACATTTAGTTAGGAGAGCATGTCGTATTCTCTTAGTTCTCCCACATACTTAAGTCATAGACATGCTCAATGAATCCTTGTTGAATTTGATTTTTTTTCACACTGCAGTCAGATACACTAAGTTTGAAGGATTTACTACACTGGAACCATTTCCAATCTAGACAGAGACCACAGGATGCCTTATATTTTAATTCCAAATAAAATGATATTCTGCATATTAAATGAGAAAGCAAATTTTCAGTTAGTTGATTAGGCAATTCTTCTAGATAGATACTTTTGAAGGCCCCACAATAGAAATATATGTATATATGAAATAGAAAAACAAACTCTATGAAAATAATGCAGTTGGATAAGTGTTTACTTGTACTAAATATGAAATGCAAATAACTGTTGGAAACTAAATGTGTTTCTTATTTATAAATGTTACTCATGGACTCAGGAAAGAAAGTCATAAATCTCTGAACTTTGTGTTTCCAAGAAAGAGCAAGAGCAATGTTGAACTGCTGGAATATTTCTCTTTATTTCTTGATAGAATGTTCATAATTGGATCTCATGTCCCAGGAAACCCTAATCCTATAATACATAGGTATGAATAGCAGATATGGGACTGTTTTAGTCATTTAACTAATTTTTTTAAAAAGTGAAAAAATAATTACTAAAGGGATTGGAATCTCTCTGGAAATAATCTTGGAAGCTGTGAACAATGTAGTTGAAGTCCTCCCCAACTTTTATTCAAAATCTTTGCAGACAAATGTATTATGTAATTTATAATTGTTTTGACCATCTGTTCTCTAGAGCACCCAAAATCAAACACATAAATATTCTGACAGAAAAACATATAGATAGTCACACTAAGTGAAATAAATAAAAACCTTGAAGAGCCTTGAATCAGTTCTTACTGCCTTGATTTAAGTCAACTTTTGTCATCAAATGAGTTGAATAAAAACTTTCTGTAAGCCTGTGCTTTTAGTATCATATCAAAGAAATATTAGCAAAGATCAATATTATGAATCTTTTCCCTTATGTTTTCTTCTAGTAGTTTTATAGTTTTAAGTCTTACATTTAAGTCTTTAATCCATTTAGAGTTGATGTTTGCATATGGTAAGAATAAGGGACTAATTTCATTTCTTTTGCATGTGGATATCTAGTTTTCCCAGAATGTTTTATTGAAGAGACTGTCCTTTCCCTACTGTGTGTTCTTGGCATCTTTGTCAAAAATCAATTGATTGTTAATGCATAGATTTATTTTTGCACTCCCTATTCTGTTCCATTGGTCTATATGTCTGTCTTTATGCCATTACCATACTATTTTGATTCCTGTAGCTTTGCAATATGCTTTGAAATCAGGAATTACGAAGCCTCCAGCTTTCTTCTTCTCTCTCAAGATTATTTTGTTTATTCAAGGTCCTTTGTTGTTACATGTGAATTTTAGGATTGTTTTTATCTATTTCTGTGAAAAATACCATAGAGATTTTGATATGGATTGCAATGACTCTATAGATCACTTTGCATAGTATGCCATTTTAACAATATTAATTCTCCCAATCCATGACCATGAGATGCCTTTCTATTTATTTGTTCTCTTTAACTTCTTTTAGCAATGTTTTGTAGTTATTATTGCACAAGTCTTTCACGTCTTTGTAGGACTACTAAAAACTAAAAAGTTTCTGTGCAGCAAAAGAAACAGTTAAGAGTGAAAAGGCAACCTGTACATAGAATGGTAGACATATTTGCAAACCATATATTTGATAAAGGGTTAATATTCATTATATATAAGAAACTTCTATGACTCAAAAGTAAAAAAAAAATCTAAATTACTTAATTAAAATATGAGCAAAGAGCTTGAATTGCCATTTCTCCAAAGAACACATAAAAGTGATTAACAACTATATGAAAAGATGTTCAACATCACTAATCATCAGGGAAGCACAAACTAAAACCACAGTGAGATATCAACTCATACATATAAAAATAAATACCATTGTAAAAATAAATAAGTAAAAAAAAACAAGTATTCATGAGGATGTGGAGAAATTGGAATGCTTGTGCACTGTTGGTGGGAGTATGAAATGGTGATGGTGCTATGGAAAACAGTATGGAGATCCCTCAAAAAATTAAAAATAGAAGTAGCATATGATCCAGCAGTCCCACTTCTCACTATCCAAAAGAATTGAAAACAAGATCTTAAAAATATATCTGCTCTCCCATGTTCATTGCAGCATTACTAACAATAGCTAAGATGTGGAAACAAAACAACCTAAATGTTCACTGACAGATCAATGAATAAATAAAATGTGGTATATACATACAATGGAATATTCTTCAGACTTAAAAACGAAGAAAATCCTGTCACATATTACAACACGGACGTTATGCTACGTGAAATAAGCCAGTAACAGAAGAACAATACTGTATGATTCCATTTCCATGAGATATCTAAAATAGTCAAATTCATAGAATCAGAAAGCGGAATAGTGGTTTCCAGAGCTGGGGTAAAGGGACATGGGCAGTTGCTATTTAACAGGTATAGATTTTTAAACATGCAAAATGAAGAAGTTCTAGAGATCTACTGCGCAGCGACGTGCATCTAGTTAACAATACTGCACTGTACACCTAAAAGGTATTAAGAGGGTAGGTCTCATATTATATGTTTTTACCACAATCATAAAAAATTCTAGTGTTTAAAGTTTTTTTAATTTTAAAATTGCAATTAAGAAATTATTGATCAATTTACCAAAGTATGTTCTATAGATATTGAGTAAAAAGGGAAAGCAGTGTTTATTGTTAAATAAGTTTGGAAAACATAAGCTTAAATAAAATTAAACAGATTCATTACAGTAGAATTTCTCAGTGATTTTTATATGCTAATGTCTTGGGAATTCCAAGAAAGATGGTATACTATGCAACATTTCCTATGCGTATCAAATCACAGAAGCTTTTTTGAAACATCTTGAAGGCCTGGTGTTTTGTAGAATGGATTTTAGAAAGGTTCTTGGAATGATGTCCAGAAAATAAAGGGACTAGTGGCCTTTTCTGGAGAGATTGGGTTCCTTATCCAGTCCCAGGCACCCATTCATTCAGAAAATACTGAAGAACATGGCTCTGTACTTGAAAACTGGCTAGGGGTGCACAGATAGAAGCAAAAGCCCCTGTCCCCAACAAAGTCACAGTCTAGTGTCAAAAGAGCCAAGAAAACAACTGAAGTAAACTTAATAATTGATATAATGGTGATAAAAAGCAAATCTTAGGATTTGCTGTCTGATAATTAATTTTTAAAAAATCAACTCATAATGACTTAGTGTGTGATTATACTAAGTCATCTTACAGAAATGTGTATGAATCAAGCAGTTGATTGATTAGTCCCAGAAACACAGAAAAAAGTTTATCACGTGGGCAAAATGAGGCAGTGCCCACCCAAACACCAGGGCATAGAAATCTAGCTTCAAGTAGCTGGCCCCATTGGTGATGATATGCCTAATGAAGATAAAGACATAGGAGTTTGGGACAAATAATCTCTGTCAGGATGTTTTCTAATGTCTGATGGATGTGCATTAGTCTATTTTATCCCGGTGCCAATGAACATTTCTTTGACCAACACAACTCACCTTATTTTCAAACCATGCTCACAAAACATCATTCTGATGATGATCTGGCATGTCCTATGGTGTGCCTGTAGGAAAAGATTGTGCTGCCTAAAAAATTAGATTATTCTTATTTCTGTGTAAACTATTCATCATTGTCAGTAGGTAAATTTGTGTTAAGGCTACCAACCATGCTGGCTTGCCTGGGACTGAGGGTTTTCTCCAGACACTGGACTTTCAGGGCTAAAATCAAGACTGTCCTGGACAAAACTGGCTGAGTTGATACTCTAATTGGTGTTCATGTTTAAAGATTGATCTCAAGAGCATCTCAAGACCATGTCTGAGAGATGAACTCACCTTGTTGTGATGACCAATCCAGTTTCTGAACTGGTAATACTGAGGGCGGACCCTAGCCTAAGACCAATTCACCAAAGTAATGAAGGTCACACAGCAACAAGCCTTTTTGAGAGTTACCAGCTTTGGTAGAGGCAAAATAAACAGGGGGAACTTCATGCTTCCTGATTCAGGAATTGGAAACTTCAAGAAGGAGGTTGTTTTGATCTGATGGGACTGGAGGTATTAATACAGGGGTTTTTTCAAGCAGACATGCAAGGAGACAGCAATTCATTCATTAATTATCAATTCATTTATTTATTTAACAAATACAGTTAATTCAGTTTCTCAAGCATTTCTTTGAGCACATACTCTCAAACCACTCAATAAACAAAGATCAATTCCTGCTTTCATGAAGCTTATATTCTAGGGAAAGAGATAGAGAATAAAGAATAGGCAAGTACAGTAGAGTATATGTTAGATGATGGCAAGTGTTAAGAAGATAAGTGAGGCAGGAAATGAGGATGGAAGCACCTAGGAAGGTGCCATTTAAGCAAATACCTGAAGGATCTAATGAAACAAGCCATACCAATAAGACAAGAAGGAGAGTCTTGAAGAGGTCAAGGAGGGGTGAGGCCACTGGCATGGCTAGAGATATTGAGAGAGCCGATGAAAACAAAGGCAGAGAGGAGGGGGCTTTTTTGTGGATTAAGTAGGGGATTAAACGTAATCAAAATAAATTAGGCTTTTAATCTTGGTGAGATGGAAAGTCAATGTGGGATTAGAACAGAGAAAACAGAATGTGCAAAGGCCCTGACTAGAGAGAACCAGATAGAGGGGAATTAGAAAGAATTCCACATTTGGCTGTAGTATTGAATACTTTGGAGAATCAAGCAAGACATGGACCAGAAAGGGCCTATTGACTTTAGGAGATCCTAGGTACTTTGATCATTTCCTTGGTTTAGAGAGAAGGAAAGGCAGGTATCCATGGATGAAGCAGTTGGTGGGGCAGAGCCTCGGGTCTTGTTCAGAGGTTGCTGAGGGGCTGACGGGGCAGGCAGGAGTAAATGAAAGACTGAGAGGAGGGTTCTCTGGTCTCCATCCCGTCTCTCAACCAGTGAAGTTGTTCTTTGTGTGTATGTGTGTGTTGATGTTTCAAAAAAGATTTAATTTGAAAAAGAGTGTTCTACTGCTTGAAAAAAAAGGGGCATTAAAAACCAAAAATAGGAAGTGAGAAAATTAATACATCTAGGTGGATGAACTTTCTAAGAAAGGACTGAAAAAGGGGAGACGTAAGCAGTATGGGGATTTGAGGACAGGGTAGAAATTTTTATTTTGTTAAGATAGAGCTAGGTTAAGCTTGTTTTAGGCTGAGAAGAAAGAGCTGTTAAAGTGTAAAAGTTTGATACAAAGAACAACAGGAGGTAATGGGAAAGTGACTAAGCTCTCTTACAGCAGGTAGGAGAGCGTCGGGTCCATAGCAGACATGAATATATTTGCATTATATTTGGTTTATAAGCTATAATTCTTAAAGCTCAAGGATTTCCTTTGACTGTTTTTTTTATGTCATTTAAGCTTCAAATAAACATTTAAATAAGCACTTTTTTTTAAAGAAAGTTGATTTTCATATCTAGTTATTATCCTGCTACCTTTGCCAACATACCAGAATCTTTGATTATTTTTTCTCCTGTGGCGTCAACCTAGAGAGGAAGGATCTTGATTAAATATGCCAACTATCTTTACACTCAATTTGACCAAAGGCCAACTCTTTTTATGTTTGTAATAGGAATGTACTGAACAAATTCTGAAATTCACTTTCATAAACTTTCTTTCTCTTAGACTTTCAGAGTAGGGTAAGTTTTTAAAAAGCCGAGTCACCATGTTCGTCTTTAGGGCAGACAAAAGTCTATGCACTTTTTTTTTTCTTAGACTCCCAGGTAAGGAAATTCTATAATCTACTTTAAAATCTACTCTAGCCCTTAGCAAGATTTCCAATCAAGAGGCTCCTTTTCATCACTAAACTGCTTTGCTGCTGCAGCAGATTTAGTAGATTTCCTAAGGCTTCAGAAGCAGTGGAGAGCAGCCTCCCTTGACTTGGTGTACAGAGTCAGGCCACAGAGACTTCCACTCTTACTTCCCGGGTAGCACACACAGCACAGTCAAATAAATGCCCTCCTGGATTCCTATGCCATTAGGGTATGTGCTAAAAGAGCTCACTGGAGAAAAAGCTGAAATCAATTGTGAGTTAGGGCTTGCTTCCCAACATGTAGCCCAACAACGTAACATCAACACCATTGGGGATCTTGTCACCATCTTCTGAATAACAGGATCCCCTTTTAACAGGATCCACAAATGATTCTTATGGACATTAAAGTTGAGGAGCCACTGCTTTAGATAATTCTTTTGAAATATTATATAATCAGCTTACCGGACTTCAGAATTCCTCCTTTCCCAATGGCTGGCTCTTCAGGGTGGTGTCTTTCTCTTACTCACCTTTGTATTTCTAGTGCCTAGCACAGGGCCTG
Organism: Homo sapiens; assembly: GCF_000001405.40. NCBI lineage: Eukaryota > Metazoa > Chordata > Mammalia > Primates > Hominidae > Homo > Homo sapiens. The sequence goes on from NC_000005.10 coordinate 57,733,702, forward strand.
GCATATGCCCCTTTGATTTCTTTTGGTGTCACAGCTTAATCCATGTTTACTGAATAAGTTGCAGAATCAGTCTAGTGTCACAGTATAATCCTACTGCCATCAGAAGAAATTCATATAAACAATTTTTCTGAATATGGCTTTTACTATAATCATTATTTTAGGCCACATATCATGAAACCAAAAATCCTACTCTAAACTGATGACCTTTTGGTTTCATCTGGGCAGAGTCTCCCTTTTGTTTTAATTCAAAGCATACCTCTATTTCCACATTCCCATTTTTCTGGGGTTCAGTTTATCTTGTGCTATTTAATCTGTTTTTTTTTTTCAGTCTCCCACTTTCTTTTCTTCCCAAATGACTGATGCAGGTGGAGGGTGGCAATTTTTGAGTTATTTTTGTATCTTGTTTTTCCCTTTAGCTTTCATCAAGGTGACACTTTAGAGACTTAAGGTGGGTAAGTGGAAAGACAGAGAGGACTTTCTGTTTTCATCAACACCTGCAAGAGATTTTTCCCTATTCCAACAATAGCATTGATTTTACATTTTACTTGCTCTGAGCAGGATGATACACAAAGGCTTAGCATGATAGATAGTGTTTACTTATTTTTAGACCATTTGTATTTTTCATTTCATGAGACCTCTGCCATTGCACATTTTTGATAGAAAAGTAGCAATCTTTCCTAGGAACATTTCTGCTTTGCTCTTTGACTTGTTTCCCTTCTGCTGGCAATATAGTCATACTGCAGGCTGTTCAAGGATAGAGTTCTTTGTGAAGTGATGAAGATGAATTATTCCTGCCAGACACAAAAACAGTTATTTTACTTGTTACTTAAATTGGAAAGAGACAAAGAATACTGTTCAATTTTAACTTGCCAGCAGGCGTTCAGGGAAAAGGATTTTCCTAACAACTTGGAGAATGCACTTCTAAAACATCTGTCGACATTAAAGTGAGGCTAAAGATCGGTACCAGTGCAAAGCAGAGCTCAATTTTTCTCTCCAATTTCACCAAAATCAGTAGGGAAGGCAAGGGGTGGCAGCTTTACTAATTTATTGGAGAAATGCTCGGGTGAAATGTTGGAAAGACTCTAATTGTTCATGGACTCCCATGTAAGTATAAATTCTCTGCATTATATTTCCTATGGAGGTTACAGTGAGTAGAGAGAAGTTTTTTTGTGGTTGCCAAAATTTAGATAATAAAAGTGGGACTTCAAGATTTAATTGAATAGCTATAGCCTTGAATCAAGAGCAAAATAGTAAAATGTCATTATAGATACGTATCAAGAAGAAAAACAATCCATGATTTCTGAAACTATAGCAGAGTTGCACTGTGCTACAAACACCCAGAGCAAACTCCCCTCAGAGACCGCCCTAAAGGACAAAATGGTTCTTAACTGGAAAAAAAAACACCTTCTGGAATGTCGGCAAAGCATGTAAATTACAGATGATTTTTTAAAATGACTCCCCAACTTTGAAACTCGTAAGCAGATCATGAACAAATGTGTTCAGCAGAACCTGTGGTATGGCCTGGCAGCAACCTCGAGAGAAGGAACTGACATATCCTTACATTTTCAAGTCATGTTTTTACTGTAGAAAAAGAAAAGTGTTGCCTATCGCCCAGTCAATGGAAGTGTCAGAGGTGTGTGAAGTAGAGCAACTCCATCTTGAATAGGAGCTGGGTAAAATAAGGCTGAAACCTACTGGGCTGCATTCCAGACGGTTAAGGCATTCTGAGTCACAGGATGAGATAGGAGGTCGGCACAAGATACAGGTCATAAAGACCTTGCTGATAAAACAGGTTGCAGTAAGAAGCTGGCTAAAACCCAGCAAAATCACAATGGCCAGGAGAAGTACCTCTGGTCATCCTCACTGCTACACTCCCACCAGCGCCATGACAGTTTACAAATGCCATGGCAACATCAGGAAGTTACCCTATATGTTCTAAAAAGGAGAGGCATGAATAATCCACCCCTTGTTTAGCATATCATCAAGAAATAACCATAAAAATGGTCAACCAGCCGCCCTCAGGGCTGCTCTGTCTATGGAGTAGCCATTCTTTTATTCCTTTACTTTCTTAATAAATTTGCTCTCACTTTACCGTATGGACTCACCCTAAACTCTTTCTTGCACAAGATCCAAGAACCCTCTATTGGGGTCTGGATCCGGAGCCCTTTTCTGTAACAGAAGATGGAAACTTGTTTTTCTTTTCATGGTTTGTGTGTTTGGTGGATGAATCAGAGGTCAGACTTGGTCAGACTCTACAGTCAGCCCTTTGGAATTAGGGATTTTTTTCCCAATAACCAAATAGTGACCAACTCTTCTCCTGGCAGTGGGAATATTAAAATTGTTCTTTTAGGCCTGGCTGATTTTCATCTTGTGATGATGTTTTAAAAAAGCAGTCCTATTGTGTTCTCTCATAGTATCTCTCTCTCCTTGACTCCATTCAAATTGTAGGTGGTTCTCAGGAATGCTGTCTAGAGATGTGGAGACCAAGGTATATTTAGTCAAATTTTAGTATCGACATTCGGTTAATTAGAGCTATTTGAGATTGAATGGGAGACACTATGTCAAAAAAGACTCTTAAAAGTTAAAATTCAAGCTTTGATTACTAACTCCATGCCTATTTTCCTGAGAAGTATCTGATGTCTGCCTGAAACACTGTAATTCCTTTCTTCTTTCTTTTTTTAATCCCACTCATTCCTTTTAAAAGTTGACTTTTCTCTTTAATGCCATAGCTCAGGTGATCTATGACACATCTTCATTTCAAGGTTCATCCCTTTGTAATTCACTAGGCAAAGGAAATTCGAATCTCACAGGGACATTTATCTGTTCACGAGAAGAAAGAGGAAGAAAGGGGCCCCCTTAAGATAGTAAGGGAAGGGATTTAGGGAGAGACAAAGATATTTTTCCAGGACTTTTTTGCACCTAGATCCATTTTAAGGCCATTAATCCTTTGATATATGTTTGCAGGTAAGAGAACAAAGGAATCAAACTTGACTGCAATTGGATTCCACATGAATTATCAATTAGAGACATAAGAACATGTGATTTATAGGACTGTTTTGTAAGTGCTCCTTTGTGTAGCCTATTGACAAAGGAAGAGGAGAGATGTGCTGTGATTTCCCGGCCTTGTTCCAAAGCCCTGTTGCCAACTGCTTTCAGCTATGAATTCCCAAACAGATTTTAGCACTTACTTCCAAAACCAGATGAAGTATCAAAATAATTTCTAAAAGGCTAGTGGCAGTGCAAAGTGACAGTGACAGGGACTTACAACAGCCTTCCTGGACACCGTCCACCACCTCCCTACCAGCTGGTGCCCTGCAAGTGCATGCGTGGTGCTTTTTGCTTTCTTCTAACATAATCCTAATCGTGATGCTTTGAAATAGCCTAAGTCATTTTTTTTTCTAACTCCATTTTGAGGATGAAAGCAACTGTAACATCTTTTCTCAGGGCCTGGCATGTTTGAGGAGTTCAGTTAATATGTACTTGATAAATAAAGAAAAAACAAATAATTTGACTAATAGAAAAAGCTTCTGAGGAAGTTAGACTTAAGAACTGTATTCAGATCACATTCAGAAGTAGAAAAGGAGAGAAAACCAAGCCTCTGCTTGAACATGCATTCGTTCATTCTACATAACAACTCCTACGAGTTTGATTCAGTGATCTATTTTGGGGGTCCTGTGGATGTGGCTATTTGGAAACCATTAAGAGGCAGTGTACCAGCTCAGGGCAAAGCTTCTCTACATGACTTGCACTAGTTACAGTCTGATAAGTCTTTCTTGGGTTAAACAAGGAGAAAGATAAGTTTTAAAGTTACCTCTTGTACCTCTTATACCTAGAGTAAGCAATGCTTTAACATATCCTCTGATGACCTAATGAGAAAAGTAGGATCTGTTCTTTTAATATAAATCAGAACATGTTTACTAGGCACCAACTCTTCTCTCAGCCAGACTTAAAGACATGTACAGATATATAAGAGAGTAGAAGAAACAGTTTCTGTTCCCAGAGTCAATAAAGCAGTTGGATTGGAAACATTCCTATAAACAGAGACATGATGAACCATTTACTGATAGTTCAGGGGTATTTATGCTAAATTATGTTCCTTAATACTTATATCCAAATTCACTGACATCAACTTAAAATGAAAAAGATTAATCTAAATAAAATCTTGATATATCAGAAATTTATTACTGAAGGCCAGAGACTGAGGTCTGGGGTTTTGACCAACAGGGATTGGAAACTAGAAATTAGGGCAGTTAATTAAGGTCTTTGACTGCTGACTACAGAAATTCTTAGATTGCTTGGAATTTTCAGATGACCAAATCTTCTAAAGAGTAATAGTAAACAGCTGATCTTTATATCCAGGTCATATTTATCAGTCCTACAGCTCAATGCTGACCCCACGGGAAGGGCTGATGAAGGTGAATAAATCAGGATACAAACAGCCAAGAGAAAATCTGTAAATACAGAGGTGCTTCTCTCTTGCCCCAAAAACTTTTCCCTGTTCTACTCCCATCAGTCAACCTTCTCTGTATTCTATGAGATCCTAAACCATTAGAATCCTAGGCTTTGTTTTCTCCTTTCTCATTTGTCATATTATTTGACAAGGCGGCACACTCAATTTTCCAACCTTTTTATTGTCTTTTGTTCAACAGTGCTACATTCTAGCCTGGGTCTCAAAATCCTTCTCCTTGCTTTGCTTTCTCTAGGCTGCTGCCCTTCTTGCTAATTTTTTGATCTTCTCAACTGTACAAAGGTCATCTGTCTGTTGCACTATCCAAGTCAATTTGTGCAGTGAGTAAAGACGCAGAGTCTCTGTTAGAGCTCTCAGGTTTCTGTGTTCAAGAATGCTGGGCCAGTAGGCTGTCTTTTAGAGTGAGACAGTGAAGCAAATAATTCCCCAGGATGTTTTCTGAGATTCCATTGTTAAACTCCAGTTTTTCATTAATGGCTCTAAATGGTCATTATTGCAATTAAAAAAATTTTTCCCTGTGGTTATGTGTGTGTGTGTGCACGCATGTGTGTGTAGGGCCAGAGTAGTGCATTGGGGATATGAGATTTGAGGGTGAGAACTTTGCCTTGAAGATTTTTAGGTTCTGAAGGCAAAATCTAAAATTAAGGGATCTTACAAGAAAGAAAAACTATAGAAGGCAACCATAAGTTATAGATTTCTGGGGCAATCCAGTATTCATTTGTGATTCACTCAATACACATTTACTGAGACCTTATCTGCACCAGTCACCCTAGACATTGAGCAGTAAGATGCATGCCCTACCCTGAAGATGCAACTGTTTCCAGACAAACAGCCTATTCAATATGATGCAATGACTTCTGTAGTGGAAATATTTGCAAAATACTGTAGTAGCGTAAGCATTAGATTGTAAACTGATTGAGGGCAGAGCCTGGGTCAAATTTACCTTTGTGACCTCAGCATCTAGCTCAGGTTTTGGCACATAGTACATGCTTGATTTATATTTAATGATTGATTGAATGAATAAATATTTTCCCCTATGTGTCTGCCTATATCAACCATTTCTCTCCTGTTATTCTGATACATGGCTTCCCATTTTGATATGCAGCTTTTTGTCTGTGAGAGTGCTTTACCAATGTTTTGTATGTCTACTATATTCCAGTCTTTATTGGGCACCTACTTTTATATCAATGATACTCATTGATGAATAACATGTACATATATCAAAACATCTCACTATACCCCATGAATATATACAATTATTTGTCTATTAAAACATATATTTTAAAAAACCAATAGTTTTTAGATGCCACGTGCTTCAGGTGACTTTCACACGTTAAGTCTCACATTTGGTTGGGATGACATAAGAAGTCAAAAGGAACTAATTCCCTGTACCTTGGGTCACTTTTTAAAAGGAAAAAAATAAAGAAAACAAACCCAAATTCCAGTGTCATTAATGCCAATGTAAAGTGAAGCTTTTTCCTTGATGAAAGGGCCATGTATTTTGGGTCACATAACAAAGAGCAACATTCTATCCTTCCCCTGATTTTGAAATTATAAAATATTTCTTCTGTGTTTTATAAATACAGAAGACTAGACACAGTATAAGTAATAACAAAATGATCATCACGTCAGCTTAGACACGGCAAATGTGTCCTGCATAGCCCATCTCCCTCCCTCTGGGCCTCTGCTTCATTGCGTGGCCTTCCTCCTACTCAAGGGCACTCAGTACTCTGCAGGTGGAGCATGGAAGATGAGTCCTGGTGTACTTATAAATGGAAAACCATAGAGTAGCAAAATAGAATAAATGGTCACTTCATACACGCACATGACTGACTCTCAGAAACACACTGTCAAATAAATAAAACAAGTCACAGAATATACATAATATGACACCATTTACATTAGCTCAAATTTCAAAATCATATAAAATGTAATCATATGTCATTTGGAGATGCTTAAACAAGCAGTAAAATGATAATGAAAAACAGGAAATAATCATTTTTAAGGACTGTTTCTTTCTTTAAAGCTTTCTTTGATCCTTTAAAATATATTGATGGTCACTGGGTCACATTCATGCAAACAGGAAGAAGAAACCTTTATTCATTATGCTGGATGAATGAATTGGGTGGGATTCCTATGGACAAATTAAATGAAAGCTTAGTAGCTTAAGAAATTATTCACCTATCATTTGGCTTTTGCCTCAACTTTAAGAAACATCACAGGGTGTTTTACTTACTACAGTCTTTACAGTGGTGCTATGAAGCTTAAATATCAAGCTGAAGGCCCCAGTGACTGATTTTCACTTTTGCTCATTACATTTGCAGTGAACATCCTAAGTAACGAAGTAACTAGCTAAAGTAAGCTTTTACTAGTAATAGTGTGACAGACATAGAGGAAATACCAAATGAATCACAAATAGGCTAAAGCAGAAGAACACAGATTATCAGCTCAGTGTAAATTATAAACTTTGGGGCAATAAAAAGCCATAGTTAAAGTTTAAAATATTTAAATGCCAGGCTCTGTGATGTGTCCTTTTCTTATTTAATCTTTATGTGGCGCCTTTAAGTTAGGCATTATTATCCTGGATTTACGAAGGTTTGCAAAGGAGGACATTGATACTTACAGGGATTAACATCGCATGTCAAAAGTCATAAGACTGTTACTTGACAAGGCTGGGATTTGAATGCAGGTTCATTTGACTCCTAACTTCTTGCTTTTTCCACAATGTTATTAATGCTGCTTATCAAAAAGAAATAAGATAAGCTTTATCTTAGGTATGTGGGGTCTCGACACATCCTATTCAAATTATCATGTGGATAGGAAGCTATTATCAATGTAAAACAATTATATTTATCCATCATAGCGTGTAACCCTGAGACCTGGAAATTTAGGGGACAGAGAATGGGATGTGGAGTCAGAATACTTAAGTTTGAGCTCTTGTTTAAGTATTGGTTGGGGTCATGATGACACATTAAAAACTTGATTCCCAGTATACCTACCTGTACACTGACAGTAATAATGCCTTCTCTTATTTCTTGTTTGTTTATTCCTTCACTTTTAGCCTAATTTCCACTTTCATTTCCTTCCTCCTTACTCCCATAAGCAACCATTCTAATGTGTTTGATTGATGCTCATCTTTTAATTTGTAATTATTCTTATAAAATGTGAATTAAAATGTTGTGTGTGTGTGGTTGCCATTAGGGCTCTCTACCTATATATTCCAGTTTCTTTCCTTCCAGTTAGGATCACAATTATCTACTTTTTTGAGGTTGGCCATGGCCATTTGACTTGTTTTGGCAATGAAATGTCAGTGTAATTGATGGGTGTCATTTCTGAGTGGATGCCTTTAAAAGCCAGGATATGATTCACCATATTTTCTTGCCCTTACTACAGTGACCAATGGTATTATTTAAAAATGTATTACCTGGCACATACTTACACTAAAAAAGTATTTGCTTATCTGAAATTCAAAATTACCCAAGTGTCCTATGTTTTATTTGGCAATCCTATCTCCAGCAAAATCTTGTAGTTGTTACATTTTAGGGTTTCAAGATAACCTAATAGCAATAAAATCATTTACTATGTTCAATGTTATTTCAGAATTTAAAGCTTGTACCTCAGTAGCATTTTTATTTAATGTCATTGTTTAGAACATGTGCAGGGATGTGAAGCAAAGATTGGACAAGTGAAACGTTTGTCAAAGGGGTGTTAAATAGTGTCTTAGTTGGCTCAAGCTGCAATGTCTTACTCTGTTTTGGCTGTTATAACAAAATACCATAAGTTGAGTGTCTTATAAACAATGGAAATTTATTTCTTACAGTTCTGGAGGCAGGAAAGTCCAAGATCAAGGTGCTAACAGATTCGGTTAGATTCTTGTTCACAGGCGGCATCTTCTTTTTGTCTCCTCCTATGACAGAAGGGGCTACCTCCTTCAGGCTTCTTTTTTAAGGGCACTAATTCCATTCATGAGGACTCTGCTGTCATGAACCAGTCACCTTACAAAGGTCCTGTCACTTAAAATTATCACATTGGGGGTTAATATTTAAACATATGAGTTTAGGATACACACAAACATTTGGACCATAGCAAATAGTAACCTATGCATTTGATGCCTCTGACCTAATGGGTCTTAAAGAAGCCGATTATGCAGAAGGCATTTTAAAAAATTATAATTTCCACTTTTAATTTAAATTCAGAGGGTACGTGTGCACATTTGTTACATGGGTATATTGTGTGATGCTGAGGTTTTGGGTTTGATTGATACCATCACCCAGGTTGTGAGCATAGTGCGCAATGGTTAGATTTCAACCCTATTACCCCTCCCTCCTTCCCCCCTCTAATAGTTCCTAGTGGTTATTATTGCCATCGTTATATCCACAAGTATGCAGTGTTTAGCTCCCACTTATAAGTGAGAACATCAGAAGGCCTTATTATAAGGACAGGGTGTGGCTATAAAGTCTGAAAACATGTTATTGATCATGTCATCTAAAATAATGTAATAGCAATAAACTACTTGTTAGCTACATTTGTTTATGTTTTCAGACTTTGTGACTATCTTATAATTTCTCTGCTCTTCAGATTAAAAAAGAAACAGGACCTAAGCTTCAAACAGTTTAATCTTATTCTGTCAAAATTTCTCCCCTTCTTAGTGAAGTTCCTAAAGTACCTGCATAGAGGAGAAGGCAAAGGAAATGTGTGCTATTACTATAAGGCTTTTGCCTCAAATCTTAGTCTAGCCTCTTGGTGAGAAGGACTGGACCACATAAAAGTCTCATTTTTCCTAGATCAGTCAAGCTGAGCATATTGGTTACCTCGAAGCTAGTATCAAAGTTCTTCCTTTCCTAGCATTCCAGTGCAAGGAAAGATAAGCCAAAGGAAAGGAGAAAAAAATAAACCAGGATTCCTAGAACAGAGCTGATCTCTGCTCTCCAGGCGAAGCCCTCTCATTGCAGCACAGGGGTCCATGTTAGCACTTCAGCTGCCTAGGACAGAGTCCAGAGGGAAGAGATAGCACAGCACCAGAGCCTTGGGAACTTGGCTTCTCTGGTCCTTCACATAAAAAAACTCCAAATGACCAGCACCTGACATTGTTTCCCATGGGTGGCAAAACATTTATTTAACATCAAACTATATGTTTGTATCATATTTTTTCAATTCAAAGAGACCCTAGACGCAAGTATGATGCACATAAAATTTACTATGTTTTTCAAGGTAAAAAAGAAGTAGTACATTAAATGTATACATTAACTATAAAATCAAACTCAATTTCTCAACTGTTTTGTGAAGGGGCACAAATGATATTGGAAACAAGGAAGAGGGGAATACACTCACATATTTTTCTCATAGTTACCAGTACTGTGCTTCTTCAGAGTGGGATGGAGAAGAGGAGGTGGAAAGAGTGGGGAGAGAAAAGGTGTTGAGGGCTTCTGCTGGGAGATGCACTATCATGAGGAAACACACTGGAGGCCTTGGTGTGTCCTGGTGGTAAGTAGGGGGTAAGGGAGGAAGCACTCTCTTTCTTCATTTGTTTACTTCTAGTGTTTATGGAGCTCTAATTATCCACCAGGCAATCTAGTTGCTGATGCTACAGTGGTGAAACAGTCGTCTTACTATAGGCTGCCATTCTGGTGGTGGGAGACCAAAAATACAAAATCATTTTTAAAAGGCACTGTACTTTTTCATAGCAATAAGAAAAACTGTTTAAAAACACAGATTTAGCAGAATAAAAAGAGGATTAAAATGTCAGTATTACAAAGAGCCTCTAACTATGGCCAAGGGACATCTTCTGCTGATAAATAAGCAAGGTACCTATTTCCTTTATTTTGTTACTGTGAGTGTCCACTGGTAGAATGCACTGGGTCCATTCCAGTAAGCAGGGCAGCCTTTACTTACTTCTGTAAGTCTACATTTATCCCAAGCAGACCATGTTCCAAAGATGAGTGAGTTTGTTTGAGTCTAAATGTTCTAGAGTCTCAGTGGCCTCAGTTATTATCTATGTAAGGGATAACTGCACTCTGCTTGTCCTGCCTCCATCCAGCCTTTCAGGTCCACATTACATCTCTACTGTGTATACACTTGAGCTCTTAAAGGTGCCTCATATTCTAGGCTGCTACTCAAGATCCCTCCACACACCTATGAGGAGATGTTCTCTATGACAACCCTGCTGCTTGTGCTTGGACACACCATCCTGTCCCTAGCCATCTGCATGTGGTGGCTTATTCTTATTCTTCCTTATTCTCATCCTGCTATGTTGGCCTTGAGTCTTCTAGTTTATAACTCAGACAGCTACTGTAGACTTTCACCCTGATTGGTAGCAAACTTTCACTTCTAGCTCTTGTGCCAACCTTGCTACTCAAAATGTGGTTCAAAAATCAGCAGCATTGGCAATACCTGGGCTTATTAGACATCACAATCTCAGGGCCCACTCTACACCCACTGGATTAGAATCCACATTTTTTGAGATCTCTAGAAGATTCATATGTACATTAGAGTGTGAGAAGCTATTCTAAACTTCACCACCTTACTCTGGACTCTGTATTAGTGTTCTATCAACTACTTCCAGCTTTCTATGAACAAAGGCATCATGTGCTGTCATTTGCAGTGTATTTGTTTGTGTGCTTTTTGTTTCTGTTTTTCCTTCTTTGATGTGTTTCATTCATTTGTTGTCTAAAATCTGACATTATTAAAACTCTGAAGAAACTGCATTATTTACCTCTAACTATCTCCCATATCTTAGTGCCGAGTAGAATAGATGTGGTTGGTGTACCTGTTCTTGTTACTTAGTACATTGATTTCTCTTGTTTTTTTCGCTCTCTCTTTCTCTGTCACTCTTTCTCCTCCTTTCTTACATACACACACACATGCACATACACATACACAAACACACACTTATTTCAATGAGGGCCACAAGAAGTATCTTCACTCAGTGCCACACAGCACAGAGATATCTTAGAAGTAACTGACTGGAACACTCTATTAAAGGTCTCATGATGTATATTCTACCCACTGTATAAATACAGAAAGCTTTTGTTTCTAATTGACTTTGCAAATCTCTCAGAAGCTTCCTCCTGTGTGTGGGCTGCCTAGGATTGCAGGTTTTATTATATCTAGGAGTTATTCTTTCCTAGTATTCATTTAATTTAGCTGATTGTTTATAATTTGTTTCATCTGACTCATGCTTGATCTAATTTATTTTTTATTGTAAACACTTGAGGAAGAATCTCAAATAATCATTTTCTCCACCACACTGTTACTTCCATTATACTTTTATCAAATTTTCTAAAGGATAGTAAAGTTTAAATTGAAGTTTAAATTGTTATATTTAAAGTGTTTTGTGGAAAAATATTCAGAGAACACCGTGTACACAGATCTGGTGGATTACTTGATACTTCCATTTGTTAGCTCTCTTTAGGAACAAAACCCCTAATTTTCTGCAATTACTCTGTCAACTCCGAATTTGCATTAATATTAGAAGCATCCCAATATAAAATTTGGGCTCAATTTCATGTGTTTCATTTTAGCCTGTGAACAGAGAAAACTACACAGACCTCAATTTATGCTTTAGGAGACTTCAGTTACGGTGAGTAAGTTACTGCTAACTCATCGCCCATATTTAAGGGCCATGTAGTACGAATTTTGCTGTGATGTTCTTCTGTTGGTTTAAGTCTGTGAAGAACTTGAAACACTCCCTTCCCTGGCCGCACTGACCCAGAGCTGCCCTTGTTGTTTTACTTTCTGTCTAGCAGCTTCCTTTCTGCTTCTTCTCTTCTCCTTAGGCTGCTATGATTTGCATGTATATGTCCCTCTGAAATTCATATGTTGGAACTTAAACTTTAAGGTGATGCTAATAAGACATGAGGACTTTTGGGAAGTGATTAAGTCATGAAGGCTCTGCCCTTATGAATGGGATTAATGCCCTTATAAGAGAGGCTTCTGAGGCTGTGACAGGATGATCAACTAAGCCTTGGAGGTGGAGGCTGCAGTGAGCTGTGATCATGCCACTGCACTCCAGCCTGAGTGACAGGGCGAGTCTCTGTCTCAAAAAGAAAAAAATAAAATATCATTCGTATCCATGGTTTCAAATATACATATGCATAGATGACTTACAGATCTTTGATTTGAGCCCCAGTCTTGTATATTGAGGGTCTGCATGGTATCTCCACTTGGATGTTTCAAAACAACTGAAACTGGATTAACAATTATCCCTGTCATATCTGCCTCTAGCTGGAGGAAACTCTGGGAAAATTCCTCTGTGTTTTTTGTTGGCTTACAGTAATTCTGGGATGAGACTGCCTTTAGATAGTTACCAGCCCACTAATGCAAATGCTAATGGAATGCTTTTCCATTCTGGAAAAGTATGAAATTGAAGAGCAGAGGCTACTGGTGCCTGTTCCACACTTTCTCATCCACCCGAAGTCATTTGCAGAGAGTTCCTATATATGCCCATGACTTCCTTTGTCTTTCTGTTTGAGGGCTTCCTTATGCCCAAAGGTAGGCTCAGCAGTACATCAGGAAGGCTGGTAGGGTTGGGCATTTAACACCCCAGGAACAGACTCTTCATCAATAAGGAATCAAAGTTGGTGAATAAACATCCCAGCTTTCTCACCAGTTGGAAGGAGAATTTTGAGTTGCGTTCATCATATTCTCTCAAAAGTCCCCAGTAGACAGAGACCTCAGGTGCTCATAGAAATAGCCACTCATTAAAATGCCTTTCATTGGCTTTCTACCATTTCCTCTCTTACTTTCCTACTCCCTTCTTGTGCTTCCTGGATCACCTCCAAAATAAATGATTTTCACCCACATTCTTTTCTTGGGGTGTGCTCTTGAAAAAACCCAAACTAAAGTGCTTAACATCCTTGGGGACCTACAACCCACTTAATAAACCTTTACTTCTCTTGCTTGCAAATAATATGTACTGACTAAGTTCCATATGAGTGACATTATTGAGCATGACCCTACTCTGCATTTGGGGCAAAGGGCTTATGGAAAGCAGCATACAAAAATGAGTTGTTGTGTTTAGCTGAAAGGCATAGATGTGAGTTTCTTGGCATTAGGTATAATCATAAGTAAAAGAACCTTAAAATAGTAAGTAACCAGAGTGACAGCTCTTGGCCATCAGTGTTACCTAGTTTTCTTCTATTACAGCATAGTTCAATAATTTCAGCAGTAATGGAAATACTCTAGATTTGCATTGGCCATTTTGGTAGCTACTAGCTCTGTGTGGCTAATTAGCGTTTGGAATGAGACTATTACCGAAGAACTGAATAATAAATTATATTTAATTTTCATAAATTTAAACTAAAATAACCACTTGTGGCTGGTATCTAGCATATTGGACAGTGCAGTTCTAGTGTTTCCTATCTTAGTGAGTGGTGCTGCCTTCCATTTGTGTGTTTTGTAAGTCAGAAACCTATGAATCCACCTTCACACCTCCCTCTCCTCCACATTCGATATACAATTTGTTTAACATCTGCTTATTATCTCTTATCTTTGGCTTCTTTCTACCCTCCCAGCCACCACTGGAAACCAAGCTACCATTTTCTCTCACTTTGACTATTGGAATAGCCCTTTAGTTTTCCTCCCTACATTCACTCTTGACCTCTTCTAATTGATGTGCAACCCTATGGCTTTTCAAATTACAAATTGTCATCCTCAACTCCTCAAGTAAAAACATTTTAATGGCTTCCCATTGACTTTAGGTTAAATCCCTACACTCTTAACATGGTCCCCCAAGGCCTCTCATAGCCTGGCCCTTCTTACCTTTCTCCTAATTTCTCCTTCTTGGGATACATTTCTCATGAAGCAAAATAACAAGAAGAATAAAATTTCTATTTACTTCATTTCTTAACCTACTCTTTGTCTTAATACAAATGATTATATATATATATGTATCTCAGGTACATATTTTAAGGTTATTAATAATTTTAGGAAAGTCATCTAGGCAGAGAGATTGGGAGGCAGAGAGGTTACAAAATCACATGTGTCACTCTAATGAAAAGCAAATCAGCTGTAACCACATAGGTCACTTTCCCTTTATTAATATGACTTTACTATTCCAATAAATTCTTGCCTAGGAAGATGAAATGAACATTCACCGTGCAAATTAAAGTGGTTTTTGTTTTTGTTTTTGTTTTTTTACATGCTAATAGAAGAAAGCTCTGGCAACCAAATGTGTCGCTGTTACTGGATGGGGTTAGTGGTTGTGGTAGGTGAGAAGGTATTTATAAAAATCAAAAGAGAATAAAAACTTTGAGAGAATAGTGAATTCAAAAGGGAATGAGAAAGAGGGGAACAAAATGAGAAAGGCAAAATTTGAGAGACTGATTCTTAACATCTTTTTAAAAGGAAGAGAATTCCCAGTTGAGATAGAGGAAGGTGTGGGGTGGAGATTGGGGGGTATCACTTTGAGCCTTTATCAATGTGAGTGGAGTTGTGCTGGAAGCACAATGGGGAGAAAAGTCTTGCCAAAGGACTTAATCTGGAGAACAGTAGCTGTAAAAGAGTTCCATCTGGAATTTAAGGAAGGTGACCTAGGGCTATATTAGAAAATGTATATACACACACACACGCATGCACACTTAAACATATATATATTCCTTCAGTGACATATATCACTGGAGGAATTAAAGAAAGAGAAAAATGAAGACAAAAAATGGATCTTATGTAAAAGAGAAAGTACTATATAGAAGAAACAAGGAATTTAAGAAAAGACTTCTGACTAGAAGGAAAGTAAAGTTGAAAAATAACAATGACAATGTAGAAAAGACAGAATAAAAGTAAAGCTGAGTTAAGTTATCCAAATGGGTTTGCGTGGATATTTAATTAACTTAATGTCATGTAGTGTGTACTCCAAAATTCCACTACAGTGAAAATAGTTGGTGTGTACATGAGCTCACAGTTCACTTGAGACCCTTTAGTGGGGAAACCCCAGATACTTTTATAAGGAGAGGAGAGATGACTTTAGAGAATAATTCAAAAGGAGTCACAAAGTATTTCTTAGAGAAAAAAGAGGTGAGGTCCCCAGAGGCCTCTTCCTTTGAGTTCATCTCCCGGTACCCATATTCTAACCCACGTCAGTTGTCATGCATCTTAGCCCACAGCATGCTTGAGAGCAGCAGCCCATGCTCCTGGGGCAATGCTGGAGCTCCATCCAGTCAGGCAGCTGGCTCCCCATCCCTTCCTTCTTCATTGAAAATCTTACCTCTACACTTCTTTTCAGGACCCTGAAGGGTTATGATTTCATAATTTCTGATTAATTTTTCACAATCTTAACAATATACTTTTCTACCTCTCTCAATAGAAATCATATTTAAAGAGAAGAATCCTGGAGATATCATTGCCTCAGCCTAAAGAAAAGAATCAACAAAATAATGCTCTTGAAGCAGAAGGTGCCAATGGTGAAACCAGGAGGCAGAGAGTTTCAAAATCATATGTGTGTCACTCTCATGAAAACAAAAACCAGCTGCAACCACAGAGCTCAGTCATTTTAATAATATGACTTTATTATTCCAAGAAATTCTTGCCTAGGAAGATTAAATTAAGAATAACTTTATTCTTAATTATTCAGGAAATATTCCTTATTTCTGGAACTTCTGGAAAATCCTTTTTTTTTTTTCTGAATAGACCTCTCAGCTAGCCTCATTATCCCTTCTCAGTATGCCAGCTGTCTCAATGGCTCACCATACAACTGACTGCTACTCAAGACTCCATTCAAAATCTCACCTTGTTTCATCTGTCTTACAACATTGTCATGACCTTTGCCCAATCCCAACCAAGTACCCTCCCCATACTTCCACCAGTGAAAGACTCACCTTAAATCAGACCCCCAGACCTCATGAAGGTCTTTGCCTGCTCACCCTCCCAGATGCTATTGAGACACTGTCAAGGGAATGGTCTTCCTTATTCCAGTAAGCAACAAACTTGTCTCAGCTTCGACCACAGTTTACTGAGGGTGATATCTTCAGGTAATCAGCAGCCAATACACCTATGTGGTCTCCAGTGAGTGTTAAAAGTTGTGTGTGCAAAAATGTCACTCAAAACATGTAGTTTGGAAATGAGAATTTTGTTAACTAAAAGGTGCAATGTTTGAACATGCTTACTGGCTTTACAGTGGAAAACCTGGGGTCAGAAAACGCACATCTCAACTGCTTACGAACAGCAGTTCTCAGAAGCTAGCAGAGAGTTGCTGCTCTCTCCAACTCACCCACCACCTCCAACAGAAATGGGAAACGTTCCCTTGTTCCCCTCGCAGGACTTGTGAGAAGGGAAGTGGCTCGCTTCTTCAGTGCCCCGCTGCTCTAGGGGAGCATACAGACAGGGAGGCTCTGGGGCTCTGACCCCACGGCAGCGTCTAGGGGTGGATGTTTACAGCTCCTGAAGCCCCAGTGGGAGTGTGTTACAGGGTGCTTTTTTAGTTTTGCCATCTATAGGCGGCTTGTGTTAACCAGCGCAATTAGACAATACCTTGTTGCAAGGACAGAGGGCTTTCTGTATCCCAGGTTCTTGCCTAGGTATACCGGAAGAATCGGATCACAAGTGGTCTTGGAGAGTGATTGCAAGGTTTTATTGAGTGGAAGTAGGTCTCAGCAGATGGGGGAGCTGGTAGGCAGATGGTTTTACCCTGGAGCCGGGCTGCTCCGTGGCCTGGGCTCTCTTCCCACTGCCCCAGCCAAACTCGAGTTGTTCTGCTGGTGGATGGCCTGCTGGCGTCTGTCGGTGTGCTCTTCCACCAGCATGCTCCCCTAGACGTCCTCTCAAAGTCCAGCCACTTGTGTGTCGGCCTGTTAAGGTCTCTGCGGGGGTTTGTAGACACAGAATGGGGCATGGCGGGCCAGGGTGGTCTTGGGAAATGCAACATTTATTTGGATTCCAAGGCAGGAGTACCTGTCCTCACCTAGGTCCGTGGGCACAGGCCCGGGGGTGGAGCCCTCACCAGGGACCTGCCGTTCTCCTAGCACTTCCCCGCCCTCCTTGCCTATCACAACTGCATTGTAATTAGAACTTTGAAGCGCCAGAACTCTATTTCACTGTCACTTCATCCATTACTAACTCTGGAAGTACAGAAATAATGAACATACTGGATGTTCATGAGGGGTGAAAAATATTTTAAAACTTTGAAGATTTATTTATTTGTTTGTTTATAATTGGCACTTAGAGTAATGTCTTCACAGGAAGCACAGAACAATAGAAAATTACAGCCCATTAGGATGTGTAAAGAGATGGGATTAAAGATTGCGAAGGGTGTCATTTCCTTAAAAGTACCATTCCAGGCTGGGCGTGGTGACTCACACCTGTAATCCCAGCACTTTGGGAGGCCGAGGCGGGAGGATCACCTGAGGTTAGGAGTTCAAGACCAGCCTGGCCAACATGATAAAATCTCGTCTCTACTAAAAATACAAAATTTATCTGGGTGTCGTGGTGTGCGCCTGTAATCTCAGCTACTCAAGAGGCTGAGGTAGAAGAATCTCATGAACCCAGGAGGCAGAGGTTGCAGTGAGCCAAGATTGCACCCTGCACTCTAGCCTGGGCAACAAGAGCAAAACTCCATCTAAAAAAAAAAAAAAAAAAAAAAAAAAAAAGGACCATTTTGTTGCAAAGCATAAATGGTTTCTTGAGAGCAGAAGAAAGTTTTATTTAACTTTTTAGGATGGCCAGTCCTCTGTAATCAAATTGCAGCCTGCCAAGTTAGCAACTTCTTTTTATTGGGTGAATACTTCTGTGTCTACTGATGCAATTCTGAAAAACGAACTTACTGTTGATTTGAAAATTTTCCATGCTTTTTATATCAGATTTCGTAATTTAGCTAGAACCCAGAAGTGCCATTGACCATAAAGTGGTTTTGAAATAAATTTGTAATTTTGACTTAGGCTGCAACATGTTACAGGGATGTTTTCTTAATTCATTTTGCTGGAACCCAGTCAAGTCTTCCTCAAAGAACTCTACTTTGGCTACAGCAATATTATCTGTGAGAAAGATTTCTATTTAGACTTAATACATGGAAATAAGTAATGGAGACTGGCATTTATTAAGGCTTTATTAAAGGCTAGGAGGGCACTGTGCCCTTATTGGATTAAATCTTTGCAACATCCCTACAAAATATATGCTGTTGTCATCACAAGTGGCCCAACTGGTTACTTAAGGCTTTAAAAATTAAATATCCTGTCCAAGGTCACAAAGCTAGTAAGTGGCTATGTAGGATGCATCTCAGTTTTGCTTGGCCATGAAGTTCCTGCTTGCCACTACTATGCTATACTGTAAGATGCAATTTCCTTAAGAAAAAGGACCATATCTCACATTGTATTTTTCTTAAGAGTATGTTCGTCTGTATACATATTATACAAAATCTAGTACTGTCTTGATTGATTCAAAAAGCTATGAAATGATGTGAACAGATGAACACTGAATAAATACTAAAGAAGATAACGAATAAGTCAGAGCAAATTTTTTTATTTCATCTCAAAAATGTAAGCTGATTAGCTGAATCATCACATATAAAAGCCCAAAGAGCCAAATTTCTTTTATTCACTTAATAAACTTTTATTCACTCTGTATTTACTGTGGGCCAGACATTGTGCTAAACGCCCTGGAAACAGAATTGAGAAAAACACAATCCTACTTTCAAGTCCAGTGAGAAACAGAGAAATAAGAAATTCAATAATTGAAACACAATGTGATATGGAAGAAAATTGAAAGTCTAGAAATAGAACTACGTAAGTATGACCAAGAGATGCAAAAGCAATTCAATGAAGAATGGGTGGTCTTCTCAAAAGATGACATTAGAAACATTGGGTATTCACTGGCACAATAATGAGCCTCAACTTAAAACCTACATTGTATGTAATAATTAACTCAAAATTGATCAGAGACCTAAATGCAACATGTAAATCTATAAAACTTTTAGGAAAAAAATAGGAGAAAACTTTCATGACCCAGAGTTAATCAAAGAGTTCTTAGACATGATACCAAAAACATGATTCATTAAAAAATAAATTAAATTAATTGGACTTTATACAAATTAAATAAATTGGACTTTATACAAATTAAAAAACTTTTGCTCTGAAAAAGATCCTGTTTGAAGAATGAAAGGGCAAGTGAAAGATGGGGAGAAATATTTCCCAATTATATTATGTGACAGAGAACTTGTATCCAGAATATATTTTAAAAAGCTATCTGAACTCAATAATAACTCAATTAGAAGATGGGCAAAAACACTTGAACGACACTTTACCAATGAGGATGTATAGATGGCCCGTGAAAAGGTTTAACATTATCAGTCATTAGGAATTGGCTAATTAATGCCACAACAAAATACTACTACATACCTATTAGAATGACTAAGATAAAAAGTACTGGCAATACTAAGTTCCAGCAAAGATTCAGAGCAACTGATCTTTCATTCATTGGTGGTGTGAATGTAAAATGGAACAGCCACCCTGAAAACAGTTTGGCAGTATTTTTGACAAGTTTATACATATACTTACCATATGACTCAGTAATTGACCCCAGGGTATTTATTCTAGTGCAATTAAAACTTATATCCACACAAAAGCCTGTTCACAAATGTTCGTAAAAGCTTTATTTGTACTGTAATAGCCCCAAATTGGAAACAACCCCAAATGTCCTTCCTTGGGTAAATGGATAAACAAACTGAGGGGTACCCATATGGTGAAATGCTACTCTGCAATAAAAGGGAATGAACTCTTTCAGCCTTTTCTATCTCTCTTCTCTGATTTTTCCCTAGTGCTTATTGCTTTCTACTTTATCACATAATAGATTTTTATTGTTTATTTTTTGTCTTTTGTTCTCTGCTAGGTTATAACTGTGAGAGCAGAAATGTATGTCTGCTATTTTTGTTCTTTACTGTTTCATCTCCAACACTTAGAATCTTTTTATTCTAAGCTACCTGGTGAACTGTCCTGAAGTGATAAGCAGTATTTGCCAGTAAGACAGTTCACGTCCACTAAATATATTCTTTCCTTTTAATGTGCTCTGCACCTTTAATTTTTTTAAATTTATTTTTAAATTTTATTTATTTATTTTTTGAGACGGAGTCTCACTCTTGTCTCCCAGGTTGGAGTGCAATGGCACATCTCGGCTCACTGCAACCTTCACCTCCTGGGTTCAAGCGATTCTCTTGCCTCAGCCTCCCAAATAGCTAGAACAACAGGCATGCACCACCACACCCCCAATAATTTTTGTATTTTTAGTAGAGACGGTATTTTACCACATTGGCCGGGCTAGTCTCAAACTCCTGAGTCCCAGTGATCATCTTGCCTCTCAGCCTCCCAAAGTGCTGGGATTGCATGCATGAGCCACCATGCCTGGCCTGCACCTTGAAATTTTAAAACAATTTTTTTTTCATGTCCTGGAACCAAAGCTCTTCATGCCATGTTGGGGTGGGATTTGATAAAACACTTTACATGTTTCCCATAAATAGTATTCCCAACAATTCTGAGGAAATTCTGTGGTTCTATAAACCACTGCTTGAAAAATTAGTTTTCTATCATGACAAACAGCTCATCTTTGAAAGTACAAAGTATTTGCAATTGATTTTCAGAATGAATCATATTCTTAATAATTGCACAAGATTACTCACAAATTCAAGGGAGTTAGATTTAAAAAACTGACTCAAAATCAAATGAACCCAATTTATAACTTGTGCTTACAACATGTTCTCATATGACACCCACAAATGTTTCTTTTGTGAAGACTCAACCTCAAGTTACAGAGAAGGGAAATTTCTACTTCCATGACTTTGCCAGTAACACAATCACAGTGGTAATATGCAATGTTCTTATTTCATTATATGGGGCATAGAACAGTTTGCTGACTTAATTGGCAAATAACTGTCTTTTCAAGACAATTGAGAGGTCAATATCTGAAGAATGAGTGAAATGGAAATATTCAGAAATGTCCTAAGTGAACCATAAAGAAAGTTGAGTCTCCAAGATCTCAAGATGAAAGCATTGATGATGAGAAAGCTGCCTGTGATTCCATGTGTACATTGTGAGTAGTAATTTAGCAAAGTCATTCACTGACTGGGAAATATCTACTATGCACCAAGTCTAGAGTCACAATAATGAGTTTGGCAAATGAGCTGAGGGGCTATTTGTATGAAGCTCATGAACTAATTAGGGGTAACAAAGAAATAATAAAAAAATAAAGTGTAATGGGGAAAGGCAGAGTTCTACAAGGATAGAGAGATCAAGAAATTTTGCTGGTTGGCTCTCACTGCTTTGATGGCCTGGTTTTGATACCTATGTAGAGCCTTGGCAAAATACACTAAAATTATTTTTAACATTAGTGTTGATGAGAAGATCAAACTGTTTTAATTCTCTGGACTGCTTAAGAGTCACATGCCCTTACGACAAGAGTAGGTTTCATACTGTAAGCTACAGGTAAGATTTTTTTAGGATTGAGGATTAAATGTTTTATTCCTGTAAGGTTTTCTATTCCTTTCATCTACCAATATCCAAGGAGATGCTAATGTAAAAACTCTTCAGAACTGCTTTCCATCTCTTTTCCTTCCCCTACATCCCATTAAAAATGGAGTAGGCAGGAATATAATTAATAACAGTAGGCTATTTTCTGGGAGGAAAACACCCAGCTGTAGGCACTGAGAGATGCATTCATTCATTCATTTGCATTTTTTGAGTGCTGGCATGCCCTAAGCATTATGCTAGGAGCTATAGATTTCAGACTCTGGTAGTTAGAAAAAAAATGGCTTCCCGAAATGTCCACATTCTATTCCCAGGAACTGGTGAATATGTTAGATTGTATGGCAAAGGGGAATCAGAGTTGCAGATGAATTAAGGTTGCCAATCAGCTGACACTGAAATAAGAAGATTATCCTGGATTATCCAGCTGGGCCCAATATAATCACAAGCGTGCTTTTTAGAGTAAGGAGGAAGCGGAAGAGGGAGAACAAAACAGATTGCAGCATGAAAAGAAGATTGGCCTGGAGTTGTTGGCTTTGAAGATGAAGAAATGAGACCATGAACCAAAGAATGCAGGTAGTGTCTAGAAGCTAGAAAACACGAGGTAATGAATTATTCCTTAGAACCTCTAGAAAGCAACAGTCCTGCCAATACCTCAGTTTTAGCCCAGTGAGACTGATTTCATGCTCCTAACCTCCAGACCTATAAAATAAGTTTTTGTTGATTTAAGTCACTAAGTATGATAATTTGTTACAATAGCAGGGGGGACTGAAGCACAGACCATACTGCAGTGTCTGCCCTCAAAGAATTAATGGACCATTGGAGGTGTTAAGAATTCAATGAGGGAAGGTTCTAGCCAGTGACACTGAGTGCTGACCAGGGCTGGAATTGAAAAAGGCTTGTAGAAAAGACAAAATATCCTCCATGCTGGACGAGACAAGAGCATTGAGGTCATAGCATTTTTGCTTCCATGTGGTCATTTATGCCCAAGAACAGATGAACTAACACTTTGAGGGCATTTTCTTATACAGCTGGGGAATTTGCCAGAGAAACAAGCAGCTGGGCCCACAGAAGGTTGGAGGGGTGGAGGAAGGAATGAGACCCAGGTTTAAAAGGATCAGAGATGATTATATTTTATATACCACCTATATACTGACTTCTAACACATGTATCTTCAGCTCATACACAGCCCTCTCCAAACTGCAGATCTAACTATGAACCCCAAATGTCTCCTTGGGTAGCTACTGAACAACCAACCCCAAACTCTCGATCTTCTCTTTCAGTCCTGCTCCTATCCCAATATTTTCCCTTTCAATAAATGGCACTGCTACTTTTTGAGTTCTTCAGGACAAAGACCTTGGAATCTTCCTTGGCTACTCATTTCCACTCACATTCCACATCCAACCTATCTGGAAATCTGGTTAGCTCCACCTGCAGTATATTTGCAGAATGTAATCATCTCTCACTACCTCTACTGCTATATGTCTGGTCTAAGTTATCTTTATCTGGCTCACTTAAATAGCATCAAACTGATTCCCTTGATTCCATCGTTTTCCAATCACAGTCTATTCTTTTTTTTTTGTTTTTTTTTTTGAGATGGAGTCTTATTCTGTCACCAAAGCTGGAGTGCTGTGGTGTGATCTCAGCTCACTGCAGCCTTACGGTTTCAAGCAATTCTCCTGCCTCAGCCTCCTGAGTAGTTGGGATTACAGGCGCCCGCCACCATGCCCAGCTAATTTTTTGTATGTTTAGTAGAGGCGGGGTTTCACTACGTTGATCAGGCTGGTCTCAAACCCCTGACCTTGTGATCCGCCCACCTCGGCCTCCTAAAGTGCTGGGATTACAGGCGTGAGCCACCACACCCAGCCTGCAATCTATTCTTAACATAGAATCCAGGATAGTTCTTTCAAAATTATTTCTCTGCTCAAAACTTTCTGTGATGTACAGTCTCACTCAGAGTAAAAACCAAAACCCTTCTAGGTATTTACCCAAGGGAAGTAAAACTTTTATTCACACCAAGTGTGTACAAAAGTGTTTGCAGCAGCATTAAACAAAATAGTTAAAATGTAGAAACAGTCTGAATGTTTATTAACTGAACATGAATGGATAAATAAAATGTGATGTATCCAAACACCAGACTATTATTTGGCAATATGAAGCAATGAAGTATTGATACATATTATGACATGGATGAATCTTGAAGACATTATGCTAAGTGAAAAAAGCCAGTCACAAAATATCATGTTTGATTTCATTTATATGAAATTCCCAGAATAGGCAAATCTCTAGAGACAGAAAGTAGATTAATGGCTGCGAGGGACTAGGGGAAGAGGAAGTAGAGAGCAACTACTAATGGGTGTGGGGTTTCTTTTGAAGTGATGATAATGTTCTGGAATTAGATAATAATGACGGTTGCACAGCGTTTTGAATATACTAAAAACAACTGAATTATACCTGGAGGAACGTATATATCTGGACCTAGTTGGGCTTCCATCAGAAAGGCAGAAGGATGTTGAGAAGATGAACAAAAACTTCTGCTTCATTCTTGTAGGCATTTGAGTTTGTAACTGTGTCTAAATCTTCTCTGCTTGGAGAAGTTCTGACATAGAGTTGAGCATAGGTTAAGACATAAAAAACCTTGCCAGTATATTGAACATTTCCTAATTAAGCTTTCAGGAAATAAATGGCCAAAGCATAAGGTTAGTAAATAAAATGGTGGTTCCTGTGTAGGTAGTCAAGTGAATTAAAGGATAGAGTAATTTTTTTTTAGTTTATGCATATCAGTTTAGCCAAATACTAACAAGCATGGACTGCTGGGGTTCCAAGGGAGCCCCAAGTCTCCTTGAATATTGATGCGGTTACTAGGACCCTTATTCCAAATAGCATTATGAGCCAAGCTTAAAACATAAAATAGAAACGCACATTGGACGGGTGAGTTACAGTCATCATTTACTTATTCATTCATTTTTTTACCCTTCATTCAACAAATATTTTTTGAGTCCTGTCCAGCCCTGTGGATAGAAAGAGACTGAGTGTCATTACTCTGCCATTATGGAGCTTAGAATCTGGTGGAGAAGACAGACATTAATCAAATTATTGTACAAATAAAAGTAAAACAATTGGGAAACATAAAAAAGAACACACAGGTGAACAGGGCTTACCTGTGGAATTGATAACTGAGCTGATATCTGGAGAAAAGAAAGAGGTATATAATTGAAGGTTGAAGGTGGTTTGTGGTAAAAGAGATGGGGGGGTGGTGGCTCACAGTTTTAGGAGGAAGAAAAGGTGTTTGGCAGGAAGAAACACGATGCACCACTGGAAGCGATAGAAGGCTGGTGTGCTTGGAAGCCAGATGAAGAAGGAGGGTGATCTGTAGGATAAATCTCCAGCCTCTTTGAGGGCCCTTAGGTCATGTTGAGGCATTTTGATCTGAATCCCAAAAGCAGTGGTAGGCTATTGGAATGTTTAGGCTGGACTGACATGGCCAGACTTGCACTTCTAATAGATGCCTCTTGCTAAATTGGGAAGATCAAATTAGATGGAAAGCTCTAAGTCTGAACATGGAGGTAGAGATTAGGATGTCATTACTAAGTTGAACTATATGCAATTGTCTGTATTTTATTGTTATTACTCAAATTTCATATGGCTCAACATAATATATTAAATATAAAAAAACTAATTGGACTAACAGCTATAGTTGAACTAATATTTACTTTTTACTATCTAGTTGAAAGGAACTTACAGTTAATATGTAACATTCGTTGAGTACTCAATGCTTATTACTTCAACAAATAATTCTGTGTGTATTGAGAGCCTATTAGGTGCCAGGTCCTGTTCCAGACACTGGAGATTAAGCAATGAACAAAATAGACAAAAAAACAAACAAACAACAAAACAAAAACACCCTTTCCACATAGAGCTTTCATTGTAGTGAGGGGAAACAAATAATAAATAAATAAGAAAAAGTATATATTATGTCTGATAGTCAAGTGTTATGAAGAAAATTGAACAGGGTGATGGTTGTAATTTTTAACAAGATTGTTTGGAAGGGTTCACTGATAAGGTAACATTTGAGCAGGTAAGGAAGTGGATTATATAGTCAGGGGAAGGTCCTTTGAAGTCAGAAAAAGAAAACAATGCAAAACCTTGAGGCTAGAACATGTCTGGAGTGCTCTAGGAATAGCAAGACCAGTGTGGGAGAGCAAAGAGCTTGAAAGAGAAACAAGCGGATGACATGGGCAGGTGTTGAGGTGAGGGTGGGGGATCTCCAATCCTGCAGGCCTCCAGGTCACTGTAAAGACTTTGCATTGTTCTTTCTTCCAATGGGAAGACTCCGGAGGCTGTGAAGAGAAGGAAGTACAATCTGACTTACATTTTAATAGTAACCTTCAACTGCTCTGTGGAGGAAAGACTATGGGGGAAGAGTGGTGGCAGGGAGATCATTTGGAGGCTTTGTAGAAATCCAGGGGGAAATAGTATGATACATTGGACCAGGGATAGATCTGTGAGGGGTCATGATAGCTGGTAGGATGTTCGATCTATCCTGAAGGCAGAAGCATCAAGATTTCCTGACAGATTGGTTGTGGGGTACGTGACAAAAAAGGATTCTAAGGTTAACTCCTGGACTTTTAAGGTGGAAGATTATAAGTTTGTTGTTTCCATTTACTATGAGGTGGGAGATGGGATGAGAAGCAAGTTTGAAGTGAAGGATTAGGAGTTTGAGTTTGGACTTAGTAAGTTTGAAATGTATATTAGACATGCAGAGACGCTGAGTAAGCAGTTGGATATATAAATCTGAAATTCAGAGGAGAGGATTATCCTGGAGATATTACAGCCATGACCACCCAGAGAGTGTATATAAACAAAGTGAAGATGTCTGAAGACATTGGAACACCTGGGAAGATTTGGAAGAGGAGACTTCCAAACACGGAAATGTAGAAAGCTATTTATTTTAATGAACTAATAAAAAGCAAAGACCAGTTCAACTATAGCTGTTAGTTCAATTAGAGTTTTCTATATTTAATATTTAGGTTGGACCACATGAAATTTAGACAATAACAGTCAAATATAGACAACTTCATATTGTCAAACTTGATAACATATTCATATAGGAGACTGAAAGGGTGTGGTTTGTAAGGTAGGAGGAAAATCAAGAGTTGGGGTGTTTTAGAAGTGAAGCAAGTGTTTTAAGGAAGAGAAAGTGCTGTGGGCTGATCAAATAAGATGAGGAATTAGAATTGACCACTGGATTTAAACATGTAGAAGTCACTGGTGGCCTCCATAAGAGAAACTTGAATGGAATGGTGTGAGTGTGAGCTTTATTGGCATGAGCACAGAAGAAAATGGGAACAGAGATGGTGACTAGAGACAACTCTTTCAAGGAGTTTTGCTGTGGAGGGAAGCAGGAAAATGGAGTGGTATTTGAAGGTAGTTGTAGGATCCAAAGTCAGTTTGTTTTTTATATGGGGAGAAATGTCGGCATATTTATGTCCTAATGGAATAATTTACTAGGAAAAGAAAAACTGATGATGAAGCAGAGGAAGAATTGAAGAACCATGTCCTTGAATAGGTGGAAAGGGTAGGTAATAATACACAAGTGGAGGTGGTAACTGAAAGAGAAGCATGAACAATTTATTCTAACTAGTGAAGAAGAAGTCAGAATTTATGGGTTAAGAGTCACACAGGTGGTTAGATACGATGATGGGAGCTTGTGAAAATTTTCTTCTGATGGTTTCTCAATAAAATAAGAAGCAAGATCTCATCTAAAAGTAACAATAGGGGAGGGGATATTGAAAGTCTGATACATTAGTAGGAGGTATGGAACATCCCTTAGAAAAGTGGGGGAATAAAGAGATAAAATAACAGTATTTGTGTGTAGCAATAAGGGCCATTTTGATGGCAGTGGCTGCTGCCATGCTGGCTGCAGCAGGGAGGCCCGGCTGGAGCTGCACACTCCATGGTGCCAGTAGGAGCCCCGACCCTTCTGAGTTGGGGCAGGAGCTCCTCGGGTGCCGCTACAGCTGTCCAAATCGCAGCTGCAGACCCAGGCCTGCTCTATGGAACAAGCAGGAGCCACGCCCTCCTGGGTGGGGCTACAGCCGCGGAAACTGTGGCTGGGAATCTGAGCCTCCCTGTGCTCTTTCCGGGGGGCCAGGAAAAGGCAGTATCTGCCCTCCCCTCCGGGTGAGGATGTAGCTGCAGCTGCTGGACCCACATCTGCAGACCTGCGCCTCCTGTTCCACAGAGCTAGCAGGAGCCAGGGACAAGCAGGAGCCCTGCCCCTTCTAAGTTGGTGGGGCAGGAGCTCCCAGGTGCTGCTGCGGCCACCCTCTCAGGGAAGGACCCGGGCATCTCTACAGCCTGCACCCTCACAGGTTCCAGAAAGGACACTCCCCCATCCCCCAGGCAGGCTCTGGGGTGTTTTCTCCCACTGCCTGGCCTCTCTACTTTCCTGGCACCTGTTCCGATTGTGGAGCAGGATCTGGGCCGAGCTCCCGGACCATGAATGGCAACGGGAGGCAGACACCCTGGTGGAAGGGGGTGGGTCTCCAGTAAGGCCTCACCTTCAGTCCAGGGAGGACCTGAAGGCTGGGGGCTGGGCTGCCAGTCCTGCAGACTGGAGTGGGGAGCCTCTTCTCAGGTAAGAATCTTAACCTTCTCACCGGCCCATGGCTGCCCATGGACCAATGGACATGCACTTCCTCCCCTCTGAGGTCTGTAAAAGCCCTAGGCTCAGCCAGAGGACAGCCAGAGGACGAAGAGGGCAGAAAGGCAACCGGACGACCAGACCACCTGCAGAGAGGAGCTACCCTCTCTGCTGAGAGCTGCAGAGATGGCTTGTCTGCGTACCTCATTCTTCCTGGGCACAGGACAAGAACTCTTGTAAAGGTGCCACTGGCCACAGAGGTTTCTGGGAAGAAAATTGATACCCCAAGGATCCCGTAACAGTTTCATAGTGAAGAATTTAAGTGACATCAAATAGCATGATTGGTTGTTGCTGCTAGCCACAGGGCCACCTTCATGGAGGAGACATGGAGTAAGTAGAGTTGAGTCTTCTAGGACTGAGGTTTTTGTCAAATAAGAGCAAAGCAAGAGAAAAATAATGAAGTTGAAGTAGTATGTAAGAAAATGATTTACAATATTAGACCACAGAATAAAAGCTCAGTAGGGGAGAAGGAGTTGAGGCAGAATCAAAGAATTGTTGGAGTTGGGGTACAGGAGGTACTAGCTGCAAAGGCAGTAGGGGGGTGGGCAGAAATAGGATGCTTGACATTGAGATGGTAGTTATTATTAATGACAAGTCTGGGAATGACAGATGTAGTGAATGCCAAGTTTTCTGATAAATGCTTTACATGCATTATCTCATTTAATCCTCATTAATCCATAGAGATTTACTTTTCCAGTTTTTCACATGAGAAATAAAGGAAAGACAAGTTCCAGATCCTTTTGTGTTGTTGACAGCTATCAATACTGTATCTTACCATAAAAAATTTCTCTTTTCACAAATTAAGTATCTCAAGTTCATAGGTTTTAAACAACCATAATCTTACAGCTCACTAGTGGCAAATTAAGGTCTAGAATACAGGTTTTATAGTTCCATGGTAAATTTTCATGACAATATTCATGTTTGCTATGATCCTTAGAGAATTAGCAATTTGAAACTTTCTGTGAAATGCCTTGAGAAATAATTTTTTTCTTGCAGCTTTTCCTCAATAATTTGATATATTAAATTCAAGGCCCAGATCAGTCTCTCAACTAAACCTTTCAATAGTGAAAAAGAGATTGTAGCAGATGGAAACACGATGTCCAGGTGATCTATTTGAGCATTTCCTTTTCATAAACTTATCTGGACTCAGTAGAAGCCAGCCTTAGAATAATCGATAGCACTGCTTAGACAACTTCTAAGTAGCTTAGCTTTTCCTTTATTGTTTCACCAAATATACAAACTGAATCTTAATTGGAAATGACAGACATTTATGATTAAATTACAACTTCATAGTCGTAATGCTCCTTTGGAATGAATTCATAATGAAGTTTTTTGGGGGGCTTGTCAGTTTTCTAGGGTTAAGTGTGTGCTAGAAGGTGAGGCAGAGCATCAATTTTTAGGTCAATAGTTCATGAGATTAGGCTTTATTGTAAGCACTGACATTTCTCGTTTTTCCTTATTCTGATCCCTCATGGATCCCTCTCCCTCCCCAATTAATCATAACAGTAATACTCAAACGACAAATGAACAAGGTATGTCTGGCCTGTGTAAGTATGAACTTTATTGTTGTTCATTTTGACTGTTTATGAAAGCAAGCCTCTAAGGAACAGGAAAATATTGGAGATGATCAACTTGTTGTAATGCCTCAAAATGTAATATCTTAGCAGTCATACACTCATCTCCATTCACTGTTAACTTTCCCATGCTTTAACACCTTGAAGGGAGCACAAGAAAACTTTGTTACTTGTATTGGTTTCCTATTGCTGTTAACAAATTTCCACAAACCTAAAACAACACAAATTTATCTTACAGTTCTGAAGGTCAGAAGTCAAAAAAACACATTTCGGTGGGCTAAAATCAAGGTGTGGCAGGAGTGCATTGCTTCTGGAGGCTCCAGAGAATCTTACCTTGCTTCTTCCAGCTCCTAGGGACCACCTGCATTCCTTGGCTCATGCCCCTCTCCCAGCAATGCTATTGCTCTGACCTCTGCTTCTGTCCCCACATCTCCTTCTCTGATTCTGAACCTCCTGTCTTCTTCTTTTTTCTTATAAGTATCCTTGAGATTATCTAGGGCCAACCTGGATAATTCAGGTTAATATCCTCATCTCAATATCTTTATCTTAGTTACATCAGCAAAGTCCCTTTTGCCACTTAAGGTAACATATTCACAGGTTCCAGAGACTTGAACGTTTATATATTTTAGGGCTACTGTTTAGCCTGCCACATTGTCAACAACTCTGAGAGTGTTTTCTCCTCCGTCATGGTTTTTCTGGTGCACAACCCACACAATCTTTGTGTGCTGAGTCACTTTGTCCTGTCAGGTGGTCCTCTTAGATGGGGCCATTTCAAGTTGTATCTGGCCCAACCATCTGTGTGACATCCAGTTAATCCATGATAAAGCTTGATGTCTTTCCTCGCCAAAATCTGGCTATGTAATCCCTTCCACCCACCACTCATCATTGGCATCTCCCTCTGTCTTTGGCCATCATAGGCAATTCCAGAAAGCCTTTAGTTCATCAGACAAGGTGTAGGGTGTGTGTGTCAGTTTCATTTTCTGGTAGACACTCCTACTCTTTATGAATGGTTCCATCATAGGCATTCCAGAAAGCCTTTAGTTCATCAGACAAGGTGTAGGGTGTCTGTGTCAGTTTTGTTTTCTGGTAGACACTCCTACTCTTTATGAATGGTTCCTTTAGAGACTCCTCCACTGGGTTTGAGGTGGGGAAAAGAAACAATGTGTACTCCGGCAACTCTTTTTCTGAGAAATCCTCATGCATTCTATAAACCTCTTTGTCTTAGTCTGTTTGGGCTGCTATAACAAAATACCATAAATTGGATGGCTTAGAAATAATAGACCTTTACTGCTTACAGTTCTAAAGGCTGAGAAATCCAAGATCAAGATGCTGGCAGATTTAGTACTGGCGAGGGCTCCCTCTCTGGTTGATAGATGGTGTCTTTTCCCTGTGCTCACATAATGGAATAGATGAAGAGTCTCTCTCAAGCCTCTTCTGTAAAGACACTAATCCCATTCATGAAGGCTCCACCTTCATGACCTAATCACCTCCCAGAAGCCTCACCTCTTTTTTTTTTTTTTTTGAGACGGAGTTTTGCTGTTGTTGCCCAGGTTGGAGTGCAGTGGTGCAATCTCGGCTTACCGTAACCTCCGCCTCCCAGGTTCAAGTGATTCTCCTGCCTCAGTCTCCCGAGTAGCTGGGATTACAGGCATATGCCACCATGCCCGGCTAATTTAGTATTTTCAGTAGAGATGAGATTCCTCCATGTTGGTCAGGCTGGTCTCGAACTCCCGACCTCAGGTGATCCACCCGCCTTGCTTCCCAAAGTGCTGGGATTACAGGCGTGAGCCACAGTGCCTGGCAACCTCAACCTCACCTCTTAATACTACCACATTGGGAATTAGGTTTCAACATATGAATTATGAGGGGACACAAACATTCAGACCGTAACACTCTTTAAGTTGTTATATATATATATATATATATATAT
Organism: Homo sapiens; assembly: GCF_000001405.40. NCBI lineage: Eukaryota > Metazoa > Chordata > Mammalia > Primates > Hominidae > Homo > Homo sapiens. Next base: position 57,765,815 of record NC_000005.10, read on the forward strand.
ATATATATATATATATATATATATATATGTCTTCCAGACGGATGATGTACTAAGGTACTAAGGCTAAGAGAACCTTGTTAGCAAATCCTGCAGTGGTGTCTGACCCCTGTCTGTAGAATGGGGAGTTACCTGTTGTCTAATTGGCTTTGGGTCTTAGCTGATATGCTCTATTATAGAAGTAAGGAAGGGATTCCAGCACAGCTGCTAGGGCAGGAGGTGTGGAAAGAGGAACATAGTTGAAATTCTAGGGACTTTTACATATTAAAGGACACATTAAGCAGTGCTCATCTCTACCTTGAAAGTCCCCTCCAGCCAATTCCTCTGTTGAGTAGTTTCAGATGGGATGACTGGTTCTATGTGTAAGTGAATCATGTGTACCCAGCATACTCTTGTTTAACAGTTTGATGGAATAGCTTTTAGGGTTAAATCTGCTTTTGTGATGTCTGCTGGAATAGTGGTCTTCAAGTCTCTTTCCCTAGCATGACCTGATTCCCAAAATAATTTTATAAAACCATATAGGTTGCACATTTTTAAGTTGAAAAATGATACGTTTAAGATTTTAAGATGAACTATCTGCAAAAGTCATAATTCTAGCAAATTGTAAATATTGACATTTTATTTTAAAAATGTAACTTTTAAGTGTATCCAATAGACTCCAAATGCCATAGAGATTTGATATCCATCATCATTAACTTAAAAACCTTAGAAAGTTCTTCTTTAACAGAATTTTTACATAATTCCTTTTTTACCTTTGAGCTTACATTTTCATTTTCTTCCCCTACAAAATTTAGTTTTATGTAATACATTTTATGTTTGACAATATTATATTGACAACACTATTGTACTTCTCTGCAACATATATAATACATATATATAAAGAGTAAGTTTTTAATTTTTTTTAAAAAGGGAGGCTCTAAGCATTTTTAAAAGGATCATTTGAAATGAGCTATTATAATTATTATGACAATATAATTGGTCAAAATTATAATTGTTATAAACATGAATAATTATCAAACATAAAAAGATTTTATCTTTCAATGAGATAGGCTTTTTTTTCCCAATTAGTTCATGTACTTATTGGCTTCAGAATCTGTTTTATTCTTTTTTAGTAGGTACAGATTTTGATGAACTTTGTTAATATATATCTAAGTAGATGTGGATATAATAAAATTATATTATAGTAATATTCAATTTATTCATTCCTATTTATCACCAAATTTTATTGCAATAATTTATCAGCCAACAACTCAATTGGGTCCTTTTTCAATTTTGTTGAAAGCAAATAATTAAGAATTATTTAAATTGCAAAAGGTTTTTTACCCAGTCATTCGTTGTTCACTTTTTCAACTTGAACACCAACAATTTAAATTTTTCCTGGAGGTTTTTATACCTGGAGTAATTTTAGGGTGAGAGTTTTTTTTTAACTTTATATTAGTGTATAAATACAGAAAAGTGTATGTTTCATAATGTGCAGCTTGATGAATTTTTACCACTTAATGCATCAGTGTAACAAATTCTCAGATCAACAAGAAACAAAACATTATTAGCACTCCATGAGCTCTTTACTTGTTCTTTTCTAATCACTATTCACTGACTCCCCCAACCATATTTGCCTTTTTCTTTTCTTTTGGTAATTGATATAAGGGGAAGCATTCATTATGCTCGCCTTTGCTGAACATTATTGAAATTGAGATTCATCTTGTATTTTGCATATATCTGTAGATTATTCACCGTTATTACTGCATAGCACAATTTCTTTATTCATTCTATTATTGATGGGCACATTTATAGTTTGAGGCCATTAGAAATATTAGTATTATGAATATTCTAGTATTTGTTTTATTTTCATCTATGTATACTTTTCTGTTGAATGTATACAATGTATATATACATTGTAGTAGAATTGCTGGGTCATGGGGTCATGGAATATGCATTTTAGCACAGCTTTAGTACTTACTGCCAGATAGTTTTTCAAAAGAGTTGCACCAATGTATATACTCAGCAGCAATGAATAAGGTTTCTGGTTGCTTCATATTCTTGTCTACACTTAGTATTATTTGTTCTTTTTATTAGCCTTTCTAGTGGATATATAATGGTATCACATTGTGATTTTAATTTGCATCACTTTGAGCAATGAAGTAGATCATTATTTTATATGTCACTTGGCCATTTAGGTCTCCTTTTTTTGTGAAATGTCTAATCTTTTTTTTTTTTTGCCAATTTTTTTGTTGTTACAATTGCTTTACTGATTTGTTGAAGTTTTGTTTTCATAATGTATTCTGTGTATAATACTTTTTTGATATAAGTATTGGAAAATATTATATTTCATCCTATGGGTTGCCTTTTCATGCTATTAGTGATAACTTTTTGTAAACAGAATACTTAATATAGTCCAATTTATCTTTTTTCTTTTATAGTATAAGCTTTTTTGAATCTTATATAAGAAATCTTTGCCTATCTCAAGGTCATGAAAAAGCTCTCCTATACAGCTTTATTAACTCCAAGAGATTTATTATTTTACCTTTTATATTCAAATCTATAATTCATAAAGAATTAATGTTTGTGTATGCTGTGAGGTCAAGACCAAAACATATTTTTCCCCAGTATGGATATCCAATCGATCCAGTACCACTTATTACGCCCTTTCTTCAAGTTGGAGAGGAGCTATTATAAATGGGGTGATGAAAGGAAATCTGAACTTCCATAACAGGCTCATTCTTAGACACCACAATTTTAGAAAAAGTAAACATGAGAGTTGAAAAACAGAGAATCTACTACTCTAAAAATATCTCTTTCTTCATATCTTTTGGGAAATCTTGAAGGACTCTAGGGCATTTCAGTTTGAACACTACTGTTCTAAGAAGTAAGTCAGGATAGAGGAAGATAAGCATTCTTAAAAGGGAGGATAGAGTCCATATGGCAACTCGTAGGCATTGTACATGCAAGAGGACGTTGGGGCCCAAAGGCAGACAAAGAGCTAATGATATTGTGGAGTAAATTGGGCAAACTTTCTTGACTAAATGAAGTGAGATCTCTTTTCTCCCTAAGCTACTTGGCAGTTTGTATTTATTTTTCTGTTGACTGCACAGAACTTTTCAGCAGTGACTACTAAAACCACACTATGCTGTAGCTTCATTTTGGATCATCATTTTTTCTTGCCAAAGGTCATTCAGCTAAAGATTTTAAATAGATCTCGATGGAATTTTATATGACGGAAATGATTGAGCAATCGCATTTTACCAGTTATTCTCTTTTTACATATGAAAATTCTAAAGCAGTGAAATATTAAAATAGATTGTCCTAGGTCATGTCCTGAGTTTTATGCTTAGTTTCTTAGAAACCAAAATTCCCTATTTCCAGCCTAGTGCTTTACCCCTCTCTGAAAGTTATGCCTTTGCAAAGAATTAAAAATTCCAGTCAAAGGAACCCCCAATCATCAGATGTTTTTGTTCTGTACATGGAGAATCAGCCTAAGGCTGTCTCTGTGGGCATGTGTGCTTCTGTGGATTTCCCAAGGGCCATGGGAATGGCTGTGGACACAGAGCAGGCAAAGTGTCTGTGATCAGGACATGATAGAGATGACACTGTACTTCCTTTAGCTGCCCTCGGAGACATCTTGTGCCTCATAGCAGAAGGTAGAAGTGGGGAGATTTTTGTCTAATAGGACGGTTTCAGGCACTGTCAGAGCTGTGGGTGGGTTACGTACCATTTCCTCAAGCTGTACTTGGGGGAGAAGTTGGGGAGAACTTGTGCATTTAACTGCTTGGGTTGGCCCAGCAGTGTTTCTTGCTTTTTCAACCCTCAGAGTTCTGAAGCAATCGGGAAATGTTACAGGAAGGAGAAAGAGGTTTTCAGGGACAGAAGGATAGTGACTAGCAGGGCAATGTTGGAAATGGAAAACAAAAAAACAAATTTTTTAAAATAAGCCTTTTACTTGGGAATATTTTAGATTTGCAGAATTATTCAGAAGATGCTACAGAGAGTTTTTGTATACCCTACACTCAGTCTTCCCTGTTAATAGCATCTTATGTTAGTATGGCACAATTATTGCAATTAATGAATAAGCATTGATATATTATTATTAACTGAAGTCCATACTTTATTCACATTTATAAAGTTTTTCCACAGTGTCCTTTTTCTGTTCCAGAATCCCATCCAGGAGACAATATTTTATTTAGGAAGGATGTCTCCTTAAGTCCTACTTGTTGTGACAATTTCTCAGACTTTCCTTGTTTTTGATGACCTTGATAGCTTTCAGGATCAGGTATTTTGTAGAATGTCCCTCGAGTGGGATTTGTCTGATGTTTTCTCATGACTGAGTTGGGGTTAGATGTTTTTGAAAGAAAGGGTACAGAGACAAGGTGGCATTCTCATCACATATCAAGGGTACATACTGTCAATGTGGCTTACCACTGTTGATGTTAACCTTGATCGCCTGGGTTAGATAGTGTTTGTCAGCCTTCTGCACTGCTTCCTGCAGGGCCAGATTAAATTTTGGAAGCTCTAAAGCATTGAAAAGGTTGTAAGACACATTTCCTCAAATTAATTTAAAAATATATATTACAAAATTTTAAATTGTTCTGATTTTTCCAATGATGACTACATTTTTTGTTGTGATTTTTAAGCTATAAAATTGTTTCCTAAAAAAATTGTATTATGAAAAAAACATATCATGGTGCTTCTGTTTTGTTGATGCTCTATCTGTCCCCACGGTAATCCAACAAAGGCCCTCTGGGAGCAGTTTCCTACTCTTCATCCCATTCGAGAGATATCCTCACGTTCTCTCTCATCCCTTTTCCTTTTGGAAAAGAACCTGGTAGGTGCTTTTTCTTCCCACAATAACTACAAATGCAAGGACTCCTTGCATTTAAATGAAATTAATATAATTCTCTCTATGAATATTTATTAGGAACAATAGTTCCTAATATATTAAAACAAAAGAAGATCTCTGCTAGAAACAGGAAGAGTAGCTACAAAGGTTAGTAATAAACCTTTGTTCTTAGGGATCTTCTGATCTATAGCAAACCCTACCTAAACCTAAACCATATGCATCAATCGCTGGTTTCTAAGACTTGCCACATGGCAGATGAGGTATGTTTTGCAGTCATCGGCTTCCTGGGAAATCTCCAAATCATATTCTTATCTTCTAAGTTTGGCCTTGTTCAGAAGGAACCTGGATGTTAATTAACACTAGCCACTTAACTTTCTTTTTTTTTTTTTTTGAGATGGAGTTTTGCTCTTGTTGCCCAGGCTGGAGTGCAGTGGTGTGATCTCGGCTCACCGCCACCTCCGCCTCCTGGGTTCAAGCAATTCTCCTGCCTCAGCCTACTGAGTAGCTGGTATTACAGGCATGCGCCACCATATCTGGCTAATGTTGTGTTTTTAGTAGAGATGGGGTTTCTCCATGTTGGCCCAGGCTGGTCTCGAACTCCCGACCTCAGGTGATCCGCCTGCTTTGGCCTCCCAAAGTGCTGGGATTACAGGAATGAGCCACTGTGCCTGGCCAACACCAGCCACTTTCTTAGCATCCACCTGGAGTAGGAACTATGCTTGACCATACAAAACCCAGAGTAAGTGACTAAGGTCACACAGCTGGTGGTAGTGGAGCCATGACTAGAGTCCTAAGCATCTGGCCTCAACATTTAGCTGTAACTCACAAGATGGTTTACAGTTTTCTCGTGTCAGGTTTACACAAAATCCTGGTGCATTATGAACTACACAGGTAAAAGGATAAAAGGATTCCTTTCTCTCCTCTAAAGTACTCTTTTTCATCTTGGTGATGATTTACTCCTAAATAGTAGTTAAAAAGTAGAAGAGGGTTTAATGCTCATGTTCCAATATTATTCTCAAACAAGGCAGCATCACATGCTGAGATTAGCTGTTTATCAAGGATTTAGTATTACTTTAATGTATACATTCATTTAATAAACTCTTCAGAATAATGTGTTAGAGAAGTTAAGTCTTCTCCATTAACAAATTAGTTTTTATAAGAGGAGGATGGTGTAAAGTATACTAATAAAAAGTATCCTCATATTGGGCAGATTACTTCAATATTTAGGACCATTAGAAAGGTAATTTTCAGTAATTTTCCTACTTTAGCCCATGCATAGCATTATTCATGGCAGAAGAGGAAATAATCTCCTATTAAATGGGACTTTAAAAATATTATCCTTTAATCATACCAGCTAATTAGCACTAATGTATAAAACACCAAACAGAAAAAAGTGATTAATATCATTGATATATTATAGACAGATATTTTGTTTAAAATATCCAACATTTGGTAGGAAAGGGAGATAAAGCACATAAGAATAATTTATTTAAAATTAAAAGTTTGAAGTTTACAATATTAAAATGTGGTAGTATATTAGTGAGTTGTGTATCATTAAAAAAAGTAAATGGCTTTTATAAATGCCACAGTCTTTATTAGCAACCTGATTATTATTTTTCTGGTCTAAAACCAGAGATTTTTCTCCAACTGCTAATTTAAGAGAAGTAGTTAATTATTTTTCTATTTCTCACTCTCTCGTTTTTTTTTTTTTAATGTAGCATAAATAGCTAGTTGCTTCTCAAATACCCAAACAACCATTCCATATTTCTTTCTTACTAATAGAACCTTGATTTTCTGGAATAATTACACAGAGTCATTTCATGATTTGAGGTAAGTTTAAGATAGTCATAAAACTTCATTCTCCTTTGCCAATGGCTATATTTTTCAGCTTTCTTTGCAGCATTTGAAGTTCTATAACTATGTTATGGACAATAAAGAAAAGATCCTGCTAAGAAGCTTCTGAAAAAAAATTGCTTTCCAGATAAAATGGCAACTGTACCACTGCTATTCTGTCATTTTTCTTTTCCTTCCTTTGAATTTAGGTGTGAAGCCTTGTGTTATGGAAGCCATCTTGTGACCACAAAACCACAAGCCACATGAAACAGATAAAAGTAGCCCCATTTTTATTATCAACATTAAATTTATCATGGACTGCCTGTCTTCAGACTTTTTATTACAATATTTTATTCAGTTTTAAAGTATACATTTATTTTGGCACTTTAACAGCTCCAAAATTAGGCTTGGAGACTATAGCAGAGGACTCTTTAAATCCTTAAGAACTGAGAAAGGAGGCAGAGGAGATGGTAAATTAGGTGGGTTTTAGCAGCATTGTTAAAGGGGATAGCTACCTATTTTCAAAGTTGGCTTCGGAATTTAGCTCCAGTGGTGCTTACTTCTTCAAAGGACTATTTTAAGAAATGTTGCATCATTTATGCTCTTGATGACACAGAAACCAACATTGAATGGAAAAACTCATTGGCAATTTTGAGTTGACTATGAATCAGAAGAGTTGAACTCTGAATCTGAAAGAGTTTAGAGACATTAACCAGTTTATTTCTCATTTTAAAGTATGCAGATAGGTGATATGATACAGATCCAGGTTTAATACATCTATATATAATAAAAATTCTAAGTAATATAGAAGCATGTGTAATAGTTACTTGGCAGCATGTTTCTTTAGAAACATACAATAATGATTACTCTTATAGCTGGCGGTACTTCAGTTTTGACAAACTGTAGTGTGTAAGAGAAAGAATCTCCTACTTGGTTAAGCCATTCCTAGTTGGGTATTTTCTTACTTGGAACTGGAATAATTTCCACTGTACACAAGAACACTCCAAATTCTTGTTCCATAAGCTGTACTTGAAAATATGTTTTTCATCCTACTGTATTATTCTTAAGACTCCGTTTAGCATGGCCTTTTGGTGGTCTGAGTGTGCGAGGCTTCCTTTAAATACCTGGATTGGCTTGAACTGATTATTAACTTACTATAAAAATCTTACACACACACTAATGTTTTTAGATAGCTACTGCTTCTTCAGCTTACATTCCAGGAATTATTTACAAATTTCAGAGTTCTTGAAGTCAGCTCTGTGATGGTTAATTTTATGTGTCAGTGTAACTGGGCTAAGGGATCCCCAAATAGTTGGTAAAACTTTAAGGTGAGTCTGTGAGAGTGTTTCTGGAGATTAGCATTTGAATCAGTAGACTCAGTAAACAAGATTGCCCTCATCAATGTGAGTGGTCATCCTCCAATCCATTGAGGGCCCAAAGAGAATGAAAGGCAGAGGAAGAGTGAATTTGCTCTCTCTCTTCTGGAGCTGGGACATCCATCTACTCCCGTCCTCAGATATCAGCATTCCTAATTTTGGGGCCTTCAGAATTGGATCCGTACTTACACTATTGCCCCCACCCTACAGTTCTTTGGCCTTTGGACACACACTGGGACTTACACCATTTACGTCCCTGGTTCTCAGACCTTCGGGCTTGGCTTTCCTTGGCCTCCAGCTAGCACGTGGGAGATTATGAGACTTCTCAGCCTCCATAATTACTTGAGCCAATCCCTCTTAACAAATCTCTTTATACTTATCTACATATAGTCATGCATTGCTTAATGATGGGGATGCACTCTGAGAAATGCATCATTAGGGCATTTTGTTATTGCGTGAACATCATAGAGTATACTTACACAAAACAAAATAGTGTAGCCTACCACATATTTAAGCTATATAGTATAGCCTGAATATTGTAGGTAATTGTGATAGAATGATAAGTATTTGTGCATCAAAACACCTGGAAACATAGAAAAGGTACTGTAAAGTATAGTATAAAATATAAAACACAGTACACCTATACAGAGCACTTACCATGAATAAAGCTTGTGGACTAAAAGTTGCCCTGGATGAGTCAGTGAATAAGTGGTGGTGAATGTGAAGGCCTAGCACACTACCATATACTTTTATATGACTGGTAGTGCAGTAGGGTTGTTTACACCAACATCACCATAAAGATATGAGTAATGCATTGAGCTATGACATTATGACAGCTATGATGTCACTAGACAATAGGAAATTTCTCAGCTCCATTATAATCTATGGGGCCACTGTTGTATATATGGTCCGACATTGACCAAAATGTGGTTATGACTATACAGCCTATGGGTTCTATTTCTCTGGAGAACTCTGACTAGTACAAGCTCCCAACTGGATTATATGATTTAAAGTGAATCACTTCTGTCAGAATGAGTGCTAGATATTCCTACTAGACATGTACTTCTCAGTTTGCTAAATAACATGCTTCTAGGAGGATATAGTAACTCTTCTTGCAAAAGCATTTCTTACAGAGCTTTGCAGGACTTTTGTTTTTTTTATTTTATGATTATTACTCTTTACTATTTGGTATTGACTTCTCTTTCTCTTAAAGATTTAAATCTAATGGTGTCTGTGCACCATTACATTCAGGGAAGATAAGAGACATATATTAAATCCCTGAAATATGCCATTCTTTTGTGTAGGCTTCTGTCATAACTGACTTACTCCATCATCAAAATAACATCTGAGGTAGATAATGGCCTGAGGTTATGCCCTGTGTTATATCTGAGGACACTAAGGCTGAGAGAGATTTAAAAAGTTGTCTAAACTGATAAGCCATTTTGATTAAGATTAGCCACACTCAAAAGTGTAAACAACTTCCAAATCATCATGTTTTCTCCTGAGAACAAGGGACAATTCACAACAAATACTTGAATGTGTCCTACAGGCCACTCATTGTACTGGCACTGTCCCTGCCTTTAAAGTGCTAATAGTCTCACGAGAACTAGAATGATGCATGGTACTTTCAAGCCACATTGGCTAAGTAAAACCCAATGGTATGACCAGAACAACTGGTCTTAAAAAAAGGCTCTGGCAGCCTTTTAGCATAGAGGTTGGCTAACAGCACTGAGCACAGACCTTGAAGTCAAGATCTTCTGGCTTCACATCTCCAACAATTAACTTATTGCTTGACTTCATATAGTCTGTTTCCTCATCAGCAAAATGTAATAATAATGGAAATAATTATGTACTTTACAAACAGTTGTGTGAAGTAAGTGAGATACTACTTACTAAGTGCTCATGTGGTTTCTGGCACTTAATAGGCCTCCAGCAAAGTTTTGGAGGAGCTAAGAATGAGACTCCAGGAATGGAATATCTCAAAGATAGGACTTGTGTGTGAGGGCCCTGGACTGGAAAGACACTAGGAGAGGGTTTTGCATGGGGATTCCTCTTCCGTACCCTAAACATAGTGCTAAAATTTTCAGAAAGGACTTGCTTGGGAACACTATGAATAAAACAGAATGTCCCCCCGCCCCCCACCCTTTTTTTTTTTAAACTGCTGACAACTGCTAAAATGCTTACAGACTTAGCCTGGATTTTCAAAGAGGATTAGATATCACTAACAAGATTGTCCAGGTGCCTAAAAATTTATGCGATGTTTTCTCTGATGAGGGAGTGCTTTGTTGTGAGCTTGCAGAACAGCTGTGATCTCTGTTTATAGGGCTTACCATTATTTGAGTGTCTGTGCTCTGCCTCATGGGCTATAAAGTAAGCCAAGTCATCCTGTTTGCTCATGGTAAAATATTACAAATTAAGTCAATAAATGCACTTCTCCCAACTGAAAATCTGCACCCCTCTGGACATCACAGAGCTATCTGATACCTTGTCTTTCTGTACTCTGGTCTCTAGGTTCCTTGCAATCTGCAACTTGATTGAAAAATTCCCAGTTCTATATTCTTCTGTATGAAGAAGTAGTACTGCATCTGTAAGCCAGATCCTTGTTTCCTCCTGCTTACTTTATCTTTTCCCATATCGTTCTAGGAAGACATGTTTGCCTTCTCAGTCTGCGGAGAAAATTAGATAAGTATTATATGTTGCTTTTAATATCTATCCAGACAATTACATCAAAAACTTTTAAGTGCTTCTCTTCTGTTCCCTATTTGACTGCCTGCAGCATTTCTCAACTAAAAGCTCTCTTTCCAAACTTTGCTTTAATTGTTAATAGGCATCTGCTGAGAAGGCTTAACTTTGCTTTATGGCATGGTGTGGGAGATTTCGATGTGCCTCAGCTTGTTTGTGGCAGAACTTGGGGAATGGTGAGAAATTAGATAACAGTCTGTTGAGCCCTAAACATACATCAGTAAGAGATCACTGCAGAAATAATAGCTGACATTTGAAAAGCATTTCATAATGTTATACTAACCAACCTTCCTGGGTTAAGAACTAGATTGAGCAGCACACAATCCCCATGAAAATGTTCTCAATTTACTACTAGCTGAGAGCCCTGCTGCAGTTCTGTTATTAACTGCTCCACTATGGCAAAAGGATAGAGGAGAATGTTGAACAGGGCTTTTCTAATTAGTGTTTGTGGTGCTAGTCTGCTGGCTGACCTTGAAATTGGAATAAGGCAGGTCAGACATTAAAACTCAGAGAAAGAAATCAGAATTCTTTAACTCTCTTCTCTCTATACTATCTTTAACTCCACTTCTCGACTCGTCTACTCTACTTCTCTCATACTATCATAGACCTACAACTGGGCAACCCTTCATACTCTATGTTTATTTGTCTTATACTTTTACAAGGCTTAATAAAACTCCAGCTTACTAGCCAACCAACATGAGAGTTTTTCTGATTCTCCATAATGACTTCTAAATGTCAAATGAGTAAGATTCAGTTTATCCAGTTCCTTAGGCAAGATAACAAGCCCCCGATTTCTAATAATGTAGGAAGCTTGTTACTTTTTAACAACTGGCCTTGAAGACCTGGGTGGTTCCCAAAACCCCTTAATTTGACTGCAAAGATGAGTCACTGAAAACTCTGTCATCAACCATACTATGGGGACAGTGCTAACAGAGATCCTTGAAATTCCCAGATAATCCCCAAACTACCATTTGGCTACCAGCTTTAGCCTCTTAACTTAAATCTTCACTAGAACTGCTAACAACATTACACTGATAAAAGCTTCAAAAGAGCTAGCATATTTCTGAGAAGTGTTAACTTGGGGATGTATCAAGAATTGGGCCATAGAAAGAAGTTATAGAAGCAAAAATTGAATATTCATTCTTGTATAACAAATGCATTGTAGAGTTTTGAGTACTTATTGCATCATTTAATTGTCAGTAGAATAGTTTGATTTAAGCTATATAACAGTTTTATCATTTATTTGTAAGCCTTAACTAGGTAGAAATATCTTTTTATAGAATTTAAACAATATATTAGGAGCAGAAACTGACTTGCTGAGAAATTGCTGGGTCTTTCCAGAGGTCGTATGAATAGATTCTTAGACAAAACAGAAGTCTAATTCTAGAAAACTGTCTAGTTTTCAAATGTCTATTATAATCTATCTCTGAGTCTTAAGTGTTAAGGCCTACTGCTCTTCTCATTGTGTTAATGGGCTTTTGCTTGTGCGCCGCAGAGACTAATTTTCTTTCCCATATAGATATAAATAAGGACAATGGTACAAAAGAGAAAATGGTGAGGGAGGCCTTGGAGCTAGAGTTGGGAGCCTTGTAGGATTCCCTGGGTTCCTCAGAAAGCGCTCCCTAATGTGGAAAACCAAAGTCAGGTAAATGGAAGAGGAAATGTTAAAGGAGAATTACTTTCTGGTATTTATGCTACTTTCATAGACATCTTTTATAGCTCCTGCAAAGGCAAGAAGGAAATCATTATGCACTTTGTATAGTGACCCAAGCCCTGGCATGGAAATTAAAATACTTGCTATTAACTCTAACTCTGCCACTAAAGTGTGTGGCCTCAGGCATGCTATTTCTTTTCCTCCATCTCTTTATTTGTAAAGTGAGTAGTGTAAACCATGGGTGAAACACTCATTTTCTGCCCAAACATTTGATGTTAGAAACCTTGTGATATAATGGAAATACCACACATTTAGGAATATAAGCAAATTTCTAGTTATATGTTGTGTAACACTGATTGAGTGAGCTCTTTTAGTTTCTTATCAGTAAAATAAATAGATTAACACACACTTTGCAGGGCAGCTGTGAAAATAAAAGATAACATATAATAAATACCAGGAAATGTGCCCAGAATGTAGAACAGCTTTACATTAAAAAACAATGTTTATTCAATGATGCCATGACCTGGTCCTAAATGGCCCTGCATTGCAGGTTGAGTTGTAAGTCTGACTTCTGTCTCCATGGATTAAGCAGCATGGAGTCTGTGTTACTACCTGAGAGTAAAAGCGATTCAAAGCTCTTGGCTCTGTCTATGAATGAATGCAAAGGCAATTCTCTCCCAGGACCTCTTGGAAATGCTATGGGAGATTAGAGGCCCATTGCACAATCATGCCTTAACTCAGCCTCTATGGCCCTGGGACCTCTCTAACCCCTCTCTAACCCCTCTCAGCTATGTTGAAAGCTCTGCTGGTGAAGGAAAATGTAGTGAAGCATGGCAAGCTACTTTACTCACACCAAGAAATGCAAAGCCCTGACAATGTAGAGGGGTTCCAGAATAAGTCTTTGAATCCTTTTTCTGATATTCTCAAATACTTGTGTTGAGAATTGGGCAGGATGCTGAGGGGTGGGGAGTAGGCAAAAGATGGCGAAAGACATCCACTTCAGCGAACCTCTAATGTTTCCCATTCAGTTGGGAATCTAATGTTTCAGATTCAGTTGGGAATCTGTCAAAAAACGGGCTACATCTTAGGGGAAATAATCCATCTTTTAAAAGTTTCCATCAACAACAAACTTCTCTCATTTACAAGAAAATGCATCATTTGACACCTTGGAGATTTTACCTGGAGGAAGATAATTTCTTGAAGCTTCTTGTGCCTGTGAGAGCCCAAAGCTATTTTGCAGCTGCAATATTGATAATGTATTCACATTCTCCCCAGAGCACTGGATTCTTTAACCTTAATATTGAGTCTGGAATGAGATTCTGTCCTCTAGAGGTCACCAATGCACCAGATTTGAAGGCCACGGAGGCTTCTAAAATGCTCAGGAAGAGCTAGGTGTCCTGTTCACATATGAATGAAAGAGAAAATAAGGCAAGTAAATTATCCTAATGGTTATTTTCCAGCTAGTCTCTGAAGAAGTAGGAAATCTGGTTTTCAATAAGGCATTTTAAAATGGATTTATCTTGGTTTATCTTGGCTTTTCTCTGCACTGATCTAGCTGAAGGAAACTCCTATAGTAATTAAATACTTCTTAACAGATAGTTTACTTTTGATAGTGAGAGAAGAAACTTTTCTAAATAGAAGAAAAACTGATGTAGAAATAGGCTATTATAGCCTCCATTAAATGAGTGTTACTTTCACTGGTGCTCTGGCCAAGGCAGAAGGTCTCTCTGTGCCTCCTCAGCACACTGTCTTCAAAGGGCATGGGGACACAGAAGCAGGGAAACATGGCCCTTTAATTCACAGTTATATAATTTTTGAGTTGCTTTATAAGGAGAGACGCCATCTAAAGTATTTATATCTCTGCAGACAAATTAGAAACTGCACATAAAGGGATCACTTTGAGAGTCAAAATATGCCTTTCCCTTGGGAGAACAATCAGTCAAGAGCCAAGAAAGTGGTAGTCTCCGTTTGGGACTATTGGGACCTAAAGGAAAGTCTTAATCAGACTTTGCCTTTTTAGTTATCCTGATGCGTTAATCTTGTATGAAGCTAGTTGTCTCCCTTAAATAGAACTAGCCAGGAGAACAGCACTCCACGTCGGCAGCCGGACTGAACGAGGGGAGTATACACTGCGCTGCCCAGGGTTTGGGAGGTGCGGTGTCCTAGCCTGGTGCCCATGGACTGCACTGTTCAAGGCGTGACCTGAGAGTCACCACCAGCGGTTCCCAGCATTGTTCCTGCTGCTCTGGTTGCTCTCCAAGGAGAGGAATTCCTACACCACGACTTTCCCAGGGTCCAGACACTTGCCAGCACCTGACCCATCAGGAAATCGCCTCTCCCCTCTTCCTTCCCCTATTCCTTCCCGAGCATTCCCCAGTCCAGGGTGTGGTCAGCCCTCAGAAGATCTGCTGGGATTGATTGACAAAAAAACAAAACCTTCCTCTAGATAAGAAAGATCACAGTGCTATAGGAAATCTATTTACTTCTGGGTGGCACTTGTCTACCCTCTCTCTCATTCTCTCTAACACTTTTAACTGCTGACTGTGTAGTTTCTTATCATTTCTTCAAGATATGTGGGGCAGTCAATCTTCAATCAATGAGCATTGTTTGGGTAACTCTTTTTATGGCCAATTCACAAGGAAGTAAAACATTTTGTCCTAGAGAGTTAGTGGTGGTCTTTCTCAGGGTTATTCGACATTTTCTTTAGCACTAAGAAAGAACAGAGACAAATTTTTATTTCTGAGCTGTTTCCGTTAGCTGAGAGCCCCCTCTAAAAGCTGCTAGTACTACAGAGATGTGAGAGTTCAGCAAAGGATGGCACTCGTCATCTATTCTGGAGAATCCTGTAACGTGGATAATATGCTAGGTGGGTGGCAAAGTGTTGTGCAATGTGCTTTGCTAGGTTGAGAATCGTGTCCCTGACTTCTTGCCGATGTAGAGCTGACAGAAAGCTTTCTGGGGATTCAGTGGTTTGATCTTGGTTACCAGTTGAGTGACTGTAAGCAAGCCTCTCTTATGTCTTATTTCTCTTATTTGTAAAGTAAAAGGTTTGGACATCATTTTCTCTAAGGTCCATTTTGAAGCCAGAACCCACTCTGAGAAATTAAGGCTGCTCAGTCAGGGCAGTTGCATCTTAGCAAGTGTGTTGGCCTCTTAAGACTGCCTTAACAGTGTACCAAAACCCAAATGGCTTAAAACAACAGATAATTCATTTTCTTATAGTTCTAGAGGCTGGAAGTCTGAAATCGAGGTGCAAAGAGGGCCAAGGTCTCTCTGATAGCTCTAGGGAGAATCCTTCCTGGCTTCTTCTGCCTCTTGGTGTTTGCCAGCAATCCTGGCATCCCCTGGCCTGCAAATGCCTCACTCCAGTCCTATTATCATCTTCTCCCTGTGTGTCTTCACACGGTCTTCCCTCTGTGCATGTCTGTCTCTGTGTCAAAATTTCCACTTTCTATAAAAACACAGTCACATTGGATAGGACCTGCCATAATGACCTCATTTTAACATGATTACTTCTGTAAAGACCCTATTTCCAAATAAGGTCACATCTTGAGGTACTGGGGAGTAAGACTTCAGTGTATCTTTTTGAAGGGATATAGTTCAAACCATAACCGTAAGCACATAACAAATCCCTCTGTGCTGGATATCTTCTCTTTGACCTCTGGGTGCATTGTCCATGTTATTTTGTGCCCTGGCCTCTATAGATTATACCAAGGGATTCCCTTGTCCTCCAGCTTTCAGTTGGGTTTAGCAATGACAGGCGATATGATGGAAGAGGAGAGTTGGATAGGGTGAGTGGTGGTATTTAGTCCCCTGCGGGGTTCTCTCTCTGTAATAGGAGATGTTACTACAGGCTGGCTCTTCCTTTAAAGAGACTTTATCCACACAGATTTCTTTGCCTCTGGGACTCTTAGGGCTGCGTCAAACCTTTAGGCTAAAGGTCAACAATTATTTCCCTCCTCTGGCTTCACTGTGGTTTCCCTACAGTGGATCCATACTTTAAAAAATATATTATTTTTATTAAACTCTCTTTATATTATCCATTTTGAGTGGAACGTCTATTTTCTACAAGGATTCTGACTCTACATTCTCAATGACTGAATTGTTTTTCTAGAAGTTTAAGGTGTTAGTTTGGCCCAGAGAAGTCTTGGGAAGGATAAGTTGTCTTGCAATTTGGAGAACCCCTAGTCCAAGAAACATTCAAAAGTCCAGGTCTAGTGAGGCAGGTACACCAGGCTTGGTGATATACCTAGCCTGTATCTGGATGATGTAGGTAGGGACATTTGTAGGTTTATGACCACTCTGGAACAGCCCTTCCAGGGTAATTGCGCATCCCGGAGCCAGGCTGGCTTTCACTAAACCCACCTGGACTTTCTCTGTCTTGTCCCTGCCTCCCTGCAGGACTTCACTGCATTTTTTTCACCCAGTATCCAGATTTCTTTCAGTAATACAATGACTTTCTTTTAAAAATTGTTTCACATATAATAATTTCTAAGTCAGTTTTTTTAGGTCAACTTAGTCATTACTAATAAACATGCTAGGGAAAGAATATTGTGTCAGATATTCTATTGGATATTCCATTTGATGTTCTATTTTCCAAATGGAGAAAAGAGGCACATGTATGAAAGGGATTGATGACAATCTCTAGAATGACACATTCTTAGACTGCCCTGTGAAGCAGATATTACTATCCATTTTAACTAAATGAAGCAACTTGAGTTTCTGAGCAGTTCAATGAATTACTCTGCTTACTCAGCTAGTAAGTTTATAAGGGCTGGTTCTCAAATCCACGTTTTCAAATTCCATTACTTGCTTCTAAAAAGGTCTGTTTGTTTTTACTATGATGTTCATAAGCCTTTTAAGAAAAGAACATCTGTACTATATGATTTGGTACATGGCCTTTCCTCCCTCCCAGTGTCCAAGATAGCACTTTGCACATAGCCTAGCATTCTGAAGACTTCTTGCATGGAAGAGGCAGAGAAACGCACCTGAGAATGTTGCATAGCTGTTAAACTCCCTTTCTTAAACTCATTTCTCTGTCGGATTTCTACAGATCCTTAAAACATTATCTGTTACACATTAAGTCAGTCTTTTTTTTTTTTTAAATTGGCCTTTCTTCAATGAATTTCAATCTTCCCTTCACCCTGGGTGCCCCGGTGGCTGTTGCTTTCATTCTGGAACTTGGGTAAAATCTACACCCACATCGATTTGTTAACAATATCTGTTGAAAGCCTATTGTGCTTTGGCTTAGCTGATCGCTGCTGTAGCCATGAAAATGGACACCTATATTTAAGGGTGAGAATTATACCACGGATATGAAATGTCTCTTAGAATGGACAAGGGAGAGGGACACATTACTAGAAAACAAAGAAAACACACTGAGTTGAATATTTGTGGCTTAAGTTGCTAGTTATACTTGGAGAATTCTGAGTTGGTTTGCATTAGAATTCTTATTGCCCTTTTTAAGGAGGAAACCCCCCCCAAAAAAACTCATTAAAAAGTAGAAAGGGTTTTTTGGATATCAAGTAGCTCTTTCCACATCACATTTGGCTGATTCCAGTGTGAAGGGACAAGAAATGCTTAAATGTTCTTTTCTTTAAAGCCCACTTGGGATTAAGTAAGAAATGGAAAACATCCTACAAAACCCATGTGAATTGTTTTGGAACTCAAACATTTGGAGAGGCACTTATAAGAATTCTTTTATGTTTGAGAATGCCCGCGTTGGTTTCACTTTTACTCTGGACATTTTCTGTGTACCTTATTACAGTATCATCACAGTTTTATTATTCTAGGCATAAAAGCAGCAGATTTTTTAAAAAGATATAAATAATATAAAGCAAAAGAAAAAATCTATAGAGAATAGGAATAATTGTGCCCCCCCTCTCAAAAAAATCCCTTATTTATGATTGACTTTCAGGGTAAGAGAGGTGGGGCAATATGAACTGGTATCCATGATAAGGCAAGGGTAGTATGCCTAAAGCGTTGCACAGAAGGCAGATTTATCTGTATTTAGTCATTTCTCTTACTCTTGCCAGACTTGTTTTCCTGAATGTCACTTTCGTTGTGTTGCATTCCTTCTTAAGCAATTAGCTTGGCTTCTCACTGTCCACTGAGTCAAGTTTGTGCTTCATTCCCTGGATTTCACAGCTGTGCAGAATAGTATCCAACTTGGTTTCCTGCTCTTTCATGAAGGACGAGGTCAGAAGAAAAGCCCAGAACTTCATAGGTGATGAGCAAGGTCATTCTGGGAATGGTCAGGCTCCTTTACTGGATGAGTTCACAAAGGTGAAAAGAGGTGCTTGAAGACAGTTCCTGGGGGGTGCTAGGACCCCATACAGGTTATTGAGACAGGAATCAAGGTCCAGCTTCCTGATCTCAGTAAAAATGCGGGGACTTGACTACGAGACGTGGCCGAAACTCTCTTTAATGCTACAGCACAAAGGCCAGAGAGAGGCTAGTGTCAAATCTTTGTATGCAATCCTTGAAGGTACTGCACAAAGTCCCCTAATTATGAAACAGGAATAGTTTTAAAAGAGACATCCTGAAGCTGAAGGTGGAAATCACAGTGTTCCAGTGCTAGAAATCAGGAGGAGGGTAGACCCTTCTCTTGCCAAATGGCTTATATTTAGTCTGATCTATGTTCTTTGGGCTGTAGACTTGCCTGAGCATATGTGGTAGATTGGAGGGAAGGGCCAGGAGGACTGCATTTATATAAAGGACCA
Organism: Homo sapiens; assembly: GCF_000001405.40. NCBI lineage: Eukaryota > Metazoa > Chordata > Mammalia > Primates > Hominidae > Homo > Homo sapiens. Next base: position 57,784,973 of record NC_000005.10, read on the forward strand.
ATATGATATCTGGTGCACATGACTTTCTCTAGAAATAGGGTAGTAATTATGAATACCATATGAGCTGTCACTCTAAATGTCATCAACTCAGTTTCCATGGATTTATGTCTGAGTCTTAGGTTCAGAGGAAGCTGCAAATAAAAACTGGAGGAGTTGTACCCTTGCAGAATAAAAATTAGCACTATTTTGGGACCAATGCATATAATAATACAATATTCAGAGGTTTTTCTAACTCCATTATCGACATACCAAAGCTTTGCTGCATTGGGGGCTTTTAGAGGAAGCACTGTAGTTTCTTTTTTGTTTTAATTGATGACTTTAGCACATCACAGATTTTATCCGAAAAAGAGACAAGTAAAGTCCACTTAATGTAATTGTAATAAGTAGAAAGATACATCATCACTGCATATTCTTCCATGACACTTATTTCATTTTTTTCCTTCTAACTTTAAAAATTGTGGGGAATGTACATTAGGTGATTTATAATATATTATGTAGATATAGTTATTTAATCCTTTTGAAGTATCATGTTTGAAAGAGAAATGTATTGTCTTCTAACAAACTACAATGGTTTGCTTATTACATAATTAATTCATGGTAACATGCCAACCTCATGCTATCAAATGCAAAACCCATAGATCTTGTCATCTGGGCAATTCTTTCGAGGCAATACAAGAGTCATCCTCTCCCTCCCCTTGTATGTTTGCAATGGGTGACAGGAATGGTTAGTATCACATTTAATTATATAATTATGCACATTATGTAATTGGAAAACATTACTTTTTGTATGATTCCCTGTAAAAGATGGTTTCCCAAGATATAATTTGATTTTTTTCCACCTCAACTGACTGGAATAGCAAGGTAAGATTATGAAAGAGTTCAAAGGATAGAATCAAAGACTTTGAGAAAATAAAAGCAATACAATTGACTGATGCTCTCAATCATCAGTTGTACTGATTCCAACAGCCTTTAGTTTGGGCTACCCTGCCATATATATGAGGTAACTTATATATAACCCAAGAGACAAAATAGAATAATCTGTTTCATGGAAATATTTTGCATCCAATACAGGATCCGAGAAATTAGGAACAGTCTGAAGTTCTCTTGGTCCTCTAAATAGTCAATTAATGATAGAGATGGAGCCCCAGGCTAACCTGAATTTAGTCAGTTAAATGGCATGAAGTTGTTTAGAAACTGGATCAACATTTATACGGGTCAAAAGTCCAGGGACCTTTATCTCAAGACTACTAAGAGAACAAAATCAGTATGATGAGAGGAAAAGAAAAAATGTTTAAATGTAAAATATTAGTGAAAGGTTTTGCATAATGAAGTGTTAGAGCTGAGAGGTTCTCTGAAATAGACTAAACATCTGTTTTCTAGGACTGAACAGATTCCTGGGATACAGGGCTTTCAGTGCTAAGAATATCTGTGACCAGTTGGCCACCTATCGTTGAGCACATTCCACCCAACTTCTTCACGTTACATAGAAAAGTAATAAGGTACGGTTAGGTGAAATTACCTAACCGTACCTTTTTAGTCTGTTTTAGTCTGTTTGTGCTGCTGTGATAAAATACCTCAAACTGGGTAATTTACAAAGATCAGAAATCAATCTTCTCACAGTTCTAAAGACTGGGAAGTCTAAGATACTAGAAGATTCAGTGTCTGGTAATGGCTTTTGCTTTCTTGCTGTGTCCTCACATGCAGAAGAAATGAAAGCGCCAGGAAGATCTCTAAGGACTCTTCTATAAGGGGTATTCATCCTAGCCATGAGGTTGGAGCACTCATGGCCTAATCAGCTCCTAAAAACCTTACGTCTTAATACTATCACACTGACAACTGAGTTTCAATGTATACATTTTGGGGGCACAATCAGACCATACCAACTGGCCAGTGGCAAAGTCAAGAATACATTCCCAATCTGGTGCTTGTCCCACCACACTTGGTTTAGATGCCAGAAGATGGGGCTGAGGGCCTCTAACTAGGGAGGACTGATTACAATGGAATTAATAGTAATGAAAAATATGATTACAATAGCAATATAATAAACAACAAATTTCTAGAATCCTGAAAAAAGTTACAACTTTAAGTCATTTCTCCCCCTAAATCATCATGTTTTTCAGTTTAAAATATTTACTAATTTCCCTCGAGATTTCATTTCTAACTCTAAGGGTTATTTATAAATGTGATCTTTAATTTCCAACTATCTGGACATTTTCCAGTATCTTTCTGTAATTGATTTCTAATAAATTCTCTTGCAGTCAGAGAAAATACTCTGTATAATTTCTATTCTTTTGAATAGAATTGTTTTATGACCCAGAATACAGTTAATCTTAGTGAATGTTCCATATGCACCAGGAAAAGATGTGTATTCTACTACTCTATAATGTGTCTTCTTATAAATGCCAATTAGTTTGAGTTGATAGTATGGATGAGATTTTCTTCTATCTGTATTGATTTTCTACTTGTTCTTTTAATTACTGAGAGAGGGGTGTTAAAATCTCCAGCTGTATTTGTGCATTTGTCTGTTTCTCCTTTTAGTTCTGTGAGAATTTTTCTTGTATTTGGAAGCTCTGCTATTTGCTGAATATGTATTTAAGATTATTATGTATTCTTGATAAATTGACCCTGTTATCATGAAATGTCCCTCTTTATACCTGGAAGTACTCTTTATTCTAAAGGCTTCTTTTTCTGCTATTAACATAGCTGCTTCAACTCTCTATATATTGATGATTTCATGATATATGTATTTTTCATCCTCTCATTTTTAAGTTATTCCTGGCTTTGTATCTAAAATGGGTTTCTTGTAAACAACATATATTTTGAGTCTTGCTTTTTTCAGTTTGACAATTTTCATTATTTAATTGGAAGTTAGACCTTTCAACATTAATGCAATTATTGATATGATTGGATTTATGTCTGCCATCTTACTATGCATGTTTTCTATGTGTCCCATCTGTTCTTTTTTTAATTTTTTAAACTGCCTTCTTCTGGATTAACTGAACATTTTTTAAATGATTTATTTTATCCCACTACTAGCTTATTAACAGTATCTTTATTTTATTTTTTATGGTTGCTTTCTGGTTTATAATATACATCTTTGATCACAATCTATAGAGTATCACACCATTTATTGTGACTTACTTTCATTTCAATTCTCTGATTTATTGAATTATGTTTTACCATTGAATGTGTTATGCTCCATGATTGTTATTTATTTTGCCTTAAATGTTCACTTTTCTTTTAAATAACTTAAATAAAGGGGAAAAAACATCGTATATTTACATGTTTACATTTTTAGCATTTTTTCATTTCTTCAAGCAAAGGAAAACGATGCCAACTTACTTTCTGGCATCATTTTCCTTTCACTTGAAGAACTTCCTTTAAGACACTTTGTAGTAAAGGTCTACTGTTGACAAATTTTCTTAGCTTCGGTTTGCCTAAAAAAGTTTTTATTTTGCCTTTATTGTGAAAGATATTTTCACTGAATATAGAATTTCACATTGACATATTTTTTTCTTGCAGCTGTTTAAAATGCTGTTCCATTGTCTTGATTTGCATAGTTTAGGATGATAAATCTATAGGATATATATCTTTGTTTTCTGATACCATGTGTATTTTTTCTCTGAATACTTTAAAAAATTTCTTTTTATTTGTATTTTTTAGCAATATTATTATGATGCATATTGGAAATGTGTGTGTATATTTGTATTTGTATACAGGTGTGTGTGTTTGTCCAGTTTGGATTTTATTGAGCTCCTTGGATCTATGGGCTTATAGTTATCATCAAATTGAGAACATTTTGGCTATTATTCTTCCAAATATTTGTATTCATTCTCCTTACCTGGATCTCCCCCTCCCCCCAATTTTCCTCTTTCTGAAACTTAAATTACTTTTATGTTAGGCCACTTGATATTATCATACTGGTCATGAAATCTCTGATCATTTTTTGTTTTTCATTTAGTAGTTTCTTTCTATGTGCTTCATTTTGAATACATCTTATTATTGTGTCCTCAAGTTTACTGAAATATTCTAATATTTTCTTTCATAGAATAGAATCTACTGTTAAATAACTCAGTGTATTTTTTCATCTCCAAAAGTTTTATTTCTTTTCGTTTCACCTACTTGTCTTCATTATGCTCACGTTTTTCTTGACATATTTTAATGTTTGTAATGTATAATAGCTTTTTAAATGTGCTTACCTGCTAATTTTATAATCTCTGTCATTTCTGGGTCTGTTTCTTTTGAAAAGTTTTTCTCCTTGTTATGGACCAGATTTTTCTGCTTCTTCATACTCTAGTATTTTTTACTGGGTGTCAGCTATTGTAAATTTTATATTACTGATTGTTAGTTTTTGTGTGTTTTTCTTTAAAGAGTATTAGATTCTTTCTCCTACAGAAAGTGAAGTTAGATACAGATTAGTTTGATCCTTTTGGAGCTCATTTCTAAGTTCTTTGAGGGTGACTCTAGAGTAGATCTAATTCACTCCCAGTTTTAAGCTATGATCTTTTTTTGTCTCTATTATTTGCCATATATATTCAGTGAGGTCTCTCTATTTTTAGTGGAGAAACATTGAACAATTTCCAGTCTCACGTTAGCATTGGTATTTGTGTTATAGCTATCCTGTTGCATGTTACCCTGTTATTTGGCTACTATTCTTTCAAATATTTGCAGGCACTCTCCCTACCTGCATCCACCCCCAATTTTTTCTTTCTAAAAAGCAAAATAACATGTGCTGATTAATATTCAGCCAAAGACTCAAGAAAACTTCAATTCAGATATTTGAGGCTCTTTCTCTGCATTTCTTTCTGTTCTTAGGAAATTGTTTCTGCCTATTCTAGAAATTTCATCTTCCCTGAACTCAGATATTCATTTCCTAAACTCAAGAAGACCATTTATCTCTGTTTATTTTCTTTCTCGCTGTGCTATAGTCTTAAAACTACCTCAGGCAGAGGATTGTAGGGCTCATCCAGTTGTTTACTTCTCTCTCCAATATTAAAGTCCTGGTGTCCATTTTTTCCAATGTCTAAAACTATTTTTTGCATAGTTTATGGTTATTTCTCATTCAGGGTGATTTTATTCTCTGTTACTCATTTGTGGCCAGAAGCAGAAGTCAATAATTGTATTTTTGATATGAGCAAAATTTAGTTCTTAAAATTAGAAATGTAGAATTCATCTCTTAGTTCTAGTTTTATGTATCTTACTGGTTAATTTATATTTTCCTTCAAACTTTAATAGATATCTCAATCTTAATGATTTACCAAACAGAAATCTTAAATTTACATAGCACACCCTCACTCAAAGTGCGCTTCCCTTGGTCTTTAACATTTAGTAAATGGCACAAACATCCATCGGATTATTCAAGCTAAGAACCTAGAGTCATGTCAAGTCATCTCTTTCCTTCACATCCCATATTCAACTCAACAGTCCTATCAATTTCATTTCTAAGATACGCCTCACATCTATTCAATTATCATCTTCACTGACAACAATGTAGTCTATCACCTGTCATATAATTATTATAACAATTCCATACCAATCTCCTATCTTCCAATTTTGTCTCTCTCTTATTTATTCTCCATACAATAGCAAGAGTAATGTCCTAGAGGAAGTAAATTGAATCATATAATTCTCCTATTTTAGATTTTCAATGGCTTCCTTTGCACTCAGAATAAAATTTAGTCTCCTTACTACAACCTGCAAAACCCCACAAGACCTGGCTCTTGTCTGTCTCACCAGATCTTTGCCTCACCATTATCCAGTTTTTCACTATGTTCTAACCATATAGTTTTCCCTGAAGTTATTCATGTGCCGTTTGTCACCTTAAGGCCTTTGTATATGAATTTCTTTCCTAGAGTGTACTTTCCCTATTCTTTCTATGATACCTCATTATCCTTAAAGTTGTTCCTTATATATCACCTTCTCTGAGATATCTTCCCTGACAACTCCATCTAAGGAAGTCCCCTAATTCATTGTTTTTATTTTATTTATTTATTTTTTTTGAGACGGAGTCTAGCTGTGTCGCCAGGCTGGAGTGCAGTGGTGTAAGCTTGGCTCACTGCAACCTCTGCCTCCCAGGTTCAAGCAATTCTCCTGCCTCAGCCTCCTGAGTAGCTGGGACTGCAGGCGTGCACCACCACACCTAGCTAATTTCCAGCTAATTTTTGTATTTTTAGTAGAGACAGGGTTTCCCCATGTTGGCCAGGATGGTCGCAATCTCCTGACCTTGTGATCTGCCCACCTCGGCCTCCCAAAGTGGTGTTATTAGAAGCGTGAGCCACTGCTCCTGGCCTTAATTCATCGTTCTATATCAGTCCTTTGTTTGTTTGTTTTCTAAAATGGATCACTTCCTTTTTGGTAATTTGTCAATTTAAATTTTTATTTTTGATTTTCTTCCTCACTAAATTATGATCTCCATGAGGGCAGGGACCTGCCTGAAATTCTTACTTATTTTTGGCCTTCTAATGTCTAGCAAAGTGCTTGGCTGAGGGCAATTTCCTAACTACAGAGATGAGAAGGGGAACCCAGATAGAGACATGTAGCTTTACTGAGTTGAGGAAATAAGCATTTTAGTCTATGGGACCTGAGGTTACTAGAATTGGTTGGCTTAAATAATTAATGTATTAGACCAATGTGGAGAAAGTACACTTAAAATAGAGGTGAGAATGGAATAAATTGATATATCTGGCAGGACTTTATAAAGTAGATTTATAGAAAGCATAATTAGACATAGAATGGTAAAACAGCATTAGATTTTAGCACAGTGTCTGTCTTAGCACTCAATATATAATTGTTGAATCAGTGGAAATGGGTAGACACCTTCAATACTGGGTATTCCCTCCTCCTGTTGGGGAACTTCAGCCTGAGGACTCTATTTTATTTCATCCACAGGTTATTAGAATTCAGTTTGACTTGTTTTCATCTTGACTGATCCTAGAGTGAATCAATCTGTCTAAAACACTAAAGCAAAGCACTCTCCTCTCTGCTAACTCTATTTTCTCTTTCTCTGAAAGTGAAGGGCTACATACCATGTCAATACTACCATTCCCACTACTATTTTGAAGATGAGATTATCACATTATACTGAATATCTAGAAATCAGAGCCTTGGGGCATTCCTAGGATAACATTCCATCCTTCTGATGGTATCCTGGAGTAAAATACATGCAAATAAAACAGCCTCACACTTAGACCCCTTCACTTATATCCTATCCCACGAACATGTGGATGCCTATTCAAGCAATAGTTCATGGAAATTGGAAGGTTTGCATTTAAAAAGGACATTCCTAGTAAGAATCATCTTTCTTCCTTCTTTCTAGTCACAGTATTTTTTAAATACATGACATTAGTATTACCTGTTATTTTGAGATTAGTTATTTTTTATCCTTCCAGTTTTTTTCCTTTTGTTTCTTAAAGGAGACAACGTATTTGACATTCAAGATACTTAAACACATTTCTAGAGTCCTTACAATTATAAATTTGTAATTGCATGTAATTGCATATTAACCCTAAGAAATAGTTATTATTGACCGTACTTTATACATCAGAGAATGGGGTTCAGAGAAATTAAATAACTTGTCCATGTTGCATGGCTGATAACTGATGGAACTGGGGTTGGAACCCAACTCTCTTTCAAACTATTGAATAAGAAAGCTTATTAATTGGCCAGGCACAGTGGCTCATGCCTGTAATCCCAGCATTTTGGGAGGCCAAGGCAGACAGATCATCTGAGGTCAGGAATTCGAAACCAGACTTGACCAACATGGTGAAAACCCTTCTCTACTAAAAGTACAAAAATTAGCTGAGTGTCATGGCATCTGCCTGTAATCCCAGCTACTAGGAAGACTGAGGCAGGAGAATCGGAACCTGGGAGGTGGAGGTTGCAGTGAGCTGAGGTCACACCGTTGCACAGCCTGGGCAACAAGAGGGAAACTCAGTCTCAAAAAAAAAAAAAAAAAAAAAAAAGAAAAGAAAAGAAAGAAAGCTTATTAATCCTAGCATATTGTTTAGCTTTCTTTATCCATTATTTCTTTCTATTTCTTTCTATCCATTTCTTTATCCATTATGAAGCAATCCTGACATGATGAATATGATTTTTTTTGAAACTGGAAGTTGTGTGACAGAACCTGGAATAGTGATCAATGCTCTGTACACTATTTGGAGAAGACAGTCAAGTTCTCCTCACCATAGATAGGCTCTTGGGGGTTTATTAGACAAATGTTTTAATAGTTTGTCTACAGCTTGTCTTATTTATATATACCACCATTGTTTATTTGTCCTCTCTCTCTTTTATTGCCTATGCCAAAAGCAACATTAAGATATCCTTTATCAGACTTTTCACCTTTTAAAAATTATCAGAGTTTTTGGAATTCGATTCGCAGCTTGCCATGTTAGGGATTATAGAACATAGATGAGAATTGGCATTTAATTCATCTAAAAAATGTTTCTTGATAGTATATCATGTGCCAGGCACAATTCCAGGTGTGAGTATTGTTGTAAAAATAACCTGACAAGGTAACAAAGACTTTTTTTCTTGGTTGAAGGAAAGGAGAGACAAGCAATAATGTCATAAAATAATATTTCAATGATAGCAGCTGTCATACAAAAATAAACAAAGCTATCTAATAGTAAGTTACTGGGGATGAGCTACTTTATATTAGGTAATCAGAAAAGCTGAAGTGTCTACATGAGCAAGTAGACTTCTTTGTATGAGGTATATGGAAAAACTGACGCCCAAGTTGATTAAATAGATTATTCATTGTCACATAAATAAATCTTTACTGGCTAAATTAGTACTGGAACCTGAGTTCTGCAATTTTGTTAAAAAATAAACTTTTTTTCAGCTTTTATTTTACATTCAGGGGTATATGCACAGGTTTCTAACCTGGGTATATTGCATGATGCTGAAGTTTGGGCATGAATGTTCCCATCCCCAGGTACTGAGTATAGTATTCAACAATTAATGTTTCAACCCTTGCCCCCTCCCTCCCTTCCCCCTCTAGCAGTCCTCAGTTCCTACTGTTGCTATCTTTATGTCCATGAGTACCTGGTGTTTAGCTCCCACTGCAAAGAGAGAACATGCAGTATTCGGTTTTCTGTTTCTGCATTAATTCTCCTCGGATTATGGCCTCCAGTTCCATCCATATTGCCTCAAAGGACATGATTTTGTTCTTTTTTATCGTTGTGTAGTATTTCATGGTGTATATATACCACATTTTCTTTATCCAGTCCATCACTGATGGGCATCTAGGTTGATTCCATGACTTTCCTATTGTGAATAGTTCTGTGATGAACATGCAAGTGTGTATATCTTTTTGGTGTAATGATCTATTGTCCTTTGGGTATACACCCAGTAATGGGATTGCTGGGTCATTTGGTAGCTCTGTTTTAGGTTCTTTGAGAAATCTCCAAACTGCTTTTCACAGTGGCTGAACTAATTTACATTCCCATCAACAGTGTGTAAGTGTTCCCTTTTCTCTGCAGCCTCACCAACACCTGTTGTTTTTGACTTTTTAACAATAGCCATTCTGATTGATGTAAGATATTGTCTCATTGTGGTTTTGATTTGCATTTCTTTGATGATTAGTGATGATGAGCATTTTTTCATATGATTATTGGCTACAAGTAAGTCTTCTTTTGAGAAATATCTGTTCATGCCCATTGACCTTAATGGGATTATTTGTTTTTTGTTTCTTAAGTTCCCTATAGATTCTGGATATTAGACTTTTGTCAGATGCACAGTTTGCAAATATTTTCTACCATTCTGTAGGTTGTCTGTTTACTCTGTTAATAGTTTCTTTTGCTGTGCAGAATCTTTTTAATGTAATTAGGCCCCACTTGTCATTTTTTGTTTTTATTGCAAATGTTTTTGAGGACTTAGACATAAATTCTTTCCCAAGACCCATGTCCGGAATGATGTTTCCTAGGTTTTCTTCTAGTAGTCTTATAGTTTGAGGTCTTACATTTAAACCTTTGATCCTTCACTTGTAGCTTATCTTGCATGAGATTTTGACAGCATACATGGGGAAGGCATCAGTTACACTTTGGAGGCACGATACAGACAGAGAGCCAGATTCATATAGGCTGTGTAGACACCTGCTTCTTCCAGACCATTTTCCTGATTCTTTGGCTTGCTAATTGAGAGTAACCTCAAAATCACTTGACTTTCCTTTTCTTGGAGGTATAAGTATCCAAAGATGTCCCCAGATGCTCCACATTAAAGATATATCTGCCCTTTGGTTTTTCTTCAGGAATTATAAAGTGTTTACCTGAGAACTAATTCAGATGGTCATGAACGGGAATATTTGCCAATGCTCAATGTCCTTAATCCATAGATTGGATTGGTTTAAGGTCTACTTCATCTTGCAAGCATCTTTGTTCCCATGGATAGTGACCTTGTTCTTGATTCAGCCTGACAGCTGCTATGCTCCATCAAAACCAACTAGATGGGAGCTTGTTCCTCTGCTGCATTGTACAGTGACTGGTCTCACCCAGCACTTCCATGTGAGAATGAACACCCTCTTAACAAGAAATTTTGAGTGTTTTCCTTTTATTCACAGCTGAATGCAATAGCTCACTGGTTTTCAATTATGTTTGATTATTTGTGATTAAAAACTGTATGTATTTTTTTGGCAGTCAAGATTTCTGTACATATATTTAAGAAATAGTTCATTAACTGCTTTTCACAACTGTGTACTAACATATTTTATACTTTTTTAATTAGCTGAGAAGCTATATTAAAATATCTCATTGCAAAAAAATGAACTTTGTTATCTGATAAAATGAATTTTGCACTTCAGAATTGTCTTGAATATTGTTGTCATTGCAAATGATTTTTATCTTCATTTGTAGAGTTTCACCAAAATAATCCTTTTGGAATTTTATTAGGATCAAATTGAATTTATTGGTTAATTTGGGCCTAATTGTCATTTTTACCTTACTGAAACTTCATCAGCAATATTTCAGTAATGTCAATATTTTCTTCTACAAAGTCTTATGCATATTTTGGTATATTTATTTCTAGACATTTTATAGTTGGATTAGGAATCAAAAGTAGTACATTTTTAAAAGTACATTTCAAATGATTTGCAATGGCATATAAAGATGATAGTACACATTTATCTTATATCCAATCAGGAAATTTGTTGCAGTTCTTACAAGTTCTAATAGTTTGATATTAGTTTGTTTACATGTCACCTTTTATTTACTAGCCCATTCCTTCTTTTTATGAATAGTCTTGACTGAGATTTGTCTATTGTCTTTATAAATATCCAGCCTTTGATGTCATTGGTTAGATAGATAGATAGATAGCCTAAGAATCTCTCTTTACCTTATAAATTTAATGAATTTACATTAGTTTTGATTACTAATATTTAGATTCCCTTCTAGATGCATCATAATATACTAGTTAATACTACAGACTTTGGTGCTATACTTATGTTTTAATTCTAACCTCCCTTTACTTTTCTCATCTGTAAAATAAGGGAAATTATAATAATATCATAGTGCTTGATTGGGTTGTTATGGAGAATGAATGACTTTATATATGTAAAATATTTAGAGCAGTACCTTACACATATAAGGACTATATAGTTGTTAACTCTTATAATTCATATTATCTTTTCTTTATGTTTTATAGGTTTTTTATTTGCTCTCTTCCTCATCTTATATTTTATTAAATTCACCATGTTTCTTTTTTTCCTTCCCTCCTTACCTACACATACAAAAATTGAAAGTTATTTTCCATTTCTATTTGTTAGAGATAAATCAAGCCTCTCTGAATATTCTAGACTTAGATTATTGTAACTGTTATCACCCCCATCTTGTTTGCCATTGTTGTCTAGTATTTTAATACTGACTATTTTTTGATCCTCCAAATTAGCCATTATGTTTATTTTTATGTAGTCAATGCATGCTTAAATTTATCAAAACATAGCCGGGCATGGTGGCTCACGCCTGTAATCCCAGCACTTTGGGAGGCCGAGGCGGGCGGATCACGAGGTCAGGAGATGGAGACCATCCTGGCCAACACGGTGAAACCCCGTCTCTACTAAAAAATACAAAAAATTAGCCGGGCGTGGTGGCGGGCGCTTGTAGTCCCAGCTACTCCAGAGGCTGAGGCAGGAGAATGGTGTGAACCCGGGAGGCAGAGCTTGCAGTGAGCCGAGATCGCGCCACTGCACTCCACCTTGGGCGATGGAGAGAGACTCTGTCTCAAAAAAAAAAAAAAAAAAAAAAAAAAATTATCAAAACATTTGCTAATTTCCTTGCTCATTTTCTTCATACTATTTCATTTCTTCTTTCTGTGTTCAATTTCCTTCTTTTTGGATACATTTCTTTTGATATCTTTTCACAGAAGATCCTTAGTGGTAAACATTCTCTCAATTTTTCTAATTTAAAATTATCTTGATTTTTACTTTCACTTTTAAATGAGAATTTAGCTGGTCAGATATTTATGAGTTGATAGTTACTTTCTTTCAGCACTTTGAAATATCCCTTTGTCTTTGTAGAGACCAATTTCCCTTGGTCTCTACAGCTGTTTTTGGGAAGCCTGCTGTTAGTCTAATTCTTGTTCTTTTTACATTACCTTCTTTTGCTTTCAGGTTATTTTAAAGATATCTTTAAAATAAAGATATCTGTAGTTTCACTGTAAGTATGACTAGATGTGAATTCATATTTATTTCTTTGTATTAGTACTCAGTATGCTTCCTAATCTGAGAAATAGGTCTGTAATCATTTCTAGAGAATTAACAACAATTTTGTGTTTGAATAATGCTATTTTCCAGAACTCTTTATTTACCTTATAGAACAAATAGATGCATATTGATTCTTTAATCCTTAGTCTTTCATACAAAAGAAAAGTTTGTATGTGTTTTACTTATTTGATAACTACTAGATATTCCTTATCTTGTAAGTAACCTGTGTCCCCATCTAGATGCTGAACTCTTGGGGGCAGTTTGCTACATGCTATAAGTCTTTGGGATATCATGTTTACGAGCATGGGTTCTAGAGACAGACTATCTTGTCTTGAATCCTTGCTCTATCACCTATCTTTAATATCTCAGGTGCTATTACATGTGTTACAGTATAATGGAGATATTAATAGTATTTACCTTAGAAGGTACTTAGTATTTATTAAGAACTCAGTGAATGTTAGCTATTACACTACTTTTACATAAAGAAAAACTGTTAAATAACCTTCACTTCACAAAAATATACAATTTAGATTAAATTTTGAAAAAAGGTTAACTTTTAATATTGGAGGAGGAATAAAAGAAGGAGGAAAGAAACAAACATTTTAGGCAGAGGAAACAGCATGCACATAGATATAGGAGTTGTGAAGTGTAGAGTGTATTTGAGAAATGTAGGGGATATTGCCTGTGCCCCACCCATATCCTCTCGGCACTCCTGGGTCATTAAGATCCATTTCCTTCTGCAAGCATTTGCAGTTCTTCACTTGATGACTTTCTCCTGACCTGGACACCAAGCTAGTGGAATTCATGCCCCTAGGAGCAGCTCCCAGCCAATGATGGATGGGGTTGGAAGATAAATACTCTAGCTTCCTATTTTTCAGCTACCTTAACTCTGAGTTGTGTTCTATACTCTCTCCCAATTACCAGTGGAATTGAGGACCAGTTACCTTCTAAGATAACTTGTTTGACAATGTATCCTGCTTTAGCTTCTCTTCACCTTCCTAGTCCTATTTTACTACCTTACCTTCTGATAAGCCTACAAAAACAAGATATGTTGAAAAGACTTTCATTTTATTTCCTGCTTCTAAAATGTAAATGCTTTAATTATTTAAAACTCTCTGAGGTCTTCTTCCAAAAGGCTGACAGAACATTGCATTTCCACTCATGAAAAACTCTCTCAGGCCCAGAACAAGGTCTGTGATTTAATGAGAGGCATTTTAAAGACTATGAGAACAACTTGATGTAGATATTTAAGAAAAAAAAATCTTTTAATAAAGGTTCTGTTTCTCTGAGGACCTTTATTTTGTTTTATTTTTTGTATGAAGCCAGTTGCTATGTGGGCGTTTACTGTGAGATTAATATGCGTTGCCGCAAATTTATAAATGAGTTTTCTCATCTTGAAGGAAAACACAAAATTCTATCTCTCACATTGCTTTCCTAGTTGGAAGAAAAACAGAACTTTCCAAAATAGGGCATAGAACACATGGCTTCTAGGAGTCCTTGGAATATCCTATGAGTGAACAGATTTGTGTATCTATGGTCATAGCAAGTCATAGTAGGTAATCATGCCTATATTCATATAGAGGAATGGTAGGAAGGGCTTTTAAAGATTATCTAGTCCATCTAGATTTTATAGATAAATAATATAGGGTCCACAAACTTAAATGGGTTGCCTAAGATTACCAAGAATATTAGTATTGGTTAGAGCATTAATTCTCTTTAATCCTGGTCCAGTGCTCTTTTCACATTATAGGAGAGTCCATTTCTTAAACATTACCCTGGAGAGTTCCTTTTCTTTGGCTAGCCTCAAGGGAAAAATAAAGTCCCTACATTGTACAAGATGATTGTATTTGATTCAATTATTTTCCCAGTTGTGGGGAGCCAGGGACCAAAGTTTAAGCTCTGCGGTGGTTGGCCACTGGGTATATTGAGGTCAACTTGGGTGGCCCATTTTGTTAAAGATTACCCTGGTACTTTCACTAGTATCATCAGTACATTTTATAGTCTTTGAATCAAAGGTAAATTTATTTTATTTTAATTTTTACAGTTTGGCATGTAGCATTTTTTTTCAACTTTTATTTTAGAAACAGGGAGTACATGGTACATGTGCAGGTTTGTTACATGAGTATATTGCACCCAGGTAGTGAGTATAGTAACCAATAGGTAGTTTTTTTGACCCATTTCCCTCTCTCTCTCCTTCTTCCCTGAAGTAGCCTGCGGTGTCTGCTGTTCCCATGTTTATGTCCATGGGTGCTTAATGTTTAGCTTCCACTTCTAAGTGAGAACATGCAATATTTGACTTTCTGTTCCTGTGTTAATTCGCTTAGGCTTATGGCCTCCAGCTCCATCCATGTTGCTGCAAAGGACATGATTTTGTTCTTTGTTATGATTGCATAGTATTCCTTGGTGTATATGTGCTCCATTTTCTTCATCAATCCACCATTGGTGAGCACCTAGGTTGATTTCTCATCTTTACTATTGTGAATAGGGTGATGATAAACATACAAGTGCATGTATCTTTTTGGTATAATGATCTATTTTCCTTTGGGTATATACCCAGTAATGGGATTTCTTGGTCACTTGTAGCTCTGTTTTAAGTTCTTTGAGAAATCTCCCAACTGCTTTTCACAGTGGCTGAACTAATTTACATTTCCACCAAGAGTATATAAGCATTCCCTTTTCTCTGTAGCCTCACCAGCATTTGTTGTTTTCTGACTTTTAATAATAGCCATTCTGACTTGTGTGAGATGATATCTCATTGTGGTTTTGATTTGCATTTCTCTGGTGATTAGTGATGATGAGCATTTTTTTAATATGTTTGCCATTTGTATGCCTTTTTTTGAAAAATATCTGTTCATGTCCATGACCATTTTTTAATGGGATTGTTTGGTTTTTACTTGTTGATTTAAGTTCCTTATAGATTCTGGATATTATACTTTGTCAGATATGTAGTTTGCAATATTTTCTCCCATTCTGTAGGTTGTTCGTTTATTCCGTTGATAGCTTCTTTTGCTGTGCAGAAGCTTTTTAGTTCTATTAAGATTCCACTTGTCAATTTTTGTTTGTGTTGCTATTGCTTTTGGGGACTTAGCCAAAATTTATTTGCCCAGGCTAAGGTCAAGAAGGGTATTTTCCAGGTTTTCTTCTAGTATTTTTATAGTTTTGGGGTTTCACATTTAAATCTCTAATCCATTGTTAGTTAATTTTTGTATATGTTGAGAGGTAAGGGTCTAGTTTTATTCTTCTGCATATGGCTAGCCAGTTATCCTAGCACCATTCACTGAATAGGTAGCCCTTCCCCATTGCTTGTTTTTGTTGGCCTTGTCAAAGATTGGATGATTGTAAGTGTGCAGCTGTACTTCTGATTTTGTATCTTGTTTCATTGTTCTATGTGTGTTTTTATACAAGCACCATGTGTTTTGGTTATTAGAGCCTTATAGTATAGGACGAAGTAACTGTGATGCCTCTGGCTTTGTTGTTTTCACATAGGATTGCTTTGGCTATTTGGGCTCTATTTTGGTTCTATATGAATTTTAGAATAGTTTTTTCTAATACTGTAAAGAATGACGTGGGTACTTTGACAGGAATAGCATTGAATCTGTAATTACTTTGGACAGTGTGGCCATTTTAGTGATATTGATTCATCTAAGCCATGAGCATGGAGGTTTTTCCATTTATTTGTGTCATCTCTGATTTCTTTCAGCAGTGTTTTATAGTTCTCCTTGTAGAAATCTTTCATCTCCTTGGTTAGCTGTACTTATAGATATTTTATTTTCTTTGTGGCTATTTTAAGTGGAATTGTGTTCTTGATTTGACCCTTAGCCTGGACACTATTGGTGTCTAGAAATACTACTGACTTTTGTACATTGATTTTGTATATAAAACCTTACTAAAATATTTGATCAGTTCTAGTAAACTTTTGGTGGGTTCTTTAGGGTTTTTTTAGGTATGAAATCATATTTTCAGTGAAGAAAGATCAATTTAGCCACTAAGAATTTATTTATGTGTCTACGAATAATTTATTTAATCATTTTGGGCCTCATTTTCCCAATGTACCTCATACAAAAGATCAATGAAACCAAGAGCTGCTCCTTCAAGAAACAAACAAACATACAAGATAGGTAGACAGCTAGCTAGATTAACAAAAGAAAGAGAGAAGATCTTTTGTATGGATTTTTGCATGTCAATTTCATTCAGTTCTTCTTTAAATTTTGTTATGTCTTTTCTTCCACTGGCCTTGGGGTTGGTTGGCTCTCTTTTTTTTCTAGTTCCTTCAGGTGCAAAGTTAGATTGTTAATTTTAAATCTTTCTAACTTCTTGATAAAGCCATTTAGTACCGTTAGCTTTCCTCTTAACACGGCTTTAGCTGTATCCCAGGCAGTTTGGTGAGTGTTGTCCCTATTTTCATCAATTTCAAATAATTTTTTGATTTTTGCTTTAATTTCTATGTTCGTCCATAAATTATTCAGGAACAAGTTGTTTAATTTCCACGAATTTGCATAGTTTTTAGAAATCCCCTTGATATGAATTTCTATTTTTATTGCACTGTGGTTTGAGTGTGTGCTTGGTTTGATTTCAATGTTTTTGAATTTATTGAAACTTCCTTTATGACTGAGCATGTGGTTGATCTTGGATAATGTTCCATGTACAGATGAGAAAAATGAATATTCTGTGGTTACTGGGTGGAGTGTTCTGTAGATGCCTATTAGTTACAATTGGTCAAGTGTCAAGTTTAAGTCCAGGATTTCTTTGCTAGTTTTTTGCCTCGATGGGGTGTCTAATGCTGTCAGTGGGGTGTTGACGTTTCCCACTATTATTGGGTGGTTGTCTGAGTCTTTTTGTAGGCCAAGAAGAACTTGTTTTCTGAATTTGTGTGCTCCAATGTTGAACGCATATATATTTAGGATAGTTATGTCTTCTTGCAAATGTCATTTTAATCCTTATTTTACTAGAATTATTCATTTTGCTTTCTGTTTTCCTGACTTCTGTGATACCCACACTCTTGGTTCTTCTTGAAACTATCTGATGGTTTCTCCACTGTCTCATTTGTAGATACCTCTGCCTTTTTTCACCTCTTGAATGTTAGTCTTTTTAGCTGTCAGTGTTCTGTTCTTGGCACACTTCTCCTCTATGTAATATTCTGATACACTTACAAAGTAGTAAATATGTGTTTGATCAATTAGACAATAAATAAATAGCTGCCCCCATTTGTTTCTAGAGTCTCTTTGACACCCATATGTTGATAACTCAAAAGTCTACATCATCTTGATGATCTGGACTTACATATATTTCAACATACCAGAGTTACAGCCATATGTTACCTAGACATTTATAATGCAATAAACAAAATGAACTCATCTTCGGTATTCTCTATTTCAATGATTAGACCTACCCAGTCCCTCAAGTTAGAAACTAACTACACTTTTTTTGTCCTGCTCCCTTACCAATCCCAATACAATCTATCACAAAATTCTGCCTGTGTTTTCTTCTAAGATTCTCTCATTCATTTTTCTCTCCATCTCTAACATTGCTTGATATCAGGCACTGATCATGCCTTCATCATTTCTCTTTCTGACTTTTTCAAGAGCCTCCTGCATTCTTACTTTTAGATATATTCCTTTAAATCACATTTTCTGTACATATATCATAGTATCGGTATCAAAAACACAAATCTGATTTTATTGGACCTTTTTTTCACTCACCACTATACTAAAAAGGAAAATTAAACTTATGTTTTGCTATTTTCAGTATTTTCAATAGCTTTCCATTGCCTAGCAGTTAAAATACAATCTTCTTAACATGGCCCAGCAGGCCATCCCTATGAACCTCTTGACCTTTATCTTACAGCACTCTGCCTCTCACTTCATGCCTCAGTTGTGCAGTATTGCTTATGTCCCTCATCCAGAAACCATGTAATTTTTTAATTTTATGCCTTTATTGATACCATACCTCCCTTTTCCTCCTTTCTTCTATGTATTCCTACTCATTTTTATGAATGAGCCCTGGAAACCTCCTATGAAGGTACCCACGGAGGCTTTCATGATTTCCTTGGTTGGATTATGTGTTTCTATATACTCATTCAGAGTTAGCAAAACTTTACTTATGCATTGTTTTATAATTATCCATTCATATATTTGCCTCCTTTACAATACAGTGATCTTTAAGTGTGGACACTGTGTCCTTTTCATTTCTATTCCCAGGACATGGGCTAATGCTTGAAACACAGGAGACCCTCAAGAAGTATCTGCAAAATGAACACTAGTGAGAAAGGACGGCTTTTGTTAGACTTCATCCTATAAATCTTGAAGACTTTAACCTAGAAGCATTGGAGGTCAGGTGGTTTACTCCAGGAGTTTTATTGCTGGCTTGATCTGTGATGTCTCATATTTATGTGCTGTTGGGCAAGGGAGATATAGAGAGGGATAAGCTCTTGGCTATTCTTGTTTGCCCTGGTAAATCACAGGTCTGCCCATTCAACTGCATAAATATTTCTGAAATGCATTCACTATTTTTAGTTCAGACTACAACATCGCATGTCTGGATTCCTAAGCAACCTCCCCATAACTGACTTCCTTGGCTTAAGTCTATTCTTTTCCAATTCATTTCCCATACATAATGTAACCACAGTAATCTTTTCCAGATGCTAAAGTTCCTTATTTGGTTCCAAAACTTTTAGACAAAAGTTCAAACTCTTTAATGCAGCGTATAATGATACAGTTTATAATCTGAGTCTTGCTTGCTTTTCCAGCCTTGTGGCTCACTATGCTGTCCTGGACTACCTGAGTTCTTGCTAGACTGCATGGCTATGGTTCATTGAATTTGCTTTATTTCACTTACTTCTGGGTCTTTGGATTTGCTTGGGACACTCCTCCTTTTTATCCCCATTCTCATTTTCAGCTAACTCTTAACTGATTGTTCAGAGTATAGCTTATGTGTTACTTTATCCAGAAAGCCTTCCTTGATGTCCAAAAATGTTCAGGAATGTTTTAGGTCTCCCCGTCTACCAGTTTCTCAACCCATATGCTCCTGTCACACCCCTGTTCTTCCCTCATACATAAGCATCACATGATCATAGCTGCCTTTCATATTGTCTTTGTAACCCACTAAATTAAGTCCTGTGAAGGCAGAAACCACATCAATTGTATTCTTTGTTTTATAGTTAGTATCTAGTACAGGAGCTTGCACAAATTCCTGATGAATATTATGAATTGAATGAGTGAATGTTTGAATATAGGGTAATTTTATGTTATCCACTGGATTTCATGTTACTATGATGTTGAGTAATTACAAGAGAAATACGACTAGAACTCTGAAGTTTTTTTTTTAATCTACTAGTTATACATAAGACTTCTCCTGATAGTCCTGTGTTTGTTGTTTATTAGGTGTCCAATGAGGAACTTGGGTTTTATGAACACTAAGTCCCTACCAATCCCAACAGTATGTCTGAATCTCTGAGTTCCCATAAGAAGAAAGATTCTTCTCAAAATAAATCACTAATAAGGGAAATTTGGTGACTGATTGAAGCTAAGGAAGATAACCTCATTTCTACTTCTGTAAGGAGGAAAATACCCTCTCTGCCAAAGTAAGTGGATGCCTCTAGGTCACTGGCAATGATCTGATTTGCCAGGAATAGTTTTCTGGAACCATAATGGAATTTGGGTCTGGTTCCATGAGAGAAGTGTGGGCTCAGGAAGACAAGCTTTTAAGTATTGTTGTCAAGGATTTTATGGTCTTATGAGGTATAGGGGCAAAATTTATTAATGACTCAGCAAGGCTGCCCTAATTTTAGGCCTGAAGGTAAGCTTGCAACACTTCAGAGAGTGGGAGACAGGGAGGAAGTATTATCACTTCAACTGAGTCTTGTTTTATTTATAAATACTGTGTTGATGAATTTTAAATTGGTCATCCTTAATTTGGGGCCTAAAATAGATCAGACCTCTTTCTTAGTTCCCTCCTTTGAGTCAAAAGAGACCAAAATAAGAATTTATATACGTATTACCAAGTATTGGGTGTGCCATGTTTGGGGCTTTATTTAGTGCACTGGGTAATTAACGCAATATGTAGAAAAATATATCTTTTCTTCCTTGCAAATAAGTCAAGGGTTCAAGGATCAGTCCTTTAAGAAACTTGGTTTTTCTCCTATTTCTCATATTAACCGTAGCTTGACCAGTTCTCTCTCTGGTTTGTCACTGTCATAAGAAGACCCAGGGAAGGAATGGATTACACAGTTTGAATGAATCACTACCACTCATGTGTAAGTTGGGAGCTTGAATTTCATGGCCTCTTATACTCTCAGTTCAGGAGGTCTGTGAGAATAAAGGCTCATCCTTCAGTAAATTCTAACAAGGCAAATTTGGTGACTAATCAAGCCATACACAAACCTTCTTCATAGTCCATACTTTATGTTGGGTCAGTAGCATGAACTGTGACAGATAAATGACAAATATGTTATTACTGGCATATTATATTTAGTTAGCTAGAATTTGGTCTAAAGAAAACTAGCCTTAGAGTCTAGAAAGGAACTGGACTCTGCCTCCAGTTGTGCGGCTTTGGGTAAATCACTTTAAACATTTGAACCTCAACTTTTTTATTCATAAAGCAGACTAATTTGAACAAAGCAGAGAGATCAGGAAAATATACACAGTTTGATGAACGGAACCAGGAAAGTCAGGGGGTCGGGGGTGTTGAAGTGTGTGCTATGGTTAAATTCCATTAACAAACTATCCCTCCAAATTCAGATAGATGTACACACACACGAGCTTCCTACTTATGCTCAGATCCTGCTTCTCATGTACTTTCTCTAAGCCTCTGTTGCATGTCACCAACATGCAGGTGGCAACTGATACATTTGTAGGGACCATTTCTTTTTAACATACACACGATCACATCCATGTGGGAGGATGACCTAAGCATTACTGTGCACCCACTGAAGCCTAGACAAAAGATCAATGTTATCCATGAATTACATTGTTTAATCCTCAAACCTGTGTTCTGACGCAGGCATTTCTATACCTTCATAATAATTATAATTATAATATGGGAATAATTCTGGAGAAAAGAAAGGCAGAAGGCTCAGATCCTGCTAGCAGACAAGTTTTAGACTTAAGGAGTTAACACAGTAGGGGGTAGAGGGAATCTGGATCTTGAAGGTCTCTGTGGTTGAATGGTCAACACTTGCTTCAGTTCTGGGGAAAGGTTATGGGCAGGGCCACCATACGCAAGTGGGCAGATGCTTCACAGGACAAGAGTGCCACAATTTCACAAGGGTGCGAGTGCAGGCAGAACCCAGCTTGTGCTCCCCTTACCAGCTGCCTGCCTTGGCAGAGGTTGGGACTGCCCAAAGAGAGGGTCACCTTTTGTAGTACACACCAAGCCATCATTTATTGTTCCAGCCATCTGCTTGTGGAGTTGCTCCTTTTTCCTAATTTCTACAGAGACACCATGTAGCCTAACTGATGCTCTGGCCAGGGCTTGGAGGAATTTGAGAAACAGCAACAAACCTACCCAGCTGAAGACTAGGCTTTTGTATACAGAGCATTGTATTGCATGAGAAAAGTATAAATTATTCATGTTAATGTCATAAATATTCTGTCTTCAAAGCTCAGTATTTTAATACTTAGAGCTCAGTATTTTTTAGTATAAAGCTCTGCTGTCCCATATGGTAGCCACTAGCCACAGGTAGCCATTTCAATTTAAGTGGAAAAACATTAAATAAAATAAAATAAATAATTCCTTAGTTACAGTAACCACATTTCAAGTGTTTAAAAGCTGTAGCTAGATGTGCTAGTGACTACCATATAAGATAGTGCAGAATTATAGAACATTTTAATCACTGCAGAAAGTTTTATTGGCCAGCCCTGGAATAATCAACTGTTTCTAGTCTACAGATTGTTCCTTGATCCACATTAAATTATTCAGGCCACTATAATTGTATTGGCTTTAGTAGATGATTGCCTACCAAACCTAAATAGTATGTAAATGCATGTAAGAATCTTAATGTGGTTTCCAAATTTTCAAACTCAACTGTATTTTTTTAGCCCTTTCCCAGTTCCCCTTCCCAGAGGCAACTCATGTTATCATTTTATGTATTCTTCCTGAGATTCACAAGAATAGATCTAGCACACTCATGTACACAAACATACCTTCTTATATTTATCTTTATCACTTGGATGACAGAATATGAGTTGTTCCACACATTGATATTTTCCACTTCATACTATATTTTGAATATCACCCCATATTAATACATAAAGAGCTTCTTCATTCATTTTAAGACTGTATGGTATTCCATTATGTGAAGGGGTGTGTGTGTGTGTGTGGTTTTAATTGTTTGCTGTTATAAATAATATTGCAAAAAACTTATATATGTATGTTATTTCACATGTTTAAGATGATGTTTATACAATAAATTTCTGAAAGAGAAATTGCCATTTCTAGGTGATATTCATTTGAAATTGGCATGGATATAAGCAAATTTATCATAATAGGAGTCATACCAATTTATACTTTGACTATCAGTGTGCCTGTTATCTCTACATCATCGCCAAGGGTACATTATCTGTTTTCTTGCCAATTTTATAGATGAAAAATTACATATCAATACAATTCTAACTTGAATTTTTCTTCTTATGAATGCGAAAGGCAGCTTTCATGTGTTTAATAATAATTTCTTTAAGTTTTTGACTGTCAAAGGAATATTTCTTTATATTTGAAGTCCTTTTAACTGGGATATGACTCATGTTGACCCATTGGGGTCAATATTCTCAGGGACATGATGTGTCATATCAATATTTAACTTCAAGTCTTCTTTAATTTTAGAAATGTTTTCTTGAATTTTATTCTTATAAATTTATGCTATTTAATTATTTGTAGATTTCTTCTTTGGCGACTTCAATTATGCATGTAATCCCCTTTATCTATTCTCCCTGTCAGTTTCTCTTGAATTGAAAAAAAATTATTATTTCCTTTTTATTTTCTTACATCATTATTTATTCCTATTATTGTGTTTTTAAAACTTCCCGTTTTACGTTTCTTCCAGTTTTGTCTTCATTTATGTGTTTTGTTTCATTTTTTTTCCCGAGCTCTTTTGTTCACATTTTGTCTCCTCTTTCATCAGCATTTCATCTGTGAACCTTTATATTTCTGTTTTGTCTCCTTTTTTTTTATAGGGATAATTAATCCTTTAATTCAGAGGGGCTATTCATGATGGTATATTTTGGTACAATTTTTATCTGTTATGTGCTAATTTTTTCTAGTGGCTTTTCTTTTTTGACTTTTATTTTATATATTTCTTTCTGCATTTTTCTCTTGTCAAAATTTTGTATAGAAATTTTGCTGCTTTTTATGTTCAGTGTTCATCTTTGAAGGAGGTAAAATTTCCCTGGATCAGGTATTGATAGGAAATTGATGTGCAGAGGAGCGAGCACAGAATCCCAGGCTAACTGGAGTTTTCTTATCCTTGGGTGTGTAGGAAGTTCATATAGCATTTACTTCTCCCCAGCTTTGGGATTGTTTACAGTGTAAGGTCTCTCGTCTGCCTTGCTGCTGCAGAGACAGCCAGCTTCCTGGAAATATAGCTTGACTATGTGATTTTTGTTTTTAGCTCCACCCTTATTTGCTGCTGCCCCCAGTGTGTGTACCATTGTCCAGCTGTTAAAAACAAAGGATTTAGCAACTGGGACTCAGGTTGTGTTCTTCTCTTTCAAGAAAATATCTTTACTGTTTTTTCCCCCTAGACCTACTGCTGTGAGTCCCTCCACCTGATTCTTTCTGCACTGCCCTTAACAAGACGTGAACAGTCCTCTAGACCTATTTTGTAGTTTGGCACTTCAGCTGTTTTCTATTTTTACCAAAAATGAAGTTTGCATTCTGAGTTTTGATTTTATTCTTAGGAAAGAAAGACAGAAACACCCACCTTCCACCACCATCTTTAAAATAGGAACCTCATGCATTATTTTGTGGAATACTTTGTATTTTTTTAACTTTTCCAAAAACAAACAAACAAACCCTAAGGTATGAGTCATAATATTTCAGCCTTTACTGATTATTTTATTTTGATCAAGGCTATGATTTTCAGTTGCTTAACAGACACTTCCTTATAGAAATTCTACCAATACATCAAACTTTCACTTTTTAGAGATAAATTCATCCTCGTTTTTTTCTACAAATCTATTTTTCTAGGATTATGAAACTCCCTTTTAGCAGTCTTCAAAGTTTAGCTCTTTTATATTCTCCTCACTCCACATATTTATAATTAATTAATAACTTTTGTAATAACTAAGGCATTTATCGAACCTCACTATACATAAGGTAGTGTGCAAGGTGTTGGATAGTAATGGCCTTGGACTTGGATTAAAGGTGTTTCTCCCCTGAGTTCTTAAGTTTTTAAGGATCCTACATGTCATAAATCTACATTAAAAATTATTTAAAAACTCATAGGCATCTCTTTCACTTAGGATCCAGAGCTCAGTACCTGCACAGATGTTCTTATGGCCCAAGGAAATCCTTCTCCACATCTCTTGCCCTATTACCTTGAAAGAAAAAGTGGCTGCCCCAAATCCCCAAACGCCATGAACATTGAAGGATGGTGCCCCTGTCCATGTTGCATTTGGATGCCTCTTTGGAGTATCAGGAGGATTTGAGCAGTGGAAGCTCTTAAGAAAGAAAATACAAATTATTTTAAGAAGAAAACAACCCCATCAAAAAGTGGGTGAAGGATATGAACAGACACTTCTCAAAAGAAGACATTTATGCAGCCAAAAGACACATGAAAAAATGCTCATCATCACTGGCCATCAGAGAAATGCAAATCAAAACCACAATGAGATACCATCTCACACCACTTAGAATGGCGATCATTAAAAAGTCAGGAAACAACAGGTGCTGGAGAGGATGTGGAGAAATAGGAACACTTTTACACTGTTGGTGGGACTGTAAACTAGTTCAACCATTGTGGAAGTCAGTGTGGCGATTCCTCAGGGATCTAGAACTAGAAATACCATTTGACTCTGCCATCCCATTACTGGGTGTATACCCAAAAGACTATAAATCATGCTGCTATAAAGACAGATGCACACGTATGTTTATTGCGGCACTATTCACAATAGCAAAGACTTGGAACCAACCCAAATGTCCAACAATGATAGACTGGATTAAGAAAATGTGGCACATATACACCATGGAATACTATGCAGCCATAAAAAATGATGAGTTCACGTCCTTTGTAGGGACATGGATGAAGCTGGAAACCATTATTCTCAGCAAACTATCACAAGGACAAAAAACCAAACACGGCATGTTCTCACTCATAGGTGGGAATTGAACAATGAGAACACATGGACACAGGAAGGGGAACATCACAAACTGGGGCCTGTTGTAGGGTGGGGAGAGGGGGGAGGGATAGCATTAGGAGATACACCTAATGTAAATGATGAGTTAATGGGTGGAGCACACCAACATGGCACATGTATACATATGTAACAAGTCTGCACGTTGTGCACATGTACTGTATAACTTAAAGTGTAATAAAAAAAGAAAAAATTATTTTAACTTGTCATATTCTTTCTCTCAGCATAAATGCAATAAATTCAACTATAGCAAACTACCAGTAGTGCTAGCATCTATTTTATGTTGCTTCTGATTTACAGTTCATGGCTCAGGAAGTACTTTTAAATTAGCACATTATGTGTCACTCTTGCACATGGAGAACAAGGAACATTTTACAATATTAAATAATTCATAGAGCTTATAAATAAACATAGGTCTAGCTGTAACACAGTGGAGCCAATTCTTTAATATTAGCAACTAAATGGATGTTGATCACTAAAATTTCAAATAGTTTTATTTTTATAAATGTATTTCATAAGAATAAGTGGCATGTTTTTCAAAATTAAATGACAAACTTTAGATTTATAAAATAATTATAAATTTTGATTACCATAAATTACATTTTGTATTTTGCTTATAATTTTGAAAATTTTGAGTATTTTAGAAGAAAAGTAATATTTTAAAAACTTATGAAAAATAACCTTCACTTATTTATATTAATATTTACTTTCTTATGCAAGTTTGACAAAAATACACTTAAATTTTGAAAACTATTTATGTGCTTGTACTTTTATTCCTTTAGATCATTGATGTTAATAGAACACAAGTTGTGTAAAACTTGGTCATGCAGCATAGTCATCCTACTGAAATAAAGGCTGAAAAATAAATTAATTGAATAAGCATATTACTAGTTTATGACTTATACATATTTTTACTCTATTGCTTATCCAAACATTGTTGATCCATGAACAGTGTCCTCAGATATGTAAAAGAATAAGTAAATTTAGTTATTTTTAAAATTTGGCTGACTTTTAGTCATATCAAAACATAACTTTTATATATTTTTAATTCTGTCATTCAAAAATATATTTGTCAAGATTAAGAGGGTAGACCATGGTTAAATCACCATCTGAGAGTCTACTTGATTAACTTTTATGTATTTAGAGATACTACATATGGACTTTAATTTGTAGTCTGGCCCCAGGCTTGGCAAGTGAATATGAAGGCACAGGCCCTGTCCCTAAGGAGCGCATTATCTAGGTTCCTCCTTCTCAATTTCTTTCTCAGAGTCTCTTACAAGCCTCATTTTCATTCCCATCCATATTATGTTCACTGAATTCCCCTTTTAAAGGATCTCTAATTCCAGTGGACTTACAATGCTTTATTAATATTTCAAATCCTTATAGTGTCTTACACATAACAAGGACTAAATAAATAATTATGAACTGGAGTTAATTGAGTTGAAAGAAAAAATAAATGAGAGAAGGAGAGAAGGAAACATCTGTCAAGAGAAATAAACTGGTGGGTGTTGAGGAAGGAAGAGTGATTGTGACTTGGAGAAGGTCATTTGAATGTTACTACATCTATGAAAATTGCCTTAGAAATCACCTTATATAATTTCCTGGAATATAAAGTAGCAGGCACAATTTTCACATTCACATAACTTTCTTAAAACTAGAAAAGATTTAGCAGAAAACATTATTGTGTCAGTCCAGGAAGTCTTATTTGTTATAGGTCTCTTCAGGAAAGATTTGGAAAGAATTCTCATCCTTAGATGCTTTTGTTCACAATTGAAAATCTAATCAATATCTTGCTCCTGGCTATAGGATCATGTAAATAACTTTTTTTTTTAACTGTGTGTGACTTTACTTTCACAATATGAACCAAGATTTCTCTCCTACATGCCTACCATTAAATAAAACAAATGTATTGGTGAGAACCAAAGAAACCTTGATAAAATAGGGCAGTTATCATTTTCATGGATGGAAAAGACAAGATATTGGCTAGTTAGAGAACAGAATCTTGAAAATTCCTTTTGTGAGTGATTCTATTTCTGCCAAACATACATATTAGAAACACTAGTTTGGGAACTGCTGTGTAGAAAAGAAAGCTATGAAACTATTACAGACTGTGTTCCATTGCTCAGAAAATATGAAGAAAATGTCTCTTATGACCGAAGTATATTATTTACTATTAAATTATATACATTATTTCTCATATATTATTATATATTTTTATTATGTTTCTCACCCCATGACAGAAGGTCAAAGATTAACAATGATATTTTGAAATATTGAAAGTTAAGGCTGGAGAAAAATTTCTATTAAATCGTTAAGGAAGGTATCATTTGAATGTAAAATTTTAGGGGAATAAAATATAAAAATGAGTAATTTTTTTTTTTACTGTAGTGTAAGACTAGCTATCCTTGCTCCAGAAGGACGGTAGATCACACGCATGGCTATTTGCTCTACTTCTTTTAAACTGCATCAGGAAAATCTATTTTATTCAAAAGTTTAGTAAAAATAATTAAGTTTGATGAAGTGACTTATTTCATTTGCTGCTTCGTATGGCATTTAGATCTAATCCATGTAATTAAAGATTTATTTCTAACTAAATCTAGAGCAGAAATGTTGCTAAGGATAACCAACTAAAAGTTGATAACTGACAAGTAACTATAAGTGGATACCTTAATTAGACACTGTCTGCAAAGGCCACCGTGGGGGCTGGGAGGGGTGGAAGAGCTAAGTACTGTGTTTTGATTTTGATTTCTTTGTCTATGTGTATGCATGTGTGTGTGTGTGTGTGTGTGTGTGTGTGTGTGTGTGTTTCAGTTGACAAGGTTTTCTCTAATTAGTAGAATTACCACAGATACATACAGCAGAGTCTCATAGTTCTCATCTATAACCCCTTTTTTAAACTTTCTGCCTCAGAGTTTTAGAAAGATTGACTATTGGTTAATGAACTGGGAAAAAAGTGTGAATGAATATAGCTGAGGAAAGGTCTTACGTGGTCCAAAGAAAAGGAAAGATTTGATACAGGGAATAAATGAGTTGGCAGCTTAGATAATGTTCAGGGATGTATAGTTGGAACTTCTGAAATTAATTATTCAGCAGCTAGAGACCTTTACCTCTAAGCTAATGTTGGTTTAAGTGATTCCTCTTAGTAATGGTCATAAACTAGAAAGGAAAGATACAATTACCTTTTAGAACTTAGAGATTTCACATTTATTCCCCAAATATTGATTTTACTCTCTAAAATTATCTACTTTGATGGTATACACTGTTTCTCAAGCAATTTATTTTTAACAGGATCCTTAAAATTCATGCATAACCATTTTTCCCCAGTCTTCAATCACGATGGGAAATAAAGACCCAATTTATAATCAGAGTTCTTTTATATCAGCTCCTCCCAGGTAATTATTTTATCAGAATACCTAGCCTCT
Organism: Homo sapiens; assembly: GCF_000001405.40. NCBI lineage: Eukaryota > Metazoa > Chordata > Mammalia > Primates > Hominidae > Homo > Homo sapiens. Next base: position 57,814,429 of record NC_000005.10, read on the forward strand.
CTTCCACAACTTTAGTGGCTGGTGTCTACTATTCTCTTATATAGTCAGGTGTCTATTATTCTCTTATATAGTCAGTAGGGAGGCAACCATAGGTCCTCTCTCATCCTGAACTCATGTGACCTAGGGCTTCAGCAAAGATGCTGTCCACCTTCACCTTCAGTGAATGTTGACCCAATTTTGGTTCTTGCTGATCCTACTTCTAAACTAGAATTGTTATACCCTTTGGTGATCTGCCAAAGTCAATCTAAAATTCCCAGGGAGTGTTTATAGTTTAGGCTTCACTAATATCCATACCAAACTTCTCTATACAAATTTGTGTGTACTTGACTAAAACCAAGTATTTAAATTATCAGAAAAAGCCTGTTTCAAATAGCTAGGCTCTGTGAGTCCCTCGAATACTGAAGAGGCAGTAATTAGACAAAAGTTAAGCTCCTGGGTATTTATTTGACAGTGTGAACTACAATATCCCTTGGCAGATGAAAACTTCCTGTGAATTTATTCAACGCATTCCTAAATATTATGTACTCCCTAAGTGATATGCATTGTTTCAAATACTAGATATACGGCTGCCAACAAAATACCCAAAATTTTGCCCACATGAAATTTATCTTCTAGTGGGTGGAGAAGACCATCAACAATTTTTGGTGTTCTTACTTGTTAATGCTGCTTAGTAGCTATGAAGAGCCTGCACCAACAAGGTGGGGTTAGGGAAGGGAAACTTCAAATAATGGAACCATTACCAATGATTTTAAAGGTTGCTGTTCCTAGCACTCACTAGCCTACCACCCAAATTCTGAAAAGCCAGGAAACATATTAATCTCCCTATTATGTTGTTTTGAAAATCCTCTATGATAAAACTTTTTGTGTCTTGGTCATTCAAACAGATATAATTTATCAATTAAAGAAGCATCTCAAAAATGAATGAGAAGAATCTTGAGTCCTCTTGGTCTAGTCTTTTGTTAGATCCTTTCTTGATTTTTCAAGTGTTAGAGTCATCCAAAGGTCAATAAAATCTAACTAACTAAAAAGCAGTATCGAACATTTATTTTGATGATTCAAAACAGTGAGAAGGGCCGGGCAAGGTGGCTCACGCCTGTAATCCCAGCACCCTGGGAGGCCGAGGTGGGTGGATCACGAGGTCAGGAGATCAAGACCATCCTGGCCAACATGGTGAAATCCCGTCTCTACTAAAAATACAAAAATTAGCTAGGTGTGGTGGCACATGCCTGTAATCCTAGCTACTCGGGAGGCTGAAGCAGGAGAATCACTTGAACCAGGGAGGTGGAGGTTGCAGTGAGCCGAGATCGTACCACTGAACTCCAGCTTGGTGATAGACCGAGACTCCTCCTCAAAAAAAAAAAAAAAAAAAAAAAAAGTAGTGAGAAGGGTAAAATACCTGAAGGACACAACTTAACAGTGGTACTGGTAAAACCTGTGCAAGCTGATTAATAGACATTTCAACCTCTAGGATGACATGAAATAGCATTTTAAGGCATTATAAGAGAAGATTCAAGTTCCTATATAAGCTCATTCAATTTCATTTTATAGCTCCTGTTTGCTATTTTTCTACAAAACTATTTATATTCTAGAAAAAAACATATTTTTATTCAAGCTCTTTAAGTCAATATGAGTCTAGCTAGACCTGCTGAGTTGGTTCTTTCATAAATTTATGGTAAAAGTTCAATATATATCCTCTAGCTGTACTTCTCTTTTACTATGTATGACTGGAAAGATTCACTCTTATCTTTGAAGAATACACCTCCTACTGATTGGTCTCTTGCTGAGTGCTGTTGACTGCTCTGAAGTTGACCTCATGGTTAGCAATTCATTCTAAGGCAAATGAATCATTTCATCAGCAATAGTCATGCAACTATGAAATCTCAGTGGTGGTTTCCCTGGCCATCTCTGCCAATTACAAATACCAGGGACACTACTTGGCTGACTTCAGTCTTCACATCCAAATAAGGAGAGACAGGTCAGGTTAAAGCTGGACAGGGCTTCTGTGCATTTTATACAAAGGAAATGGGGAGGCTCTGCAGGAATTAGTCCATATGCACCTTTTCAAAGAGGCCTGGCACTACCCCCTCCCCTTCTTCAGTATTCTGTACATTCCTCAAATACAGAATGAACAGAGTGGAGCAAGTTTTACTTACCTCTCCATCTTAAATAACCACTAACATTCTCTCAAGGATCTAGGATATAAACCTGGTGCACTAATTCTCATCACAACAAATTTCTTCTTTACTTTTTCTTAATGCCTTCAGGAATAAGAGAAACCCCATAAATCAGAAAAAGCCTCATCTTTTAAGAACTACTGCTCCTTTAGAGGTGGAATTGTTTGAGTAATTGTATAATGGTGCTTGGCACTTAGTAGGAACTTAACAGATATTTGTTGATTTAATGAATAAGTGAGAAATATTTGTTAGGCTGCAGTTTTAAATGAGTACAGCTGTAGAAGGTCCAAGCTCACCAAGTCCAAGACGAGAGAATGTGGTTGGTTTGCCATTCACATGGCTGGTCTTGGTTTGGGATTTTTGTTACCTGAGGGACAGTCTCTGCTGAAAAAAAAAAACCCTAGCAGAACCAGGCTGCTACTGTGACTGAGATCATTCTTCTGTGTCTACATATTTTATATGCCAAAGGAGAGTACTTCCTTTGCCTGTCTAAGCTCCAAAACTAACCATTCCTGTCTCTAAGCTTGTCAATGCTTTCAACAGCATAGCTTGGAATGGTGCCAAAGAGATCTACAACTAGTTTGTATTCATTTGGAATTTTCAGTACCCATTTTCCAAGATAGACAAGAGATTCACAAATTTTCCGTCTCTGAAAATGCTCCTGTTTCTGCCTTGAAGGGCTGTATCATATCTAGCCTGTAAGAAACAAGAGAGGTCTGTGAAGAACAGCTTGGGGAAAAAAAAGGTGAGAATTGCCTTCCAATGCAGAATTGTATGAAGCAATCTTCACTTTTGAATCACAGTGTGCTTCATGCCAAAATTCAATAGCCACATCGAACATCAATGAGCTGAGTGTGGAATACACCTTTTCCCAAGTGATCTAATGCTTTTCCTAAGTTGACTTTTGAAGTGACACAGACTTCTGTTGCTTCATTTTTAACTTCTTTTCTTTCTTATTTTATATCTAACTTCTAGCTTTGTCCCTCAAAACTGATGTTAGTGCTTCATAAGCCAGAAACAATGGGAAAGAGGCACCTCACCGATACCAAGATGTATGATGTTGCTGTTCAGTTGAAAGGTTCGCAGGAGGTGGAAGTGTAAGTGGACTCAGTGCATGGTGTGTAACATGTTGTGAGAATTTACTCCTCTGCAGCTTTGGTATTAAAGTCTGAAGTATTGTGAATCTGTGCATCACTTGTAAAATCAACAACCATAAAGGCCATTTAAATATCCATAATATCTTTTGTCAGTAGGCAAGCCAATTGCTTATGCAAGAAGTAGATCAATTTAACCTTTTATTTGGCATACATTTTCTCAGTTTTTTTTTTTTTTTTTGGCACAGACCACAATGTTTTTATAATCAACTCTTAGCCAAAGCAGAAATTCATACAATCATATTTTGCTTTCCTGTTCAGGATTCTTTTCCTGACACATTTGTCATCTGTGACCAAGATTTGCTTTAACACCCTAGGTTGAACATTGTTCAGTGACAGATGTTCGGTTACCCTTTTAATAAGGAGGTGTTATGTGATTTCTCGGCCAGCTAGAAAAGCAGTGGTCAAAGCAGGAAATCCGATTCTTGACCTTGTTTTTTTCTTTTACTCTTGTCAGACATACTGGTACTTCTTGGAGGTAGATTTCACTTCTATGCCCTATGTGTCAGCATAATAGGCTTTCTCACTTATGTTTTGAGACAAACAAATTATCAGGCTAATGTTTAAAATCCAACAACTACCAGAAATGGTTATAATTCTAATAATTCCAATATTACAGAGGTAAGCAATAATAGGTTTACACTCACTGTCATTCACTCTCCCTCTCTCTCTCAAACTTATTGAACATTCTTTCCATGTTAAATATTAGTCAATAAACCCTATATTAATTAACACATTTAGTTCTCATAAGACTGCTTGGATGTAGATTCAAAAGTTTTAAAAATGAAAGCATTTAAAAGTTAAGAAACTTGTAAAGGGTTATACCATAGTTAATAATGATACCACCCAGGCAGCCTGACTTTAGAATCCATACACTTAACCAGACACCATAGAGGCTCTTGTAGATGCAAAATTCTTTATCAGATATGTGATTTGCAAATATTGTCTCCCAGGCTATAGCTTGTGTTTTCATTCTCCTTTCATAATGTTTCAAAGAGCAGTTTTTAATTGTAATGAAGTACAAATTATCATTTTTTTCTTTTTATGGATTTTTGTTTTTGGTGTCATATCTAACAAATCTTTAACTCAGGGTCACGAAGGTTTTCCACTTGAAGTTACATAGTTTTAGGTTTTAAAATTAGGCCTATGATCCATTTTGAGTTAATTGTGTATATGGTGAAAAGCATTCATTAAAGTTTACTATTTTACATATAAATATCCAATTGTTTAAGCATCATTTATTGAAAATACTGTTCATGCTCCACTGATTTGCTATTGCATCTTGGTTAAAAATCATTATTCCATGTATATGAGCAACTTCTGTACTCTGTTCTCTTCCATTGATCTATTTAGCCATTTTGATGCCAATGCCACAGTCTTTTTTACTGTAGCTTTATAATGAGTTTTGAAATCAGGAAGTTTTGGTCCTCCAACTTTGTTCTTTTTCTAACTTGTTTGGGATATTCCAGATCCTTTGTACTTCCATGTGAATATCAGAATAAGCTTATCAATGTCTACAGAGATGGCTGCTAGAATTCTGTTGGCTTTATGGATATTTAAAGAGATTTGACATTTGAACAACATTGAATTCTTTAAGTTATGAACAAAATATACTTATTTATGCCTTTAAAAATTTCTGTCATTGGGAGGCTGAGGCGGGTGGATCACAAGGTCAGGAGATCGAGATCCTCCTGGCTAACACGGTGAAACCCCGTCTCTACTAAAAATACAAAAAATTAGCCGGGCATGGTGGCGGGTGCCTGTAGTCCCAGCTACTTGGGAGGCTGAGGCAGGAGAATGGCATGAACCCAGGAGGCGGAGGTTGCAGTGAGCCGAGATTGCGTCACTGCACTCCAGCCTCGGTGACAGAGCGAGACTCCATCTCAAAAAAAAAAAAAAAAAAAATTTCTGTCAGTGACATTTTACAGTTTTCAGTGTGTAGGTCTTGCACATCTTTTGTCCTATTTATATTCCTAAGTATTTTACATATTTTATGCTGTTGTAAATGGTTTTGTTTTTTAATTTAAATGTCTTACTGTTCATTTTTCTTCAGAAATAAAATTGATTTTTATGTTGCTCTTCTATTCCTTAACCTTCCTGAAAGTTCACTTATTAGTTCTAGTAGCTTTTTTGTAGATTCCATTGGATTTTCTACAAAGATAATCATGTCATATACAAATAGAGAGTGTTCATTTTTAATCTGTATACCTTTCATTTCTTGTGCTTGAGCTAGAATACATCAGTTAAATAGAATGTTGAATTTCTGTTTCTATTAAGTGCAGACATTTGTTTTGTTTTTGATCTTAGGTGAAAAGGTTTTAGATTTCCTTTATAACATGTGCTGCTGGGTGTGGTTTTTGCATAGATGTGTGCCCTTTATCAGGTTGAGAAAGTTAATCTTAAAATATATTCCAATTTCATCTAAGTTTTAAAACTTAATGGTATAAAATTGTTTATAACATTTCCTATTATCTTTGTAGTATCTGTAGAATCCATAGTGATGTTTCCTTTTTCATTTCTGATATTATAAATTAGTATCTTCTCTTTACTTCTGATCATTCTGGCTAGAGGTTTATAAGTTTTATTATTTTTTCAAAAATCCAGCTTTTGACTTATTTTCTTTTTATACTTATATTGGATTGAATTCACTTTTTATCTGTTTTCCTAAGGTCATTCATTTGAGGTTATTTATTTGAGACTTTTCTCCTTTTCTAATATAAGTGTTTAGTGCTATAAATTTTCCTATAACTACTGCTTTAGCAGCATCTCAGAAAATTTTAAATATTTTGCTTAAAATTTTATTGAGATCAAAATTTTTATATTTTTCATTTTGATTTCTTCTTTGACTGATGGATTATTTATAACTGTGTTATTAAGTTTCCACATTTTTGGAGATATTATAAGAATGCTTTTGTTATTGATTTCTAATTTAATTCCACTGAAGTCAGAGGGCATCCTTTGATGCTCTCAAAGTATTATAGAAAACTTTTATATTCATTGAGACATTTTATGACCCAGAATATGTCTATCTTAATAAATGTTCCATATGCACTTGAAAAGAATATGTATTCTGCCATTTTGGGGTGTAATATTCTATAAATATTAATTAGGTCATATTAGTTGTTAGTGTTGTTCAAATTTTCTATATTCTTTTTGTCAACTTGTTCTAACAATTATTTAAAAAGCTGCATGAAAATCTCTGACAATAATTGTGGATTTATCTATTTCTCATTGCATTTCTACCAACTTTTGCTTTATGTATTTTGAAGCTCTGTTATTAAGTACATAAATAATTAGATTTTTTTTTTTTTTGAGACAGAGTCTCACTCTGTTGCCCGGGCTGGAGTGTAGTGGCACAATCTCGGCTCACTGCAACCTCCACCTCCTGGGTACAAGCAATTCTCCTGTCTCAGCCTCCCGAGTAGCTGGGATTACAGGTGCTCACCACCACGCCCAGCTAATTTTGTATTTTTAGTAGAGGTGGGGTTTCACCATATTGGTCAGGCTTGTCTTGAACTCCTGACATCAGGTGATCTACCTGTCTCAGCCTCCCAAAGTGCTGGGATTATAGGCGTGAGCCACCTCATCCAGCCAATGATTAGAATTCTTATATCCCTTTGATGAATTGGCCTCTTTATTATTATGAAATAACCATTATTCCTGGTAGTAATCTTTGCCCTTATATCTGCTTTGCCTAATACTGACACTCCAGAAGTTTTTTAAAAATTGGTGTTAGAGTATGTATATATTTTTCCATTCTTTTATGATTAACTTTTTTGTTGCTTTTACATTTAAAGTTGATTTTCTGTATGCAGAATTTAGTTGGTCTTGCTTTTTCATCTAATGTAATGCTCAGTGAGTTTTATTTGGGGTATTTACATTAAATGTGAGTATTGCTATAATTAGTATTAAGTATATCATTTTGTTGTGTTCTATTTGTCTGATTTCCTTTTTTTCTATTTTTAATGGCTTCTTTCAGATTAACTGAGTAATTTTTATGATTCCGTTTTTTAAAATGTTGTGGCTTATTAGCAATAACTGATTTAATTTTAGTATTTTAATAGCATTAGTGGTATTTTAGTGGCATTTTTAGTATTTTAATATTAGTGTTATTTTAGTATTTTAGTGGTTGCCTTAGGGTTTATAATATCACTCAGTTGTTACAGTCTTTATTTCTAAGGTACAATCATTGGTGATACTCTTTTTTTCCTCTCTTTTTGTTTATCCATATTATACTGTAATAGTGCTAGAACTCCTTCAAGTTGAAAGTTTACCGTGAAACATGATCCTGTTACCTCTGTAACTGGGAACTAAGTATTAATACACATGGGAAACTAGAGAGAAAGAAAAGATCTTATAAGTGGAACCATGGATGATACAACTAACATCACAGTCAAGCCTCCACATCAGACCCTTGAATACTAGTCAGGACACAGACCTATAACTGTTAATTTGTCATCTACATACGATATTAAACCAGCATTTCTTAAATCCTGTTTTCATTGATCCTGACTCTTCACCTCTGCCTGGTTCCCTGTTGCTGCAGGTTTTCTCTTGCTCCTTATCTTCCTCTTGTCTTGCTCTTGTTCTCTCTGTTTCTACTTCTCCGGCTGCTGTCAACTAGAAGATTCTTTTTATGTGCCTATAAAAATCCAATTTTAAAAGAGAGAGGATCAGACGGGCATGGTGGCTCACACCTGTAATCCCGGCATTTTGGGAGGCCGAGGAGGGTGGATCACTTGAGGTCAGGAGCTCGGAGACCAACCTGGCCAATATGGTAAAACCTCATCTTTACTACAAATACAAAAATTAGCCAGGTGTGGTGGCAGGCACCTGTAATCCCAGCTACTCAGGAGGCTGAAGCAGGAGAATTGCTTGAACCCAGGAGGTGGAGGCTGCAGTGAGCTGAGATCATGCCGCTGCACTCCAGCCTGGGCGACAGAGTGAGACTCCACCTCAAAAAAAATAAAAAAGAAAGAAAAAAGGAAATAGAGAGAATCTGTTTGGCTTCATTAACCATTATCCTGAATAGAGGGCCTCTTTTAGGCAGGTATTTCAGGCTCAGCCAGCTCATTGGCTGGCGCCATTCCTGTTCCAGTCAGCCATGGCCAGTGGATAGAAACACACACTACAGAACATGGCAGCCACGCTGAGGAAGTACCTTTCACCATGTGGTAGACACTCAGAGACTGCTCTGAAAAGGTCAGTGTTGTAATTAGTGAAAAAGGAAGGGAGGAAAGGACGAAGGGAGGGAGAGAGGGAGTGAGAAAGGGAAGGAGGAAAAAGAAATGAAGGAAGAGAGGGCCAATCTATTATATATTTTCAGAGAGTTCTCATGATTAGAAGTTTTCTCTTATATTGAGCTGAATTCTACCATTATGTAACTTCCACCTCAATTTTGTTTTGTCCTTTTGTACCTCATCCTAGTTCTGTTTTCTTCAAATGTTTGAGGACAGCTATTTACTTCCATCTCTTTCAACCACGCCCCATATGATAAAAGCTTTTAACTTCTCTTTAACTTGGCCACTCTCTTCTATGAGAGTGAGGAGTGAGGTCCAGTTTGATCATACACTCTTGAACACTCTTAAAACGTGGCTCCCCAAAATAAATACGATAGCCCAGATGTGATCTACCTACCTATAATTACAGATTACCTAAACCTTTTCACCAGCCAAGTGAGACTTCTGGTTTCTGTTGAAATGCTCTCCAGACAGGTCTCTCTCATCTGTTGTTCATACAATGGATGTATTGTAATGTGGATGCAAGAAATTTATATTTGCATCTATTAAATTTACCAACCATGTCTTCATAACAGTTATTAGTGTGCTCCCTTTTACAAGTACTTTCACAGACATTATCTCATTTAATCCTCCCAACATGTTGATTTTAGACCATAGCTGCTACTTGGTCTATATGATCACTCCTAGTTGAAGTCTTTCCTGTATTCACCATTAACACTGGAGTCTTCAGCATAATTAAAGTACTGAAGAAAAGTGAACTAAATGTCCCCTTTTGGCATTAAATAACAAACTGTGTACAGCAATGTACTAGGCAAGGCAGGATGCACAGTATTGTGGAAGAGGGTCACTGTATGAACTGAAATTATTGTTGAATAGAGAGAACACAGAATAAGAGCTAATGGGAGATGTTTCTGTGCATTGCTTAACAGCATATATGTCAATGGAACAATATTTTCTACAAAATATATGTTAAACAATCTCTTCTTTCTCTGCACTTAGAATGGTTGTCAAATGCAGTGGTGGGACTTTCCTCAGAGGTTTGTGTAGTCATGGATCAAATATAACACATGTATTTGAGAAAACTCTTGTAATTCTGCACTTTCATACTAGTCTTTTCAAGTTCTGTTCCCACATATTGATTCTTTCTCACTATGGAAATATGAAAGCTTTGTGGTTCAAGGTGGTGCTCTCTAATCATTGGGCTGCTGCCTGGTCTGCATGACTATCCTGAGAGTCACTCTGTCGGTAGCCTTGTTCATTCAATTACTATCATCTCCACCTCATTCCATTGCTTCTACTCCCTATATAAGGAGAGTAGGCTGTCTTGTTTCTTTCTTTGTCATATTTTCCCTGTCTTCGGTCATAGATGAAATGCAGGATTGTTTTTTTTTCCTTTACAATAATCTGTACTGCACACCTATAGAATACAGATACCAATCTATTATTAAAATTCATTGCCAAGTATTCAATTTTGAACAGAACTTTCTCCTGTTGACTATCTTAGTAGCTAAAAAAAAAAATTATCAGATTTAAATCCAGTAACTGGTATGATACTTATGATACATCTTCTATTTGTTTAAGCAGCATAACCTAATGTCAAGTAAAAAGAAAAGTATAGCTGGTTTTTGGGAAAATCATAAATAATTTTTAAAATTTAGTCTATAAATTTTTTAAGAAGTATATATATTCTTTTGGAAATCATTTAGAAACCCTTGTATCTCCTAATAAGTTAAGTGAGATTATGTGTGGGTCAAGACAGTCTGAAAAGGGCGTATGTGTGAATATATGTGTATCTATGATTGCATATGTGTCTCTGGGGAGGAGTGTGTCTGTGTGTGTGGAGTGTGTGTCTATGTATCTGGGTGCCTGTGGATGTGGAGAGGACAGAGCATGGGGAAAAACCATACTCCTACAAATTCGTCCCCTCCATTTGGTATCAGTTCAACATGATAAATGCAAAGATGAAAAGAATATGGAGAATGTCTTGTTAATGGTAACACCTGGTTCAGGAAGAAAACATGGAGCCAAAAGCCTTTATTCCTAATTCCTCTTTCCCGCAGCTGCCAGTTGGGTGTGTCTTGCTAATAGTTTTAGTACATTTCATGAGTGCATAACAAAGTGTAATTTTTTAAAGTAGAAAAGCAGTTGCTGGTGAGTCTACTGAAATGGTTTATTTTACAACTATTTCTACATTCAGGAACTTATATAAATATTTAATCCAACCACTACATATTTGCTTGCTTCCTCAACCACATTCCTTTACACATGGGTAGACCCTGGCTCTGCATGCCAGCCAATAAGCATAATTTATCTCATTTGTTCTGCATCACTACTCTTTACAATAGGTGTCTTGCCTCCATTGACCACTGTAGAAAGGAAACTCGATAGTTAAGGAATTTGCTCTAGGCCATTCAGCTAGGAAGTTGTTGAATCTGATACAGATTCATTAGCCTGCACAGCCCATAATTTCCCACTCCTGTAGTGCTTCTCCAGTCTCTCTTTGATCCTTTCTTTCCTATTCTCTTTACCCTTTGACTGATAAACTTGATGACTTGAACTATATGTTGATTCCTGATAACAATTTTAATATGTAGCATTTAATGGTCAATATTTTCAACAAAATGGAAGGATTATTAGTAAAACTTGGGTTCAAATTCTTCCTCCCCTGAGCCCAGAGACGAATGAGTGAATCTTCCTTCTATTTCAGAAGAAGCTCTCAAACAATCACTTAGCTAACTTGTCTGTTGCAGCTCTGCAGAAGAACAACTCCATGTCTGTATCAAGTTTGTTAATCCTGTGTTAGGCAGGACTCTGCCTGTTGTTTGGATATATTCCACCTTCAGATGCTCCATGTTGAGGCCCATGTTTTTGCATTATCTAAATAGCATTAAGAGAAGAATCACTAAGCCATCTCCAGAGTCCTATCTGAGAAGAGTTGAGAAATGGTGGTACTCTCTGGGTCACTATAGGTGTTCCTAATCTATGCTTTTATCTTGGCTTCTCTAGCAATCTGAAGAAGATCTCTAGCTTCATTCATAGCTTGGTGATGGTATTCATGAATAGGAATGCTTGTTGCATTTAAATTTAATTTAAAACCATTGTATTGTGATGCTGATAAAACACTGAACAAGATTAGTATCCTGGATAACATTGGGTTTACTATGCTTTGGTAAATGGATAATAATTGGGTTGCTTGTAGCCTTTTTTTTTTTTTTTTGAGACAGTGTCTTGCTCTGTTGCCCAGACTGAAGTGCAATGGTGTGATCTCAGCTCACTGCAACCTCTGCCTCCCAGGTTCAAGAGATTCTCCCACTTCAGCCTCCTGAGTAGCTGGGATTATAGGTATGGGCCACCACCCCTGGCTAATTTTTGTATTTTTAGTAGAGATGGAGTTACGCCATGTTGGCCAGGCTGGTCTCGAACCCCTGACCTCAGGTGATCTACCATCCTTGGCCTCCCAAAGTGCTGGAATTACAGGCGTGAGCCACCACACCCAGCTGCTTCTTGCCATTTTTCTCCACCCAGCTAAGAGGTTAGTGTTCATGAATGATCGCTTCAGCTCCTTATCTCCACTTGCAGCTTTTCATATTACCTAAGACAGCAAATTTACAGCTTGATCTAATCTCTTTGTTTGTTTGTTTGTTTTGTTTTGTTTTGTTTTGAGACAGGATCTTGCTCTGTCACCCATGCTCACTGAAACCTTTGCCTCCTGGCTCAAGCAATCCTCCCACCTCAGCCTCCCAAGTAGCTAGGACTACAAGCATGCACTACCATGCCTGGCTAACTTTTTTTTTTTTTGTATTTTTAGTAGAGATGGGGTTTCACCATGTTGCTCAGGCTGGTCTCGAACTCCTGGGCTCCAGTGATACTCCCACCTTGCCCTCCCAAAATGCTGGGATTACAGGCATGAGCCACTGCACCTGCCTTTACTACTCTTAAACCTCTTTAGAACTATCTCTGCATCCTTGACGTTAGCCTGTAGCCTAGTCATAGCCTTTTTCATTCTCTAACTCAATAATGTTCTATTTTTATTCAAAAATAGAAATAGGTAGAACAACATTTAAGATTAAAAAAGCATTTTTATTTGGAGGTTAAAAAAAAACTCCTTGCAAATTTGTCTCTTCCCTACCCCTTTTACTTTGATAGAGCTTGAATCATTTCTTCTTCATTTGATTTAATAAAAACTTTTAAATGCTTTTACATTAAAACACCTTGTTTAAAAACAAAGAAAAAATAGAGTTGAAGAAACTTATTTTGCTTGTCTATAAATATTTGTAATACTACTGGAATTTATTGAAATGTATATAAATTAGATGTGCTAGATTAGTTACAAGAAAGTACAAAACAATGAGATTTATTTTAAAACATAGATATTATTTAGAGAACCACATAACAAAAGCAAATCCTAGAGTATCCCTCAAGTGAAGCCATTTGAAAGAAACCTTAACTCATCATATATAATATGTAATACTTGTACAGTGATAAAATGATCAGGCTAGTTCCATGGGAAGAGTAAATACATAAGAAAGTTCACTTAATATTTATTACCTCATTAAATTACAAAGCATACAATAACATGCTATTGCACACAGTATGACTATGTCAAGTGTCTATTAAACATAATTAAAGCCAGCAGCTCTGGGCATAATGAGATTTAGACTACATGAGAAATATTAAAAATCTACTTGCCTAAGTCCTTTTAGGCAAAATTGATTATATCCTTTGCTCACCTAATGTATTAGTTCATTCTCACACTACTATAAGGGCATACCTGAGACTGAGTAATTTATAAAGAAAAGGGATTTAATTGACTTACAGTTCTGCATGGCTGGGGAGGCCTCAGGAAACTTACAATCATAGCAGAAGGCATCTCTTCACAGGGCAGCAGGAGAGAGAATGAGTGCTGAGTAAAGGGGGAAGCCCCTTATAAAACCATCAGATCTCATGAGAACTCACTCACTATCAGGAGAACAGCATGGGGAGACTGCCCCCATAATCACCTCCCATGAGTTCCCTCCCATGACACGTGGGGATTATGGGAACTACAAATCAAGATGAGATTTGGGTGGGGGCACAGCCAAACCATATCTCCTAAATGTTAACAAGTTCAACTTTTAACACTAATTTATCAAAGCAGTTAAATTCTTAGAAGACACTATTTTGGTTTATTTCAATTCTATGCCACACCAAAAGCAATCAAAAATAGGTTCCTAATGAACTTAAGGACCTATGGAGGCTAACCCCAAATTCAAACTAATGAAATCTCAAAGCAGATGTGTTTTCAATAAATGTTCCTTTATCTCCACACAGACTTTGGCAAAATCCACTTGTTCATCGTCATTTAAAAATATGGCTAAAAGATTCCACTGATTCAGATACAGAGATGCATTACATCTTCCAAGGAGTTAACAAAGGAGGATGGAAACAATGAATAAGCTTTGTTTTGAAATCCAGTATCAAAAACTTGTAAGTTCCTAGGCCTCCTTATATTTTAAGCACCCATGTAATCCTAAAAACATCTCAAAAGTACTCTTGGTATTCTGACACTGTTTTTGTCATTTCATAGCTTATAAGAGTAAATTTAAAAACCTAACTATTTAGAGACATTTTTATACTTTGCCATTTAAAAGACATGTAAGTAGAATTTATCCTATAAAATTAAAGAATATTTTAAAAGGTTAATAAACATGTTTTAACTAAATTTTGGGGAGTAACTTTTCCTCTAAGTGTTTGGAATTGATTGAGCTTGTACATTTACTAATCAAACACAAGTCAAACACGATCTTTTTGGGACAAGATCTAGATCTAAGAAACTCAAAGGAAAATGAATTTAGGGTTTTACATATTTAATAAGCAAACACCCATCTCTGTTTTGCTGGGTAATTGTCTTCCTAATACTCTTTTTAGGAAACATACACACACAGGCACACACACACAAACACACACTAAAGAGTAGGGGTAGAAACAACTAATTACTTACTAAGACATTTCTTATTGAATACTGATTTTCTTCCTGGCCTGTACCAGGCTTTGAGGATATAAAAATTATGTTTTTTCCTCACAGCACTCACACTGTTAAATAATTAATCCACTGATTTCTAGACAAGTCTTTATGAAGCACCTACTAAAGGTAAGGCACTCTGCTCAGAGGTAAGGATGTATTAATGAACCAAACAGGCCTGGTTCCTCCCTTCATGGAGTATACAGTCCAGTGGGGAGCATAGACACTCATCAGATTATCAAGCAAGTGCATGTAGAATCATCACATGGAATCCAAACGCGCGATAAGAAGTATATGGTTCTATATAAGCACAAAAGTGTGGGATAGGATTTGGTCAAGAAAGTGAGAAAGGTGCTAATTATGTTAAAATCATAAACAGTGGGTAGATATGAGTAGGAGCATCTAGGAAAAAAGGAGAAAACAGCACATTCCCAGCAAAATAACCAGTACTGTGGATTGACTCGTGTCCTCCCAAAATATATATTCAAGTCCTAACCCCTAGTACCATGTGATCATACTTGGAAATAAGATCATTGCAGATGTAATTAGTTAAGATGAAGTCATACTGGAGTAGGATGAGCCCTTATTCCAATATGACTAGTGTCCTTATATGTAGAGGAGAAGACACAGATGGGGAAGGTTGCCTTATGAAGACTGAGCCAGAGACTGGAATTATGCTACCACAAGCCAAGGAACACCTGGGCTGCCACAGATCAGAAGAGACAAGGAAAGATCCTTTCCCAAAGACCCAGAGTATAGCCCTGCCATCACCTTGACTTTGGATTTCTAGCCTTTAATTCTGTGAGACGACACATTTGTATCATGTTAAGCCACCTAGTCTGTGGTTCTTTGTTACAACAGCCCTAGGAAACTAATACAACCAGCATCAGTAAAAGCGCCGTGGCAATAAAAAACATTTCAAATAGAAAGAACCAGAAGAAATCCAGGATAGCTGGACACTGTGTGGTAGCAGTAGGGTTGCTGGATAAAATACAAGATGGCTAGTTATATTTTAATTTCAGAAAACAACAAATACCCTTAGCATGTGAGTCCCATATTACATCTAGAAATCTGACAAAAATATTTGCTTATCTGAAATTTAAATTTAACTGGGCATTCTGTATTTTTATATGCAAAATCTTGCCACCCCAGAAAGAGGATACATGGTGAAAGTTGATGGCAAATAGGTATAGAGAAATGTCTATGCCTCTTTAGATTGTTAGATTGAAGTGGATTAAATTTGTGGGAAGTGAGAGAATGGTGACAGCAGGTATAGGCAAGCTTGCAGAAATTTAGCTGTGAAAGGTCTAAGGAGCTGAGGATAGGAATAGGAGAATGAAGAGTTGAATGAGGCTGTTTTTGTTTTTTGAGTGGAAGAGGCACATGCATGGTTAAGAGCCAGATGACAGAATCTACCTGAGAATTTGATTATATAAAAGGCAATAAAGAAGGGATGTTAAATATTTATAGCTCATAGAAAAGTGATAAATGATGGGATACATACAAATGATGGTTTTAGATAGAAGAAGAGGCATGTCTTCCACTGCAACAAGAAGGCAGGAGGGCAGCAATGGTTCACTGTGGATTGTTTTGAGTATTTAATATTAGGGAAATATTTAATATTTGGGATTCTCATCAGATAATCACATACTCTCTGTTTCCCATATTCTGGGAAATTCTTAACTATGATTTAATGAATAATCCTGGATGAGGTTACATGACACGGTTTGGCTGTATCCCCAACCAATTCTCATCTTGAATTCCCACATGTTGTGGAGGGACCTGGTGGGAGTTAATTGAATCATGGCAGCAGATCTTTCCTGTGCTGTTCTCATGATAGCTGTTCTCATGAGATCTGATAGTATTGTAAGGGGGAGTTTCTCTGTACAAGCTCTCTCGCTCTCTCACTTTTTATTTTTTGCCTGCTGCCATCCATGTAAGATGTGACTTGTTCCTCCTTGCCTTCTGCCTTGACTGTGAGGCCTCCCCAGCCATGTGGAACTGTAAGTTCAATAAAACCTTTTATTTGTAAATTTCCCAGTTTCAAGTATGTCTTTATCAGCAGCGGGAAAACGGACTAATACAGTACAGCCATCCATAAAACACATTTAAGGTATACTTATAGAAGTTTTGTTATGGAATTCATACAAGTGTAAGTTTGAGTTAAAAATATTTTAATGAAATCCTGGAGACAGATTTATATTCTAAAGGCTGAGAACCCTTTAAACTAACAGGCAAGTTCATATGCTAAATACCAGAAGGAACAAAACTGTTTCAGAGGTTTGAAGGGAGAGGAGGTGTAACTAGTTATTGTGAATTGGATTGAGCAACCCAAAAGGATGTCAAGCAGTGTGAGTGGCCCACTTGAGTTTTAATCTCAACAATTTCACAATAATATAATTGCTACTTTTGTTTAATGAGAAAAATTTACATGAGGGCCATGGAGGAGGAAATAATTAGTGTAGGGTAGAAGTGAGGAGAGTCCAGACAGGTGTAAAAGAGAAAAAGCAATGGGGCTGATCTGGCCATGAGGAATGAGTAGGATTTTTCTGGTATAGAGAAGGTGGGAATGGAAATATCTTGCCAAGTGTACTGGAAAATGGAAGCAGGAAGAAAAAAAGGTCTATTATTTAGTTCTCCTTGTGTCTGTAATAAGCTTAAATTCTTAATTTAGGGGAGCAGAGAAGAGATAATAAAAGTTGCATCAATTTGGAGGAGGGACAAATCACTGAAGGCTGAGATAGTTGAAAAGGCTTCAGAGAAGACAAGTTGGACCTGAAAGGAAGAAAGGCAAAGCCGTCCTAAGTGGAGCTGTGGTGGAAGTGTGGCAGATGAAAAGACATGGTGCTTGGAAGGCCTGGTTTTTGTTCCCAGACTTCTTTTTAGATGCCTCAATTTTTTTTTAAATTAGATTTACATGTTTACACATTTTCTATATTCATCTTATCATCCTATTTATGTAGGTATTTGTGATTCCTAATCTTACTACAGAGGCTACCATATTTATTTTTCAGCTTCAAATTTCCCTAGAGACTTTCTTGCCCTTGGACAGGGAAGTAACCCAGAAATTCTACTCATCCAGAAAATATGTATGGGATGCCTCTTTTCCACTCATAGCATTCTATAGGTGTGATAAGTTCTGTGAGCCATCCATATCAGAAATGGTATCGGGTGCTGTGGAATCCAACACCAGGTAGTATGGCTAATCATGGCTCCACAGGAGAGAGTTCAGAGGGAGAGTGAGCACATGGCTGGCGGGATCAAGGATAGCACCATGAGGGAGCTGGGGCTCTGCAGTGTGTTCAGCCTTTAGAAGATAAATCTGTCTCCAGGATTTCATTAAAATTTTTTCATTCAAACTTACATTTTTATGAATTCCATAACAAAATTTTTATATGTATACTTTAAATGTGTCTTATGGATGCTGTACCCTCATCCCAGGATCATTCATTCAATCACAGTTAAGAATTTCCCAGAATATGGGAAAGGGCACCCTGGGTTTTTGAGGTTTTCACTGGTTTTCAATTTTGTAAGGACAATTAGAATACTTGTTTTGTTTGTTTTTGGTATAGTACTAAATTGGTATTTTAAAAATTATATCGTTATAACCGTCTTACTTTTTTGTTGTTAAAATGTCCTTGTTTTATGAAGTAATGATGGTCAGTCAAGAGGTTTTTGAAATTTGTTTTCTCATTTTTAATGTCTATGCTCACCAGAAATTGTCTTTCACTTCATTTGAACTTTGGAAATCTGGGAAACTCCAGTTGTTATAAAGAGTTGCATATTGTTCTCCTGAGGACTGAAGTCAAGGCTGCTTCAGGTTGTCATCAATACACATTATATTAAGGGTCACGTGTGGGGACTCTGGGTTGGGGAAGCCTCCTTTCTGCTTGTGATTTGGTTGCATGACTGTCCAGGTGAATAAAATCCACTTGAAAGCAACTAAGTCCTTTGCTGGCAGGAGTCAGAAGCCCTTCCCTTGATGAGGGCTGGAAGCCAGATGTAATGCCAAAACATGCGTTCACCTCCTCCTGCAGGGAAACAAAACAAAATGAAACAATAACAACCACCTTGGACCACTCAGCATCAGTAGCTCTGCCAGAAAACACATTATATCTCGTGTTTCCATTCTCAGGAAATCAGTGGTGAGATTTTTATCAGGGTAATTCCATCATCACATGGGCATGGACACTGCCCTGGGCTTGTCACCATTGAGATGGTAAGAGTCCTAGGCACTCACTCACTGCCACTCCTTCATAAGCTCTGAAACAGAGGTCTGGCCTTCCTGTGTTCCTGGCCACTTGGTCTTAAACTGGCCAGAGAAAAATGAGCACTCTCTGCTTGAATTAGGAATCAAAGCCATTTTAAACAAATGAGAAAATCAGTTCAGGCTAGTCTTGACGAAATTAATGTGTAATAAGAAGTCTTTCACTGTAACTAGAATTGACTATATTTCTGCTTTGGAAAAGAAGAAATAGAATATTCCATCACTACAGAAATATTCTTGTGCTACCCTAACTTAAGGCTGTGATGTAGCTGGATTTTAACATTGAGTTAGTGAGGGTGGGGTAGGGCCTTCACTGTTGGCTGGTGCAATGAGCAAGTGCATAAAAATGGGCTATTTCCTGATTACCATCTCTCCACGGCTTATGGTCTTGTTTTCACCCTTCTTTTAATGTTGCTTCATCATAGCCTTAACAACTATCATGCCAGCACGTCAACATACTACCTTTAAGACATTATCGAAATGTGCCTCTTTTGGAGATTATGCTGAGTAGGAGCCCAGGTGTACTTCTGGAATGGACCCATGTCCTTTTCCCAGTTATCTCTCAATCGTCTGGTTTTATTAAAAACATGGCTGGATTCTGGCTTAATCCATAACCTTTTAAAAATCATCTTTCCTGAATAAATATGAAGTAAATTTTTCCTCGCTTTAGTGTTTTTTTTTTTTTTCTGGCCTGAAAAAATCCATGGGTTACTAAAAACGCTTGCATTACTTAATCATCATCATCTAATCAATTGCTAATGATCTAATTGTAATAATCATTAACTAACATTTATTTAGCATTTACTATGGACTACGCATGGGGCTGAACCTGTCCTCATGTGTGTTATCCATTGGCATATGACTTACATACATGAAGTGTGACATAACATTAATAGCAATATGGGTGATGTGGTGTAGAGGCTGTAGAGTTAGACACACCTGGTTCCAATCTTGACCCCCTCACTTGTTGTCTTAGGAAGTTTAATCTTTCTCAGGCTAGATTTCTTTTTCTCTAAATGAGGGACAACACTACCTGTATTGGAGAGTTACAGTGAGAATCTGAGAGCATTTATGCAGCTTTTGGCACAAAGTAAGCCTCAAAAATCTGGTTACAGCTGGGCACGGTGGCACTTTGGGAGGCTGAGGTGGGTGGATCACAAGGTCAAGAGATAGAGACCATCCTGGCTAACATGGTGAAACCCTGTCTCTACTCAAAAAAATACAAAAAAATTAGCCGGGCATGGTGGCGGGCACCTGTAGTTCCAGCTACTTGGGAGGCTGAGGCAGGAGAATGGCCTGAGCCTGGGAGGCAGAGCTTGCAGTGAGCCGAGATCACGCCACTGCACTCCAACCTGGGCGACAGAGGGAGACTCCTTCTCAAAAAAAAAACAAACAAACAAAAAACAGAAAACAAAAACAAAAACCAAAACCTGGTTACCAGGTTTTCGGTTACCTGGTTACCAATGCCCTGGTTACCATTAAAAGGAAGACCAGGAGAAGTAGTGTAGGAAGAGTCCACCAAGCATGAGGGGACAAAGGAAAATCACAGAATTGTGGCAAGTCAGCTTCTGAGTGAAGAATGAGATTTCTACGACAGTAGAGGTGGAGGAAGTCACATTGAATGAAATCTATTTAAGATTGGGGAGACTATTGTTTGTTGAAGGCCAATTATGAGTCAGGCACTATCAAAAAGTATTTTATGCACATTATCTTATATAATTCACACTGCAAGTAAACAACAGGGGAAATAATAGCTCTATTTTTTCCAGTGAGAAGTTGAGGCTGAGGAACTTTAAGTCAGTTTCCAAGATAACACTGGTAGTAAGAGGTGGGGCCTGGATCGGAACCCATTCTCTCTGGCTCCTGGGGTCACGTGCTTTCAACTGAGGCAGGATAGTGCTGTGGTCATTAACTCACATGATAGAGCCCCGCTTTTGAGTGCATACAGCTTTTTCTAGTTTTAGTCCTAACCTTCTGGAGGTTGTTTTCATTCCCTAGTGCAAGGGGTGGAACTCTGCTTCTCTGGAAAGTGTTTCGGCCGAATGTTATTCCAGCTATTGTCACTCTGTGGGGGAAGGAGCCTGGAGCAAAGGTACACAGACTCTCCTCTCTGCAGGGGCCTGACAGTTCCCAGGCTGGGGCTTGCCCAGGCATGATCCACAGCACTCTGGAGTCTATAGGCAAACCTAGAAGAGAGCATCTGTGCCTGTCACTTATCCCTTTACTTGTCCTGGGTCCCACAACAGAAAATGGTGACATTCATATTTAAAAAATGAGATCTGAAAAAAAAAAAAGCAAAACATATGTCAATGGAGGAAAAAAAGCAAAACATTTATCTGGCACTGTGCACTGCATTTGGGATTTCACATATGTGATCTCATTGAATCCTCACTACAAGCTTCTAAGGTGCACCTTGTTTTTGTTGCAAAAATGTTAAACAGAGGCTTCCTTCAGGTCACACAGGCAAGAAGTTTCAAAACTGCAATTGACACTTAGGATGATTTAACACCAAAGATTTGACAGACACAAAAATATTAGGAGTTAAGCAAAAAGTGTTTATGTTGAGAAACTACAAATATTCTGAATAAATTAAAACAAATTGTGTTTTTCATTTTCTATCCACAAAATGCTGCTCTTTTATTTTCTTTTTTGGGATTTCTGCAATAAAACAAAATCATAAAGGATTATATAAAATCAAACAACATCAAACAGGATTTCATAATAAAACTTTTGGTCAAGTGAGGTCATACTTTATATATCGGACTTGATTTCTCACAGTGGCTCAAATAGACATCTGTTGACCAATGGAAAACTATATCTGTGAATGAGCCGTGACTTATAAAGCCTCCAAAACTCTTTGGAAAAGAAGAAATAGGAAGCACTTCGTCTTCTATTGTGTGAAAGCTGGAATGAATATGCCAGCTCAAGGATGTAAAGGCAGTCTACATCTTATGTGTGTGCTTAGCTTCTTTGTTCAGCTGTTAACAATGTATATAAGGACATGCTACTAGAATATTGTCAAGTTGTCTGTAATTTACTTTGACATACTTCAGCATTAACATGGTGAGATGTGTGTGTTTTGGGTGGGGGGTTGGGGGGCGGTTGTTTCATACTATTCCCTGGGGTGGTTAATTGCCCTAGATGGAAATACATTTCCATGGCATATTGGTTTCCTAGGGCTGTTGTAACAAATTCACACAGACTATGTGACTTAAAACAACTGAAACTTATTTTCTCACAGTTTTGGAGGCTGGAAGTCCAAAATTAAGGTGTTGGCAGGGTTGGTTCCTTCTGGAGGATCTGAGGGAGAATCTGTTCCATGCCCCTCTCCTAGCTTCAGATGGTTGCCAGCAATCCTTAATGTTCCTTGTCTTGTAGATGCATCACTTCAATCTCTGCCTCCATCTTCACAGGGCGGTCTCCTTTGTATGTTTCTATGTCCAAACTTTCCTCTTATAAGAACACCAGTGATTGGATTAGGGCTCACTCTAACTCAGTATGACTCTATCTTGATTACATCTGCAAAAATCCTATTTCCAAATTGGGTCATGTTCATGAGTTCCTGGTGGATATGAATTTTTGGGGCACACACTTCAACCCAGTTAGCATCTAATTAAAAAGTCCTGTTACAGAGTTAGCTATAGCAAGAAATTTAGCGGCCTGATGAAGTCAAAGTTTGTAAAGTGGCATGGCAAATGTTAGAAATATGTTTTCATTCATCAAATTAGTGTCTTTAGATATGTGCACTGACTGGAATTATTAAAAACATGATCCTCCCCCTTTGCCAGATGAGGCATACAAGTATGGGGAGCTCTGCGGTCTGTACACTTCAGCATGGTGCCCAAGGCCTGATGCTGACAGTCTCCCATTGGTCTGCTGACTCAGAGTGCTGGTTTGCCTGGATTTGCCTACACCTTGCCTCTGAAATACTTTTGCATCTGCTTTGAGAGAACTTTTAATCCAGAATGTAGTCCAAGCACTAAAATATCAGAGAGGGAGCTAGAGAACATGCAGTACCAGTTGTGTGTTGTGATGGTTTCTCTGACTGCTTGAAAATAAATGTTTGTAGTTGTAGCAGAATTCAGTTTGAGACTTGATGTCATACGTGATAGCAAGGCTGTAGAAAGGTGACCAAGAACACTCACATCTCTCTTACAATAGGACATGTCTACCCCAAAGAACTTAATAATTACAAACAGCAAAATTAGCTTACGTTAATTCATAGCACATATCCATGGACATTTTCTCGAAATGCAAGTATTCTATTCTCCTTTGGGACTCCATCCTTGTCCTTTTTTGATGTTTGATTCGTATAAAATAGTAAAACTGAGCATTCAGATAATTATCCCATGGTTAGAAAACTTACATCATTGAAGGTTTTTAATAAGAAAGTCGATTCAGCAAACTTTGAACTCTTCACCTGGGACTTTTCCCATGTCCCTCCCCATGCCTGGCAGTATTAAGATGGCTTCCAGGCTGACTCAGTGTCTCTGGAATTCCCTCCCTCTTGCATTCCAACAGAGCTTCCTTTGCTGGCATTTAGTACATGGTGCCAGGCATCTGCTGATTTGGCTTGTGTTTAATCTGAATTGTTGCTATTTGACTGAGTTTTGTATTTCATAGGGACTGTTAATCATAAGTCACCAGCTGAGCAGCATGTGTGGTTGTTGGGACAGAGAGTTTAACTTATTGTTACTATTGGAAACATAATTTTTAAAAAGTTCTTCAAAAGTGCGTGTCATTTGGATTGTTCAGAAGCAACTGTTTTAGAAAAGAAAAGCTCTGTCTCATCCCCTTGTGTTGTTCTCCCTTCATGCATTTCAACAAATAAGCAAGGGCTGGGTGTGGTGGCTCATGCCTGTAATCCCAGCACCATGGGAGGCCGAGGTGGGTGAATCACTTGAGGCCAGGAGTTCGAGACCAGCCTGGCCAACATGGTGAAACCCCGTCTCTATTGAAAAAAAAAATAGCCAGGCATGGTGGTATGCGCCTATAATCCCAGCTACTCCAGAGGCTGAGGCATGGGAATTGCTTGAACCTGGGAGGTTGCAGTCAGCCGGGATCATGCCACTGCACTCTAGCCTGGGTGCAGAGACTAGAGAGAGATTCTGTCTCAAAACAAACAAGCAAACAAACAAGCAAGCAAACAAAGTGATAGACCTGCATTGTTTCTTCCTTGGTTGAGGTCCAGACTATGGATTCAGTGAAGGAGTTGTGGCCATGGCAGGCAGGGGTCACTAAATAAATGAGACAGCAGAGCAGACTAATGGAGGAAATAGAGCTTGTCCATGTGGCTCTGTTTCTCTCTTCCTACCCTAATCTCTTTATACTCATTAATCCTAATGAAAGCAGGCTGGAGGAGAGAGCTGGTGGAGAGGAAAATTGTGGAGAGCAGAATCTCTCTGGACAGAATAGTAAATACAAAACCAAAATGTGAAATTTGTTCTTGAAAGTGACAGTTGCTTGTTCATGCTCTGTGAAGTCTGAGTGTGTGTTTGTGCTGAGGTGTGCTATACTCCCCAAGAGTAAATATGCCTAGAGTCAGGGGTCTCGTTTCCTGATCAATACAAATAATGTATCAATCACCACCATGCTTGTGGAAGTGGGGAGGGTGTAGAGAAATATGGACACATGTAACACTGGTGACGGCAAAGGTCATTTTAAGAGTTGATGCTGTCAGATTAATTAACCTGTCATGTTTAGGTAGCTAATAGTATTTTAAGGGAGTTTTTCAAGTTGCACATAATTCTCATATTTCACAGGACACACCTTTGGAACAATTACTTGATTTTGTATTTATAGCAGCTTCTCCCTGTCCGTCCCATAAAAAAATGCCAAAAAGACTGACCATAAATTGGTCAAAACTTTATTCATGGGCGACAGTCCCATTATAAAATAGAAGGCAATATATATGTCTCTTCTTTTTTTCTCTTCTGATGATTTTGTTGGTGATTCAATCTGTAAACCTTGATGAGTTATTCGCTTAGTCATTTAGCAAACATTTAATGAGAACCTGCAGCACAATAAACATGAATATAAATAAATATGTGGGGAAAATAATAATGATCAGGAATTAAAGGGAGCTACTGTTGATGTTTCTTGACTGCCTTCTGTAGCCCAGCATTCATTTTAAAAAATATTTTTATAATTAAAAATATACATGTATATCAAAGTCAAATCTTCTTCAAGGCTTATAATATAAAACACCAAATTCTGTCTTCCACAGCCCTTCTCACCTCTCATCACCTAGAGGAAGCCACTTTTAATCCTTTTAGCTGTTTCTTCTGGTATTTGCCTTTAGGGTTACATAACATGCTATTCTGCTATTTATTCATTTGTTGATTTTAAATATCGCCTATAAACATCCTACAATGGAAGGCATTTGTTTAGCTTCCTTAAATACCTGCCCTCACCCTAACACACACTTCCACTTCTGTTTCCTAAGATCATGAACATTATAATTTTTATCAGATCACTGTTCAGCCTATACATTGCTATGTTTATATAAATATTATGCACAGTTAAGCCATGTAGACATTCTGTTGTGCAGGAAGGGAAGAGATCCAAGGTTTTCACTGCTCCTTACAAAGATTTTCAGTTGGCCCTCATCTTTTTATCACCATCAACACCCTACTTTCAAGGCACCTCCTGCCTGAACTCCTGAGCCCTCTGAGATTCTGAAGTGCAAATAAGCCTTCTTCATGATTTCATTCACTGCAGAGACTCCATGTTTGCCAAATTGGTTACTTCAAGTCAGTCCATTGCTTTCCATATATGTATATATAATCTTGTTTTCTCTTTTATCTTTTCCTTTGCTTTCTTTGCCCTAGGGTTTAAAAAGTTTTAATTTATTTACTGAAATTTTAATGTGTTACTGGAGTAAAGCACATATGTTTCAATCTTCCACATTTAATCCAAGTCCCAAATACTCTTTTGAAATTCTAGCTAATAATACTATATACCGTTATGAATCTTTTTTTTATAGAGGAATAAATCAAGACTAGGAGAAGTTAACTTGCCCAAGGTTGTGCAAATAGTAAGTGATGATTCCACTTGCTAATAAAAGTCTTGTTAGTTTCTTTCCAGCACACTGCCTTTTACTGTAAGGCACAGTTCCCGTTTTAAAGAGTTTATAGTTTTTGTGGGGAGGTAAAACTTGTGCACAGATGTAAGAATACAATACATTAAATGTCAAGAAAAAGAAAAATGGCCCAATGTGCAATGGGAATTCAGAGAAAAGAGAAATGTTTTCCTACCCATTTCTTTGTGTCTGAAATGCCACTTGGCATGAACTACACGTCTTTCAGTTCTGTAGGAACATTTCTTCATACCGAAATCTTATTTTAAGGGATAAAACCTCTATTCTTCAGCCAGTTGGAATTTGACAGTATTCCATGAAGTAACTGGAGAGGAGTGGGCAATAATATGAATTCTCAAATGACAACAACCCTTAAGGTGATATTTTAGAAAAAAAGAGTAAGATTTTTCAATACATGTCTATGAGTATATTTGACTTTAAAGACATTCAAGAGAGAATTTTTGCCTGTATTTTTTTTCCACTGATAATACATAGTCCTTGATCTTGTTACATATGAAGTGTATGTCTGTATCTCTCTGTCAAATATTCAAATATGGTTTATGATCATATCTACATCTGTCCAGACTTGAGGTTTTTTTTTTTTTCATGGCTAGCTAGGACTACTATCACTCATGCCACTTACACTCTGTGAATCCAAAGCACTATCTCCATTTGCATCCCAGAAGGCAGAATCACATCGTGGATTGGGGAACAGTCTCTATAGCCAATTGGACCGTGCTCCACTCCAGGGTCTCCCTTTACCTTCTTGCCATGTGATGTTGAGCTATTTCACTAAACCTCTCCCTTCATGTCTTATATTTCTTATCTGTAAAATGGGGATAATGGTGGAATCTAGGTCATAGTGTTTTATGAAGGTTAATAGATAAAATCAATGTGATGCACTTAGAATAGTGTCTGGTACACAGAAAATACTATATGATCATCATTTCTTCTTCTAGGAACGTCAGGCAGAAGCAATCTCTAAGGGTCACTTATGCATCAGGTTCTATTTTGTTTGCTGTAGGAGAAGTTTTTTCAATCATATGTTCGTTATTTTATCTTGAAACCATTTATTGAGTGCCTGCAGATACAATGGATTGCAAAATTAGACATGTCACTGCCTTCCTAGAATCCTGAGCATAGTGAAGAGACAGTCATGGCTCAACTAATTATACAAATAAATGTAAGATTACAACCATGGTAAGTGCTAGGAAAGACAGGCTTCATGACTCCTTATTACATTTGAATACACAGAGTTTAGTGCCTAACAGAGCAAAATTGTGTGTTTCTTGAAGAATCCAAGTGCTTTAATGCCAAAGAAGGGAAGGGCTGCTCAGTGCAGAAACTGAGAACATCCTGAGAAACTAATTAAAACCTTCCTATTTGATGACACCCATAGGATGGGAATCGCTTCCTCTCTCGACTTTCCTTGACACAACTTGCTCAGGAGGAATGCAAAGGATGGGTGGGATCTTCCCCAGCATGAGAGTGAAAGGAAGCCACATACCAAAGAGATGACGGTGGCACAAGAAATGCTGCAGCTGCTAATTCCACCTCCACCCTGTGGGACAACTGCTTAGCAATATTTCAAAGGCAAAAACAAAGTACAGGAAAAAAGAAAAAAAATGGATTTAACAACTTCCTTGACTGGAGGTCTGGATAAGAGTGGAGCACATTTTAAAGTGGACTTTATGGCAGAAATACATGTGGCTTTACAGACATCTGTGCCTGGGATTCACAGAGCCCAAGTGTACATTTGTACATGAAGCACAATCAGCTATTCAAGGCATTTGGCAAGAAACTGGAATATTGATGCCATTTCAATATAATACGTGTTCATCTCCTGTGCATCACTAATGCCAGTTTTACCAGAAAGCTGTAGCTGAGAATTCCATCCAGAATTCTTTCTGCCATTCTTCATTACCAGTGCTTGAAAGGGCAGTGTCCTCCTGCTGAACTTTTAAATTGTTAATTTCAGAAAAATACATTCCCTTTCAGTTTTATGTAACACACGAAGAGAAAATGAGTTTAAGAGTGGAGACAGAGTGTCATATATCAATGGCTGGGAAACAAAATTTAAAGAGAATGAACTCAAGAGATCTACAGCATAAAGACTATAGTTAATAACAATGTTTTACATACTTAAAAATTAATAAGAGAATCAATTTGAAGTGTGTTCACCACAAAAAAATGATAGGTATGTGAGGTAATGCATATGTTGATTAGCTTGATATAGCCATTCCACAATATATACGTATTTCAAAACATCATGTTGTACATATAAATATAGTTTTTATTTTGCAATTTAAAAAATTGTTCTCATTTGACCTTTGTACTTCCCTGACTATATTTCTGTGTCTCTATATCCCATTTATCTGCTTGTCTGTCTATCTTCACCTCATTCACTTTCTCTTCCTTCAAGCTTTCACATTGCATGTCATTGTTTGATGGCTCTGCAGTCAGGATGGACAATTAAGAGACTGTTTCCCGAACATCCACTATGAGTTGGGTAGGAATGTCTTTGAACTCATGAAAATTGCCATCTGGAAGTGAAGACAAATATGAGACATACTTAAAAGTGTGATGAGTGTCAAGAAAAGAAATACATAGGATACTCTGGAATCAAATAGCGATAGTAACAGTAATAACAACTAAGGTTAATTCCATGCTCACTATGTACCCAGGCACTCTTCTCAGTGATTTATATGTATTATTAATTTTAATGTACATATCACATCCATGAGGTAATGTACTATCACTTTCCATTTTATAGATGTGAAAATTAAAGCCCAGAGGGATTAAATACTTAAGTATTTTTCCAAGGCTGCCCAGATAGAAAGCGGTGCACTGTGATTTGAACCATGTGGTTTGGCTACTGCGCCTCTGTGCACTCTAAGTACACTCTTATACACAAGAGAATTTAGCTTGATCTGCCTGGAGAAAGTGTACTACAGTTTAAAATAATATTAATACATTTTGGGGATTTATTTGAGTACTCCTTTAATAAATGTGAGCAAATATTTTTCTCTTTAAAAATTAAGGTAGATTGAAAATAAACATAAAATGCCTCTAAATGTAAAGTAGTGGGATCCTGGGAAAAAATGGCTATGAAGGAAACGCTAGTGCAATTCACATAAAGTGAGGCATAATGCATCAATATCGGTTTCTCAGTTGTGACAAATATACAATTGTAAGATGTTAACAACAGGGGAAAATGGGTAAGGAATACACAGGGGTTCTCTGTATTATAATATCTTTGTAACTTTTCTGTAAATCTAAAACTCTTCTGAAATTAAAAATTTACTTAATCAAAAAAGAAACGAAAAGAAAATATCTGCTAGACTGATCAACCCCCATTAAGCATGTATTAGTTGCAAACTAAACAGTTCTCTAGAAAAGGCAACTCCTCTTTGGCACGTTCTCTCTGCTACTCAGGCAGGCAGCACGGCAGCATCTTCAGCATCTCACAGGGCATCTGTGCCCATTTGTTTCTTGGCCTCTTACCTGGTCAGGCCACGCAGATCATACATTTTTGCAACACCATCCTCTTTAACCTGTATATCAATGTACTCAGCATCATTTCCTTGCCCTTTTCCTGTTCAGTAGAAACTGGTAGCCCTTGTCCTGATTCCACCCAATAAAATAGTATCTTAACAACTTTGCTCCTTTGGATCTTTAAGTGGTGTATTCTTAATCCAGTACTGATACCTGGGCCATCAGATTTGGCCCTGTCCTGCAGGGTTTCGCTCATTCTGTGGAAGCTGCCAGTCTGAAGCCTGGGAGACCTAGACCATGAATGGTTCCTGTGGAAATCAAGCACCCACAGAGACTTCTCTGGCTCACACGGGCGGCGTTTTTGAGTATTTTAAAAAAGAATTTAAGAACTGACAGTCTCTCCAATACGGCAAATAACTTCCTATGGAAGAGGGAGAAGCCAGGTAGATGAGGAATCAAAACAACACACTTCAGTTCAGTAATTTGCAAAAGAGTGAGGCCAACTTTAGTTAGGGAGTAAGGTTTATCTCCACAAAGTTCCAATGACTCTGCCTTCTAATAGAGTCATTCTAATATTTCTCAAATGCATCCCCTCCTGTGTCAGTCAGGGTCCAACCAGGAAATGAAAAATCTCTTCAAATATTTTAAAAGAGAGAATTTATAGAGCAGATTGTTGTACAGGTGATGGAAAAGGTGAGAAGCCAAATAGGAGACAATGAGACAACTCAATGTTAGTAACAGCAGGAAGCTACAATCAACTCCGGGCTGGAGAAACAAAGGGAGGAAATGGGGTTCCCAGAGCCCAGGGGTGGGATCCTTGGGCAGAAGCCAGAACTGTGGCATATGTGCAGGGAGGCAGCTAGAGGCAAGAAGAGAATACAATGGCTGCTGGAGGTGTCACCTGAGGCCTAGACAGAGGATGAAATGCGTTGATTTTTTTTCTTCTTTCTTCCCAATCTCCTTCCAGTAAATACCGCTGGCCAAATCTAATAAAAAACTACCTGACATAGAAACCCAGTAAAGATAGTCCAGAGAAATCAGTCCCCCTTCCAGACAGCACAGAAACATGGCAATGGCTTCATTTGAGGTCTCCACCATCTCTTTCTTGCACCACTACAGAATCTTTTTAACCTTTCTTTTTGATTCAACAATCTCAGTCTTCCTCCAACTCATTCTCTATACTTCAGCTAGAGTGATTTTTGTTGAAACACAAATATATATGTCAAGTCCCTGCTTAAACCTTGATATGACCCCCTGCTAACTACAGGCTAAGTCCAAGTTTTTAGCATGGCGGAAAAGCTCTTGTCTCTGGTCCCTGCCTTCCTCTCTGGCTCATTTCCCACAACTCACTGCATGATTCAGCTTGAGTGTTTGCAAGACTTCAGGGGACACAGAGTGGTGTTAGCTACTTAAGTGTTGTTCACTTTGTAGACTTCAGAAGGAGGCACCCAGGCATGAGGGTTGTCATGGAGGGCATGGCGGGGGCACCAAAGCTGTCACTCTAAAGAGGCTTCTGGATGCCACCATGAGCAGGTCTGGAGAGTGAAAGAGTACTCAGTGAGAGCACAAAGGACAAATGGGAGGAGAAACCGAAGAGCCTTGAAAGGACATCAACTCATGATGATGTGAGATTAAGGACACGATTAAGTGAGATTTGAATTATTCCTTTTTTTTTTTTTTGAGACAGAGTCTTGCTCTGCCGCTCAGGCTGGAGTGCAGTGGCGCGATCTTGGCTCACTAAGCAACATCCGCCTCCCGGGTTCACGCTATTCTCCCGCCTCAGCCTCCTGAGTAGCTGGGACTACAGGCGCGTGCCACCACGCCCGGCTAATATTTTGTATTTTTAGTAGAGATGGGGTTTCACCGTGTTAGCCAGGATGGTCTTGATCTCACGACCTTGTGATCCGCCCGCCTTGGCCTCCCAAAGTGCTGGGATTACAGGCATGAGCCATCGTTCCCGGCTGAATGATTCTTAATGAAATCCATCAGGTTGGTTAACTTTGAGGAAACAAAGATTACATTTGGTTGAGAATAGAAGTCAATGTCCAAAGATGTTGCTAAGGCTATTGTTACTAAAGTTAATCCTCCAGGAAACAGATCTCTAGCAGAATAAATGAATATGAAAGGCTCATTTCTGATAAGCACTAGAGGCTATTTATTTGTGATCCTGGGGCTTAATTAAAATGAGAGAAATTAACATACATGAGCCTCTTAGGGAATAATCAAGTCCTAGAAGATATGATGAGGACAAACAGAAGGTAGAAAGTGTGCATTTGAGAAGTCAGAGAAAGTTTTGATGAAGTTTCCATAACTTCTAGATTTTTAAGAATATCTGTATGATACCATACATACATAGGAATTTCTTTGAATTTATCTGGAGTCTTACTGGAATGTAAACCTCCCTTATGATGAGGTTAAAAGATAACACTACTCTTCAACCTTAGAAGAAAACCAAAAATTTATTGGGCTAACACAATGTGCCAAGCATTGAGCTGGGCAGATTCCATAATGTGTTTCATTTTGTTATATTTTTTATTTAACAGACAGGGGAAACAAGGCTCAAAGATGTTAAGTGACTTGCTGAAGGCTGCACAGAAAGCGAGGAGAGTTGGTATTTCATCCTAGTTGTCCTTCTACTCCATGCTGGCTTTTGTCTGTTAATAGGCAATCCTCATGATGGAGTACAAATAAGAATCACTTGGTATTGAATTCAGCTTTCTCATTGAGAATGTTAAAATAACATTTGAATATATTTCTAAATAGAATCATTTTAAAATCCTATATAAAAGATTTCTGAAAACTGTGGAATTCATTTTAAAGGTTTATTTTCCTACTGATTTATAAAACCATTCACCCTACATTTCTCAAACTCCAGGTTTACCCATGATATCTTTGATCTGCCCAGCCTTTGAATATATTTATTATCTTATTTTCCGTCTTTAGGAAGAGACACTGATTACTATAACTGTGATGTGTTGGCAGAAGTCCCCAGAAAGCAGTTCTCTGAGATGGGAATAAGCATGCAGAGTATTTTTAAAAAGGGTTCTTGAAAATCAATCCTGTGGAAGAGAGGGCAAGGAAGCAGAATTTGGAATAGAAAAAAGTTGAGCCATGCTGCAATATCCACAAGGGACTAGCCCACCTTGCTCGGAGCCCTGGAGCTGGGATGGCCCTTCTGAGTTGTTCTGAGTTGGATAAAGAGAGCTCCCCATGTTGATCAGTAACTGGAAGGAAATGTATCTTTAGCTGCGATATTTTTACTCTGGTGAGAGAATTCCAAAGCAGGACTAAGAAAGAGGACTATTTCCTGATAGCTGGGGGCATAAGCCCTTCATTCCTTAAGGGAGCTCTGAATGACATGTTACACCATTGATCACAATGATGAACATAATTCTTAATAAATCTCTGTACATAAAATAAATGTATCTATCTATTAAATATATAACACATGGTAAGATATATAAATATATCTGATATATAAACATTTACTTTATATAATTATAAAATTATGCTTATTTTATAACCAAATGATAAATGCAGTAACTACCTGTATCAGTATAAAAGCTGGACTTGTAAGAATAAATAAATTGGTCAATGTAGTGCCTACAAATTAAATATGCAGGGTGCCCATCTGTGGTTCAAGAGAGAGCAGAAACACAGAACTTCTTAAGGCTGTCTTGCTTTTGCCACCATATGTACTGTTGCTGTGCTGATAATAGAAATGCAAAGGTCTGTCTGCCGTGGGATT
Organism: Homo sapiens; assembly: GCF_000001405.40. NCBI lineage: Eukaryota > Metazoa > Chordata > Mammalia > Primates > Hominidae > Homo > Homo sapiens. The sequence goes on from NC_000005.10 coordinate 57,847,586, forward strand.
GTGTTTATTTTACTATGTACAGAGAAGGGTGCTAAGCTTACTGACTTTGTTTTTGTATGTTTTCTGGTTCTAAAGACTAATAATAGATGACAACTGAAAAAATATAAAATCAACATGTGGTAAAAACTGTTTTTAAAAAAGTAAACATTCATTTCCCCGAAATTGCATTGGCCTTCCTCTATTTACTTGGTCAACTTCTTCCCATTTGACCCATTTTCATCAACTTAGCTGTATTTTAGAAGTTTGAGAAGCCAAATATGTAACCACAAATAATAAATGTAGAGAATCCCAAAATGTCAAGGTGAAAAGAAAGAAGAGGACTAACGTATTCCTTCCTTTTGGGTTAACTGCGAGGCTGCTGAGACTCTGCCTGCTGTCTCCTTTGCTGTGCCCATCCTGCTTCTGACTCAGCCATCTAAATCAAGGGTACATAAGATCTCTGTGGCTCCTTGAGGTACAGTCCCTAATATCTAGTGCCCAAAGGGCGTGTGTAACATGATCACAATGATTGAAAGGATGAGTGACTTAAATTTGTTCAGGTGATGCGGTAGTGCATGGAGTGTGTGAAAGGAAAATATCTCATGTCCCCCAAATCACTAAGGAGAACTCAAGCCGGGAACTGATTAGGGCAAACCTGCCTCCCATTCTATTCAAAGTCACTCCTGTGCTCACTGAAATAGATTGATGCATATCTGATTTGTCTCCTTTTGAAATCCTAATCAGAAACTCAAAAGAATATAACCATTTGTGTATCACCTATTTGTGACCTGGAAGCTCCCTCCCACCTTGGAGTCTTCCTGCCTTTGCTTCAAGTGGTCCCGCCTTCCCAGACTGAACCAATGTACTTCTTACATATATAGGTTGATGTTTTATGTCTCCCTAAATGTATAAAACCAAGCTGTGCCCTGACCACCTTGGGCACACGTCATCAGGACTTCCTGAGGCTGTGTCACAGGCGTGTCCTCAACCTTGGCAAAATAAACTTTCTAAATTAACTGAAAACTCTCAAATTTTCGGGTTTCACAGTGCATGCCTAGAATGAGCTGAGCTGTGCTTTGAATTAGGAAACACAGGTGCCCAAGGAAATCTGGAGAACATTGGCCCATCTAAAATGACAATTGTCATCATTGTTACACTTTTCTTCTATTAGTTCTTTCTTGTGTTCTGTGATTTGAATGTTTGTTTTCTCCAAAACTCATGATGAAATTTAATTGCCATGTTGATTGTATTGGGAGGTGAGACCTTTATGAGGTGTTTAGGTCTTTTGGGGTCCATGCTTATGAATGGAGTCATGCCCGTTTTTGCAGGAGTGGTTTGTTATTATCACTCCATTATTATCACTGGAGTGGGTTTGCCCTATCTTCCTCTCTTTCTCTCCCTTTTTGCCCTTCCACTATGTGGTGCCTTCTGCCATGTTATGTCATAGCTAGAAAGTCCTTGCCAGATGCCAGCACCTTGATATTGGACTTCTAGCCTCCAGAACTGTGAGCCAATAAATTTATGTTCATTATAAATTACCCAATCTGTGGTATTCTATTATAGGAGCAAACAAAGACACTGTCCTTTCGGACAATGTTAGGTCTGCTTTGGCTACTATTTATACAAGAAAGTCTTAGTCATGCCCCAAAAGATGTGGATGGGCCAAATATATTTCTTTACTTTGTTTCTTAAAAGTTTATTTTATCCATTCATTCATTTATTAACTCATTCAATTGTTTTCACATTCATTTAAAATTAATTAATTGTTTTGTTTTGTGGCCAGATAGTGCAGGTACTTGCTCTAAGGCTGACATATAGAACTGCATTGAATATTGCTTGAAAATTTGAACCTGAATGTTTAGGATAGTAGAATTCCAGTTTGTATGATTATCACTGTAATGAAACAGCAGACAGCTAACTATCTTCCATTTATTTTTTTCTTAATTTTCTCAAAATACTGCCACATACTTTACTTCAGAAGCTCTTGTTTTTCTTTTCATCCTTTTCAAAGCCATCCTTTGAGAGAGTACCTTAATTCATTTTCTCCCAGTAGTTTTTTGTTTGTTTGCTTTTGAGATGGAGTTTTGCTCTTACTGCCCAAGCTGGAGTGCAGTGCAATGGCACGACCTCAGCTGACTGCAGCCTCCACCTCCTGGGTTCAAGCGATTCTCCCGCCTCAGCCTCCTGAGTAGCTGTGATTACAGGCGCCTGCCACCACGCCTGGCTAATTTTTTGTATTTTTGGTAGAGATGGGGTTTCACCATGTTGGCCAGGCTGGTCTCCAAATCCTGACCTCAAATGGTCCGTCCTCCTCGGCCTCCCAGCCTTTTTTTTTTTTTTTTTGAGCCGGAGTTGTTTCACTCTTATCACCCAGGTTGAAGCGCGGTGGAGATCTCAGCTGACTGCAACCTCCGCCTCCTGGGTTCAAGTGATTCTCCTGCCTCAGCCTCCCAAGTGGCTGGGATTATAGGTGTGCTTTGTTTTGTTTACTTGTTTTGTGGCCATAGGCAAGTCAAACTCCATGAACCTCAATTTCTCCATTTGCAAAATGGGATAATAATACTTGCCTCCTACACTCCTTGAGTGTTGTGAGAATTAAAAAGATAAAGTTTGCAGAGTGCTTTGTAAAAACACAGACCCTTTCATCTAAGGAAGGAGACAGAGTGTTATTATTTTTGTTGTTATTGATAGCCATGTTCCCACACAGCTTTATTTTTATGGTGTGCTTAACTGCATAGGGATGAGTCACAGAAATAAAAGGTGGTAAACATTTAGCAGGTCATCCAGTTCAAACTCATTGTAGAATTCTTCTCCTGCAACATGCTGTTATATCTTAGTCCTATTTCAAAGTCTTAAAGCATCAAACAAGAAATGGTTCATTTCTTTCTGCTTGACAGTAGAACTGTTATAAAGAACAATTCCAGTGGCGACTTTTGATCTAAGCATTTTCCTAATGGCCCAATTGGAACAACTATTTGAATCTCTGCCAGGAGGTTATTTTTGCCCAATGTGAGTGTAATTATTTTTGGGACCCTTTTATTACTTTCCTGGGGGAAATGGAGTCACAGTCCATTAGCTCTTTTTTTGCTGATGCTCTTTAAAATGTTCAGCTTAAATGTTCCATTTAGGAATTTCCTAACCATTGGTCCATGGAGCAGACCAAATCTTCTTCAGAAATATCTCATTTCAAACACAGTTAAATTGCTTTAAATTCAACTCCAGAAGACTAATTTAAAAGAATGTGATAATCTCAGCCTTGTGGAGTGCACATATTTTGTATTTGGCAGGTATATAATCTATCACTGAAGATCGAGAGATTCTAGTGTATTATAGTACATACATATTTATGGAATAAATAAATGAATTATTTATATTATCATGCATGTCTCTAACTCATTGTTACTTAATTCAGTGGGACAACGATACTTCCTTTGTCTTTTTGGATTAGTATTTATCTATCTTTCCATAAATAAATTGTTTGGAAGCATCACACTTCTGATGCAAATACCAGTTAGAAGGTCTAAATACCAGCTAAAATGATATTTAGACTTTCAAAACTCTGAAGCATTTACTATGCATTAGTAGCTGACAATAGGTTGGTAAGCCAAACAAACTTGTTTCTGTTGCAGTGCTTACTGAGTACTTCAGCCAATGAGAGTTGGTTCTGAAGGTACGATAATTCCATTTTATTCTCCAGAGAGTTCATTTTGTCATTCTTTTGTTAGAAAGAGTAAAGCAAAAATTAAATCGATATCTCAAGTAATTCTTTCCCTTCTACTAGTGGTGGTTTAATTAATGACTCTATCAAATTAATCTCTTAATTAAAATTACATTTTTAAGTGCTTATGATGACTGTTTTGAATGTAAATGTGATGTCCAATCAGAACAAAGTTCATTGGTTTAAGTGAAAAGATTTTGTTCTTCATTCACCTCTATATTCCCCAAATCCAAGGATTTTGAGCAATGGTTAGACTTAATTAATACAAAATAGAAGGACGTGGCTTCTAAGAGAGAACTACATTCTAATCTCTATTAGTCAAAACACTAAAATAAATCTTTAAAAAATCATTAAAATAATAAGGTTCTCCTTTGTGAGGTGTGTGGGAAATCTAGAAATATAAGTTCGTTCAAAACTGCTCAAGTTATTATCTACTGAAATTAGATCACAGAGCTTTTGACATTTAAAATATTTTTATGTGGCATATTTTCAGATAGTGAAATTATTGGTGGTCAACTTTTTGGATGCTTTGCTCTTAAATTTATTTTGCCTTCAACTTAGTAACTGGGTAGTGAGATAGGTGGTGGTAATTAGCTATCTGAGTCAGTGGGGAGGAGCCTGTAATACTGAATACAGTATTACAGTTTCTTTGGTGTGTGGTATGGTTAGCACACATAAGATACTTAAGACAAGCTGGGTGCCAGATCTGGGAAAATGAAGTAAAATCACTTTGATAGACTGTGTAGGATACAAAATAGCAAATCTCAGACTCTATACTTTGCCATTCTTTTACTTAACTGTTTTGTTTTCTCAAACTTTATACCAATTAGTTTAGGCACGTAATTTGTAAATTCCTGGCCTAGGAATATGAAACAAAATAATATCATGGTAAGTCTGTGGATTTCTTTATCTGTTTAATCTTTGTTTCAGATAATTGTGGAACAAAAGTCTGGACAAAAATATAAAGGGATGATGACACTACATTTTGGAAATAAATGTATTTTAGTGTCCTTAGACCTATAACACTATTCTGTCAACTTAATGGTTTTAATTAAGTGCATACCGAATAGTTCCTGACATTAGTCTTATTTCCATAAGAGATATTTCTGTTAGATCAAGTCCAGGGGTTTCTAAGGGAGACTATAGAACCTGGAGTTGAAAATCATTAATTTTGTTATTCTCTGTAATCATCAATTTATTACAATGAACTTTTGTGCAATGAAAAATTATTATCTCTTCACAGATATCAACAGTTTAAAATGGGAAGAATTTTGTTTGAGCATTTGAGGATTTCACACTATGCATCTAGTTCCTTCTGTTTACCTGCCTTCTTCCAGGTTTTGTAGCCTCTCATTCCTGAGAGAGCAGTAGAAAGCTGAGATATGAAGAGGCTATGAGGTCCTCTTGTTTTTGAGCCTCATTTGCAGTTGTGGCAGTAGATCGATAAGAGGAAGCATGAATTGCAGTGAGCAGCAATGGGAAAGATTCATACTGTTAAGTGAAAATTACTAAACAATAGAATGATACCAACCTGCAGAAAATGTCATATTACATGGATTTTATGCCTCTTATGTAAGAATAACTGGTTGGATTCAAATTCATATTAAGGCACATATTTTCCATCTCTATACTACTTGACACCTCAGCTTAAATTTTGGTTTTGACAAAAATAGCCAATAGCTTTACATGACTCTTTCCAAAGACAACCAAATGGCATTTCCTTGTCCATCACTAGGACTTAGCATCATTTGCAATGGCTAAGTGCAGTTGACTTGCACCTAGGAAGGTTTCCATGTTGTATTTTTGTTGAAGTAAATTCAGCAGGTAGATAGACGAATAGCAGCCCTTGGCTTTTGCAGACAGGTGTCATTGTCCTGACTTGACTAATATTTATCTGGGTTTGTTTAATCTCTTCCTCCTTTCTCAGAGTTTTGTTTTTATTTTTTTTAACCTACATGCTTTCACCTACAATTCAACTTCCTCAGAATTGTTGTTGTCCCACCTTGTGCAATTTTTACTTCCACAGTTATTACATTTCCTAATGAGTGCTTCTCTTTGTTCTATGACATAGTGTTCAACACTGCTTTCCTGCTCTCCCCAGAATGCTCACTGCTTATTAGTGTGCTTCCCACCTGCACAGCTATGCAACATGTTTCTTCAGCTAATCTCTTGGCTCATCTTCCCTTTTATATTTCCCTAACACACTGTGCAGTTCAGCCTCATTTGATTTATCACCAACATAACAACTCCCTTATAACTTTGCCTTTCTGTTTGCTTCTGTGGATGTGAAGGTCTTTCAGGAGAAGCTGATTTTTATTACTAATAACAGAAACACTATCTGAAGACTTTTATAAAAGGACCTTAGAGCATCTCACAAACATCACCATCTTTATCTTTCATGTTGTCCTTATTAAAAACATATTCTCTACCTATGTTTTCTCTACCTGAGTATAGATATCTCTGTGTATTATATCACACAGAGTGAATATAATTTTGGTCCTCAAAGAAATGAGTTTAAAGAGTATAATAACAAATTAGTAGAAATTCTGCCTGCCTAAAAATTGTGATGAAAATAAATGACAATAAGAGAATTTAGAAAAACATTTTCCAGGTTTTTAAGTTGTATGTGTGCTTAAACGAGAAGCATATTATAAAAATTCCTCCCAATCTAGTTTCCCAATCTTGTGATTATCCTTCTGAGACACTCACATGGGCCCATTTCCTGTAAATCAGTATTAGAGAAGGATGCTTCAGGCAGACCACCTTGAAGTAATAATTGTCTTTCTCAGGAGATTGTCACATGTGCTAGGCCCTCTGGGAGGAAATGAATGAATTGCCCATTGTGACTTGAAGCACAGAGAAGAAATTTTAAAGGTGAAAATTTCCAAAGTGTTAATGCTCAGAGTAATCACCGGAGTGTGGCAGCTAGCCCTCGAAGGGCCCACCCTTCCTAGAATCAGTAAACTCTTCCCCTGTAGAAAAATTACATAAACATTTGAAGATTTCCTTTTGTCCTAAGAATTCTATTTGTCTGCCAAGGTGATAATTATTTGGGCTGGAAATTTGGCCAGTTGCAATCTCTATTAAGGCATTGGTGGCTGTATTCTTTCCTGCTCTTTTTCATTTGTGATCCTGTGATTTGCTGGGCCTCTGGGGCCTCTTGAGTCAAGAGCTGCCTCTGAGAGCTGTTAGCAGGAAGGAGGGGACATGCCTATGTCTTTTCTCTCTAAATGGCAGGCCTCACTCTGGAGTTGCCCCATGGTAGCCTCCTCATCTCTTCTCCATGCCAAGCAAAAGGCTTTTGACAAGTCTGGATTGGGCAGAAACCCAGAGATTGCTGTAGGGCATCGCTTTCATGAGGACAACCAATAGATCTGCACAATGTCCATGACCAGTCACAAGGCCACTTTTTTCTTGTTCCTCTTACATGCCAGTCCCCATCCTCCACATCTTGACAAAATTACTAGAGAGGAATGCAAAGCTTGGGAAACTTTACTCCCTCCTCATTTCCATTAAATAACTTCACTCTTGGCCCCCTAACACCCTACTACCCTATTGCTTTAGAAAACAAAAAGTATATTCTTCCTTCAAAAGGTAAATGACCTGGAATTTGTTATTTCTTTCTCCAGATATTCTCTTTTATTGTAGTTTGGGTTATATTGAGAAACTCTGTGTTGGAGTTTAAAGTACAGAATTTTTTTTTAATGGAATATCCTTGGGACCAACATCTCTGGAGGGTGGAAAAAGAAGCAGGATTAGAAGGAGGAGGTATTGAGTTGAGACACAGACTCAACATGCTTCGTGAATTCCACAGGGATCTCTGGAGCCAGAATGGCCCCCCAGAGCTGTTCTCAGTTGACCCAAGATGACCAGTCCTTTATGTTCCTGCATCATTTGGTGATCACATGTGAGTATCCCTAGCAAAGACATAACCTTGGGCTAGAGGACACTTATGGCACTGAGACAATCCCTGAAAGGGCTGACAGATGATGGCAGTCTTCTGACAGCATTCTATGGTAAAGTACCTGGGACAACAACTCTTTTATTAAAGAGAAATCTGTGTGGTGTACTATAGCGTCTACCATAGGCTACCCTTTGCTCCATTCAGATTCTCTTATTAATACACATTTAGGAAGCAGTTATTTGGAATTCTGCTGGACTCCTCATGAGCTAAACTGAGAATAGGAAGATATTAGGACAAACTATAGCCCCAATACTGCAGCTGATCTCAGAGTCACAACTTAAACTCATTGTTCCCCTCTACTATTGAGTCTAGATTTTCTTTCTCTCTCTCTTTCTTCCAACAAGAATGAGCTTAGAATCTTTTCTTCTATTTTCTTTTTTGTTGAGATGAAATCCTGCTGTGTTTCACAGGCTAGTCGTGAACTTCTGGCTCAAGTGATCTTCCCACCTCGGCCTCCAGACTAGTTGAAATTACAGGCATGCACACTGTGCCTGGCCTGCTTTTCTTTATTTTTACTTTGCATCTCTGTTGGTTTCAGTGTTTAGCTGGGCACTACCCATACTCTCAGCCTTGAGTAGTCTTAGTTTCTGGTCACCATGCCATTCTCAAAACCAGGATTGCTGAACTCGGTCCATTTGCCATCATAATTGGCAAAGAGAATATCGAAAATACCCAGGTGAGTTACCTGGGTTGCTAGACTTATTCTTCCTTGTTCCATTGTGTAATAGCAGCCCTACTTCTACTTGATAGTTTGGTTAATTACCTTGCCAAAATGATGACTCCTCCTGTTGCCATCTGGTTCCTTGGCACAAGAAACCTAAATGCCTAGGCTACAGTCAAAGCTTGTAAGACAATGGGATTGTTACTATATCCTTTGGCAGAAGTGTTCTCCCTTTGAGAACCAGGATCTCAAAATCCATAGGATCCAGAGTTTCAGAGTAATGAATTATTCAATCAAGTCACTGGGAAAGAAAGGAGGTGAGACCACTTTTTCTTCTACCCCTTAGTTCTTAGAACCATGTATTTTTCCTTTTGGGGAAATAGAACCACATGAAGGTCTTTGAATCAAAGTGTATACTAGTCCTAGAAGCTGACAACCTGTCATTGTAAAGCATTGGCCATTGGCCCTGAGCTGAGATTTTAGTTGTGTCTTCAGAAGACTGTTTCAATGCTCTATCAGGCTACTAACTTTGATGTAAGGAGACAAATAATATGCCCAGAGGATCTCCTGATTTGGGGCCAACTCCATCTCTGTTTTGCTATAGTTCTCCTGATTATGTGAGATCCCATAGCAATGGATTAAGCACTTTGTAAACTTTGTTTTTTTTTTTTTCCAGATGGAGTCTTGCTCTGTGGCCCAGGCTGGAGTGCAGTGGCGTGATCTTGACTTACTGTAACCTTCACCTCCCTGGTTCAAGTGATTTCCCTGCCTCAGCCTCCCGAGTAGCTGGGATTCCAGGCGCACACCACCATGCCCGGCTAATTTTTTTATATTGTTAGTAGAGACAGGGTTTTCACCATGTTGGCCAGACTGGTCTCAAACTCCTGACCTCAGGCAATCCACCAGTCTCAGCCTCCAAAAGTGCTGGGATTACAGGCGTGAGCCACCGCGCCCAGCCGTATAAACTCTTGGATAGTGGTAATGACTAAGTGTCTGCTTGCAAGAAGGCAAACCAAGTGGCAAGTTGGTTTCCTCAAGGGGTAGTGCCATAATTCAGAGTCAATGTTGGTCTCTGTTGCTGGCAGGTTGAATATTTAGCAGAAGTAATAGCTAAATTACTTCTTGTTAAGTTAGGAACCCATGCTCTTGGAGACTTCTATTTTTATCAGCTTAGCAACTCTGTTCATATGCCCATTATATCAGTTTTGAGGTAGACAATGACAGAGGCAGGCTGATGTTATCTGGCTGAATCATTTTGGTTTCATGGTTATTTAGTAACTCCACTGTGTTGAATGCTATCTGGTGGGTGTAATCATGTGATACAAAGATTTTATAATTTGAGCCCACTCTCATGTTTACCCACATGCCTCTACCCCTGATCTTTTTGTCGCTGATCTTCCCATTTTCTCTCTCCAGGCCCCAATTAACCTGCCAGGCCACTTGCCACTGCTGATTAGTCCGTAAGTGTAGTCTAATCTACTTATGTGTAGTCTAATCTGCTTCTCTTTCCACACAAAGTAGATGGTCAAGGTGCAGAGAAGTGAGTTGTCACTATTTCCTGGGGCCTTTGCCAAGATTCTAAATCCTGTATACTGAGAGAGTGCTCCCCAAATGACAAACTCTCCCTTATCCAACCTTACGGTATAACCACCTTGATCAAGCACACTCAACATGCAATCACATGTATACTTTTCCAATTCCTGCTGGTACATTCTGTTTCTTGTAGCTCCTTTGGGTTACAGTATCTTTCTTCCCTAATTAGGCCCAGTATGTCCCTGGCTTGGTTTTCCTGCAGCTTAACCATAGCTATCATAGCCAAAAAGAAGTAGGGGCATATCCTGAGGGAGACAAAATTGTCTTGCAGGGGGCAGGCCTCTGAATTTTCTTCCTACAAGAGGGGAGGGAGGTTAACTCTTGACTGGGGAAGGAGAGCCCTTCTGCAATCTCAGAAGATTTCAGGAAATCTAAGGATTCAGGACTTGTTTGGACATACACATAGATACCTATCCAATGCATCAGGGGCCTATTATTTTTTTCAAGCCAAGGCCCTAATCCTGGCATAGAAGGTATGTCTTGATAAGGAGTTTAACCTTCTTCAGAGCTTGGCAACTCTGATTATTAAATCCTATTCCTGTCCTATGATTTCTAGGCCCTCCTGCTGCAGAAAATTAGATCCTTTATATATGTTACCAAGAAGGCGCTTTACTTTCACACCTGCTTTCAATTACCTGTAAATTTCTCTCAGCTTTTTCTTTCTTTCAGAAAAGGGAGCTTAGAAAATAGCCACATGGGCTGGGCATGGTGGCTCATGCCTGTAATCCCAGCACTTTGGGAGGCCGAGATGGGCAGATCACGAGGTCAGGAGTTCGAGATCAGCCTGGCCAAAATAGTGAAACCCCGTCTCTACTAAAAATACAAAAAATTAGCCAGGCTTGCTGGCGGGCACCTGTAATCCCAGCTACTCAGGAGGCTGAGGCAGGAGAATCTTATGAACCCAGGAGGCGGAGGTTGCAGTGAGCCGAGATTGTGCCAATGTACTCCAGCCCGGGCGACAGGACGAGTCTCCATCCCAAGGAAAAAAAAAATAGCCACATGATTGTATTGTTCTTATAGTTTCTATTGCTGGCTTATTTTTCAAATGTCTGATATGTAGCAGTAGCTAGAGCATCCCATCCACCTTTATATCATCCCAATTCACCAGTGAAATTTTGACCAATAGGAACCTTACCTAGTATCAGGACTGCCTGTGCCCTACCACAAGTGATGTGGTTCTCATTGCCAGCAAAGCCACAAGTGATCCAGCTCCAAACCCCATCTTCTTTCCTACAATTCTTAGAGTACTCCGGGTACCAACTGTCACAGGTTACAGTTTCCCAGGAAGCAGACTCTGAGATGGGGATTAGAACATGCTACATATTTATTAAAGAACGCCCTATGGATAGACACATATGGAAAGGGAGATAAGAAAACAGGATTAGGCAAAAGGAGAAGGAGAAGTTAGCTGAAATGCAGGCTTGACAGCAGCCTCAGCCAACACTGCAGGGACACTTGGTGCTAAAATGGTCCTTCAGAGGTATCCTGAGCCAGATGAAGATCATCAGGTCTTTATTCTTCTGCACTAATCAGTTGTTGGATGTGTGTGTCCCTGGGAAAGAGCATGACCTTAAACAAGAGGGTTCTGCAGCTGAGGCAATCCTTGAAGGGGCTGATAGCTAACAGCTGCCTGCTGACATGTCTCCAAACAGCTGGGTCAACAAGCCCTTCACTGAGGAAGGATCTGGACCCTAGAACTAATCCTTTTAGGGAAGTAGCAATTTGAGGAGGCTTGAAAGTAGCTTTCAGAAAGACTGTGCCATCTTTCTGTATGACCCTGTGCCTTTGCACATTCTTCTGTTTCTACACCAAATGATTTTTCCCCACTCTTCATTCCTTTCTTTGCTAACTAGAACGTGTCCTTCAAGCATTGCCTTCCCAAAGAAGCCATTGCAGAATAGATTCCCTTTCAACCCCACTCCCAAGTCTCCTTGCCAAACAAACTCCCTGACTGGTGAAATGTTCCTGTGTTTTCCTGTGAGACTTTTAAGATGCCTATATATTAATACTTAATGCTTATCACCCTGAGGTTTTTTTTGTTTTGTTTTGTTTTTTGAGACATAGTCTTACTCTATCGTCCAGGCTGGAGTGCATTGGCGCCTATCTCCGCTCACTGCAACTTCCGTCTCCCAGGTTCAAGCAATTCTCGTGTCTCAGCCTCCTGAGTGCACCACCATACCTGGCTAATTTTTGTATTTTTAGTAGAGACAGGGTTTTACCATGTTGGCTAGGCTGATATTGAACTCCTGACCTCAGGTGATCCGCTTGCCTTGGCCTCCCAAATTGCTGGGATTACAGGTATGAGTCACCACGCCTGGCCTACCCTGAGTTTTCATTATGTAGTCATCTGCTATATTTTTCACTGGGCTGTTCATTTCTTGGAGATTTTATCTTTTCTTTTACTGGTGTATATTTAAGGAGCAGAACCAGTATGGTGCCTTTCATGTATCATGTATGTTAAATGGATGAACCCATCAAAAATATTATCATTCATGCCATAGAAGAAGGACACAGAACTAGAGTTAAGAAATCCAATTTGAGTCCTTACTTTGTCATAAACAGATTACAGATAAGTCACTCAATCTCCTCATATGTTTCACCTTCTGTAAAATGTAGATAAGTTCTCTCCTTACTTTATATCATTTTTATAAAGATAAAGGTAAATGAGATATATGAATGTTGGGTAATAAAAGTGTTATACAATGCCAGAAATTATTATTGTTTACCTATCACTTATTCTTCATCAGTGATCAGTGTTTGCCTACCTTGCTGCCTATAAATGTTTCATTTACTGTTGTAAGTCTCTGGGTTAATCACAGATGCAAATTTTAACTGTTGCTAAGGTGTATCTGCTCTGTACTCTTCAATTCTGGACAACTAATCCATATGTGTGTTTGGAAACTGGAAAATAAATGAGCCACTGAAAACTATCACCTCTAAAAGAGAACCCTGGATTAGTGAAAGGCCTAATCAGTGGGTTAAAAGGTGAACTGTCTCGGACTTTAAGAAAGTTATAGTCTGCTAGAGGGAGACAAACATGTGATAATATAAGAGAAATGAAATATTATAGATATTTTCTAGATATGAGATGGGATTTAGTGCAGGTACAAAGGAAGGAGTGATTAGATAGAGATTGAGGAGATGAAACTTGCCCTGTCTGGCAGTTTCCCTTCAGGCAGGCAAGGAACTGAAGGGCATGCAGGATGTGCAGAGGCACAAAGGAATAATAAGACAGAGGATTCCAAAGAGTTCTGTGTGACCAGAATGTACGGCAGAGGGGATGAGGGAAAATAAGGCAGCCACATGTGTCTGCCACCTTGGCATCAGAAAGGCCTCACTGGACATACTGTATATGGGGTCCTCTTCTGTTGCAGTTCTGAGATTCTCTGACTTACCTCAATTAGTAATTTATTATTTGGTATGGGAGATTCACTCCATTATGATAGTGGTCTTATGCAATATGTTTTATTTCATCATTGTAAATATATTTAATTCTGAAAATGCAAGGCTTTGGGGATAGGCTGTAATCATGTCTATCAGAAGTTTAAAGGATCCAGATAGCCATTGTTTAATGGCACCAATGATAAATGTAATGTCAGTTTAAAGAATGCTTTGAAAGCAAAGTTAGGTCATCTTTAATTGTTTGTTACTGAGGCTAAGGTGGAGGTGGGGGAGATTTCCTTTGCTTTACCGTTAGTATAGAACCTTTTTTTTATTTTTTATTTTTTTTCATGAGCATAGAACACAGCAAAAAACATCAAGGCACTTTAGGGTTGGTAAGGACTAAAAATTATCTTTCCAGCTCCCTTCATGCCAATTCCCCACTCCGGCCAACAAAAACCCTAATTGCTTCTATAGGTCCATGACATCTTAAAGATCTTGAAAGGTCTAGAGTGGTAGGGAATTACAATACTGTTTAGTCATTTACTGGTGATGGCATCATATACATTTCTACATATGTCTGGAATATCAGAGATATTCTGGGTACTTCTAAAAGTCATGACAGAACTTGGTGGTATGGAAAGATTGGAACGAATATGCATTTCTCCTGCTGAAGGCAGCATGTAGAAGCATAAGCACCATTTTTGCTCCACCACTGGCTTTGCAAATCATACATTTCCCAGAGGTAGATAATAATAAGGAAATATGAGAAAATCAAATTCTCTAGTTCTTCTAGTAAAGTAGAACAGCAAAGTCATTTTAAAATGATAGTCCAGTGGTTGTGACATGACCAGATAAGTCAGGTTGGAAGGGTTCCTAAAAATAATTCAGCTGAATCCTTTACTGATGAGGAAACTGAAGTCCACAAAGGTCAAGTGGTTTGCCCAAGGCCACAAAGCTCTCTGATCATCTAAAGTGGTCCCCAATGCTGTAATGTTTATTGGTTTTCAGACTTATTGTTTCCTAGAACAGAGTTCCTTCTCATCAAAATGGGTTTTATAGAATATGGCATCCTCCTCACATGCCATAAGGAAGCTACTCCCTTCTGAGGACTATAGCTTGTCCTTCATTATTCAAAAGATCAATTATCTTGAGCTCTTCCCATTCATTGTTGGTTTACTTCCCTGTTCATTAATTAGTTCTGAGAGGAGAGAAAAGTAAAGGAGGTAAAACCCATAGTCATTCTTTTACTTATTAGTGGTTTGGTGGGTGTTAGGGGAGAGAGGGAGGGTTGGTGGAAAAAATGAAATAAAAGATTTTTAAGATGATTACCTGTGACTTTCATTTGTTCCAAGGTATTAATGACATAAAAAAATCGAGAGCTTCACAAAAAATACATTGACATTCTTATCCTGCAAAATCTTCAACGTTTCCCAATCCAAAACTCATATTTTAAACATTATTCAATCACCTACATCCTTAGTCTTTAATCTATGGGTTTCTCATGATTTGTATTCTGTTAGAAGCATGATGGGTTTTAGTTATGAGTGTGTGAGTGAAGAAACGAAGGTGAGTTCCCAGGCTTTTCTCAGCTGAGACTATCACCATATGTGTGAACAAATGCCTTCCAGCCGATACTGGGTGTAAACCACTTGAAATATTGGAGAAAGGCCAACATTTCATCATCTTGGCCCATCTCTTTGCACAGTGTAATGCTCTCGTGTGCCGTTCCAGAGCAGTGAAACTCCGAAGGCTTGTCTAAAATGCCAATGATAATACACCTATTTTTATCTAGCAGAGCCACTGTGGTTCACATAGTTACTTTCCCAACTGAAAAATGCTGGTGAACCAGCACAGCAAGACCAAGATAAGTATCTTCTTAGAGTTACTGGCAAACAGCAAAGACAATTAAACTTCAGTATTGAGTCACTTGTCAACTGGGCAGGCTGACTTCAACTCCTACCACTGAGTTTTCAAGCTGCGTAGGATTTTGCCATATTGAGCTTAGTTTACATTAAGCCATTTGTGCTGCTAAATTCTTTAAAAGCCATATTATTTGATAAGAGGCTGTATGCTTGTATTTTGGAGCATGTGTGATACTTACCGTCCTAGTTTCTAAGCTGAAATTGTTGATGCCAAGAAGGGAGATTATTACATGTATTGATGCACTGTGAGCAGACCAAATGTAACTCCTTTTTGCAAAAGAACCTATGTGAATACCGAGTCAGCCTCCCACACACATGAGTCTTCTTTGTCACTTCAGTGGGAGTTTTATGTGGGAATTAAGAAGAGAAAAATGTCACCCAGAGTGTGTCTGATCATGATTTAATATCTGAGCCAAGACATCTTCATCTAGTGAAAGCTCCTACCCACATAACATTAAATCATAAACATATGCAGCAACGGGCCTTTGAATACGCCTTTGCAATGCTTTGCATGGAATGAGCCATAAGCTATGTTATTTGATAAATTGAATTGACATTCACAGGAAACTCTCATATTGGGATATTTAGTTGAAATATAAATGACAGAATGGTCAGCGTTTTGGTTCAATGCTTTGGGGGAGGACCATAAAAGTCCCAATGTTTGCTAAGAGAAGAAAGCCCAAAACAACTTATATGCCTTCATGGCCTAAAACAGGGAGTGGTAGGAAGTAGGGGAGGCAAGAGAGGCAGTGTGTGTGTGAAAACCAAAGGCTTCCTCTAACAAACTAATTAATTATACCTTTATGTATGATTAAGATGCATTCATTAAAAATTAGAGGCCATATAGTTTTGATTACTGTTAAAACAAATGCATACACCAAACAAGCACAACCATGTTTTATTAAAATAAATAAAGGAGCTTATGGGATCAGTCCACAGCATTTAAATGCAGTTCCATCCTGTGTTTCCCATGGGGTAATTACATGACTCAGTCCACTGGACAACCAGCTCAGCCAAAGCAGATTTATAGGGAGTAAGGAGAGATCATCCTGGGATTCCTTTTGCTTGGCTTCAGAGTTCCTGAATTAGCGTAGAGTTGGGTGTGAGTTACAGGTTACACTATTAAGCAGCTTCCTCAACCACAGAAGCACTTATAAGGCAAGAGGCAGGCATGGGGTGGTTCTGGTCCTATTCACGTTTGGAAACTAAAGAAATGGGAGGAACACTAAGAGGTTTATGTAGGTTTTTCCTGGAGACCTGGGTTGGCCATATTGAATCCACAAGGATTAGAGCTGAGTGGGTTCCTGTGTAGGGGCATGCTGCTGTTCAACTGCAGTGTCATCTGGCCATTGTTCTTTGATGCAAACAGATTCTATCTATGGCTCCTCACACTACAAAATATGGTAGGTTTTCATTACCTTCAAGGAAAGAAGTCTCTACTAAAAACTTTTAAATACTTTAGCTGCAGCCCCAGAAGCACTACACGCAGCAGTTTGCAGGTAGAGTGGACCATGAATAGGGCTTTGTATGAGGACCCTTAGAATTATATTGGAATACCTGTAGCCCACTTATAGACTAAACGTAAGTAACTCTTTAAGGCAAGTAAGTAAAACAGAACATCATGTTTCAGGTAGGATTTTATTATATCTTATCAGTGGCATCATTATTCCCCTTGAGCTGAACCTCATGCTGAGCTAGAATTGGCGTTTTTAGGCTTCTTATAATCATAAATATAAACTGAATTCTGCCTTTACAATAAATGCTTCTCTCATCTACTGGATTCTCTAACTCAACTTTAACGTGGGAAGTTGTGATTTCTAATTGATCTATCCACAGGCATTGGGTCCTCTTCTGCAGATATAGGTACTTAGCACCCCTGCCGCCACACCACTCCAAGGGGAATTGTGAGTGGAGAGAAAGTCCAACTGGCACAGAAACTGTTGTAGAAAATCCAAGGAAATGCCGATTGCAAGATTCTGAGTGTTTGGCAATTAATACAATTTATCCTTTTGGCCTAGAAAATTTACTCACAGAGAAATTTTTAAAAAGCCTACCATGTAATACCCTTTCAAGATTCCTAAATAGTATTGGGAAAATCCAAATCATACAAGTCGCTTTCTTCTCAACCCCAGGTAAATCAAGCTACTAGATTATTAACTCTGGGTTATATCATCACTACACTTTTACCTCATATTAACGTTATATACATTATTAAGTTATATATAGGTATAGATTATATATAATACATATAATTTTAAAAAAATTTTGTGTGTATATCATAGGTATGTGTACATATACATATTTATGGGGTACATGAGATACTTTAATACAGGCATGCAATGGGTAATAATCACACCAGGGTAAATGGGATATCTATCCACTCAAGCATTTATTCTTCGTGTTACAAACAATCCAATTATACTCTTTTAGTTATTTAAAAATATACAATTAAATTATTATTGACTAAAATCACTTGTTGTGCCATCAAATACTAGGTCTTCTTCATTCTTTCCAACTACTTTTTATTTATTTATTTATTTATTTATTTATTTATTTTTTCTTTTATTATTATACTTTAAGTTTTAGGGTACATGTGCACATTGTGCAGGTTAGTTACATATGTATACATGTGCCACGCTGGTGCGCTGCACCCACTAACTCGTCATCTAGCATTAGGTATATCTCCCAATGCTATCTCTCCCCCCTCCCCCCACCCCACAACAGTCCCCAGAGTGTGATGTTCCCCTTCCTGTGTCCATGTGTTCTCATTGTTCAATTCCCACCTATGAGTGAGAATATGCGATGTTTGGTTTTTTGTTCTTGCGATAGTTTACTGAGAATGATGATTTCCAATTTCATCCATGTCCCTACAAAGGACATGAACTCATCCTTTTTTATGGCGGCATAGTATTCCATGGTGGATATGTGCCACATTTTCTTAATCCAGTCTATCATTGTTGGACATTTGGGTTGGTTCCAAGTCTTTGCTATTGTGAATAGTGCCGCAATAAACATACGTGTGCATCTGTCCTTATAGCAGCATGATTTATAGTCCTTTGGGTATATACCCAGTAATGGGATGGCTGGGTCAAATAGTATTTCTAATTCTAGATCCCTGAGGAATCGCCACACTGACTTCCACAATGGTTGAACTAGTTTACAGTCCCACCAACAGTGTAAAAGTGTTCCTATTTCTCCACATCCTCTCCAGCACCTGTTGTTTCCTGACTTTTTAATGATTGCCATTCTAAGTGGTGTGAGATGGTATCTCATTGTGGTTTTGATTTGCATTTCTCTGATGGCCAGTGATGATGAGCATTTTTTCATGTGTTTTTTGGCTGCATAAATGTCTTCTTTTGAGAAGTGTCTGTTCATGTCCTTCGCCCACTTTTTGATGGGGTTGTTTGTTTTTTTCTTGTAAATTTGTTTGAGTTCATCGTAGATTCTGGATATTAGCCCTTTGTCAGATGAGTAGGTTGCAAAAATTTTCTCCCATTTTGTAGGTTGCCTGTTCACTCTGACGGTAGTTTCTTTTGCTGTGCAGAAGCTCTTTAGTTTAATTAGATCCAATTTGTCAATTTTGTCTTTTGTTGCCATTGCTTTTGGTGTTTTAGACATGAAGTCCTTGTCCATGCCTATGTCCTGAATGGTATTGCATAGGTTTTCTTCTAGGGTTTTTATGGTTTAAGTCTAATGTTTAAGTCTTTAATCCATCTTGAATTGATTTTTGTATAAGGTGTAAGGAAGGGATCCAGTTTCAGCTTTCTACATATGGCTAGCCAGTTTTCCCAGCACCATTTATTAAATAAGGAATCCTTTCCCCATTGCTTGTTTTTCTCAGGTTTGTCAAAGATCAGATAGTTGTAGATATGAGGCGTTATTTCTGAGGGCTCTGTTCTGTTCCATTGATCTATATCTCTGTTTTGGTACCAGCACCATGCTGTTTTGGTTACTGTAGCCTTGTAGTATAGTTTGAAGTCAGGTAGTGTGATGCCTCCAGCTTTGTTCTTCTGGCTTAGGATTGACTTGGCGATGCGGGCTCTTTTTTGGTTCCATATGAACTTTAAAGTAGTTTTTTCCAATTCTGTGAAGAAAGGCATTGGTAGCTTGATGGGGATGGCATTGAATCTGTAAATTACCTTGGGCAGTATGGCCATTTTCATGATATTGATTCTTCCTACCCATGAGCATGGAATGTTCTTCCATTTGTTTGTATCCTCTTTTATTTCATTGAGCAGTGGTTTGTAGTTCTCCTTGAAGAAGTCCTTCACATCCCTTGTAAGTTGGATTCCTAGATATTTTATTCTCTTTGAAGCAATTGTGAATGGGATTTCACTCATGATTTGGCTCTCTGTTTGTCTGTTGTTGGTGTATAAGAATGCTTGTGATTTTTGTACATTGATTTTGTATCCTGAGACTTTGCTGAAGTTGCTTATCAGCTTAAGGAGATTTTGGGCTGAGACAATGGGGTTTTCTAGATATACAATCATGTCATCTGCAAACAGGGACAATTTGACTTCCTCTTTTCCTAATTGAATACCCTTTATTTCCTTCTCCTGCCTAATTGCCCTGGCTAGAACTTCCAACACTATGTTGAATAGGAGTGGTGAGAGAGGGCATCCCTGTCTTGTGCCAGTTTTTGAAGGGAATGCTTCCAGTTTTTGCCCATTCAGTATGTATTGGCTATGGATTTGTCATAAATAGCTCTTATTATTTTGAGATATGTCCCATCAATACCGAATTTCTTGATAGTTTTTAGCATGAAGGGCTGTTGAATTTTGTCAAAGGCCTTTTCTGCATCTATAGAGATAATCATGTGGCTTTTGCCTTTGGTTCTGTTTATATGCTGGATTACATTTATTGATTTGCGTATATTGAACCAGCCTTGCATCCCAGGGATGAAGCCTGCTTGATCATGGTGGATAAGCTTTTTGATGTGCTGCTGGATTCGGTTTGCCAGTATTTTATTGAGGATTTTTGCATCAATGTTCATCAAGGATATTGGACTAAAATTCTCTTTTTTGGTTGTGTCTCTGCCCGGCTTTGGTATCAGAATGATGCTGGCCTCATAAAATGAGTTAGGGAGGATTCCCTCTTTTTCTATTGATTGGAATAGTTTCAGAAGGAATGGTACCAGTTCCTCCTTGTACCTCTGGTAGAATTTGGCTGTGAGTCCATCTGGTCCTGAACTCTTTTTGGTTGGTAAGCTATTGATTATTGCCACAATTTCAGATCCTGTTATTGGTCTATTCAGAGATTCAACTTCTTCCTGGTTTAGTCTTGGGAGAGTGTAAGTGTCAAGGAATTTATCCATTTCTTCTAGATTTTCTAGTTTATTTGTGTAGAGGTGTTTGTAGTATTCTCTAATGGTAGTTTGTATTTCTGTGGGATCGGTGGTGATATCCTCTTTATCATTTTTTATTGCATCTATTTGATTCTTCTCTCTTTTTTTCTTTATTAGTCTTGCTAGCAGTCTATCTATTTTGTTGATCCTTTCAAAAAACCAGCTCCTGGATTCATTAATTTTTGAAGGGTTTTTTGTGTCTCTATTTCCTTCAGTTCTGCTCTGATTTTAGTTATTTCTTGCCTTCTGCTAGCTTTTGAATGTGTTTGCTCTTGCTTCTCTAGTTCTTTTACTTGTGATGTTAGGGTGTCAATTTTGGATCTTTCCTGCTTTCTCTTGTGGGCATTTAGTGCTATAAATTTCCCTCTACACACTGCTTTGAATGTGTCCCAGAGATTCTGGTATGTTGTGTCTTTGTTCTCGTTGGTTTCAAAGAACATCTTTATTTCTGCCTTCATTTCGTTATGTACCCAGCAGTCATTCAGGAGCAGGTTGTTCAGTTTCCATGTAGTTGAGCGGTTTTGAGTGAAATTCTTAATCCTGAGTTCTAGTTTGATTGCACTGTGGTCTGAGAGATAGTTTGTTATAATTTCTGTTCTTTTACATTTGTTGAGGAGAGCTTTACTTCCAAGTATGTGGTCAATTTTGGAATAGGTGTGGTGTGGTGCTGAAAAAAATGTATATTCTGCTGATTTGGGGTGGAAAGTTCTGTAGATGTCTGTTAGGTCTGCTGGGTGCAGAGCTGAGTTCAATTCCTGGGTATCCTTGTTGACTTTCTGTCTTGTTGATCTGTCTAATATTGACAGTGGCGTGTTAAAGTCTCCCATTATTAATGTGTGGGAGTCTAAGTCTCTTTGTAGGTCACTCAGGACTTGCTTTATGAATCTGGGTGCTCCTGTATTGGGTGCATATATATTTAGTATAGTTAGCTCTTCTTGTTGAATTGATCCCTTTACCATTATGTAATGGCCTTCTTTGTCTCTTTTGATCTTTATTGGTTTAAAGTCTGTTTTATCAGAGACTAGGATTGCATCCCCTGCCTTTTTCTGTTTTCCATTTGCTTGGTAGATCTTCCTCCATCCTTTTATTTTGAGCCTATTTGTGTCTCTGCACGTGAGATGGGTTTCCTGAATACAGCACACTGATGGGTCTTGACTCTTTATCCAATTTGCCAGTCTGTGTCTTTTAATTGGAGCATTTAGTCCATTTACATTTAAGGTTAATATTGTTATGGGTGAATTTGAATGTTGGCCTGCCTTGATAGGTTGGGGAAATTCTCCTGGATAATATCCTGCATAGTGTTTTCCAACTTGGTTCCATTCTCCCCGTCACTTTCAGGTACACCAATCAGACGTAGATTTGGTCTTTTCACATAGTCCCATATTTCTTGGAGGCTTTGCTCATTTCTTTTTATTCTTTTTTCTCTAGACTTCCCTTCTCGCTTCATTTCATTCATTTCATCTTCCATCACTGATACCCTTTCTTCCAGTTGATCGCATCGGCTCCTGAGGCTTCTGCATTCTTCACGTAGTTCTCGAGCCTTGGTTTTCAGCTCCATCAGCTCCTTTAAGCACTTCTCTGTATTGGTTATTCTAGTTATACATTCTTCTAAATTTTTTTCGAAGTTTTCAACTTCTTTGCCTTTGGTTTGGATGTCCTTCCGTAGCTCAGAGTAATTTGATCGTCTGAAGCCTTCTTCTCTCAGCTCGTCAAATTGGTCGTTCTCTGTCCAGCTTTGTTCCATTGCTGGTGAGGAACTGTGTTCCTTTGGAGGAGGAGAGTTGCTCTGCTTTTTAGAGTTTCCAGTTTTTCTGTTCTGTTTTTTCCCCATCTTTGTGGTTTTATCTACTTTTGGTCTTCGATGACGGTGATGTACAGATGGGTTTTTGGTGTGAATGTCCTTTCTGTTTGTTCGTTTTCCTTCTAACAGACAGGACCCTCAGCTGCAGGTCTGTTGGAGTACCCGGCCGTGTGAGGTGTCAGTCTGCCCCTGCTGGGGGGTGCCTCCCAGTTAGGCTGCTCGGGGGTCAGGGGTCAGGGACCCAGTTGAGGAGGCAGTCTGCCCATTCTCAGATCTCCAGCTGCATGCTGGGAGAACCACTGCTCTCTTCAAAGCTGTCAGACAGGGACATTTAAGTCTGCAGAGGTTACTGCTGTCTTTTTGTTTGTCTGTGCCCTGCCCCCAGAGGTGGAGCCTACAGAGGCAGGCAGGCCTCCTTGAGCTGTGGTGGGCTCCACCCAGTTGGAGCTTCCTGGCTGCTTTGTTTGCCTAAGCAAGCCTGGGCAATGGCGGGTGCCCCTCCCCCAGCCTGGCTGCTGCCTTGCAGTTTGATCTCAGACTGCTGCGCTAGCAATCAGCGAGACTCCGTGGGTGTAGGACCCTCCGAGCCAGGTGCGGGATATAATCTCGTGGTGCGCCGTTTTTTAAGCCCATCGGAAAAGCGCAGTATTCGGGTGGGAGTGACCCGATTTTCCAGGTGCCATCCGTCACCCCTTTCTTTGACTAGGAAAGGGAACTCCCTGACCCCTTGCGCTTCCCGAGTGAGGCAATGCCTCACCCTGCTTCGGCTGGCGCATTGTGCGCGCACCCACTGACCTGCGCCCACTGTCTGGCACTCCCTAGTGAGATGAACCCGGTACCTCAAATGGAAATGCAGAAATCACCCGTCTTCTGCGTCACTCACGCTGGGAGCTGTAGACTGGAGCTGTTCGTATTCAGCCATCTTCCCAACTACTTTTTATACCCATTGACCTTCATCACATCTCCCCCAGACCCCTACTAACCTTCCCAGCCTCTGGTAACCATTCTTCTACTCTCTATCTCCATGAGTTCAATTGTTTTAATTTTTAGCTCCACCAAGTAAACGAGAACATAAAAATCTTGTCTTTCTGTGCCTTGCTTATTTCACTTAACAAAATGACCTCCAGTCCCATCTGTGTTGTTGCAAATGACAGGATCTCTTTCCTTTTTATGGCTGAATAGTACTCCGTTGTGTATAAGTACCACATTTTCTTTATCCATTTGTATGTTGATGGACCCTTAGGTTGCTTCCAAATCTTGGCTATTGTGAAGAGTGCTGCAACAAACACAGGAGTGTAGATATCTCTTCAATATACTGATTTCCTTTCCTTTAGGTATATACCCAGTAGTCGGATTGCTGGATCATATGGTAGCTCTACTTTTAGTTTTTTTGAGGAAACTCCAGACTGTTTTCCATCGTGGTTGTACTAATTTACATTCTCACACGCAGTGTACGATGATTCCCATTTCTCCACATCCTTGCCAGCATTTGTTACTGCCTATATTTTGGATAACAGCCATTGTAACTGGGGCTTATCACTACACTTTTCAATGATGTGTCTGGGTTTCAGAGGACTAACCATTGCAGGCTAGGCTGGGTGTTGGTTATTTTGAAGCTGAGTTTCTTTTCAAAGAACTCTGTACTAGTTGTTGTATGTTACGTTGTTTGGTCCAGAGAGTTCATACAGGTCTTGGAGCTGGAGATCATGTGGTAAATAATGCAAAGTAGAAAGTTAACCCACTGATTAATCACAATCCTGTGAACCTGAATGGAGTGAGTCATGGTCAGTCAACTAGGTAGAATTGGTCTTCTACTCTTCTCTAGATGAAAGACAACCACCATTCAGGATCTTCAGGCTATACAAACAAACAAACAAACAAACAAACAAACAAACCCCCAAAAACAAGAAATAGAAAAAGAAAAAAATGATTAAAAAGTTTAGAACTGATTCCTGATTTAAAGCATTGTGACTCAACATAATCTTATTTATAAATTCATTCAATAATAAACACCTGTTAAATCATAAAGACTTAAACAGAAAGAATTCTAGGAGTTATTATTTGTAACAAGTTGCAAGTGTATAAACACATCCTTAGTGTAACAATTTGTTAGACCGTATGAAATCCCTCATCAATTTACCTTTTCTCAAACAGGTGTGTTTGGTCTTAACAGGGAGGTTTTCCATACATAGGTTTTTATGGTGAGTTTTTAGTAGGTTATCACCTTCTACTGCTCCATCTTTGCTTTTTATCTTTTGTCTTTGTATTTTACTTATTTTCTGAGTCTCTATATGAAATAATTATTTAAAATTTACAGTATGTCTTTTTCTTTAAAGAGAGAAGAGAAAGAAAGAGAACTCCTTGAACTTGAAAACAGACCATCAATGGTGAGTACTTGCCCAATATTCAGAAATATCATCAAAGTGTTATCTCATGATGGATCCTAACCATATAAAATATTTCTACTAATAGCCTCAGTCAAATTAACGTAAAAACTGGGAATGGCGTTTTTGGCAGTTTTTGACAGTTGAATAGTCTCAAATATTGCAAGACACATGAAGTTTAATATCAGTGAGATCTTTCTCACATTCTGTATCTTGGAAGTTTGGGTGAGAATTGTATTAAGGATGTTTATGAAGCCAAAAAAGTAGACATATGTGGAAAGAGAGTTTTGAGGTCTAATTTATCTCAGATGAATACATTCTAATACTTCCTGAGACTTAGGTGAGAATCAAAAATCAAAAAAAATCCTGATATGAAGCAATGATCTATTGAACATGTTCTCAGGTTCTAATTACCCTCCACAGGAGGCTAAACTTTTCCCCAGTGATATGAAGTGTTCCTTAGAAAACTTCTTTTAAATCTTCATAATCACTGATGGAAACAGAAATTGTATCAACATGGAATAAGAGACATGCTTTCTCCGGTACTGTTAATCTAGAGGAGACCTGCTCAACCTTTACTTAGATATTGAAGAGGATTTGTTTGTATTAGGTTGGTGCAAAAGTAATTGCAATTTTTGCCATTAAAAGTAATGGCAAAATGCTAATAAAAGTAATGACAAAAATCACAATTACTTTTGCAGCAATATAATAAAATGTCTTTATCCTCAGACTATACTCATTTGTTTGAAGAGAGGTAACATCACTTAGTTATTAGATACAATACATCTGATTTCCAGTCCCAACTCTACCTCTAGCAAACTCTTTGACCTTGTCCAGGAAAATGACACTTAAACCTTGTTGCTAGCAATGGACTCTGTGACCTTGGGCAAATCACTTAGTCACTATGTCTCTATTAATCTCTCTCTAAAGTAGACTCCTCTTTGCTCTCTTCCTTATGGGGATGTTATGAGCATCAGGGAGATAATATTGGTAAATTGCTTTGAGTTCCTAAGAAGAAAAGCACACTTCAAATAGAAGCACCATTATATTGTTGTGCAATCATGTTATATCTTCTTTTCCTTCAATTATCCCTTCTGCTGTTATGTTTACTTCAACAGTTAGGTGTGTCTATTTTAACTAGGCAAACTAATACTTACCTGTTATGCTTTTCCCTATTCCTGTTACTTATCCTATTTTGCATATTTTCCCAAGTTAATTTTTTGGGAGAATAATCTATAAATGAGTTAATCATCTTGACCATGAGAATATACTTTTCAGAAAGACAACTGCACTAGAATATATAGATTCGGTGACAATAGAACAACAACCAGCAGCTTCTAGTATTTTCAAATTACTATGTCCAATAAAAATAATAATTAATGATGTATGTTTAAAGCGTACCTTTCATCTGATCATCTCAAAGTATTTTAGAAACTCTAATTAAACTCCAGAACACCCCTTTGCTAAACATATTATTATTTCCATGTTGCCAGTGAAGAAACTGAGGCTCAACAAGGTTATGGGACTAGCACAGGGACACAAAATGAGTCAGTGTCAGGAAGGGGACTTAGTGTTTTTAAGGCCTGTTCAAAAGTTTTCCACCTTGAGCTAATTAGTGCTTTATAGTTTCAAGGATAGAGGGTATCAGGTTACCAGGTAACAACCACTGACTCCCAAAATTCAGATGTAGCATTGCAGTGCTTAGGTGATCTGATGCTTCCCTTTTCCCAACCTATTTCTGTTCTTAACTCTTGGGAGGTTTTTTAGCTTCTCAAGCTCATCCACCAATGGACGAGTACAGCTAGGCATATATAGGCTATAAAGCTCCAATCAGTTGTTATAATAACTCTTGTCTAGCAAAAGTACAGAGTGGGAACAAATGTTGAAAGTCAGCACTAAGGTGATGCCAATGAATTACCTGTAGATTTTCATATCCTGCTCTGCTCCATGCTATGTTGTAGCAGAAGTTTTACGAGGCTAAATAGCATCTTATCGCTAGAAAAATAACAGTCTGTAATGCTGATTTAATTCGCTCTGAATCAGAAGAATTAGAAATTGACTACCTGCCACTAATAACCTAAATCCTATGAACTGGCTCCAAGGATTGAGATACAGTTCACAGTCTTAGGTAAGCCATACCTCTTTTTCAGTTTAAGTGGTTCAGCCTCACTTCACACCTGTGTCTTCAGGTTAATTTGAGGAATTTCGAAGATTTTAGCTCAAATGACTTTGCCTACAATATTTTTCTCCTTATGGATAAGTTTACAAAATTTTTCTTGTCTAATCTATGGAATCATTTCATAAAATCCTCTTCAGGGACTGAAAAGTATTAACCTAAGGATAGGAATTTATCTTTGTGGTCAGAACTGTGCCATAAGTAGGAAATCCTAGTGATTGCCCAGATGTGGAAGGCAAAATGGCTCAATAGTGAAGAGCTCTAGTTTGGAGTCAGATTTAATCTGGCTAAGTTTCTTATTAGCTGCAAGAAGATCACTTACAATCTTTGAGTTTGTTTTATTATTTGTTAAATGGAAATAATATTCCTATAGCCTGCGCTCGTTGTGCAGGTGAATTGAGTTGTTATAGGAAAATTTTGAACGTGACACCTGGCATGTAGTAGGTATTCAGTAAATGGTAGCTCTTAGTATTAATATTAATTTTAATTATTCTCTGAATTTGCCAAGGAAAAGAGCCTAATAAGTATGGAAGCTTGAAAAGGGTAAAAGACAGAGTATGTCCAAAATAAAATAGTTACTAAGCTGAATCCTTTGCTATTTGTGACTAGGGAAACAAAGTAAAAAAGGATCAAGTGTGTGACCAGATGGCTCTTGGTAACTGAAGCAGGAATGGATAGCATATTAATTACAGGAAAAAGCAGGATATACAGATTGGCACAGAGTATTATCATGTTCTTTCTCTAACAAAAAATGTGATTGTTACATTCATATATTACAATGGAAAATTGTTCTTTCAAGTCCAACTTTTCTTGTGATGTTTTCCAGGGAATTGCATTTGACTAATGCCCTAAAGCATTTAACACCATTTTCAAAGAAGTTTTCAAAATGTTTGTGAAAATAATAAGACCAAACTTAAAGCTAATGTAAAATAAAATAAGCCATTCCAGATGTGGCGGAGAGGGAAATACAAGTAACTTTTTGCTTAAAAAAAAAGACTGATTCATAAAACACCCATTTGCCATTTAGATGTAAGAAGTATTTGGGAGGGAGCGGAGAAGATAGTTTCCTTTTGGTCAAAGGAGAGAAGATGCTTAGGAGACATGAAGTTATTTTCTCCTTTCCTAACTTTGCATGAAGATCCATAGAATCTGAATGAAATCCATATGACAGGAAATCTCACGGAAATTCATAATCAGGACTCCAGGATAATTCATAAAAATAAAATTTGTGATAGTCCAAAGACCCAGAGTACTAACTTATCAATATGTAGTCTGTAGCTCAGATAAAAATCTTTATTTTCAGATGATTATTCATCCTGATTTATTAGTCTGTTTTTTCAGTGTTTGCCTGCTTACTGCAATTCAATACTGCTACTACTACCTTCAGATGGATCACTGGAGAATTTTAACTTTTTTTCATTAATTTTATAGGTGATTTATCCTAGGGTTACCTCTTAATTGATTTTCCTATCTCTAATTTATTTCTAATTCAATCTATTCTCCATATTTGCTGACAAACTGATCAAAAACAAAAACCCCAAAATATGACTATGTCACTGCTAAGATTAAAATCTTCAGTGTCTCCTCATATCTTCAAAAAAAAAAAAAAAAAGAAAGAGAGAAAAAAACCCCAAAGTTTTAAACTGATTAGAATGACATTCCTATCACTTTGAAATAAGGACCAAACATAGTTTTCAAATTTTGTCATGGATCACTCCCTCACTTAAAAACATTATCTTTTTCATGCCATTCAAACAGTCAACATTAATATCAGTGTGGCAAAACCAAACCAGTCTGGTGGTTATTAAAGAGAAAAATCTTTGTGGCAACCCCAGCTTCTAGAATATAACAAGAAAAGGGCCACTAAGGACAAAAATCAAACCCATATTCCACACAAGTTGATGATAATAGGCAAAAAGATGAGGAAGTTTATGTGGTAGGTTAAAAATTTACATCATTATTATTATTATTATTATTATTTTATTCTTTAGAGATGAGGTCTCACTCTGTCACCTAGGCTGGAATGCAGCGGTGCAATCATAGCTCACTGCAGTCTTGAACTCCTGGGTTCAAGCAACCCTGTCACTTCAGCCTCCCAAGTAGTTGAGACCACAGATGCACACCACCATGCCTGGCTAATTTATTTTTATTTGTATTTTTTGCATTTTTGTAGAGACAGGGTCTCACTGTGTTGCCTAGGCTGGTCTTGAACTCCTGCATTCAAGCGATCTTCCTGTCTTGGCCTTCCAAAGCACTAGGATTACAGATGTGAGTCACCATGCCCCTTTATTGTTATTACTATGATACTAATTGATTTTTGTTCTATTAGCTAGTCTCAGTAGGATACAAGCTTGAAAGCAGCTTTATGTTTTCTCACCACTCCTTGATGTAGACTATGTAAAACCGGTTTTTCCCACCCCAGGCTAAAATAGCTTTTCCAGTCACTCTTTTCCTCCCTCTTTTTTTTTTTTTTTTTTTTTTTTTGAGACGGAGTCTTGCTCTGTCGCCCAGGCTGGAGTGCAGTGGCGAGATCTCAGCTTTCTGCAACCTCCACCTCCCGGGTTGACGCGATTCTCCCGCTTCAGCCTCTGGAGTAGCTGGGACTACAGGTGCCCGCCACCACGCCCGGCTAATTTTTTGTATTTTTAGTAGAGACTGGGTTTCACCCTGTTAGCCAGGATGGTCTCTGTCTTCTGACCTCGTGATCCACCCTCCTCGGCCTCCCCAAGTGCTGGGATAACAGGCCTGAGCCACCGCGCCTGGCCCCCAGTCACTCTTAAATAATAAAAAGACTCCCATTACTTTAAAGAATTAAAGAGTTGAGACCAGTTTAAAAGCAACTCTTCGCCATGGAGCTGTCCTCTCTTCTAATATTATAGAAATGGTCTGGCCAGGCACGGTGGCTCAGGCCTGTAATCCCAGCATTTTGGGAGGCTGAGGACGGCGGATCACGAGGTCAGGAGATGGAGAACATCCTGGCTAACACAGTGAAACCCCGTCTCTACTAAAAATACAAAAACAAAATTATCCAGGCGTGGTGACGGGTGGCTGTAGTCCCAGCTACTCGGGAGGCTGAGGCAGGAGCATGGCGTGAACCCGGGAGTCGGAGCTTGCAGTGAGCCGAGATCGCGCCACTGCACTCCAGCCTGGGGGACAGAGCGAGACTCCATCTCAAAAAAAAAAAAAAAAAAAAAAAAAAGGAAAAAAAAGGATCTATGGGTCTATCAGCTCATTGTAGACTTTGTGAATACATGGTATCTACTGTTTTTTTGGTTTCGTTTTGTTTTGTTTTTAATCTTGGTTTTTGCATCTGTGCCAAAATGGAGGCATGGAGGCATCAGAAAGAGCAATGAGCTCATAGGGAGAAGGTAAGCGAGGCAAGTGCAGTTGTTATCTGTCTTTCTGCCCCATGGATAATAAACTCATTGCTGGCTCCTCCTCTTGGGGGATGCAACTGTGGGATTTTTGGAGTTCCTCTGCTGAGATTTCAGACTGCAGTAAACTTATAAAGGGGGACTAATTCTCACTTGCTGGTCACTTAAAACAGTCTACCTCATTCCTGAGGCGTCTTAAGGGGTACTTCACTATGGGGCACAGTGTAACCCATATGTTCCTCTTTGGAATGGTCCTATTTGAGTGAGTTGGAGTAGCTTTTTTTTTTTTTCCCCTCCACAGGATCTACATCTAGAACCAGGGAAATAAACCCCTTTACCATTTCCTTGGGGGAGAAACATTTCATTTTCCACACAGCTCCCTTCTTTGTTCTACCAGCTCCATCCAGACTTTCACCTTTCAACTTTTTCTAACATCTGTCAAACACCAGTCCCTTTCACCCCCTGATTTCTGAAGACGCATGTCAAGCTCTCTCATTAATCTCTTTTAAACCTGTTATTTGAGGTTTGAAGTCAGGCTGAAGCTCCTCCCTACCTTTATTTGAGAGGAAGTAAAATAGCCAACAACTTTTTCCACAGATATTTTCTCTCTTATTTTTTTCAACCTCAGCCTTTTATGTGGGCGGAGTGGTGATCACCTAATTCTCGCAGACCTGGCTGGGGGCTGTCTTCTCCTCTAATCTTACAAAAATGGTCTAGCAGCTCGGTCTAGACTTTGTGAATACATGGTATCTACTGTTTTTTTCTTGGTTTTTGCATCTGTGCCAAAATTCCAGAGCAACAGAAAGAGTTTTCTTTTTCTTTTCTTTTCTTTTCTTTTTTTTTTTTTCTTTTGAGACAGGGTCTCACTCTTTTGCCCGGGCTGGAGTACAATGGTGTGATCTTGGCTCACTGCAACCTCAACCTCCAGGGCTCAGGTAATCCTCCCACCACAGCTTCTCAGGTAGCTAGGATTACAGGCACACACCATCATGCCTGGCTAATTTTTTTGTATTTTTTCTAGAGATGGGGTTTCACCATGTTGCCTAGGCTGGCCTCAAATTCCTGGGCTCAAGTGATCCTTCTGCTTCAGCCTCCCAAAGTGCTAGGATTATAGGCATGAGCCACCACCTCCAGCTAAGAAAGAGTTCTTTTTGAAATTCTGTGACACTGGTGGATGCCGCAGCACCTCTGAATGCCTATGCCTCTGCTCCCTCTCATGGGCCCTGACTTCCATGCCTGATACATGCTAGGTGTGCTGTGTATTTTCAGGCCTGTGTTAGCTGTTTAAGCCATTCTTTCTGTCTAGAATGCGCTTCCCATCCTCGAAAAAGCTTCTCTCTAATACTTAGCTCAAATATTATCTTTTTTGTACAAGCTTGCTAAACTCCCTTGGGGAGAAGGAATACTTATCCCAGCTGTGCTTACCCAATATTTAGGAATTAATAATGAAAATCTCAGGTTTCAGAGTAAGACAGACCATTTAGGTTTCAATTGGAGCTCAGCATGTTAGCAGTTCTGTGTGACCTCAAAAAAGTTCCTTAATTTTTCAGTCTATTCATTTTAAAAAAATGAAGGAAAACTAACCTCTTATTATTTGAGGTTGTATACATATTAAATGAAATAATTTCTATAAGGTACAGAGTACAATATCTTAATATAGTCATTACTCAATATGATAGGTAAGTACTTAATACGATAGTTGACTATTAATACTACTAATGGTGCTTGTACTACAACTACTTTTAGTTCTCGTGTTCTATTGCTATCACCTAAGAAATAATTAAACACAAATGCAACAAAAGGAAGTCTATTTCTACTTGTCTTAGCTTTTTATTCATTGCCACTTGCCAGCCACTAGCCTACATTCTTTATATATGCTATGCAATTTTGTTCTCTCAACTTCCCTATGAGGTAAGTATAATTATCTCTTTTTGACAGATGAGGAAATTAAAGTTCAGAGGAATGAAGTAACTTGTCCAAGTTCCCACAGCTAGCAAGGTGCAGAACCGGAAATCAAAATCTAGGCCTGCCTCCTATCGAAGCTCGTGCTGGTAACAACCACACTGCACAGGAGAGTCCACAGGCTCTTACTGCATATTTGCTCGATGTCCAGCTTTCACGAAATAGCATCACCTACTCTAGTGTTTCTGTGCCTGTTAATTCCAGCACAACTATAACTCCAATGTGCTTTTATTCTAAAAAAATTCCCTGATGTAAATATCATTCAAAATTTCCATGAGTTTCCTTTAAGTGTGGAGTAGGATAATCTTCGCAAGCCTTTTTGGTTTTAGGCTGAGAATTCCCTGAAAGAGCATCTTTATTTTCCTCTTCCTGAAAGTTTTTACATTAACCACCTCGCCATCCATCAAATCAACTCTTCCTCACAGTACTTGAAATTTAAAATGAAGAGCTTGGGCCCAGCCAGGCTATTGCTGTGAAATTGTGTCATGCTCACTTAATATGTATGGTGCATTCTCCCAGGAAGCCTGGAGTGCAAAGTGTTATTAATTTTCAGCCAGTGTCCCAGTTTTGTCACTGGCATAGCATTTTCTCCTTCTCTGTGAAAGGTACTAAATTTCAAGTGCAAATGCTGAGCTGGAACGTGTGAGGCAGATGACACCAGATGATCCATTTCCCCCATTCCTGGAATAGTACAATCCTACTACCTGTTTGCCTCCCACTGAGGCCCCAGACTCATCAGGGTACTTCTAAGTGATGTAGCAAACAGGAGACCCTGCTCTTAATCAGAAGCTCGTGTTTCTGTTTCTTTTCTTTTCTTTTTCTTTCATTCTTTCTTTTAATTTTTTGAGACAGGGTCTCACTAAGTTACCCAGGCTGGAGTGCAGTGGCACAATTTCGGCTCACTGCAACCTCTGCTTCCTGGGTTCAAGCAATTCTCTCAGCTCTGTCTCCCGAGTAGCTGGGACTACTGGTCTACTGGTGCCTGCCACCATAACTGGCTAATTTTTCTATTTTTGTAGAGACAAGATTTCACCATGTTGCCCAGGTTGGTCTCAAACTCCCGGGCTCAAGTGATCCACCCAGCTTGGCCTCCCAGCTGCTGTTTCTTCACAGACCTGCAAGTTGTACTTTGATGCCAATCTTTTCTTTAGCCAGAATGCTGCTTACTACCAGTCCCAAAGATTGCAGTTCAATTTAATTTCAGGTAAAGAAAAACAAAACAAACAAACAAAAAAACAAGAACATCTTCTCTCTCCATCATGTGGATCAATTTAGAGACTCAGAGAAATAATAAATGGTTCAGCTGACTTCCCACCAGAATTTTTATTAATATGTATTGGCCAGTTTCAAAAGAAACAAGGTGCAGGGGCTGGCTTATTGGTTGGTAACTCAGAGATGTACCAACTTAAAAGCCACAGAAGCTATATGTTTCCTGAAAATAATATTTGTATGCAATACCTCCATGACTAAAAACCCTACTGATAGTTTATTTTTCTTTTCAATTCGGGGTGGGGTAGGTGTGGGTATAGGGTATAGGTTGTTGCATGTTGTCCCCCATTCATCCTTTATGAAAGACACAGGTGATACAGTGCCTTTACCTTACAGCTTCTTCAGTTCTCCAGGCCATCCTCTTCATTTTCTGCTTCATGTACTTCAGCACAGGCAGGTGCTTCTTTAGCTCGTTACATACTAATTATCTATTTACTGCTCTATGTCCTCACCTGACCTGTGTTTCCTTAAGGGCAGGGACTGTGCCCTACACTTAGCCTTCCCAACACCTGATAGGTGTTCATTATCATATTTTTGTTTGTTTGTTTGTTTGTTGAGGCAGAATCTAGCTCTGTCACCCAGGCTGGAGCTGGAGTCGCACAATCTTGGCTCACTGCAACCTCCACCTCCCTGGTTCAAGCAATTCCCCCGCCTCAGCCTCCCGACTAGCTGGGATTACAGGTGCACACCACCATGCCTGGCTAATTTTTTTGTATTTTTAGTAGAGACGGTGTTTCACCATGTTGGTCAGACTAGTCTTGAACTCCTGACCTCAGGCAATTGGCCTGCCTTGGCCTCCCTAAGTGCGGGAATTACAGGCGTGAGCCACTGTGCCCATCCTATTATCATATTAATATATCCTTTCATAAAGTAATTTGAACTTTACAGCTGTATCTTTATCAATATTACGTTGCAACAGTTTATAGTGTTGCCATACAGTTTAGTGTATTTCAGTTACTAAAATGCTTGGACTCAAAAAGAAATAAAATGTCAACATAAAAATAAAATGTGATCCACCAATTTATTCATTTGTTATTACTGATATTGAATAGTAAAGATAATCATACATGCAGATGTTGTCTTTGGCTGTTCTGCCTCTCCATTTTTCTCCTATGAATGTGGAATAGCAATAATTATTCCTCAAAATTTAGGTAGTGAATAATGAGTGAAATTATATTAAATTCTTTGAGTTCTTAATCTGGCATTGAGTTTTTTCCATTCTGCAAACCATCACACATACTAATCATGGAGTGGAGTGAGAGGTCTCAGTAAGTGGGGTCCTCAAGTGGGAAGGCAGGGTAATTAACTCTTATGAAGGCAGAGGCCACATCACCTTTGTTCAAGAGGTGATGTGGCAATAACAATAGCTCTTTACCTTAGAGAAACAGTCCTTGCATGATTTAGCTCCAAATATTCTTTCAGGAGGATCCTCTTCTGAGGATTAGTTTAATTTATTGTCAGTGCTGTTCAGGAAGCCTTTTCAAATCCACAGCTTAGACTTCCCTGCCACATATACACACAGGCACACACAAATATACAGACACATATATGCAAATATTTATATGCACACACAAGCACATACATACATACTCAAACACATAAACCACTTTCACTAATACATGCGTATATATACACACACATACATAGGCACATACATATATAATTACTCAAATACACAAAATGTGCAAATATGAACATACACAGCACACACACGCGGACATGCATCTACATTATTATGGACTATATGCTTATGTCCCCTCAAAACCTATATGTTGAAGCCTAATCCCTAATATGATGATTTTTGGAGGTGGGGTCTTTGGGAGGTGACTAGGTCATGAGGGTGGAGCCCTCATGAATGGGACTAGTGTACTTATAAAAGAGACCCCAGGGAGCTCTCTTGCTGTCTTTCTGCCATGTGAGGATACAATCTGAAGTCAGCAGTATGCCATCCAGAAGACGGCCCTCTCCAGACACCTTAAACTTGAGCTTTCCAGCTGCCAGAACTATGAGAAATAAATTTCTGTTGTTATAAAACACTCAGTCTAAGTTATGCTATTCATTATACCAGCCCACGCAGATTAAGACATACGTGAACACACAAACACACACGTTTACATAAGTACATGCACACATGCATACACACCCACACAAATCACTGTAGGAGTTTTGCCTCAGTGCGTAGATTTTCTCCCATTCTTCTCCTAAGGTCCCTAGGAAAGTCTGGGATATGAAGAAGGAAACAGGATAGTGTTATTTACTCTCTGCCTTAGGAAATCTAAGAAAAGTTTGCCGGCATTTCCACTCCCATTTGGGGTGAGTTACCTGAAATCTCCAGACTAGTGGCTGTCAGGAAGGCAGTTCCTCCCTAGCACTGTGTGGTCAGGACTAATGTACCTCCTGGTAGCTGTGTAGCTTTGCTAGGCTAGCATGAAGATAAGCTAAGACCCAAGTTCATTCATCTGCAGCACCAGAATGAAGCCGCTGGGGACCGGGTCCCTGATGTAGTCTCAGTCAGCACCCTAAAAGCCCAAACTCATTTACATGTCACCCGCAGAATGTATGCTTTTACATGCCACTGATCTCCTTGCCCAAATATGTGGGAAACAGCTTAGACTGCAGTTTTAGTGACTTGAGCTTAATATAAATAGCTATTTTCTTCATAGCAAAGGCTGTTAAGCATTAAAATTGCTTCCCAAGGGAGACTGTCAAGTTTTACATAAAAGTATTTGTAAATAGGGCATATTTCTATTTATCTGGGATAGTTTCTGAGTGGATAAATGGCCCAGATAGCCACTTAGTGTCTTTCTAAGCACTAACATTATCTGAAGCTTCCTAGAAAATCTCTCTCTAGCATGTGGGCAAAGTATTTCAATCACCAAACCTATAGAAATAAAAACCTTGATTTAAGGTGATGTTCTCATGGCCTTTGATTAGACACTTTGATCATTCTAGATAGATCTTTGATCTATCATGGCGCAGTGCTAAAGCCACTGATAGATTTCAAAGTTATTTTAAGAGAGAGGCACAGACAATGAGTTTACAACTAGGAGTCAGCTGAAACCTAACTTCTAATGACAGTTGCAGTATAGATGTTTCTGGCAAGTCTCTCCCTCTTTACTTATTCTTATTGTCTTTGTTTCTCAGCAGGGAAACCTGATATCTTAAAGGCATTATTTGAAAAATTCATTAAATCCTATTTTTGTAGAGCTTCAAAGATTGATATACATTGTATGCTTTCAAAAGATGAGTATAATTGTATATTTTTGAGACTTGTCTGGAAGAAGAGTCATCCTTGAGAACAGAAAAGCACTTAGAGCTTTTCTAACACTCAGCAGTCTGGGATGTAGCCTTTCTACGTCCTTCTCAGGAGAGGTGCCCTCATGACTGCAGCCACATTACCAGACTTTTTTCCTCTTCTGAGAGGAGCCTGAGCTATCACATGCATACCCTACCATATCTTGGGGCTGGAAGTTGCCATTCCTGAGAAACAGGTATGGATTGGTTCAAAAGCAATGTGGCTCTTTTTACTATGTTCTTGGGCAAACATGGAGTCTACGAGATGGATCCAGTCAAATGTACAGTGGTTTAAAGGGTAATTCCCTTAGAAAGCCTGAATCTGCAAGAAAGAAACAAATTATCCCAGAGAAGTTTCTGCAAAGAACACACCTCTCAAGCTCCTGCCTCATTTGAACTGTGTCAGAAACTTCAGTCTAGCCCCTGGGAAGGTTGGTCATTGCCTGCTGCAACCGCAAGAGGCATAGAGGTAGAAGTCAGCCTTTGAGCCTGCTTTTCTTGACTTTGGAGAGGAAAGATGACCAACTCTTCTGTGCTCTACCCAGCCATTCAACCAGCATTTCTAAACACTATTATGTGCTAGGCGCTCCTTGAAGCGTGTGCCTAATGAAATAGATACAAATGTCTACCCTTATGGAGCTTACATTCAAGTAAGGGAGAGAGACAATGATCAAGATAAGGAAAATATTATGTTAGATAGTGATAAGAGCTAAGGAGAAAACAATAAACAAGGAAGGAGGTTATGAAATACAGAGTTGGAGAATGAAGCAGGGTGTGTGTGTGTGTGTGTGTGTGTGTGTGTGTGTGTGAAATTTTAGATAGGATCTCTAAGCGAGAGACCTATTGGAAGTGAGGGGTTAGCCAAGTGGATATTTGGATAAAAATATGTGTTCTATAAACAAAGTTTTAAAAATAGTGAGGAGGCCAGTGTGACTGGAGAAGATTGAATATGGGGAAAGTGGAAGGAGATGAGAGCAAAGGGCCAACTTGGAGCTGGCTTCTGTAAGGCCCTGTAGTAGCTAGACCAGGCTGTGTTCTGAGAGAGCTGTGAAGCATCTGGAAGATTCTGAGCACAAGATGACCTGCAATTATCTATGGAAGTGTCTTCCCCAGAGGGACATGTCTGCCCTCGAACAGCACCAGGGTATACATTTGTAATTATTTTCATGTTTTAACAGGTGTTTATTAATTTTGAAATTAGAATCACTGGTGACTGAGATTCAGCGGAACCATCAGCTGGTGGTCCGTTAAATAATGGCACAGATTTCCACAGCTTTCTGAGCTGCAGCTAGGGTTAATCTTGTCTTGAAGTAAGTCTTGGATAGTTGCTTTCTCTTACACATTCCACTCCGCGTTTCTCTTTGCTCTCTTTTTAGTTCTTCCATTTCTTCCTTATTCCATAAGACCTTTTCCCAAACTTCCATCCCAAACCATACTTCCTTGTTAGAATGTGTTTTGTCAGATTTAAACTACCCCTTCTCCCTCCTTAAAAAGAGGCCAGTGATTTTGTTTGTTGTTTGAGTCACAAGAATTAAAAGCCCATCCTCTCTTCTTAAAATCCCTTAATCTTTCTTCTCCTCTTCTGTAAAATGGGTGTAACATCTGCCTCAGTGAGTTGTTAGGAGAAACAAATGAGATTTAGCCATTAAAAGAGTAATGAAATTTCCTGAAACTTTAAAAAAATTACTTTCTTTTTTGAATTTTATTTTTCCTTTTATTAAGTATTTTAACTATAACCCATTTTTTTGTTTCTTTGTTTGTTTCTAGCTTTATGGTCTGCCAATACAAGAACATCATCAATCTAATATAAACAGTTTGGTCAAATGTCTTTGGGACCTATCTATTGGGACCTATTACTTGGGACCTATTCATTACTATTATAATTAATAGTATTCTTTTGGAAAATATGTCACTGTATTACATTCATGTGTTAATTATGAATGCAATTCACAAATCTGTGATAAAAGTTACACTGCACCAGACACTCCAGACACAGGGCTAAAGAGGACTGATATTGCCACACATAAAGAAGTATTTATTACAACAGGAATAGAGTCATGTAACAAGCAAGTGCAAGCAATTGTGCTTCTTGGTAGCACAAATACAGAACCATGCAGTATTACAGAGGTGCCTAAGGTGGGGGCCTTAAGAGAATCTGAACATTCTGACGTTGAGAAACAATGCTTAGAGGTATTTGTTGTTGTTGGTGTTGCTATAAAAATCCTCCCCTTTCATGAACATTTTTTCTTTACTTATTTTATGTGTTTGTTTGATTCCCTAATTTAGGCTTTAAAATGTGCTGACTTTGTAGTCATAATTATGGTACGCTTTTCAAAATTGTTAATGCGGGTGACCAAAACCAATCCCTACCCTTTACAGGCCTGCCACAATCCTATTGATAGCGGCAACTGCCAGCTGAAGGTTTTGGATCTTGTGATTGCAATGGAAACTGGCACGATCAATCCACTTATTTGCTAAATTACCCGTGCTTCCTCTACTGTAATTCCCCCCTGCCCCCTGCGAGACAGAGTCTCGCTCTGTCGCCAGGCTGGAGTGCAGTGGCCCGGCATGATCTCGGCTCGCTGCAAGCTCCGCTTCCTGGGTTCAGGCGATTCCCCTACCTCAGCCTCTGGAGTAGCTGGGATTACAGGCGCGCGCCACCACCCCCAGCTAATTATCATTATTATTATTTTTGTATTTTAGTAGAGAAGGGATTTCACCATGTTGACCAGGATGGTCTCGATCTCCTGATCTCGTAATCTGCCCTCCTCGGCCTCTCAAAGTGCTGGGATTATAGGCTTGAGCCACCGTGTCCTCTACTGTAATTTTACTTGCCCCCTGTGGGGTAAATATTTTCAACATACTTTTTGGTACTGCAGTAAATCACATTCTATCCTCAAGGATGAAAAGCAGGAAGATTCTTATTCATTAGAATAGAGTTTCTTCCCAAACATCCATGCAAGTTTAAAGGCTCCTATTGACTATGTATTAGAAGCACTTTTTTTGTTGTGTTTTGTTTTTTACTGAAATGATATTGTTGGCTCTACAAACAAATGAAACCCAATAATGGGTTTCTCTATTCTTGCTGGTCTTTTCCTTCTTAAAAGAATCATGTGGTCATTCCTTATTTGAAAAAAAAAAAGAAAAAGACACTGAAATGCTGCAATGCCTGATAAGGAGAATCTGCAACACTTGGGCATCTTGTGTATAAGAAAAGATTCTTATCCTTATGCTACTGTCATGGAGCTTGGATATTTACAAACCTACCGCTTTTGACAAGCTTGTGAGAATTTACATAGTCTCACACCGCCCCTAATTTTTATGGCAGAATGTGTCTCACATTTGTAATATTCTCAGAGCTCCTCAGGATTCTAACCTCTCTAACTAGAGATGGTTTCTGAGCAGGCAAGAAGGAAAAAGAGGCAAAAACTGATTGCATCTTTTGTTCGCTTTTCAAAGCCAGATCTCGAAATTCCCAAGAATCCTTAAAGTTGGAGACATGTAGCTAATGGAATTCTAGTCAATCCACATATTTATGTGTTTGGAAAGTGGCTGTTATCAGTTCTTCTTAACCATGTGCACTATTGTCAGGGCCCTTCCAGGCAGCCACACCTGACGAAAGCTGTGATTGCCCTAGAT
The DNA here is from genome assembly GCF_000001405.40 of Homo sapiens. Lineage (NCBI taxonomy): Eukaryota > Metazoa > Chordata > Mammalia > Primates > Hominidae > Homo > Homo sapiens. The sequence continues at coordinate 57,888,050 of NC_000005.10, forward strand.
TTCCACTAGAGACCTCTAGCTGATCACAGGAGCCTGGAAAGCAGCTCTCATTACTGGGCGTTTCTCTAGAAGCAGCAGAGGATAAGAGTTTGCCAGTTGCCCCTGGGAGAAGGTGGACTTTACCATCAAAGGAAAATAATTCTGTATAATCTTTCTCTCTCTCATTTTTTTTTAAAGCAAATTGAGGCTTATTCAAGTAGGTATATTGTGAAACACTGAAGAGGAAATAATTTCTGTGTCTTAAAGCTATGGCATACAAAAGACAAAATAGAGATTTTTATAGATTGAAAGGCCCCTTCTCTAAGGGGCTGTTCATACTGATATTTGGAGGCCAGCCTCAATTCTCAGTGTTTGAGAGCTTCTCCTGACAGGTATGAGGGAGAATGAGTTTACTCGCAGTCTGAGAGCTTTTAGGCATTATTGTGAAGCTGAACAAAGTGCTCCCTGTGCCCCACCATGCCCCAGCCTTTTACTGCAGCCCCCTATATGTGAAGGATGGTAGCCCTCCGGGTGCATACCACCTTCAATGCCAGGCCTATAGCTGTAATCCCATGCAACAGAAACAGATGGGATACATCTGTAAGGAGAGACTGGTAGATGAAGTTTCACCGTTTTTCCAAAAACGCAAAACACATTAATCTCCATTTGCCTTTGAATAGTCTGCAGTAGAAACAGAGGACCAAAAGGGAAAATAATCTCCCCTCATTTAACCTGTGCCCCTGTGAAAAATTGTGATAGCTTGTATTTCAGAAACTGAGTGTAACTAATTTTGCCCTCTATCCATGGTCTTCACTACACAGCAGCATTAGAAAGAGAATCAAAATCGGATCAGATCAATGAATCTATAAAGCCTTTTTTGGAATGTATTGCCACCACGAGTTGATCAGTTTCTCCAGAGGCCCTCTAATACCCAGTTTTCTCTGGGGCAATTGTAGATCCTTTTGCATTCATTTTTAGGACAAATCTTGTCATTCTTTTAGGTAGACTGTCATTTGTTCATTCATTTATTCATTTGTTTTTCAAATGCCTATGCTGCTCCAGTCGCTGTGATTTGCAAAGAAAACACAAATGATGATATACAGGGCTTGAGTGGGAGTTCCTAACATTGGATCCACAGATTCCTAAAAGTGAACGACTACTTCAAGATGTCTGTAATCCTCCTAAGATGTGTGTGTGCTTTAACTATGAGAAAAATCCAAGATTTAGAACAATCTTTAAAGGGATTGATGTAAAAACTATTGTAGAGGCTGACAGTTACACGAGCAAGTAATCAGAAGACTACATTAGAATTGTCATATAGTAAAGATACAGTATGTACAGTGTCACATGAGGTCACAGGTGGAGTTTTCTCAATTGTCACTGATGACACAGGTCAGTGAAGGCTACAGAGAAGGTAGCATTTGTGTTATATGTGAAGGTTGAGTAGGAAGTGGTGAGATGACTTGAAGGGAGGGTAGACGAAAGTCAGTGTGCTCTGAGGGGCAGTTCACCTCCAGGGTCTGAGGCCACCCTGCAAGTTGGAGCATGATTGGAATTTTCTCTCCTGCAACCTGACAAATGAAGCGCGCTTTGCCATGAGTCAACTGTTACGGGAAAAGGAATTCCACAGGCATGCCCTGACTGACCACAAATGGGCGAGAGCACATGTGAGTACAGAATGCCCAAAGGTTGGTGTGGAATAATCAAAACGATTCAAATGCTTGGTGCTGTACCAGAGTTGTAGGAGGCCTAGCCTCAGCACTGTACTGCTGCTCTCACTCTCCAACCTGCACTGGAGAGGAAGGTCAACTACAGTAGGTGGAGCTCTGCACCAGGTCCAGAAAGCAGACCTTGATTCTGCAGCTGACCATCTTCCTGCTCACTTAATTCCACCAGCCTCCACTTCTGCTTCTGCACTTAACAGTTACATTTATTGAGGACCTCTATATCCCAGCCACCGTACTGGGTGAATTACCTGCCTAGTTTCATTTTATTCTCCTGACACCCTGCAAAGTAATTTTCATTTTCCAAATAGGGAAAATATACTCAGAAAATTAAAATAATGCCAAAGTAGTCATGCTGCTATAATGTGGTGATACCAAGAGAACCACAGTCTCTACTTCAATCTTGATAATTCAACTGGTTTTAAATGTCACCATCTTAAGGCTATTGATTTATCAGTGAAACAAGAGAGGTCAGTGTAATTTAACACGGTTTTGCAGAGCTAGAATACTGCATTGGGCATATATTGCTTATTTGGGAAGTTATAGATGTGAGTTTGTCTACAGGAGTGCCATATTTTGATGGTTAATGATAGTTTAATTTTAAACTTACAGGATACAGGTTAAGATTAAGCTGTTTCTTTCATGTGAGTCTCATCACTGAGATCTGATTCCACCTACAAAGGTAAGAGAATTTGAAGTAAGTAGCAACTAGTCTTCTCAGAATGTTCCAAATTGCAAAAACAAGTCTGGATTTTAATCTGAGAATTATTACTTTATCAGGATCTATCTATAAAATATACCATTTGACCATAACAAAATAAATTATAAGTTGGGTGTTTGTTTTTTTTAAGAAAAAGCACTTGATCAGCCTAATTGATAAATATTGTCTTATTCCATGGTGGGCTGTAGACAACAAAAGCAGCAAGACATTTTTTTCATATGAAGTAAAACTATGGCTTTGCATTTACAAAGAAATGTTCAATTCTTATGCTAGCATTTTAAAATCTTTTCTCATTTAAAAACATATCTAGCATATCATTGAATGTAATACTGAGTAATTTTTCTTTACATATTTTAAATTGCGTATCCAATATATTTTAGTTAACTCTACAGCAAGTGCCATAACCTAAGAAATGAACAGTCAAAAATGCAATCTTTGATAACATCTTTAGCTACTTGAATTATTTTAAATGAAGAGGGGATTTCTATATGTAGAATGCATAAAAAACCTTTAAACTGAGCAATTGTTTGCAGAACTTCATAAATACTAAAGAATTCTGGTCATTGTATTTCTTCCATATTAAAAATACACTGTAGCCATATTAAAAGATACTTCTAGCTGCTGTATTTCCTAACCTGTATATTTAAACTTGAACAGTGTATGCATTCATTATAGCATGTTATAGAACTATCTTTCTAACAAGAATATCGGTTACCAAAAGCCAATTATGATTTTTGGATATTGTGATGTAATGCAGTGAATTGACCTGCTGTTGAGTAAGACTGACTTCAGTAGTAATTCATTTAACTTTAAAATGACACACCCCAAAAGTCCCCGATGATATTGTCAGGTGCTATGCTTTAAGACAAGGCAGTTGACAGGATATTTTTCTTTCTTGAGATTTGCAAGTCTCTCTAACTTTCAGAAAAATAAAAAGCAAGTAGGTGGATATAACTCTGCTACCCTACCTATTTAGTTAAAAAGTAAAAAACCACCCAGTCACTCAGTCGAAAACACAGATGCTTGGCATTCTCTACTCAAGTTATCTGAATTTGTAATTTAAATTTTAAATTTCAAAAGAAAGAGCTGTGTCTCAGGTTCCCAGAAAGCCAGCTCTGAGATGGAGTTTGCCATGCAGGAAGTTTACTGTGGAGTGTCCCTGGGAACAGCCCCTATGCAAGGGAAAGGAAGGAAGCAGGGCTGGAGACAGGAGGAAGAGGAAATGTGATACAGTCACTATGGGCACCCTTGCCTATCATAGGGAAACTCAGAAGATAAATGACCCTTCAGAGCTGATCTGAGTTGAGGTGGAATGGCTGGGATAGTAAACTCCCATGCAGATTAGTCATTGGTTGTGGGTCACCTGGGAAGGCGACCTGACCTTGGGCAAGGTGGCTCTCTTCAGTAGAGATAATCGTGGAAGTGGCTGACAGGGGAGGTTGTCCCTCAGCAATGCTCCTAGTCACTAAGGGAATGAGTACTTCAGTCCTAAAGGGGACTCTAGGTGACATTACAGCATCCATCACAGGTTGACGTGCAGAAATATGTAGTTATCTAATGTTACTTATGTGCAGTCTAGATACTTATTTCTCATTTGTAAATTTGTGATATCTTTAGTTTTCCTGTAGTTCCTCAATAATATTGCCAAATACAGAGGTATAACCTTTTGGACACTAACAATGTCATAACAAGGAATTTATCAAATGTGATACATAACTTCTTTGTACTGTATGGAAAATATTTGCATTATGCCATTTTGGAATGCTGTAGTTATAAATTTGTGATTCTTGTGAGTCTCTTATTGTAGAAACGGCTTGGGCTTGCAATGTCAACATGGTTCCTTTACTATTTCATTGTCCTCTCATCTTCTATTCTAATATCCCATGATAAATCCTTGATATTGTTAATTTAATATTTTTTAATCTATTCTTCACCTTTAAAATGTGATTAGAGGTTATGGGAATAAATATAGTATGGAAGTCAAAATAATATTATATTGGCTGGACACGGTGGCTCACACCTGTAATCCCAGCTTTTTGAGAGGTCAAGGCAGGTGGATCACCTGAGGTCAGGAGTTTGAGACCAGTCTGGCCAACATGGTGAAACCCTATCTCTACTAAAAGTACAAAAATTAGCTGGGTGTGGTGGCACAAGCCTGTAGTCTCAGCTACTCGGGAGGCTGAGGCAGGAGAATCGCTTGAACCTGGGAGGCGGAGGTTGCAGTGAGCTGAGATCACAACACTGAACTCCAGCCTGGGCAACAGAGTGAGACTCTGTCTTGCAAAAATAAATAAATAAATAAATAATAATAATAACTATCATCCACCAAAAGCTTACTATGTGACAGGCACCAAGTGCTTTAGATAGCAGTTTATTAAAGTCTCTTTTAGAAATGATGAGGTGGAGCCTATGAGAAACTAAGTAACTTCCACCCGAAAGTAATGACTAGTGAGTAGTAGAGATGGATTCACACCCAGAACTAAAACTCCCTTATCTGCTATGCTTTACTATGCCAACACAGGTAGATAGGTACAGATATGTTGTTTCAATCATTCCACTGAAATATCCCAACACTTTTTATATCATTAGATACTGCTGAAAAATTTTAAGGGAGGCAAAAGAAAATCACATGATTTACAACATTTTTCATGTCCATGAAAATACATTTTGTTTCTATGTAAGAGCTGAATCATTCTGTTCTCTGATGGGCCATTGAATTTATTTATTAATTCACTGAATCTCTCATTCATTTAACAAATATTTGCTGGGTACCTACTATGCCCCAGGCACTTAAGATTCACCAAAGAACAAAATGGACCAAATGCTCAGTTCATGGAATTAAATTCCAGTGAAAGGAAAGAGATGATAAATGAGATGGAGAAAGAAATAAGTGAAGGATAGGGAGATCAGGAGTGGAGACAGTTGCTGCTTTACATAGGAAGGCCAGCATAGGCTAATCTATGATCAAAGACAGAAGGGAAGGGAAGTATATAGCCCCACAGATACTTAGAGGAAGAGCATTCCAGCAGCTGGAAGACCCAGTGCGTGGTCAAAGATATGAGTGTGTACATTGTGTGCATGGAGAAGGCTGATACTACTAGAGCAGAGTGAACCAGAAAGAATTCCTTTCCTTTATTTTTAAAGGCTTTCCTTTAAAGGTGACAAAAGAATCAGTCAAAAGACCTGCTCAAACTTTCTTCAGCCCAAGTTCTTCAGCAAAAGCTTGGGTCAATAACAGACCCAAGTTCACATTGGAGATGGAAGGCAGGATAGACTTGAGCAATTGCTTCTAAGAGCAGTGGAACTGATGCATGGCTGTTCACATGTGAAGTTTTGTTTTTCTCAGAAGGGCATGAGCTGTCCTACCCTTTAAGAGAATGTGCAGACATGATCGCAAACAGGGTACAAATGCTGGTCCATGGAGCAAAGTCTTGGGAGAGTTTACTGACCCAACTGGGTGCATTGAAAATGTGCTCAGGGAGTTATTATGTCATGATCTGTGGATTAAATCCTCCCTAATTATGCAGTGATGAAGCAAAGAAGAGTTCCTCACCACAGCTTTGATGATGAGAATTTGGGCTCTTGGAAACATTCTCAAAGACTTCAGTCAGTCTTGCTCTCTTCTTTCGAATCAGATCAAAAGGGGACACATTTGGGAAAAGTTCTCAATTCCAGTGATTCTTTCTCAGCAAGATTGGATAAAGTTAGGAAAGAAAGCAAGGGGCTTGGTTAAAATCAGTGAGGATCAACTTGTTATATTAATGTAATGTCAAATATTTGTTTGGTTTTTGTGTATGATACTGTTAAATTTATTTGATTATGCAAACTTTATTTATTTATAAGAAAAATGAATGTAAAGATACTAAATCTGTTACAGAATGAAACCAAATCATGTCTCTTAATATTTATACAAGCAGTGGAAGAAAATCTCTCTGATGTCCTTGAATTTACACTATGTTTACATTTCTTTCTTTGAAGCTGTAATGAAATCTGGCATATAGATTCTAACTGTGTTTATGCAGAATAACTTGAGTGAGATTTAAGGTCTAAAAAGAAAGTGGGTGTGGAATATTTAAAACCCAGAATCAAAGGCATCTCTATTTACGATAACTTTCAGCTGTATAAAAACATTAAGAAAGATTATTTAAATCCATCTTTTATTTCATAAAATATTTCATCATTGTTCTAAAATCAGAATATTCTTTCCATTGGTATGGATCAAAATAAATTCAAAGATGTGATACATTCTAATAATTAATGGGGTTTTAAAAAATGGTTGTTAATTAGAACAAATAACAAAAGAACCTTCTTTTATAACTTAATTGTAAATTTTCTTTTCTCCGATTATAAAAATATTAAACAGTTATTTTAAAGAATTTGGAAAATACAGCAATTTGCTTAGAAAAGAAATTGTAGTTAGGTGTAGTGGCACGTACTCATATTCCCAGCTACTCAGGTGGCTGAAGTGGGAGGATTGTTTGAGCCCAGGGGTTCAAGTCCAGCCTAACCAACATAGCAAGACCTTGAAAAGAAAGAAAGAAAGAAAGAAGGAAAGAAGGAAAGAAAGAAAGAGAAGAAAGAGAGAAGAAAGAAGAAAGAATTAAAAATTTCATTAATATACTACTCAGAAATAATTCTCAGTATTGTGATATACTACAAATAGATATCTTGGGAAATTATACATGTTTGTATATTGCATCAAAACTGAAATAATAACATGAAATAATTTTGTTTCCTAATTAGTTTTTAATTATATTTATAATAAAAAATCTATTACCAAAGGATTAAAAGTAAAAGTTCTCTCACCCCAACCTTGACCTCTGTTTCCCAAGGTAATTGCTGCTGATTGTTGTATATTTGTTCCAATTTGACAGAGATATTACAATTGTATCATCCTACAGAAAACATTAACATTGTATGTTTGTCGTCATGTATCTCATGGAGAATCTTAAAAATCAAAGAGATTAGCAGGGTATATAGCATATAAACAAGTACAATAAAGGACGCTTTTTTGTAAGGCTTTCTCTACATGTAATTTTTAAGTTAAGATATTAAGTCAATGATATCAATTTGACACTTTTCCAAGTCTATACACTAGAGTCTGTTTCCACATCCTAGAAGATAACACGTAGGTAGGTAACTCTCCACTTACCAGAGAGAATCAGTAATCTCAAAAGCCAGCCTATTCCACACAGTATTGCTCTGCCAAATCCCTGCCTCTTTCCTACCTCACCACTCAAGAACTGATGTGCTTTCACGTAGAGGCCATGACCATCTTTGCCTTGGCCTTCACTGGATCCCCTGTCTTCTATTGTATCTGTGCCATGAGATGCAATGCTTCTCTGTGCTTATCTTTCCAGGCTTTAAAAATCCCTTCTGTGCATAAGTTGGTCATCACTTGTATTAAATTCCTTGGTTTCAAGTTTCAAATGATAAAAACTTTTCTCCTTCTTAAATTCCTGTTTTCAATTTCTTGTTACAGTCTTAAATACTTGGCATCCGAAGGGAGACAAATGCTCATTCTACCCTAATATTATATCTTCACTTTGCTTGAAATCAACTGTTGATACTTCCAAAAAACAGCATTCCACAACATTTTGTGGCTAGGAATTCCCCAAGTCATGCAGCAGCCTGCTGCTTTCTAATAAGGATAGAAATTTCAGATCTTTCTTACTATTAAATCTTGGTACAAGTTCATTCAAAGAAAGTTTAGGCTAATTAAAAAATTATGTCCTTTAACTTAATTCCCCAGTACCTATCTATCTATGATGTAATTGATCATGAATGGTTTCCACTGGCATACATTTTCAACTACCAACATGCCTATTTTGAGGAGCTGTGTTCCACTCTCTTGAAGTGCCTTGGATTGTGCCACAAGGATTCCTAGTAAATGCTTGTGATAAATTAAAGTCTTAATTAAGATGCTAATATGCATAGCAATTGCTATTAAATCAGCTTCCTTTGGTGGATAGAAATGGTATTTCATATCACTTATCCAATAGCATGTGTAATTATTCTGAAAACTCCTAAAATTCCTGAAATTTATTCTTTCTTCATTACTTCTTCATGTTCCACCTCTTCTCTTTCCTATGATATATATTATATGTGTTGTAGATACTTTAGTAATTTCAACCTCTATTATTCCAGTCAAACATCCCAACTGAAAGAAAGGTAAGGAGATGAATGCCCTCTGGCCCTGGATGATATGTAAGAAGAACCTAGCTCTGTAGCTTAAATTCCCCAAAACAAACAGAAAATGAGCAACTCCATGAGTACTGAGATTTGTACAACTTTTATCATGACCTAAAGTGACTTGAGTAATTGTATCCCAGGCCAAAGAAGGCTTCTACTCATTACTAATTCAATGAGTATGTTTAAAAATAATAAACTAATATGTTTAAAAATAGTAATAAGTAAACAAATGATTTCAAGCCAATCTCAGTATGATTAACTGAATACAAATTATAATAGAAGCAAGATGGGAGGCTGAGAGAGGAGAATCCCCTGAATCCGTGAGTTGGAGGTTGCAGTGAGCCAAGATCACGCCATTGCACTCCACCCTGAGCAACAAGAGCAAAAATCCATCTAAAAAATAAAAAATAAAAATAAAAATAAAAATAAAAATAAAGATCAATCATGTTTTCTGGTTCTGCGGGAGGAGGAGAGAATACAAACTTACACTGAACAATTTTATTTTTTAGGATTTCCAAAAGATAGAGCTAAAATTAAGCCTAGATTGAGTTCATGGTAAGTAGAAATAAAAACAACCTAAAGATTTCCCCTGATATAGTCAAAGCATACTTTACCAGTACATAGTTCTGAGCTAGAGAAATCTTTTACAGGTTTACAAGATGGGTAGCCACACACTTTAAAATGTTCCTCTAATGGGAGCTGTATCCTCTTCTCCACCTGTGGCATCTTGACCCCTCTCCACTTCAACCAAGGCTGGATTTTCTCTACTCCCTTTCTTCTCTAGCGATCACAAGAGCTCATCCCCAGAAAAAAATGTCAAGTCTAATCCAACCCACTAAGATCTCATCTTAAAAACTGCAATAAAACAAATAGTCATAGTATAGAGAACATGTATTAAATGATCTCTATTCACTAACTTGTTTCCTTCAGGTTTACAAGTGAAAGCAAAGCATACTTTACCAATACATAGTTATGAGATACAGAAATTTGTTTTCACAATGGGCCATTTTCCCCCATTTCCTCCTTTAAACATCCTCCTTCTTAATGCTCCCTGCATTCTCCTCAAGCTGTCAAGTTTAATCAAAACTTGTTCTGATGGAAAAATTTGCTATGCATATCACTTCTGCATAAGAGAATGGAAATAGTTTAAAGCAGCGGTCCCCAACCTTTTTGGCACCAGGGACCGGTTTCATGGAAGACAATTTTTCCACGGATGGAGGTTGGGAAAGGTTTCAGGATGAAACTGTTCCACCTCAGATCATCAGGCATTAGTTAGATTCTCATAAGAAGCATACAATCTAGATCTCTCGCATGTACAGTTCACAGTAAGGCTTGCGCTCCTATGGGAATCTAATGCCACCGCTGATCTGACAGGGGGCGGAGCTCAGGTAGCAATGCTAGCTTGCCTGCTGCTCACCTCCTCCTGTGTGGCCTAGTTCCTAACAGGCCATGGACTCATACCAGTCTGCGCCATGGGATTTGGGGACCCCTTGTTTAGAAGATCACCAATTCCAGGAGCATTTTCATGGAATAACCCAGTGCTATATATTTTTTAAAGTTAATTTCAATTTTTTTAGAGACAGGGTGTTACTCTGTTGCCCGGGCTGGAGTGCAGTGTTGTGATTCATAGTTCACAACAGCCTTGAACTTCTGGAATCAAGCAATCCCCCCACCTCAAGCTTCCTGAGTGGTGGGGACTAGAGGTGTGTGCCACCATCCGTCTAATTTTTTCAATTTCTTTTTAGAGAGAGGATCTCATTATGTTGACCAGACTGGTCTTGAACTCCTCCCCTGAAGCTATCCTCCTGCCTCAGCCTCTCAAAGTGCTGGGATTCCAGGTGTGAACCCCAGTGCAACTTCAGCATTTATAAAATAGTTCAAATTCATTGAATTTTAGAAATTCTTACAATCTCCCGTGGTAGGTATTAGTAACTTCATTATACAGATAAGCCAATCAGAGCATAAACAGGTCGGTGGCTTGCCCTTACTCACAGGCCTAAATAAGTGGCAGAGCCCGAGTCTTAGCATACCTTTCATTGAAATCCTTTCTCTTAGAGCACAGGTGCCTTTAAAGGAGCTTAAAGTCTGAGTGTAAGTGAACAGCCCTATGCAAGAGAATTTCAGGTACGTAAGATTTGATGAAAAGGGAAAGGCAAAACTTTTTGGAATCTATCAGATTTTGGTCCATTGTATTTAATTGAATTGTTGAAAATGTATCTTTACAAATATCCACATATAATTGTCTGATATTAAGGTTATGACCAAAGGATTCTGATACTCCATTTGATGTATAAGAGGAATTCTGTGGGGTATTTGCTTGAAAAGACTCTTCATGTTAGAACTTTTAGCCAGCAAGTCATGTTGAAGCCTGCTATGCTTCTTAATGCACAAACAAAACAAAACTAAACTAAACTAAACTAAAAAACCCACTCCAGCCTAATTTTGTTTTGCTCTTTTCTCTCCCTTTTCCAGTGTTGCTTTTTGACTCTATACTGCCCTTGTTGTACTTGCATGAATCCCTTCTTCTTAGCCTTTCAAGGAAATGATGAATGGCTTCGTATCTTGCCCATCTCACTCTTCTGCTTCCCAATAGCTGCTAGAAAATAATTCAGCACCAGTTTACTTTTCAGTGTGTGTGTTATGGACTGAATGTTTGTGTCCCCCCAAATTCATATGTTGAAGTCCTACTCCCCTTAGGATGGTTTTTGGAAGTGAGACCTTTGGGAGGTAAATTAGCTTTTAGGTTTAGATGAGGTCAGTGGCCCCCGTGATGAGGTCAGTGGCCCCTTATAAAATGAAGAAGAGGCCTGGCACGGTGGCTCACGCCTGTAATCCCAGCACTTTGGGAGGCTGAGGCAGGAGTATCACGAGGTCAGGAGATCGAGACCATCCTGGCTAACACGGTGAAACCCTGTCTCTACTGAAAAATAGAAAAAATCAGCGGGCGTGGTGGCAGGCACCTATAGTCCCAGCTACTCGAGAGGCTGAGGCAGGAGAATGGCATGAACCCGGGAGACGGAGCTTGCAGTGAGCCGAGATTGCGCCACTGCACTCCAGCCTGGGCGACAGAGTGATACTTCGTCTCAAAAAAAAAAAAAAAAAAAAAAAAAAAAAAAAAAAAAAAAAAAAAAAAAAAGAAGAAGAAGAGAGGTCAGAGTGCTCTCTCTCTCTCTCTCGCTCTCTCGCTCTCTCTCTCTCTCTCTGCCATATGAGGACAGAGCCAGAAGGTAGTCCTCCATAGACAAGTGAGAGAACCATCACCAGCAATGGAATCTACTGCCACCTTGATCTTGGACTTACAGTCTCCAGAACTGTGATAAATAAATATCTGTTGTTTAAGCCACCCAGCCTATGGTATTCTATTACAGCAGCCTGAGCTAACCAACACAGTATGGTTTGTAGCTAGTCTGTGTGATTTTACCACACTCCTAGTACCTTTCAGAAACTACTGTAGTACGTGACGTTTTCTATTTATGCAGCTGTGCAGTGTTCAGTTCACCTTGGCTAAATGAACAGTGACACTTTGGACACTGTAGTACATATTTCATATACTAAGATACTGTTTATTTGACTATTCATCTAATAATAATTCATTATATTCCACAGTTTTTACCTTAAAAGATTGTAGTGTCAAGCCTGAACTGTGCATTATTTTTTAAGTCTGTGTAATTTTAAAATGCTGCGTTTGCACTGCATTTTAATTATAATTTTTACCCAGTTCTTGCAAGCATGATTGAGGCAGCTGAATATTTTATTTTAAGCCCTGAAAATAAGATGGGGCTTAGCGATGTCTTCAGTGATCATCGTAGGGAAAGGGATATTTGCAGTAGAACATCCAGGACTACCGTGCAGGCCTGTGGGTTATAGCTTGACCTACTTGCTTGCAGTTCTCTCACTAGAAAAGGTAGTCCTCCCTGCTCAGGCATTTGGCAGAAAGCCCAATGAAACTACTTCTGTTTTTGGTGAGAGCAACTGATCTGAGGAATTTTTGAATACAGAGGAGAGAAATAGGGCATTTTCCAAGGTCCCAGTAAATATAGGAACGTGGAATGACAGCATTTTGGAATATGTATGCAGGGCACCAGGGAGCATGAGCTATGTGGCTGGATGCCTGGTGGGAATGACTGTCAGAAGTTTCATTTACAGGCTCCTGCAGGTTTCACAGAGAATCATTAGATATTATTTTTTCAAGACTGAAATGAGATAATAAAAATATGTTGACCTAAACACTGCCTACCAATTTTCTATTTCTATGTATTGCCTCTTATGCTGCAAGATTAAAAATAACATAATAAGAAAAAAATAATAGCTTCTATGTATTGAAGACCTAGGATGGATTAGGTACAGATTTAGGCCTTTAATATTTTATCTAATTAATCCCTCACAGAATCCCACAGATTTGTGTGCCTATTTGATATATCTAAGATGAAGCATAGACTTACAAAAAATAGTTTCTGGGCTGGGCACGGTGGCTCATGCCTGTAATCTCAGCTCTTTGGGAGGCCGAGGTGGGTGGATTACCTGAGGTCAGGAGTTCGAGACCAGCCTGGCCAACAAGGTGAAATCCCGTCTCTACTAAAATACAAAAATTAGCCGAGGGTGGTGGCGGATGCCTGTAATCCCAGCTACTCAGAAGGCTGAGGCAGGAGAATCACTTGAACTCTGGAGGTGGAGGTTGCAGTGAGCTGAGATTGCACCTTGCACTCCAGCCTGGGCAACAGAGCGAGACTCCATCTCCAAAAAAAAAAAAAAGAAAAATAATAGTAACAGTAACGATTTCTGAAGTTCACATAACTATGCCATAGAAATGAGATTTAAACCTGACTCTGTTTAATTTAAAGCCAAATCCAAGAGCAGAAACATTTGGCGTAACTAATATATTGCATTCCCTATTCCCACATAGATTTTCATCCTTACAGTTGTAACAAGTTTCTCAACAAGCCAATTAACTTATTTTCATAGGTCAATTTTATGATTCATTTCAGGTTCTAGGAGTAAGCTAGGAGTTATTTCTATCACCTACCATAATCAAAGCATGCTCCTCACCACCATCTTTGCCATAATCCCAGGAGATCCTATACTTCCCCTATTCAAATTAGACCTGCCTACACCAGTCTCATTTGCAAAATGGAATTTATGTTCATTTTCAGTCATATCTGTTAGATTGCAAGTATACAAACGAACAATTTTGGAAATTTGTTTATATCCCATTATATTCTTCTTAGAGTAAGCTCATGTTTGGTGGCCAGGTGATAATTACATATTTTTCAATACACCTTAGAGATCTATCTAATTCAGTGTCCAATTTCTCTTTATTCCGTGAACTCTTTAGGTCATATTTGCTAAATTTCAGATTTTAATATCCAGTTTTATTTTTATGTAATTCGACAATGCTTCAAACTCACATAAAGATATATACTGAGGTGAAACCACTGGTATTTATGAAAATTGCGTTCTTGCATTAGCCTGTTCAAAACCCCTCAGCACTGAGAGATAAAATTTCAGTCTAAGTAGGTTAGCTCCATTTGATTTATGAGTGCCAAATCCTAGTCTTTGGCACAATTCCCTGGTATGGGAACTTAATACAGAGCCTCACCCATAAGCCAGACAAATGAGTCTTCTGTTTGGGATATAACATATATCTAAAGCAATGCTTCTTAAACATTTTCATCTTGTGGGCTATCATCCAGGCTTTGTGGTTGCTACTAAAAATCCTGTCATTAAAGTGACTTCTTGAGCAGCAGGCACGATAATGGACTGTTCCATCCTTCTGTGGATGAAAGGCAATTTCATCTAGTATTTAAAGAAACAACAAATGTTACAAACATATGAAAGAGAAGATAGAATAATATCTACTGCTTTATTTGATAAATCTTGAAATCAAACTTATATTTGCCTTTATACTCTCCAAGTTATACAGATTAGGTGTGATGCAAAGTGCAGAATGTAAAAGGAGATTGTCATACTCCACTGTAACCCACTATTATTACTATTTCTTGAAAATCAGTATCTAAGAAAAGTGCAAAACTCAGTTACTTGTGGCAAAAGGCCTTGGCCGGGCTTGCCTATAAAAAGCCCCTCAGTGGACATTCATAGAGCATTGTTGGGTGCAGATCAGGGGAGGTTGCTCAGCACTGGCAGAACAAACATTCCAAGTTTTGGAGCCTGAATATACAGCCTGGGTAGCATGCTAAGTAGTAGTTCTATTGCCTGATAAGTTATTTCTGGATGTCAATGTGCCCTGAGTATAGGAGACAGTAGTGCTATAGTTATCTGACTTTGTGGACTTCTCCCTCCACCCAGGCTTCCAAGACCCTCAATACAGGAAAACACAAATGAGACAATGGGGCTCATGCCCATCCACTTACATCTTTACCCCGTGTAAATTCTTTATACTCCTTAGCTGATTTTGGAATGAAGAAGAGTAAAAGCAACATTGAATTGAGTCCAAGTCATCATTCTTGCCCATCGTCATCTCATGAGCAGACTTTGAAATCTGATCTCCCTCACTTGTAACTTATAGATAGCTGTATGAAATAACAAATATCTTAGGAAGCCCAACTGATTTAACTTTCAAGAAAAAGAAAAGAAATTATAAATATGATGATACTAAAAGAGCTAAATAGATGTTACTTAGGTAAAAAACAAAATGTTTGATCCCTGACTCTGAAACTCAGACATCCTGAATTATATAACTGCTTTCTATGTTTCAAACCACAGGGCATACATAAATGTGCAAAAGTGTAGGAAAAAGATTTTAAAGCATGCCTTTTGCATAAGACATACTACACAAGTAACAGCAATGAAGGTGAAATCTGTGAGTGAACAAAATTCAAAAGTAGGCAGAGTTTTTTCATGCTCACAGAGAAAGAGAATTATGTAAGAAATATACACATAGCTCTTAAAAGGTGGGAAGCATGTGGGAAACACCAGTTTTTGCAATAATGACATCTCTGTTATTATGAGGCTTTGAGATTGCCAAGCTGCTGAAAATGAGAGTTCCTCAAATGTCTTGGCTATTCTCCAGTTACAACTACTATCCAATCCACCATTCAACTATAAACACATTATCTACTATGGAAGACTTCCTCAACCATCACATGAGGGATAAACTTTTCATTTTTTTCTGAGACTTTGACATTACCATGAGTGTATTATTCAGGACCCTCATAGCTGTGGGAGACAGCAACCCAACTCAGATTGTCTTAAGCCAGAAAAGGAATTCACTTACATGTATTTGAAGAGGCAACAGCTCCAGATGCTCAAAACACTGGTTTATTTTTGGACTCCTTGATGGATTAAGGTGAATAATAAGTTGTTACTGGAAAATATTTCTGTTGTAGGATGGGGTTTACAGTCAAGTAGACATAAGTTCAAATCTCAATTCTACCACTTATTAGCTTTGTGATCTTGGGACATGACTAAACTCTGAGCTTCTGATCGCTCCTGTGTAAAATTGGCATAGCATGAAAATTCCTTGAGAAAAGGACAAAAGAAGCATTACCACCTTCTCTTTTGGGGACCTCATAAACCTCTGAAAAGGACCAAGTCAGAGAGAAGAGCTTGTGTGGGCAACCAGCTGAGGAATACAGCAGGTAAAGCACAGGTGTACCCCAGAACAACCTGCTTTGTGGGTTGGGAGCTTTTTAGATAACAGGATGAAATAGATACCACCAGAGAGGTATCACAGAAATAGCAGCTAGGGACATAAGCAAACATACTTCTACTCTCTCCTACTGAAATGGAGGTTAACACTAATGCTACTCAGTGACAGCATGACATGTTCAGCCCTCTATTAATCAGTAAGTTAGATTCTATGGTAAAATAATGTTTATATCACAAGTGTTATAAATATATTCTAATCTAAATATTAGATATAATTTGAGTTAAATTTAGCTTAAAATTTTTGAGATGTATTTTTAATTCTTAATTTTTGTGAATTAATGAAAGTGGATGCTAATCTTAATGTTTAAAAAAATAGACATATGAATTAAATTATATAATGGACATGTGACACATGTTCAGATCTCTATCAAGGAAATTAAACATGTAGAGTTTATTTAGGAACTCAAAGCCTGAAGCAGGGAAAATGAAAATGTCCAGGTCTATATGGAGAAAAGGAGCAGAGGATTCCTGAGTAAGATCACTTACTTAAGAAAGTTCTTACATGGATTTAGCTGAAGACTACCCTCCTTAGAGAACTAACACAGGAACAGAAAACCAAATGCTGCATGTTCTCACTTATAAGTGGGAGCTAAATGCTAAGAACTTATGAACACAAAGAAGGAAACAGACACAGACTACTTGAGCGGGGAGGTTGGGAGGAGGGAGAGGAGCAGAAATGATAACTATTAGGTACTGAGCTTAAAATACCTGGGTGATGTAATAATATGTACAACAAACCCTTGTGACATGTGTTTGTCTATGTAACAAATCTTCACATGTGCTTTCAAATCTAAATTTTTTTTTTTTTTAAAGGTGAGTTTGTAGCTCAGCCTCTCAGCACATGATCTTACTTAGGATCACTGGAGAAGAAAATTGAATGTATAGATGGCACTTTTCCTCTCTGGCAAAAATTGGAAAGCAATTTGCCTTTCACAATATACAAAAGCAATAAAGTATATTTTGGAAGAAAAGGCTATGTTGCTTCACGGTAGTACAGCCCTTGAGACATAGCCAAAATATTTTTCTTTTTTTTCCCCATTTTATAGCTGTTTTGTTCTTGAGTAGTTCAAGATTAAAAGCCATCATTAGAATGCTTTTCCTATTTTAAATTTTAACCTAAAATTATTCTTTTGCAAATTCAGGTTGTGTTTCATGCCTAGACCAATAAACAAGATACTCATGTTGACTATTAACCAAAAAGGGGTCATTGGCTAGACATTGAAGTTCTTTAAGTCTAGGGAATTATTGGACTCATGACTTCTTTTTTTTTTTCAGGCCTTGTCATTTATAGGCTTGGCTCAATTCATCGTAATAAACTCAGTAGTGTGTCTATGCGAAGATGGAGAAAAATCTTTGTCAAGAATGCTACTAATAGCTGTTTCAGCTATCTATTGTTCCATAAAAAGCCATGCCTAAATGTAGTGGCATATAAAGAAATTATTTTAGGCCAGGCGCGGTGGCTCATGCCTGTAATCTCAGCACTTTGGGAGGCCAAGGAGGGCAGATCACGAGGTCAGAAGATTGAGACCATCCTGGCTAACATGGTGAAACCCCGTCTCTACTAAAAAATACAAAACAGTAGCCAGACATGGTGGCACGCCCCTGTAGTCTCAGCTACTTGGGAGGCTGAGGCAGGAGAATCACTTGAACCCGGGAGGCAGAGGTTGCAGTGAGCCAAGATCGCGCCACTGCACTCCAGCCTGGGTGACAGAGTGAGATTCCGTCTCAAAAAAAAAAAAAAAAAAACATTAAAAAAGCGTTCTGCTAGTCTTGTTAGGGGTCTTTCTTTTTTTTTTTTTTTTTTTTTATTATACTTTAAGTTCTAGGGTACATGTGCACAACGTGCGGGTTTGTTGTTAGGAGTCTTTCACGCAGATGCAGTGGGGTGGTAGCTGAGCCTAGAGCTTCTAAATGGCTTACTCAGATACCTGATGATTGGAGGGGACATCTGGACGCTAGGACATCTCTTTCTCCACACCATCCTTTTATGTGACTAGATTGGGCTTTCTATAAAATGGAAAGCTTTGGTCAGATTTATCACAAGACTAGCCTAGATTCAAAGGGAAGAGAAATAAATTCCATCTTTCCAAAATTTGTGGCCATCTCTAATCTATCATACTTATCCTTGAGTATTTTTAGTCAAAATGATATTTTTTCCTTTTCCTATTATAGGTTTTTTTCTTCTTCTTTATTTTCCTCAAACTTCGTTATTGGTTTTTGTCTCCAGAGATTACAGGGATTTCTGAGAGAGTTACCTCTTTATTTTGCAGTATGCCAAAACTTTGGCATTTCTAAAGGGCCTCTTAGAGGGCAGGAACTCGATTTCATTCCTGGGCTGAGTATCAGCAAACGGCAGTCAGAACAATGATGACGGCCAAGCCTGTAAGATTGTTTGAAAGCAGTCTGGGCAAGTTGGTCCAAACGATCCCCAAAATGTGGGCCAGGATCCAGCCTGGGTCCCGTATTTGTCACTAGACAACTGGGCTCTGCCAAGGCCACAATGAAGATGTCCAACAAACACACACAACACTGCTGACTCTGCTTCCCAGGACAAGGCAGCTCTGCTTTTTCCTCCCCACACCCACAGCACAGCGCATCCCTGGGTAATGACAGGTCTCATCTTTATTAAATAAATCACATTGGCATTACAGCACTCCCGTGAACTCCTTGAACTTGCCAAATTTGCAAAAACCAAAGCATTATGGGGACTTGGCCATGAAGTTTAAATCTGTTTCTTAGGGCGGACTTTTAAATGGTTATATTTGTGGATACACCCCATTCTTAACTGTTGCATAATGGGTAATGTGAATTTTAATCAAAGAGCAGCGTTTTTGTTGTTGTTGTTTTAGATAGATATGTGATAATTCTTCTTTCATTCTGAGCAGTCAGACAAATAAATGACTCTGGAAATTATGGGTCCAAATGGTCTTCCTAGACGTAAAGCCTAAGTAGAAAAATATTTGACCTCACTCATTACTAATCTAATAACAGATTTTCAGATTCTTGGATGGCCATTGTCTAGACTTTTGGCTATGAAAATGTGTATGGAACTTTTCAGTCATTATTATAACAATTTTTAGCCTTCTCTGCATAAATAAAACCAATTTCAGCAGAAAAAAAGTGCTGTGGGGTTCATGGGAATCATTTCATATGTAATATTTAAGTGAATAACCATGTCTTAAGAATTTTACTGATTACAAAGGAGTAGAGAGAAATAAAGTATGAGGAATAGATGGAGTTCTTTCCTTGCAATGGAGATAATAAGGTCCAACAAAAACACCATGAACAAGCTCATATTCGAGTTTAAATGGTGAAATTAAGGGCAGAGTTTTGTTTGCTTAATAGCTTGACTATTCTATGATGTTGGAGTTACTAACCATAGAGAATGTTAAGTACCAAAATGAATACTAAACTCTGATAGGAGCTCGTAAACAAAAGGGGAATGGAGGCTGAAGGGGACAGATAGATAAGCATATTGATAAAACACTCTCATCATTTTCTTTCTTTGTCTCATTGGATATCTTTGTGATTACACGATGGTAAATTTTTGTATTTAAGTATTTAGGAATGACCACCAAGGCCTTATGCCAAAGTAGAAATTTTGAAAGAATAAGAGTGGAAATCAACATTCACCTGGGGTGTGGACCTGTTCATGGCTTAATGATGACCACATAAAAGAAGATAATTATGATATCTTTTGTGTCATAGATTGTATGTATGATAGTTAAGAAAAGAAACTCAGATCTGCTTTTGAGTTCAGGCTTTGGTGGAAACTAACTAATTATGGGCATGTTCCATAATATCTTAGGTCTAGGTATCTTCACCAATAACACAGGGATAATAATAGTGTTATCTCATTATATTGTTATAAGAATTAATTGAGATAATATATGTCAGGCATTTAAAATGTCTTGCATATAGGTAGACTCAATAAATACTGGCTGTGAACACTGTTATTATCATCAGTATTATTATATTGTGTCCATGCTTTTTACGTCCCCAGTACCCAAAATTTATAACACTCACGGATGCCTCCCCTTTCTTTCTAATTTTTAAACTCCTGCTAGCATGATCCCAGACCAAATAAATATGTACTTTAAAGTACCTATTTTGAAGAATTCCATCATTTTATTTATAGTCATGGCTATGAAGGCTTTTACAAGATTTAAACTGTATGCCTGCTCAGTCTTACACGTTGGACATATCACCATTTGAAAACACCAACTTTTACAAACTCTCTTTTCTACGTAGCTGTCTCACTCTCTCCATTGCACTTTTTTCAAGACACCTGCATGAAAATTCATTTTACTGACTGATATTTCTACTACTCATTGTCCTTTTTAGGATTGTTCTTAACCATGCCCAAGTCCTAAGGCAATTTGGTGATGACATGTTATAAACAACATTATCTCCATAATGAAAAGGTGGCTTGGGAGGGAAACAGTCACCTTTGGCTTGCTGTCAAGCATGGGTCACTGAGGTCATTAACACTGTTTGCTCTACTTGACCAAATACTCTTTTTTGGGTATGGTGATGGTTTGCTGGGTGGACATGTCTGACATGTGACTGATGTAATTCGTCCTTATTCCAAGCAAATTGTTAAATTAAAAATATTCGTTGAGGTTCTGCTCTGCACTTTTATCATGTTTTTATGCAGATTCTTCAAATTGCAAGCTCCGCCTCCCAGGTTCACACCATTCTCCTGCCTCAGCCTCCCCAGTAGCTGGAACTATAAGCGCCCACCACCACGCCTGGCTAATTTTTTGTATTTTTAGTAGAGATGGGGTTTCATCATGTTAGCCAGGATGGTCTCGATCCGCCCTCCCTGGCCTCCCAAAGTGCTGGGATTACAGGCATGAGCCACCGTGCCCGGCCAATACCTAAAATAAAGTTCTTACTTATTAGAGAAACAATAAAATATGATCATAATGAAATATATTATTTAATGGCTTGGTAACATATTTTTGCAAGCAGTAGATGATATGATGACCACTATTAATCTGGATTTCTTTCTAACGTTTTTCCTGCCTGTCTCAGTAGAAGCTAGATTGTCATTCATTGCTAAGGGAAGAACAATCATGGCTGGAATGTTCTGGTGATTGGGTGTGTGTGATGGTCTCTGTAATTTTATAAAACTCTCCAGGGCTATCTGATAACACTCACTACCACCTCTTTCCCTGCTTCTTCTGGAGATCACAGAGGGACCCACTCCTTCTTCATGCTCCTTTTCCCCTTTTTTATTTGCTAGGTATCATCTCCATAGGAATAGATACCACCACATGAAAAAACATATGAAGATTAAAAGTGCTCTTATGCCCTTTTAAAACCTCATTTCTTAATTTTTATTTGCTTTCTTTTTAATCTTATTTCTTTTATTTTTCTATCAATTCAACTCTACAAAGAGAATAATAAAATATTGTATCAAGCACTCATTTGCCACATGTAATGGGTAAATATTATTTTTGAATTATTCAAGAAAATATTTAAAATGGCCAAGATAGATAGGGTAATATTTGCGAGGGTCTAGAAAAATTTCTATGGAAGAAATAGTGACATAGTAAATGTTCACGGTAGTACATAAACAAGGGGCTGCCTGCAGCCTTCTTGGGAATTATCATCTTCATATCTGCTTCTAGCAGCCTGATTGCACTGGTTTAACCATTTTAAAATAAGGACATTTAGGACTTAATTTGTTCATATGGACAAATATTCAAAAATACAAGTACATAGATGATATCTATCATATATTTATTCAGTCAAATTTAGTTGAGCTCATATATTTGTACACTCACAACAATTACTATTCCTTCATTGAAAATTTATTAAATATTGTACTTTGTGGATATTAAAATGGTGAGAATAAAACTTTAACCATTCATAATAAAACATCTGTGGCACCAGTTTATTCAGTTGAATTCTCCACTTAGGTCACCAACATGTATTAGAACTGTACACAATAGTTTTTAAAATAAACGTAATCTAGAACTATAAGGATTTCAAGTAAATTGGTTATTTATAGTTATTTATTGAAAGAACTGAGGCCAAACATGGTGGCTCATGCCTGTAATCCAAGCACTTTCAGAGGCTGAGGGGGACAGGTCACTTGAGGCCAGGAATTCAAGACCAGTCTGGCCAACATGGCAAAAACCTGTCTCTACTAAAAAAAACAAAAAGAAACAAAAATTAGCTGAGTGTGGTGGCACACACCTGTAGTCCCAGCTGCTCAGAGGGCTGAGGCATGAGAATCGCTTGAATCTGGGAGACAGAGGTTAACAGTGAACCGTGATGGCACCACCACTGCACTCCAGCCTGGGCAACAGAGCAAGAGTCTGTTTCAAAAAAATAAAAATAAAAATAAAAGCTGAAAATTTCTATACAGTTCCTTCCAATTCAGATCTCAATATGAATGAGAAGAGTTAAGAAAAGAAAAAATCCAAGGGCCATAGAAGTAATTTGGGAAAAATATAAAAGGAAAGTATTACAGCATGTCATTGATCACATGTACAACAAATTTTAATTTAACTTGATGGCTACGTAGCAACCATATCCATTAAAATATGTCTTTGTTCTAAAATTAAATAAGAAATATATAGTTAAAAAAGTCATACCCTGCATGATGACCTGCTGTATACTTTAACTATACATTTTGCATAGTCAAAAATAAAATAATACCCTAAATAATAGTTCAAAGTATAAACTATTACTTTCTTTTTAACTATAAAATATGTTTTAACAGAAACATATTTCCAGCTCAATTCATATTTCAATTTGTGCAGGCTATTTGATGACACACTAAACAATTATAATAAATTTTTCTCATGAGAATTTGACCCAATAGTCAACCTGATTTTGAAAAAAAGATCAAAGCTGCCTAGTCAAATTAATTCTGCATTGACATATTTCTCTTTGCTTATTGAAATTTGACCTCTTAACACTTTATGTATTTATTGCTCTTCATTGCGCCTCCATGTGAACGGATTGTATTTTACTGAGGAAAGACTCGTAGTGTCTATACCAGATGAATATTTAGAAATGTGAAAGCAGTTTAGTATTTCTTTGGGGGTACATGTTGTATCTGTGTCGCATACATACTTTTGGTCTGGCCAGGAGTGGGGAAACGAGAGAAGGGGGATGGAGGGCATTGTGGCATGGCTTTTGCTGACTCCTCAATAGCTTGGGTTTGTAAAAGATCACAGATCAGAAATGGTTTTAAGCTCTAGTGCATTTGAGCCTCCAGCTTCTGCTTGAGCAATGTGACAAGTTTGAGATGCCCTTCCAAATGTGCCCAGCTTAAGTTACCAAAAAAAAAAAGTTAATAGCTTTGACCTCTTAAGCTGTTATATGAAGAAAAGGCTCTACTCACTTAAGGGCCAACCTATTGTAATCTCTATCTTTGAAGTGAGTCACGTACTAATTTCCTTTCAGGAAAGTTTAAACCAAAATATGTTTAGTCAGAAGGATTACTTTTTCCTTAAAGAACCTCAAACATTTTATATTTGTGCAGTATAATTAAAATATACCAAATTAATACTTTAATTTAAAAAATGTGTATAAGGCACTGACTAAATTACTAACAACCCATGGACATTTTTTGTTTATGCAAAAAAGAATTCTGTTAGTAGATGGAATGAAAGAATGCAAGGAAATTTAGGATCTGGCTGTATGAGACAATGACTGTCAGCCATAAAAATAATTGGTCTTAATTACTGATTAAACAGTCTTACGTAGATGACAGAAACTATTTGACTGATGAAAGCCTTCTTTCTTATACTTAAAACTGATACGTTAAGATTTAGGAATATTTGAAATGACACCTTATTCACTGTGATGCCAGAAATATAATGTGCAATATTTTAAAGGGCTCTAGAGTTCTATTTTCTGTAAATAGAACCTAGCCCCAAATCATGCCTCTGATTTCCTTCTAGCCACTTTGCATTAAAATAATAATAAACATTTATTACATATTTACCCCACTGTGGAGTTTGATAAGCCTATGATTTAGCCATGGGTGTTATCAGAAAAACCTTAAAAACTGACAGACTCAGTTCTTCTGAGGCTATTCCAGAACATAGATCTGTCTTTATGAGCTGTGAAAATAGATGCTAGGTGGCTGACAGTTTAGAAATCAGATACAGACGGAAGTTTATGCTTTCTCTTTCTCTACTGTATTGTACCAATTCCTATCTTGCTCCTAAAATCTGAATGCGTGGTGTTTCATAGTTTAATTACAGTGGTTTTTTCCTTGTTGATATATAATATTACAGTACATCTTACAACTGATGGAGAGATAAATATGCCAAAATATGGTAGCTTCTGTCTTCTGATTTTATCTATCAAGTAAAAGGATGAGATACACAAAAGACTAAAGAACTGATATTTCATGATTTTTCTATCCGTGAAAATCCATGAGCTAATATCAGCCTCTGAGTGTAGCTAAGAAGCCTTTCTCACATTTCACCATTTTCAGTTTCTGAGCTGTCAACTTTGTCTCCTTTGTTTAGTTATGTTATTATAAATATTCTCCTATTATCTCCATATGTGCAAAGATTTCTCTAGAAGTAGAATTTCTGAGTCATAGGGTATACATACAATCTTTAACTTAAGATAATGCCAAATTATTTTCTTACTGGTTAAACAAGTTAAACCCCTACCAACTTATACACCAAATACATAGGATTTCTTATGGTCCAAATTTGAATAACATTCAATCTTATCAAACTTTTATGTTTTATGTTTTGCCAACACAGTGGGTATTCTGGGGGTTAGAACGTGGACATATTTTTTTGTGAGCCACTATTCAAACCACTAGAGTGGTTTGATATGCTTCTTGCAGTCCAGCACTACTTTGAAGCCGCATGTTCCTTTATTTCTTTGCAAAACTCCCGCACATTTGAAACAGATACTATCCTGTTATACCATCACATGCTCCCCTCCACTTTGCTTTAATTTGCAGTTTTCTTCCTCTTCCAAATTTGCATCTCCACGGGTAACTCAGTCAATTTCCAAGTTCTCTGTCTCTTTCTAGATATCACTACCTTCACTTCCTCTCTGTCTGAGCCACCCCACTTTATGACTATATCCATGTTTTGTTATAACCCTGAATTGCTTCACCTCTTGCCTTTAAATTTAACACACCTAGGACTTCCTTCCAAATCTCTTATTCACTTACCCCCACAACATATGTTCTTCAATGTCATTGAGATCTAGAGCCTCTGCCCCTCTCATGTTTACCCTATATGTAAATCCTCTCCTCTCTTTACTGGAATATTGTCTAGCTCATAAAAAATGCTTAATGATTGTTATCTGCTAGTGGTAGCAGAAGTATTAATAATCAGATTCATATTCAGCTTAACCACTTCCTTGCCCATATTCTCACTTCTCTCGTCCCATCGCCTTTCCATTCTCTTACCTGAACAACCCCCAAAATAAATCAATACAACAAAACAGACGTAGTTCTTACTCTCATGGACCTTCAGAGTGATTACAGAAAGCGGCATTAAGTAATAAAGGAAAGTGTCATTAGTGTTCAGAAAGTGAAGTAGAGGAGAAGGAAGATATCCCTGAGGAAGGGACATTTATACTGAAACCTAAACAATGCTAAGAACTGGTTGAATGAAGTATGAATAGAAGATAGTTCTAGCAGTTAGAGAAATATGCGTGAAGGCTAGATTATCAGGTTTTTCTTGTCTCAATTTAGGCATCACCTTCTCCGTGAAGTCTTTCAGATCTCCTGTGTTTAAGTCAGGTGTCCTTTCTTAGTGCTCTCTCAGGAATCTTCAGTTCTCCTTTCTCAGCATGTCTTACAATATGTCGTGTTCTCCTGTGTTCTTAACTCTCTTCCCCACTGGGCTCTGGAAAGATGCTTTGATGTTTGACTTGTTCCTTATAATATCGCAGTACCTATACTTGTGCCAGTTTCTGCCCCATCCTTGAGGTGTAATGAAATTTGTTGGTTAAATTGACAAATCAATGGGAGAAAAGTCCCCAAAGGGCAACAACTCAATAGATATAGACGGAAGCCAAGTAATGTGGGGGTCGTACTGATAGAACTTATTCAAACGTACCGAATTCAAGGCATGTGTATTTATTGTAGGGTGTGGGTATTATACCAGGCACTGTTGAAACGTCATTTATTCTTCTCCATTCACATGGTATGGTGATAAAATTCTTGTTTAGCTGGGAATATTTCATATAAAATAAGTAACGAACATGATATGTTTGGACAGTGTTGAGTACTCAGTCCAGTGGAGAAAGAATATTGTCTTATATATGGATAAAATATACTCTTGTGTCTATATATAGAGAGAGGAAGCACAAAATATATATATATATAGAGAGAGAGAGAGAAGAGTACATTTTGTGCTCTTATAAAAAGTATAAAAGTGTAAAAAGTATAAAAAGTATAAAAGTGCTTCGAATGGTGTATTTGTATATATATGTATATATATACATGTATACACATGTATATACACGTATATATTATTATATTAATATATATACATATATATTGTTATTTTATTATTATTATACATATATATATAGAAATACACCCATCCGAAGCACTTTTTAGTATTCACTGGGTCACTGCTTAGTTTTCAGGCTCTGTCATCACAAGGGTCCCCAGAAACACAGTTCTTCACAACACTGGGGTATATCAGAGTCAGTTGTGAGATAATGTCACAGATAATGCAACTAATAACCATGTAGCACCGTGGCTTGCAATTTATTATTTTTTAAAACTAATTTAGAAATAAATAAATAAATAACAAATTAGAGAAGATTTGATATTTTCCTACTAATACTACTACATTCATTCATTATATTCTGATACTCTTTCTTGGGAGGAATCATTGCGACTATTAATATTGAAATGGAATTAGGACTTGTCCACAGACGTGTGTGGCTGTGACTATTACGTCTGTTACGTATGTCACTGTTGGTGCCCTAGAGGTGGCTCCTACCCATATAGTAGAGCATATCTCAGCTTTTCCTAGTCTTGAGGGTGTTTTTAGAGCTCTTGTAACTTTGTCATGATTTGAGGGAGGAAAAAGGCAGTTGGGTGGGATAGAAATTTGAATGAAAATAAGCCATTTGCACATCACCTCTGGGATAATGTTAGATCAAGGGTTTTACCCCTTTCAGACAGATCAATGCTGTTATAGGCTTAAGTAAGATCCCTCGAGAGGAAAGAGGTTTGGCAGGGACTGCTGGCAGGCACTATTTTCGTGTTTAGATTATATTTGATGAAAATCTTTACTTTGAAGTTGTGCATTGGTTAGGAATTTCCCCCCAAGAGTTAATGTTCTAAGTATTATCAAAGCAAATCTCATAATTTTGCTATGAAGGCACCAAAATTCCAGTCATCTCAGAGAGGAGGAAGGTGAACCAGCCCACTTTCTGAACTAAAAAAGGAAACACCTGTCTCTGAGAGGTGCTGATTTTTAGACGTTATGGCATTCATGTTAATGGAGAAGGAAAATTAGATGTAGGCTTCTTGACAAACTTCCTCTGAAGTTTGAGCAGATTGTTCCCAGCATGATGCTATCATGTTGGCGTTTATAACTTAGGCTTTAGTAATTTCCATTTATAATAACCTCATTTGGGGTAAAATGGAAATTGCCATGTTATTATACTTCTGGGGCAGTGAGTGGAGTGAGCACTGGACTGAGAGTGTGAAAGTCTGAATTCTTAGGTAAGGTTTATTTGCTATGTAAAGATACTGGATGAACTGTCATAAATCTTAAGTATGTCAACTCAAAAATGAGAATGGACTAGGTCAGCTAATTTCAATCTGTGTCCCTCAGAAAATGTAAGGCTTCCCAGGACCCCTAAAAGGCCCCTAAAAGAAGTGTAGCGTAGAAAACATCCTTAGGGCGTGTTCCATGTTTCCACATCCACTTTAACTGGAACCTCCACTTTTTTCTTCTGTGGATAGTGGGCTTTCTTAGAACATTTTATCTGGAGAAATAATTCCTTTGTTAATCTCTTTCTTTAGCAGTGGACTAGATGCTCTTCAAGATTCTTGCTTTCATTACTCTGTTCTGACTGATAATTAAAACGTTAATAAATTGACATATTAAATACTTTGGAAATTCAGCTCGAGATGTTTCCTTGAATAAGTCAGTCAAGAAAGATGTCAGGAAAGACCAATATAAATATGTCATAAATGTTCAATCTTCAGTTTATCTAAAAAATAGGATAAAGATGTTTAGCTCATTTTGTAGTATATCATGAATATTCATCTGGAAATTGATTCTATTCTCAGAATAGAGCACCAGAAACTACAGGAAGTGATACTCTCTTATTCTGGGAGTGATTTACTGAAGGCTAATATTTTTAAAATTTATTCTGACCAACATTGTTTTAATATCAGGTATCTGCTAACCAGTTACTGTTAGGCTGTGGAAACAAAAAGCAAAGAAAACCCCTCAGCCTTGAAGAATAAAATCTATCAGGAAAGACAGACATATGAACAGTTAATTGCAAAGTAGTGAGGTATGTACATAAATAAAAACATATACTATATAATTAAAAAGTGGTAGTAAATATGGTCATCAAAAGCACAGGGTCTGTGTTCAAATTTCAGTTCCATTATTTATAATGGCTTATAGCTTCTAGTTTTATGACTTCATTTTCTTCATTTATAAAATGAGAGGAAAAGAAGCCACCATATAAGACCTTTTGTACCAATCAAATGTTGTGTTATAATCAATGTTAAATGCTTGGTGCATGTCTATATTTACTACCACTTAAATGGTAGTTATGATTATTACACCACTTAAATGACAGTTTAAAAAATATTATTAGTTTACACATACCCATTGTACATATTTATGAGGTACAGAGTGATGTGGCGAGATGCATAATGTACACTGATCAGATCAGCGTAATTAGCATATTCATTGTCTCAAGCATTTATCATTGCTTTGTGTTGGGAACATTCAATATCCTCCTTTTAGCCATTTGAAACTATATAGTTTATTATTGTTAACTATAGTCATCTTGTAGTGCTATAAAACACTAGAACCTATTTCTCCTATCTAGCTATAATTTTGTATCCTTTAACAAATCACTCCATAGCCCTCCCTTCCCTCTATTCTTCCAAGCTTCTAATATCCTCTGTTCTACTTTTTACTTTTATCACATTAACTTTATTATTTATTTTATTATTATTTTGAGACAGGGTTTTGCTTTGTCTCTCAGGCCAGAGTGCAGTGGTGTGATCTTGGCTCACTGCAACTTCCGCCTCCTGGGCTCAAGTGATCCTCCCATCTTAGCCTCCTGAGTAGCTGAGACTACAGGCACATGACACCAATTCCAGCTGAATTTTTATATATTTTGTAGAGACAGGGTCTCGCGATATTGCCCAGGCTGGTCTCAAACTTCTGGGATCAAGGGATCCACCTGCCTCAGCCTCTCAAAGTACTGGAATTACAGATGTTAGCCACCATGCCCAGGCTAATTTTTTTTTAGCTTCTACATGAGTGAGAACATGTGGTGATTACCTTTCTGTACCTGGCTTATTTCTCTTAATGTCTCCCAGTTCCATCCATGTTGCCATGAATGACACGATCTCATTTTTTTTATACCAGAATAGTATTCCATTGTGTATATATATCATGGTTTTTTTTTTTTTTTAAACTTTTAGGTTCAGGGTTATATGTGCAGGTTTGTAACGTAAGTAAACTTGTCTCATGAGGGTTTGTTGTACAGATTATTTCATCACCCAGGTACTAAGCCTAGTACCCAATGGTTATTTTTTCTGATCCTCTCCCTCTTGCCACACTCCATCCTCAAGTAGGTCCCAGTCTCTGTTATTCCCCTTGTTGTGTCCGAGAGTTCTCATCATTTAACTCCCACTTATAAGAGAGAATATGTGGTATTTGCTTTCTGTTCCTGAATTAGTTTGCTAAGGATAATAGCCTCCAGCCCCATCAAAGTTGCACAAAAGACATGATCTTGTTATTTGTTATGGCTGCATAATATTCCATGGTGTATATGTACCACATTTTCTTTATCCAATATGTTATTGATGGGCATTTAATTGATTCTATGTCTTTGTTATTGTGAATAGTGCTGCAATGAACATTTTTGTGCATGCATCTTTATGGTAAAATGATTTTTATTTCTTTGGGTATATACCCAGCAATGGGCTTGCTGGGTCAAATGGTAGTTCTGTGATTAGTTCTTTGACATTCTTTTCACAATGGTTGAAATAATTTACACTCCTACCAACAGTATCTAAGTGTTCCCTTTTCTCCACACCCTCACCAACATATGACTTTTTGACTTTTTTTTTTTTTTTTTGAGACAGAGTCTCACTCTGTCACCAGGCTGGAGTGCAGTGGCGTGATCTTGGCTCATGGCAACCTCCGTCTCCCAGGTTCAAGTGATTCTCCTGCCTCAGCGTCCTGAGTAGCAGGGACTACATGTGTGTGCTACCACACCTGGTTAATTTTTGTATTTTTTTTAGTAGAGACAGGGTTTCACCATGTTGGCCAGGCTGGTCTCAAACTCCTGACTCCAGGTGATCCACCTGCCTCGGCCTCCCAAAGTGCTGGGATTACAGGCGTGAGCCACTGTGCCCGGCTTAGTTTTTAAAATTCAATATATACTCAGTTTGGTATACTCAGTGAAATGCAGTTCATACCATCACTTTACCTGTGCACTATGTATTCCTGCTAGGTAGGCCTATCCCTTAATTGTATTAGGAGATGATATTTTCATTTCTCGTAATTCACAGTTTAAAATAGAACATTTTCACCAGCCTTTCTTTTCATAGCTTTAACTATACACTCATACCTGCTACTTATCATTCATTTACATGATGAGTGGGGGCCTAAATCCTGTTCTATCCTCTTTCTGATAAGCACTCTGTGAAATTGTCAGCTGCAATTGCCTATTGCCATAGGAATGACAGCTTAGTGTCTATTGCCACATGGCAGAATGTAGATATTTGTGAACCATCTTGTATTTTAGCAGACTAAGCTCTACGTGAAGAGAATTTCCTCATTACTCACTGGTCTCTTCCTATGTTAATCTATTAGCATTTGACTTCTTAGCTTTTGATATGTACTTCTGTGTGGGCTCCATTACCTGTCTCTGCTTGTTATTTAAGTCTTGCTGTTGGAATAGGTAGTGTGAGCTTTCTTGTCATAGTAACCAGAAATTCATTTTTCTAATGTTGTTATCAATTATTACTTTATGACTCTATTATATAAAAAGGCTCCACTTGTCACATTTAATCAACCACATGTAGATGCCTTTTTTGTAGAATATTTTGGAATAAATTAGATATTGAATTCCAAACTGGTTTCTTCATTAACGAGTGTGGCAACAGCCTGAAGTAAATGACAATGCCTATTTAATGAGTTTGGAAACACTAATAGT
Organism: Homo sapiens; assembly: GCF_000001405.40. Classification (NCBI taxonomy): domain Eukaryota; kingdom Metazoa; phylum Chordata; class Mammalia; order Primates; family Hominidae; genus Homo; species Homo sapiens. The sequence continues at coordinate 57,919,721 of NC_000005.10, forward strand.
GTCCATCCAAAACCCAGAGTCCCTTCCATTTGTCCATTATATCTTCCACTTTTTACTTTTCTGAGATAATTAGATGCAATTATAGAAATTTATAAAAGTAGAGTGCTCATATCCTGCATTTAATACTTTAAGGTGTCACTGTGGAGAAATCCACTGGCTTATTCTTTGTAGGTTGAAATGGGTCCTTTCAATTTTGTTCAAAATCTTATAGCTTCCCCTACCAGTGGTATTAATAATACCTTAAGAAAGGTGCTACATGACATCTACTCATTTCACTCCTGAAACACAGAATAGCAGAAGGGAGAGAAGAATATAACTAATTGTTTTAATATCTAAGTTGAAAGTGAAAAGTGTACTTTCAAGAAGGATTTACTGTATAGTGTTTCACTATAAATGACTGGGTTTAAATTATTACTTTCATGTGATAATGTTGGCTTTACATAAAAGCAGAATGCTTACCAGTTGCTTACTTTGACATGATTCATAATGGCCTCAGTGGATATCAGAATGGTGACAGACATGCTGGTCTAGTATTTTCATTGCATTTCAGTGGGCTCATACCACATAGGGAATAGAATTAGGATTTTTACCCTTGTAGCTCAGTGAGATGCTTTGTGCCATGTGCAACGTACTCAGAAAAATGCATTCTAATAAATATTTTATGAACTATCAATTTATTGAGAACTATCTTAGCTGCTTTTTTAAGTGGAGAAAATGACATCTTTTTTAGTTTGTTTTTATTCTTCATGTAATATGCTTTTTTTATTTTTTCATTTGATGGCTCTCTGGATGATTCAGGCACAAGGGAAAAAAAAGACAGAGAGAGAGAGAGAGAGAGAGGTGAGTATGGTTTAAAAATACCTGAATTGGCTGCTAGGCTTGAATTCTCTAAGCTAATGATGTTCAAATAAGAGTGTATATCAAAGAAAATTTGAGGAGCTTTGTAAAACAAGAATGTTACAGTCATCTCAGACATCTTGTTTCAGAAACCTCCAGGGAAAGGGCCCTGAATGCATTTTTTCAAATAGATTTCAGATGCCTCTGGCCCTTCACACTGGCTAAGAACTACAAAACTATATCATATATTTTGTAAGTGCACTTTTGATTTCTGTCTCATGATTTAAATTTTCTGAAAAATTCACATGCTATGGGATCTTTCTAAATTTCCCGTTTCGAAGCTAAAATTTGATGATATTCATGTCTGTACATACCTTTAGGTTTGTATTGCACTTCAAATTTTGCAGAGTGTCTTATTTCATCCTCACAACCAACTATCCTGTGAGATAGACCATGGCCAATGTACATGGATGTATAAGTTGGCTCACTGCACATGAGTACCTGGTTGAGGGAACATGTGGGCCTCAAACCCAGTCCACACACTTAGTGTTAATAGGTATGCATACACTAGGCTGGATTTTCCCAGAGGGGAGATCTTCTAATTCTCACAAAGTTGTGCCATGTGTTGGTGGCAACCCTGCAGTAAGCAACCCAAGGATTATCATCCCCATTTAAGACATGAAGAGCTTGAGAGTTCAGAGAGGATGAATATTTCTTCCAAGGTTTCACAGTGATCAGCCCAAAGTCATTTGGCTTAATCCAGTGTTCTTTCTGCAAACGCTGGAAATTATTCTTGCATATTCTTTGAGATGCCCATGTAGTTTCATCAAAGTTGTTTAGCAATGCTCTATTTGTTTATTAAAAGTGGTTCCTTGCCATATAAGAATTTGTTTTTCTTTTTGATCAAGAACAATTTAGTCAACTTTGGTTGTGACTTGCATTTAAAAACAAAGAGGCATACAAACAAAACAAATCAATGGCCTGATAGCCTTCAACATTTCCAGACAATGTTAAAGGTCAAGATTTTAAAATGGGGGCATCATTAAAATTTCTGGAGTTTTCATAAAGACAATGATAATGACAAAGATTATCCTAATGATATGATTGTCTTGTGATACACTGGAAATAGTAGTAGGTTTGAGATGAGGAAACTCAAATTCTAGTCCTGATATTCTCCCTAGCTTCATGCTTGCATAACCCAGTTTATAAGTTCCCCTGTAAGACAGAGACCAGACTGTGTTGATGTCTTTATTAACACATCATAAATAGTGAATATAAATAGCGGATGAAAAGTTCAACACCAAGAAAAACTCATACCTACTCAACAGGCCCTGGTGTCCTCTTCTGGGCTGGCTCCCTGGGTTACTACAGCCTGTCTTCACTTCTCAGCAGCAGTTCACCTGAAAGGACTGGCAAGAGCTCTGGGCCTCTCCAGACATTAGATTCCAAGCATAACTGATTCTCAGCCACAGAAAGGGAAATTTTTTTTTCCCTCATCTTATTTTAAGACCTATCTTCATAATCTTCAATTTATGCTCCAGGTTTTATCTCTTTCCCGAATTATTAACAATAGCAGCATCCATTCACTATAGGAGAAATCTTAGTTCTACCCAGAGGGATGTGGAATGTTCCTACAGATCCGAAAACACAGTTAGTTTAGTGAAACATTAGTATATTAGTTAAAGTCAGACGTAAGTACATTAATTAGGGTCTGAGTGACATGGTTAGGCTTTGCGTCCCTACCCAAATCTCATCTTGAATTGTAATTCTCAGGTGTTTAGGGAGAGACCTGGTAGGAAGTGATTGGATTATAGGGGCAGTTTCCCCCATGCTGTTCTCACGATAGTGAGTAAATTCTTGTGAGATCTGATGGTTTTATAAATGGTAGTTTTCCCTGCACTGGCACTTCTCTCTCTTGCTGCCATGTGAAGAAGGTTCTTGCTTCCCCTTTGCCTTCTGCCATGATTGTAAGTTTCCTGAGGCCTTCCCAGCCATGCAGAACTGTGAGTCAATTAAACTGCTTTCCTTTATAAATTATGCAGTCTTGGGCATTTCTTCATAGCAGTGTGAGGATGGACTAATGCACTGAGTTATTCCGCCTTAAATGCGAGCCCAGTGTAAAATACTGCAGTTATACCACATTTAGTCTAGTTCTCTATATATTTCTTCTGAAGATTTCAAATAATGTGTGTCCATCTCAAGAATCACTTTTTATGTCTTTCTATTGTCAATTCCTAATATGTTAAATGAAGATGAAAAATCCTTTATAAGGTTTTTAAGGATCAAATGTAATGCGAGGAGGTGGTTCCAAGATGGTTGAATAGGAACAGCTCCAGTCTACAGCTCCCAGCGTGAGCGACGTAGAAGATGGGTGATTTCTCCATTTCCAACTGAGGTACTGGGTTCATATCACAGAGGCTTGTCAGACAGTGGGTGCAGGACAGTGGGTGCAGCGCACTGAGTGTGAGCCAAAGCAAGGTGAGGCATTGCCTCACACGGGAAGCACAAGGGGTCAGGGAATTCCCTTTCATAGCCAAGCAAATCTGTGACAAACAGCACTTGGAAAATTGGGTCACTCCCACCCTAATACTGTGCTTTTCCAATGGTCTTAGCAAACGGCATACCAGGAGATTATATCCCACGCCTGGCTCAGAGGGTCCCACACCCATGGAGCCTTGCTCGTTGCTAGCACAGCAGTCTGAGATCGAACTGCAAGGCAGCAGCGAGGCTGGAGGAGGTGTGCCTGCCATTGCTGAGGTTTGAGTAGTTAAACAAAGTGGCCAGGAAGCTCGAACTGGGTGGAGCCCACATCAGCTCAAGGAGGCCTCCCTGCCTCTGTAGACTCCACCTCTGGGGGCAGGGCATAGCCAAACAAAAGGCAGCAGAAACCTCTGCAGACTTAAATGTCCCTGTCTGACAGCTTTGAAGAGAGTAGTGGTTCTCCCAGCAGGGATTTTGAGATCTGAGAATGGACAGACTGCCTCCTCAAGTGGGTCCCTGACCCCTGAGTAGCCTATCTGGGAGGCATCCCCCACTAGGGGCAGACTGACACCTCACAAGGACCAGTACTCGTCTGAGATGAAACCTCCAGAGGAATGATCAGACAGCAACATTTGCTGTTCAGCAATATATTCGCTGTTCTGCAGCCTCCGCTGCTGATACCCAGGCAAACAGGGTCCGGAGTGGACCTCCAGCAAACTCCAACAGACCTGCAGCTGAGGGTCCTGACTGTTAAAAGGATAACTAACAAACAGAAAGGACATGCACACCAAAACCCCATCTGTATGTCACCATCATCAAAGACCAAAGGTAGATAAAACCACAAAGAAGGGGAAAAAACAGAGCAGAAAAACTGAAACTTCTAAAAATCAGAGTGCTTCTCTTCCTCCAAAGGAACGCAGCTCCTCATCAGTAATGGAACAAAGCTGGATGGAGAATGACTTTGATGAGTTGAGAAAAGAAGGCTTCAGACAATAAAACTTCTCCAAGCTAAAGGAGGAAGTTCAAACCCATCACAAAGAAGTTAAAAACCTTGAAAAAAGATTAGACGAATGGCTAACTAGAATAACCAATGCAGAGAAGTCCTTAAAGGACCTGATGGAGCTCAAAACCATGGCACAAGAACTATGTGATCAATGCACAAGCTTCAGTAGCCGATGCGATCAACTGGAAGAAAGAGTATCAGTGATTGAAGATCAAATGAATGAAATGAAGTGAGAAGACAAGTTTACAGGAAAAAGAATAAAAAGAAATGAACAAAGCCTCCAAGAAATAAGGGACTATGTGAAAAGATCAAATCTATGTCTGATTGGTGTACCTGAGAGTGACGGAGAGAATGGAACCAGGTTGGAAAACACTCTGCAGGATATTACCCAGGAGAACTTCCCCAACCTAGCAAGGCAAGCCAACATTCAAATTCAGGAAATACAGAGAATACCACAAAGATACTTCTCGAGAAGAGCAACTCCAAGACACATAAGTGTCAGATTCACCAAAGTTGAAATGAAGGAAAAAAGGTTAAGGGCAGCCAGAGAGAAAGGTCGGGTTACCCACAAAGGGAAGCCCATCAGACTAATAGCTGATCTCTTGGCAGAAACTCTACAAGCCAGAAGAGAGTGGGGGCCAATATTCAACATTCTTAAAGAAAAGAATTTCCGACCCAGAATTTCATATCCAGCCAAACTAAGCTTCATAAGTGAAGGAGAAATAAAATCCTTTACAGACAAGCAAATGCTGAGAGATTTTGTCACCACCAGGCCTGCCCTACAAGAGCTCCTGAAGGAAGCACTAAACATGGAAAGGAACAACAGTTACCAGCCACTGCAAAAACATGCCAAATTGTAAACACCATCAAGGCTAGGAAGGAAGAAACTGCAGCAACTAACGAGCAAAATAACCAGCTAACATCATAATGACAGGATCAGATTCACACATAACAATATTAACCTTAAATGTAAAGGGGCTAAATGCTCCAATTAAAAGACACAGACTGGCAAATTGGATAGAGTCAAGACCCATCAGTGTGCTGTATTCAGGAAACCCATTTCACGTGCAGAGACACACATAGGCTCAAAATAAAGGGATGGAGGAAGTCTACCAAGCAAATGGAAAACAAAAAAAGGCAGGGTTGTGATCCTGGTCTCGGATAAAACAGACTTTAAACCAACAAAGATCAAAAGAGACAAAGAAGGCCATTACATAATGGTAAAGGGATCAATTCAACAAGAAGAGCTAACTATCCTAAATATATATGCACCCAATACAGGAGCACCCAGATTCATAAACCAAGTCCTTAGAGACCTACAAAGAGACTTAGACTCCCACACAATAATAATGAGAGGCTTTAACAACCCACTGTCAACATTAGACAGATCAATGAGACAGAAAGTTAACAAGGATATCCAGGAATTGAACTCAGCTCTGCACCAAGTGGACCTAATAGACATATACAGAACTCTTCACCCCAAATCAACAGAATACACATTCTTCGCAGCACCACACCACTCCTATTCCAAAATTGACCACGTAGTTGGAAGTAAAGCACTGCTCAGCAAATGTAAAAGAACAGAAATTATAACAAACTCTCTCTCGGACTAGAGTGCAATCGAACTAGAACTCAGGATTAAGAAACTCACTCAAAACCGCTCAACTACATGGAAACTGAACAACCTGCTCCTGAATGACTACTGGGTACATAATGAAGTGAAGGCAGAAATAAAGATGTTCTTTGAAACCAATGATAACAAAGACACAACATACCAGAATCTCTGGGACACATTTAAAGCAGTGTGTAGAGGGAAATGTATAGCACTAAAGGCCCACAAGAGAAAGCAGGAAAGATCTAAAATTGACACCCTAACATCACAAGTAAAAGAACTAGAGAAACAAGAGCAAACACATTCAAAAGCCAGCAGAAGGCAAGAAATAACTAAGATCAGAGCAGAACTGAAGGAGATAGAGACACAAAAAACCCTTCAAAAAATCAATGAATCCAGATGCTGGTTTTTTGAAAAGATCAACAAAATTGATAGACCGCTAGCAAGACTAATAAAGAAGAAAAGAGAGAAGAATCAGACGCAATAAAAAATGATAAAGGGGATATCACCACCGATCCCACAGAAATACAAACTACCATCAGAGAATACTATAAACACCTCTACACAAATAAACTAGAAAATCTAGAAGAAATGGAAAAATTCCTCGACACATGCACTCTCCCAAGACTAAACCAGGAAGAAGTTGAATCTTTGAATAGACCAATAACAGGCTCTGAAATTGAGGCAATAATTAATGGCCTACCAACCAAAAAAAGTGCAGGACCGGACGGATTCACAGCCGAATTCTACCAGAGATATAACGAGGAGCTGGTACCATTCCTTCAGAGACTATTCCAATCAATAGAAAAAGAGAGAATCCTCCCTAATTCATTTTATGAGGCCAGCATCATCCTGATACCAAAGCCTGGCAGAGACACAACAAAAAAAGAGAATTTTAGACCAATATCCATGATGGACATCGATGCAAATATCCTTAATAAAATACTAGCAAACCGAATCCATCAGCACATCAAAAAGCTTATCCACCATGATCAAGTGGGCTTCATCCCTGGGATGCAAGGCTGGTTCGACATATGAAAATCAATAAATGTAATCCAGCATATAAACAGAACCAAAGACAAAAGCCACATGATTATAGATACAGAAAAGGCCTTTGACAAAATTCCACAGCCCTTCATGCTAAAAACTCTCAATAAATTAGGTATTGATGGGACATATCTCAAAATAATAAGAGCTATTTATGACAAATCCATAGCCAATATATACTGAATGGGCAAAAACTGGAAGCATTCCCTTTGAAAACAGGCACAAGACAGGGATGCTCTCTCTCACCACTCCTATTCAACATAGTGTTGGAAATTCTGGCCAGGGCAATCAGGCAGGAGAAAGAAATAAAGGGTATTCAATTAGGAAAAGAGGAAGTCAAATTGTCCCTGTTTGAAGATGACATGATTGTGTATCTAGAAAACCCCATTGTCTCAGCCCAAAATCTCCTTAAGCTGATAAGCAACTTCAGCAAAGTCTCAGGATACAAAATCAATGTGCAAAAATCACAAGCATTCTTATACACCAATAACAGACAGAAAGCCAAATCATGAGTGAACTCCCACTCACAATTTCTTCAAAGAGAATAAAATACCTTGGAATCCAACTTACAAGGGATGTGAAGGACCTCTTCAAGGAGAACTGCAAACCACTGCTCAATGAAATAAAAGAGGATACAAACAAATGGAAGAACATTCCATGCTTATGGATAGGAAGAATCAATATTGTGAAAATGGCCATACTGCCCAAGGTAATTTATAGATTCAATGTCATCCCCATCAAGCTACCAATGACTTTCTTCACAGAATTGGAAAAAAACTACTTTAAAGTTCATATGGAACGAAAAAACAGCCTGCATTGCCAAGTCATTCCTAAGCCAAAATAACAAAACTGGAGACATCACGCTACCTGACTTCAAACTATACTACAAGGGTACAGTAACCAAAACAGCATGGTACTTATAGACCAATGGAACAGAACAGAGCCCTCAGAAATAATACCACACATCTACAACTATCTGATCTTTGACAAACCTGACAAAAACAAGCAATGGGGAAAGGATTCCCTATTTAACAAATGGTGCTGGGAAAACTGGCTAGCATATGTAGAAAGCTGAAACTGGATCCCTTCCTTATACCTTATATAAAAATTAATTCAAGATGGATTAAAGACTTAAATGTTAGACCTAAAACCATAAGAACACTAGAAGAAAACCTAGGCAATACCATTCAGGACATAGGCATGGGCAAGGACTTCATGTCTAAAACACCAAAAGCAATGGCAACAAAAGCCAAAATTGACAAATGGGATCTAATTAAACTAAAGAGCTTCTGCACAGCAAAAGAAACTACCATCAGAGTGAACAGGCAACCTACAGAATGGGAGAAAATTTTTGCAATCTACTCATCTGACAAAGGGCTAATATCCAGAATCTACAAATAACTCAAACAAATTTACAAGAAAAAAACAGACAACCCCATCAAGAAGTGGGCAAACGATATGAACAAGCACTTCTGAAAAGAAGACATTTATGCAGCCAACAGACACATGAAAAAATGCTCATCATCACTGGCCATCAGAGAAATGCAAATCAAAACCACAATGAAGTATCATCTCACACCAGTTAGAATGGCGATCATTCAAAAGTCAGGAAACAACAGATGCTGGAGAGGATGTGGAGAAATAGGAACACTTTTACAATGTTGGTGGGACTGTAAACTACTGCAACCATTGTGGAAGACAGTTTGGCGATTCCTCAAGGATCTAGAACTAGAAATACCATTTGACCCCGGCATGCCATTACTGGATATATACCCAAAGGATTATAAATCATGCTGCTATAAAGGCACATGCACATGTATGTTTATTGCAGCACTATTCACAATAGTGGTTCCAAGACTTGGAACCAACCCAAATGTCTAACAATGATAGACTGGATTAAGAAAATGTGGCACATATCCACCATGGAATACTATGAAGCCATAAAAAAGGATGAGTTCATGTCCTTTGTAGAGACATGGATGAAGCTTGAAACCATTATTCTCAGCAAACTATCTCAAGAACAAAAAACCAAACACCTCATGTTCTCACTCATAGGTGGGAATTGAACAATAAGAACACATGGGCACAGGAAGGGGAATGTCACACACCGGGGCCTGTCGTGGGGTGGGGTAGGGGGGAGGGAAAGGATTAGGAGATATACCTAATGTAAATGATGAGTTAATGGGTGCAGCACACCAACATGGCACATGTATACATATGTAACAAACCTGCACTTTGTGCTCATGTACCCTAGAAATTAAAGTATAATTAAAAAAATAAAAGAAATCAAACAAAATAAAAACAAATGTAATGCACAATATACTATCCTATTTAAATGGTAGATTTAATATAAATTCTAAGTAACTTTTCATAAATTTATTCATGTATTTTAGTTTAACAAACACTAAAACAGTAATTACCATATTTCATGCACTATTTTAAATGTTTTAAAAATAATAACACATTTTATCTTTATGCCATCCCTTTGAAGTCCTAGAATTATTTCTATTTTATTTACTCTCTGAGACTCAGGTTAAGCAATTTGCCCAAGGTTACACATTTTGCTAACCTGCAGAAACAACCAAAGTAAGTTAAAAATATATATTTACTTGTATGCTGGTTAATTTCATGTTTCAATTTGGCTAGGTTATAGAATGTCCAGATATTTGTTTAAACATTGTTTCTGGATGAGATTAGCATTTGAATTGGTGAACTCTATAAAGCTGATGGCCCCTGCCCAATGCAAGTGGATATCGTCCAATGTATCCAGGGCCTGAATAGAACAAAAAGGCAGAGAAAGGGAGGATTCACTGTCTGCCTGACAGCTTGAGAAGCTTAATATTGTCCTGGCCTCAGACTGAGGCTTATACCATTGGTGCTTCTTGTTCTCGGGTCTTTAGACTTGAGCTGGAACTACACCGCCAGCTTTCCTGGGTCTCCAGCTTATAGACAGCAGGTCGTGGGACGTCTCAACTTCTCAGTCTTCATAACTGTGTGAGCCAATTCTATATATATTCATATTCTATTGGTTCTGTTTCTCTGGAGATCCCTGGCTAATACTCCTTACGTCGGATTTTGTTTAATGTAAACAATTATCCAAACATATAAATCACCAAGAAAACAATGATCTATGTTCTTTCAGATGCTAGTTGTGTATGACCTGTTGTTGAATTTTTATGTATATCAATTGTTTGTAGAAAACAAAAATAAGGCTCTTATCTTTAATTTAGGACCTTGCTCCTTGAAGTGTGACCTCCAAGGCCAGCAACATATGCTTCACCTGAGAGTTTGTTGGAAATGAGGACTCTCAGGTCCACCCAGACCTATTGAATCAGAATCTGCATTTTACCAAGAATCAAGATGATTTGCATGCACATTAAAGTTAGGGAAGTGCTTTTCTGGAGTAGTATATGTTTAAGTACTAACATAAAACTATGATCTTCCACAGGTATAAGCAGCTATTTACCAAATGTGCCCAAAGAGGGGATAAATATGTTGGCATACCTAGAATGCATATGCAGCATAGCACTGTTCATCAGCTGGAGAAAACTGTGCTAGTAAATGGTGTTTACTGTTCAAAACATTCCTCTTTAAAGTTTCTTCTACCGAGACAGATATCCCAGAGCATCATTTTCAAGGTCCATTTCAAGGCCTTGTAGACCTTACATGAGGAGCTCATGTAATCCATTCCAGAGCATAACTGGTGGATCTGCTTGTGAACGGGAACATAAGCTCATTTGTGCTATCCAGGTGATTTAAACTGTTCTATGACATTACTTGTGTGTTTCAGGTTCTTGGTGCTTTTCTGTCCTCCTGGTTTACACTTTGACCGTTCTCTTCCAGCCCAGCAGATTTCTGACTCCTAGCTATGTATAGCCACTCCTGTCCAGCTCAGACTTCTGTGGGCTGGGTTCTGGTCTGAATAGCCTTGCCAAGTTTTTCTTGTGTCTTTTTGTCCTTCTTGAGCATCCTAATACTCATATGACCACCCCTCTCTTGATTCTGAAAATTGTATTCTCTAGCTATGCCTGGCAGTGGACTCTACTCTCAGTGCACACCATAGTTGCATGGATGATATCTATAGGGCTATTCATACACTCTTGGTTGCCCCCAGCTTCTGATTTTACCCTTCCAGGCTTGCTCTGCCTCATGTAGTTCACAAACCATGAGCATCCCTTGCCCTGCACATAGAAAGAGGCACTGTAGGTACTTTTTATTGTGCCTGAGCATGAGAACACAAATGTACTAAAAACAAGGTAAGGCTGTGAACACATTCAATTATGGGGAGCTGAATTTTATTTCTTTTTTTGCTGTTAAGACAGCCTATTCTGCCAAATAAAAACATGGGCAAAGCACAGTCTAATTGGGTTAATAAAAAAACTTGAATTGGATATTTTATGACCCAATCAGTTGCTTAAATGAGATAATGTGCCTCAAGCTCCTAGCATGATTTCTGGTCCACAGTATGTGTGTTAACAAATGCTAGTTTTCTTTCCTCTGGCCGTCAGGTCAAATAAAATAGAAAAGTACTCCTTTGATGCAGTGGATAAACCTGGCTTTAGTGTCTATATTCTAAATCTGTTTTCCTAGGGGCATATTTTAAGCATCATAAGAAGAGTCTGAGGCTGTTAAATTCTACTGGACAGTGTAATCATTACAGTCAGCAGCACATCATCAAGAAAAGTTTGTTGTTGTTGTTTTTTGACAATGGTTTTACCATAATTGGTAAAAGCTCTACAGAACAGTCTTTGCAAAACCCAGGGTTGCTGTAGGAGTGTGATGCCAGCTTGTGAGTGAACAGTATGTATGCATTCTGATCAACTTGGTTCAAATCACTGAGCATCTGGTTATGCAGATAATGGAGAGCATTTGTCCAGACACCTGGTGTGTGCAAATTGCTTCTCATTTTTGTGCTTGCAAATTAGGAATCCAAGACCCCTGCAAGGTTATGAATAAATAACATGGTTAAGGGCTTACAGACCAAAGTTATCATTAAAATAAACAAGCTCTAGTTCAAGCTTTAACAAGTCAGCCACTCTGCAAGTAGTGCATTCCCAGTTCTTTATTGTCAACTTTGTGGCTTATGTTCCCAAATAATTTCTTTCTTCATTTTTCTTAAGGGATTGTCTTCATTTTTCCATTTTGATGGCCTTTGGCAGTTGATGAATAAAGAAAATATGGCTTACTATAGTGAGCTTGGTTGATACAATAATCAAGTAAGAGGACCTTGATTTTCTACCCCTGGTAAAAATCTTAGAAAAGAGTTGGTCCTGAGCAAAATTATGAGGAAGTGCACCCTCCCATTCCATGAAGTTCCCCTTTCTCTATGCTGACTTGCTTTTTGGGAAATTGTCTCTCTCCAGTGCTTTTTTTTGTTTGTTTGTTTTTGTTTTTGTTTTTTGTTTTTGTTTTTTGTGTTTGTTTTTTACTTCTTCTCCCTTCTGGAAACTTAGTTTCAGGAGATATGCAGAAAAAAAAAACATACTAACGAGCAGGAGCAGACAGATTTTAAAATAGTAATATGTTCCTTTTAGCAGAAACATTGATATTTTAACCTCAGACAAAAAAAAACCCTACGTGTTAAGAAAAAAGAATCTGTGAATTTCAAAATGTTCGACATTAATGAGCAGGTTGAAAACATATTTTGATGGGGGAAGAGGATCTTAAGTTTCATGAACATTACTCTTCAGCGGCTACTTGCTCTACCTACACATAAGAAAGGCTGTACTTCTAGGATAGAAAGCCAGGATTTAAGGGAAATGGTGAGAGAGAGGAGTGGAAATCTGTGAGGATCAGTGGAGGAAAAAAGAAAGGAGAATATTTGTGTGATGGTGAGGGGTTGAAGTCAGCTTGCTATATAAAGACATTCTTTTTGAAAAATGCTAAGTCTTTATGGAAAAGCTTCATGATGTTATTTATTTTGCTAGTCTTTTCACTTCTTTCATGTTAGACTTGTTTAAAGTAAGCACTTTTGTGCAGAAATTAAAACCTAGGCAGCAAAATGTATGTAATCAGATGTAGTGTATTAGCAAGCCTCCCAGATGGGCCCCCAGTAACTCTTGTCTCTTTGTATCCATGTCTTTGTGTAGTCTTTTCTGATAGTGAATATTGTTGACCATGCGACAAATGGATATTGTAACAGTGATGGCATGTGACTTTCTGCAAGGTGAGGCTGTAAACCCACTGACCCTTTTGTCTCATACTTTATTGCATCACTTGCTCTGGAGGAAGCCAGGTGTCATGTGATGAGTACACAAGCAGTCCATGGAAAGCCCATGAGAAGAGGAAGATCTGTCAACAAGCTCCAACTTGCCAGCTTTATGAATGACAACATTCCCAAAGCAGATCTTCCAGCCATAGCCAGACTTCAAATGACCACAGCCCAACGGACATTTTGATTCCATTCTCATGAGAGACCCTAAGCCAGAAACATCTAAGCTGCTTCCAAATTCCGGACTCCCAGAGGATATGAGAGATAATAAATGTTTATTGTTGTTTTAAGCTAGTAGATTTTGGGGCAGTTTGTTATGCAGCAATAGATAATGAATACATATGTGTAAGGCAAAAATCCAGGCTGGAGGTTTAGCTAGAAAAGCCAATAAATTAACTAAATAATTGTGACTCAGGGGCCTGCCATGGCCCAGAATAATTTCAGACATTGCAGTTAGAATAAAAAAACCCCACAAAATCCCCATCTTCAGATAAGGAAAAGAGCAAGTAGAAAGATATACTTATATTTTGCAGATATTATAAGCTGTAGAAAGGAGAGAACATTGTAAGGTAGACCAGATAGTTAATCACTTGTGGAGAAGGTAGCACCTGAGGTGTCCCACAAAAGAAGAATTAAAAATAGATTGAAGAGAGGTTTTCTTGATGGGGAAAAATAGGATGAGAAGAGATGGTGATAGAAATGAGCAAGCTCATTGTGGGAGGTTTATGGTGTGTGTGTGTGTAACAGCCTTAAATGTTAATTTCTTAACTTGGAACACAATTTGAGAAGTAGGAAAATATTAAAAAAAATTTATGTTAGAAATTGTCTTGGAATCAGATGCTAAGAAAATAATTTGGTTTTAGACTAGAGGATCAATTGAGAGAGAGAGAGGTCACCGAGGGAAAGGATTTCATGGTGATCCAGGGTTGAGAGAGATTTCATTGTGGGTAATAGGAATAAAAAGGAAGGGCAAACTATGAGAAGACAAAAAGGACGTCATCAAGACCAAATGACTTTCTCTCTTCTCTTGGACTGCAAACACCACTGCATCAGAAACGGTATCCCCGTTGCTTAGCACATGATTGGCATCAGTAAATGCTCAATACGTATTTATTGGATGAATAAACAAAGTAGGGCCAGTCCTTGGCAGAGACGTCAATAAATGGTTAATCAATAGTTGGCAGAACTGAGGCCTCAGAAAGCATGAAAAACTCCCATCGAAGTCCATACTCCTGTTCACCATTATCCTGTTTGCTTAATACATTCGATAATGCTGGCCTTCCTTCAGGAGTGAGATGGGGCTGTGTTACTCACCCCGTCAGGGTCTTTCCTCATGATACTGTTTGCTCCGCCTGGGCTGACTACTCCTGTGTTAGTAACAGAAGGACAGATATGGGGATAATTTTCTTAGTATCTGGCTCTCCTATTAAATTGCAAATAAGCTCCACAAGAAGAGGGACTGTGTCTGTTGAAATCACCGTCATATCTCCATGCGTTTTATTGCACACATCTAAATTGATGTGGTTTGAATTTGCGTCTCCACCCAAATCTCATGTCAAATTGTAATCCCCAATATTGGAGGAGGGGCCTGGAGGGAGGTGATATGATCATGGAGGCGAATTTGGATCATGGAGGCAGATTTCTTCCTTGCTGTTCTCATGATAGTGAGTGAGTTCTCATGAGATCTGGTTGTTTAGAAGTGTGTAGCACCTCCCACTTTGATCCCCTACTCCAGCCATGTAAGATGTACTGCTTCCCCTTCCCCTTCTGCTGTGATTCTAAGTTTCCTGTGGCCTCCACAGCCATGCATCCTGAACAGCCTGTGGAACCATGAATCAAAACCTCTTTTCTTAATAAATTACCCAGTCTCAGGTAGTTCTTTATAGCACTGTGGGAACAGACTAATACATAAGTGAAGGATGAGATACCATCTATTTCTGTTCTTCTGGTCCTTCACAGTAGAGTCCACAGCATCTATTTCTCTTCTTGAATAGTTATTTATCTCATTTCTCATATTCCATCTGTAAAAAAAAAAAGAGCTTAACATAGTAGAGCTGAGACTGCCATCCTTAGAAGGTCTGCTTGTGTGGTTGGCCCCTGGTTGGTGTCAGGAACTTAAACTTCTGGAGGATTCTCATGATTCCCTTACTGATAAGAGTGGCTCATGGTGCTGAAACTGTGCAAAAAAAAAAGTTCATGCTGAGCACCTACCTGCTTCCTTCTGGGAGTCTGGAATTTTGGTACATGTTAGGCAGAGGGTGTCTACATGGTCAGCCCTCAATAAATCTTGGGTACTGAGTCTCTAATCAGCTTCCTTGTAGACAATATTTCACATGTGTTGTCACAGTTCAGTACTGGAGAAATACCTGACTTCGTGGGGTGGGGAGTCCTGGGAGCTTGTGTCTCATTTCCTCTGAGCTTCTCCTCATGTACCTTTTCCTTTTGCTGATTTTGTTTTGTATCTTTTTGCTATAATAAATCATAATTGCAAGTACAAATTTATACTGGGTCCTATGAGTTCTTCTGTTTTTTTTTTTTTGAGACGGAGTCTCGCTCTGTCACCCAGGCTGGAGTGCTGGAGTGCAGTGGCGCGATCTCAGCTCACTGCAAGCTCCGCCTCCCGGGTTCACGCCATTCTCCTGCCTCAGTCTCTCCGAGTAGCTGGGATTACAGGCACCCGCCACCACGCCCAGCTAATTTTTTATATTTTTAGTAGAGATGGGGTTTCACCGTGGTCTCGATCTCCTGACCTTGTGATCCGCCCGCCTCGGCCTCCCAAAGTGCTGGGATTACAAGCGTGAGCCACCGCGCCCAGCCCCTATGAGTTCTTCTAACACATTATAACACTGATGGGTTCTTAAGAACCCATGACTCATTGTCCATTGGAAACTGCTGTAACATTGCCTTAAAATATATCCTGAATATGACTGTTTATCTCCTCCATGGCTCCCACCTTTATCAATAACATTATCATCTTTCTCCTAAATCACTCATCCTCCTAACTGGTCTCCTTGTTTCCAGTCCTCTTTTTCTGCAGTAGAGCAGAGTGAACTGATCAATCCATAAACATGACCTGTCATTCTTGTTGTCAAATTCTCCAGTGACCAGATATCACATTCAAAGAGAAAGTAAAGTGTTTATAGTGACCTAAATAAACTGGTTCCCCATTGCCTCCCAGCCTCTGTATCCTCCTCCCTCGTCATTCACTTCACTCCAGCCATATGGGTTTACCCACTCTTCCTCACAGACATGTTCCCCCTCAGAGTCCTGACACTCACAGTCATCTCGCCCTGGAATGGTCTGTCCAAAGGTTCCTGTACGGCTCATTCCCTCACCTCCTTTAGATGTTTTACCAAATCCATGACGCCCTCCCTGGCACTTTGCCTAAATGTCAGTCTCTTCTCATACTCCCCCATCCCTCTTTACTTCTTCTGCTTAACCCTTATTATCAACCTACTACACATTTCATTTATTTATCTTGTTTTTTGCCTGTTTCACTCACTAGAGTGTAACCCTCAGGAGAGCACAGATTTTTGTCTGTTATGCTCACTGCTGAATCTCCAGTGCTTATGATAGCTTGTGACATACAGAAGGTACTCATTAAATACTTGATGAATTAAAGTACACATAAATGAATAATACATGACCCAGCCCCAAGCTTCATCTCCGTTGTACAACCTTCTTCAATTCCCCAGAGAATTTTGTGTATACGTATTTTTCATTAAAATTCCTCTCATTCTCTTTTTTCTGCTACAATTAGAAACGATTGGCAATCGTTTTCTAATTGTTTTTGTGCCCCATACATCTATAACAGTGCCTGGCATGTTATAATTGTTAAAAACAACACTCATCATTTTTTTTTGAATGACTGAATGAATGAATAAATGATTTTTCTTGTGATGTCAAATTGTTCTACAAAGGAATATTCCAAATTATACTGCAGTATATGAGTGTACCAGTATATGAATGTACCAGATTCACTAAAGATAAATCAGGATTTGGGTTTGTTTTTTGTTAATATAAGCATACTGAGTGGTAACATTTATTTCTATTTGCTTATTTCTTTATTCTTTAATTATTACTGCTTAACTGTTTTCAATTCTTTTTCTTAAGTTTACAAATACATTCCGCTTGTAGCATTTTGTAGTTTATATTAGAAATCATGAGAAAAGAATTTCCAAAGAATATGGAAGTTAACTGTTTCTTTGCATCACCAATATTGGGGAGTATGTGAGTCACGGACCCAGATGCTTCCAGGGGCCTGATAGGCAGCATAAGTGAGCAAACCTCCAGGTCAGTGTCCAGGCCCTGAAGACAGAAAGTGCATTTTTCACAGCCCACAGCTGGTGTTCAGTACAGCTAATGGGTGCCACGTGGGAAAGCAGGCTTGATGCTGCCAGAGTTCCTTTTTCAAAATTAAACCTTTTACTTCTTAGTTCTGGAGATGAAAATACACAGTAACACTTGTAGTAAAACTATTTCTTAAAAGATAATGAAACAGTAAAAGTACTATAATCAGGGATGATAACATGAGAAGCTGTGATATTGATTCACCACCCTTGGAATTGTTGAACATGGTATGTGTTTCATATTCCACTTTCCAGGAAGTGTTAGAATGAATTACGATGATTAAGAATTAATTTGTGTTTATTCTTTTCCCCCTACTCTCTATCATATTTCCAAATTGTAATGATTATAGTGATAATTGGTTGGAGGCCACTCTTCTGTTTGGTTTGGAATATGATGATTCATTACAGCCACTATCAAATTCCTGGCCAATATGTAGCAGAAGCTTTTGGTTAGCAGAAAGCACATGGTGTACACATTTGATCTACCACACAACATGGCAGATACCCCATTTGCATTGCCAGTTGCGCTACGCAAACACTTTCCTGGAATTATTTGAAATATAGCAAGGGTTATTGTTAAAATCTCTATTCTGGAAAAAAAAAATTGCCATGTTTTTGAAGAGCTTCTTGCCAGAGAATGGGAACAACATTAATAATACAGGCTGGCCTATCGTTCAGATAGTTCCCTTGGTGGTCAATTAGAGCTGGCATCCTAGAGGGAGCAGCATCTGTTATACAGACTTTAAGCTCTCTTCTCATAAAAGAAGATCTAGAAGCAGTTGAATGTATATTGGGACTCTTCCTAACTTTTCTCTAGGTGGTATTATCAAAGCTTAATGCTTGGCAATTACTTTGTGCTTATAGTTTTACAACTTTTCTTTTTAATTTCTGAAAGTTTATATGGCTACTTAGGAGATGCCATGACACAAAAGAGCCCACATATGTGTTTTTTTTTTTGTGAAAATATCTCATGTGCTTATGCACTTCTTTAAATTCCAGAGGAACAGCATTTGTCAGTTTCAGAGCTCTCAGCCAGGTACTGTGGAAGAATATAAAACAGAGAGAAGTTTGGTTTATCATGCCTAACAGAAGGTGGCACCAGAAATATCTAATAATGGTTTATTTAGTTTTGCTTAGGACATGATTGTTATGTTGATATATAAAGAAAATTACTCAAAATCTTTTTCATAACACCAAGTAATGACTGTATTTTATCACAGCACCATTCTCCTGTTGTCCAAACATTATTGCCTTATTCATCATACCAATACCATCATTTTCATATTATACCTCTGTTTATTTCCACGGTCTCAAGCAAAACAATAAGTAAACTAAGTTGCCTTTAACTTTCTTTGGACAAAATTATTCAATAATTAACTTTATTACTTTTAACTTAAATATTTTCTAAATTTAGAATTCAATTCTTCATGTTTGAATGGGATCTCATTTTGTATATGCCCTGGTAAAAGAGATACAACTATTTAGGAACTGTTTACAGCTCCTTCTTAAAGATAAAACTAAAAAAGAAGAGCACAATAATGACATACTTAAATGCCTGCTTATTTGTTTGCAAGAATATATGAAATTCAGAGCCTAGTATATTCATACCTGGTATCAGGTATAAACAGAGTGGTTTGAAATCATTCATTGTTTCTACAAATCAGCCTTATTCAGTGAATATCAAATTTATATTTTTACAAATAAAAAATAAGTTTCAGAAAGGTTAATAACTTGGCCATTGAGCTAGTAAGAAACAGGGCTATTTATACTTCACTATTTGAAACTTCTCTATTTAAAACTAAATCCTCTCTTTGCATAAATGGCAGAAAGATTCAGGATAAATCTATGTAGATAAATTAACTACATGGTGGCATGTAGGTTTGTTGACATTACAGAGGAGAAGTGCAGCAAATTCGTTTACTGTCATAACAGTTATGTTCTATTCTGTCTTAGTTGCCCTTTATAATGGAATTGATTTTTTTAACTCACAGGATCAGATTTCTGTACATGAGTTCTGTGTCCTTTAAAAAAGACACTTTGGGGATGCTGAGCATCAAGAAAATAAGCCAAATATTTCCACAGCTCTTCCCTTTCAGGTGCCTTGGGAGTGCCTGCCACTTTCTTTTTAACACTTTCAGTAGTGACAACTCTTCAGTAGTTGGTGGCTTTTTTTTTTTAATGTGAAGAGAAAAAAAAAGAAAAAGAGAAAGCTATCTAGAGCTAAGTCTAGAGAATATGGTGAAAATTGCATTATTTAAGCTCCAATTCAAATGTGTTTATAAAATAACCACCATGATGCTTCCCTCCTCACTTCCTCCCCACTTCCCTCCCTCCCTTCCTTCCCTCTCTTTCCCCCTCCTTCCCTCCCTCACTTCCTTCCTTCTTCTCTTCCTCTTTCCTTTCTTTCTTACCTCCTTCTTTCCTTCTCCTGCTTCTCCATAAATCATAATGTGTTTCTATGAAGGGAATTTCAAAAATGTTATCAGGGTGGAAAATTATTGAAATAAGTAAATATCTTCCTAGGTGTCAATTTTAAATACTAATACTTTGAGAAGCAAGTGCTAGTGTGTTCATTTATCTTATAGTCAACTCTAGTGAAAATATCTTCTCTGGTTATCTTTTACTGTGTAAAACCTCCCCCAAACGTAGTGGTGTAAAACCACAATTATTTTACTCTGCACACAGTTTTGTGGGTCAGAAAATTGGGCAGGACATCACAGGAATGGCTCATCTTAGATCACGACAGCTGAGGCCTCTGCTGGGTGGCTCTATGGGCTGAAGATGGCTCAGATGGGGCCGTTTATCTGCCACCTCAGTTCTGGCTTTTGTCTGAATTTCTTAATTTTTCTCCACATCCAAGTTGTCTTATTTTCATTCACTCACATGTCCAGAACCTGGCTTAGATGGGTGAAATCTCTGGGGCTGGCTGGTCTCCTTTCCTCATGTGGCCTTCCAAAATGCTCAGCTTCAATTTCCTCACAATCCAGTAGCTGGGCTTCTTACACAGTGGCTAGCCTTCCCCAAAACAACATTTCCAAGAAGCGAGAAGTAGGAGTTGCTAATCTCATAAGGCCTGGACCAGAAACTGATGTAGCATCTCGTCTGCCATATTATGTCAGTAAAATCATTAACACAGCCTGCTCAGATTCAAGGGACAGAGACATGAACTCCCAGAACTCAATGACAGGAGCGTCAAAGAATTTCATAATCCACCACAAAACCTACAAGTATCCAAATAGATAGGAGACATATTCTTCTCTGGATTTTTCTCTGTCTTGAAAACATCAGAGATGTTCAGGGTGCTGTATGAATTAAAGATGAAGTGTTAAGCATAGATTTGCCTCAAAATACTGCATGTATATGCTCAGAATCTAGATATATTTATTTTAGTACAGAGCTAGTTCTGATTAATTTTTATGTCTACATAGCTGACTCATTCTAAGATTTTTGGACCCTTTATTTGGAGAACAATTGCCTGACAAATTAGTGCAGTTTACCCATGCTGTATTATAAATCATGTATTCCTCTCTACTTTGCTTATGTTCAACTCTTTCCCTGAAATATCTGCCCATATCCATGCTAGCTTTGCTGTCTGAAATTTCTGTCCATCCACAAAAATCCATGTCTTCCATTAAGCCTTTTCTCATCCCCAAACCAGATACTTTATTCCTTTCATGTAAGCCTCCATAATATTTTTTGGAGGGAGGATGTTCTGTGTTATTCTTCTCATACTTTACCTTGAATTAAAGCCATTTATTTATTTATTATCTTCTCACCCTGGGCAAGCTCTTAGGAGGCAGGATGACTTCTCATTTATTTTTCATCTGACGTCATTCTTAGTGTGGTGCCTTGTCCACAGTAGGTGCTTGAGAGGTATTGCTCAAAGTGAAGAATTGGAATATTTATATATATGAGAATTTCTGTTGATTTTGCTACTTTTATAGAAAGATCCATTATCTAAAGGCGGTGATAAATTGAGTACTTACTCGGGTTAGGATGATGGTGATTACCTGATATACCGCATCCGTTGAGCAACCATGAAGTATCCTGGCACTTGCCTAAACACCATGCTAGGCAAAAAAGCAATCAAAGTTTTCTCATGCAGAAAAATTCATTTTAGTGGGGGAATTAGACATGAGATAGCAAGTAGATAACCATTTAGTTGAATTGTGCTAAGTTCTATTAAAGAGAGGCTGAGTGTGCTAGCAGTGGGTAGAATAGGGAGATCTAACCAATCCAGGAGGGTATTTAGGGAAGGCTTCCCTCTGGAGGTGACTTTAGAGCTGAATTCTGAAGGATGACTGGTAATTAACAAAAGGGAGAGGACAGGTGGCATTCTGAGACTTGAGCAGGTAGGACACATGGCTTGTTGGAAAATGGAGAGAAGTGATGTTTGCACTGAGATCTGAAGGATACGTAGGAGCCAACGGTATGGAGTGGAGGGAGCCAATATCAGGCAGATGAGACAGTGTGTGGAAAGGACCTGGGGTGGCAAGAAACATGGAATATGAGAGAGGCAGAAAGATGGTCAATGGGGCATGGGAGAGATTGGCTGGGGACCTGGGTCACTTTGTGGCAGGCCCCTCATGGACCACACAAAAGATTATTAATTGGCTTTATGCCTAATATAAGAAGAAGCCATTGAAATAATTTAAGTAGAGAGGTGCCCTGTTCAGATTTGTGGTTTCAAAAGAATATCTTCATTATAACAATTTAACCACACTTTAAAAATCAGAAATTTTCCCAGGGTCAGAAAAATTGAATGACAAAGCAACAAAGGCATAACATAAATTCAAGCTCTCAGATTCAAAACTCAGAGCCTTTGTTTCAAAGAGTATTTGGAAGTGCCATTTTCCCTTAAGCTTAGGGGTGATCTATGTCATATTTCAGACATGGAACCTAAATTTCAGGTCCGTTAAGACTTGAAATATTCCCCTTCCTGTGCCCATGTGTTCTCATTGTTCAATTCCCACCTATGAGTGAGAACATGCAGTGTTTTGTTTTTTGTCCTTGCGATAGTTTACTGAGAATGATGATTTCCAATTTCATCCATGTCCCTACAAAGGACATGAACTCATCATTTTTTATGGCTGCATAGTATTCCATGGTGTATATGTGCCACATTTTCTTAATCCAGTCTATCATTGGGGGAAGGGATAGCATTAGGAGATATACCTAATGCTAAATGACGAGTTAATGGGTGCAGCACACCAGCATGGCACATGTATACATATGTAACTAACCTGCACATTGTGCACATGTACCCTAAAACTTAAAGTATAATAATAATAAAATAAAATAACCCAAAAAACAAAAAACAAAAGACTTGAAATGGCTTTTCCTCCGCTCACCATCCACATCAGATACAGGGATGTGTTTAGAGAAGGTATACAAACAATGACAGTACTGGGCTCTAGAGAAAAGATTGCAGCTATGAAGTCCTGGCAGCATTTCCTGGGTATATGTTAGTAATATTCTCTGGAAAGTTTTTTTTCCCCCCTACACCATGAAGAGGCAGGCTGTGGTCCTCTCTTTAGTTTCATTGTAGAATAACAATCTGCATATACACACCAGAAACTATGAAAAAAAGCCTGGTTTAGGAATTAAAAAGACTTAGATTAAAATCCTGGCCTGGCTTATAGTCCAAAATCCTGGACTAAAATTACTAGGTCTGTCACATTCTTAATTTCACTGAGCTTAATTAAGGTTTTCCACCTGGAAGAAGAATGTGATAATCCTGACTCCACGGGCATGCCGTGAGGATGAATAGAACACAGCAAATGCAAAATCGCTTCAGTCTATTAGTCTGTAAATGATCATGATTATTGTTGTTATTACTATTTTATGCATTGTGTCCTTTGTTTACTGGAGCAGATACTGCTATTTAAAACCCACTTAACTTTTTTTCCTCTTCATAACATTTATTTGTGTGATAGACAGAAAAGTCCCCCTACCCCTACCCCACCAAGTTGACCACATCCTAACTCTTCGAACCTTTAAACAAGTTATACAATGTGGTAAAAAGGACTTTGTAGAAGTAATTACATTAGAGGTTTTTTTAAATTTTTTAAATTTATTTTATCTATTTATTTTTTAATTATACTTTAAGTTCTAGGGTACATGTGCGCAACATGCAGGTTTGTAACTTATGTATACATGGGCCATGTTGGTATGCTGCACCCATTAACTCGTCATTTAGATTACATATATCTCCTAATGCTTTCCCTCCCCCCTCCACCCTCCCCCCATCCCACAACAGGCCCCAGTGTGTGATGTTCCCCTTCCTGTGTCCAAGTGTTCTCATTGTTCAATTCCCACCTATGAGTGAGAACATGTGGTGTTTGGTTTTTTGTTATTGGAATAGTTTGCTGAGAATAATGGTTTCCAGCTTCATCTATGTCCCTACAAAGGACATGAACTCATCCTTTTTTATGGCTGCATAGTATTCCATGGTGTATATGTGCCACATTTTCTTAATCCAGTCTATCATTGTTGGACATTTGGGTTGGTTCCAAGTCTTTGCTATTGTGAATAGTGCCGCAATAAACATACATGTGCATTTGTCTTTATAGCAGCATGATTTATAATCCTTTGGGTATATATCCAGTAATGGGATGGCTGGGTCAAATGGTATTTCCAGCTCTAGATCCTTAAGGAATCACCACACTGTCTTCCACAATGGTTGAACTAGTTTACAGTCCCACCAACAGTGTAAAAGTGTTCCTATTTCTCCACAACCTCTCCAGCACCTGTTGTTTCCTGACTTTTGAATGATTGCCATTCTAACTGGTGTGAGATGGTATCTCATTGTGGTATTGATTTGCATTTCTCTGATGGCCAGTGATGATGAGCATTTTTTCATGTGTCTGTTGGCTGCATAAATGTCTTCTTTTGAGAAGTGTCTGTTCATATCATTTGCCCACTTTTTGATGGGTTGTTTGTTTTTTTCTTGTAAATTTGTTTGAGTTATTTGTAGATTCTGGATATTAGCCCTTTGTCAGATGAGTAGATTGCAAAAATTTTCTCCCATTCTGTAGGTTGCCTGTTCACTCTGATGGTAGTTTCTTTTGCTGTGCAGAAGCTCTTTAGTTTAATTAGATCCCATTTGTCAATTTTGGCTTTTGTTGCCATTGCTTTTGGTGTTTTAGACATGAAGTCCTTGCCCATGCCTATGTCCTGAATGGTATTGCCTAGGTTTTCTTCTAGGGTTTTTATGGTTTTAGGTCTAACATTTAAGTCTTTAATCCACCTTGAATTAATTTTTGTATAAGGTATAAGGAAGGGATCCAGTTTCAGCTTTCTACATATGCTAGCCAGTTTTCCCAGCACCATTTATTAAATAGGGAATCCTTTCACCATTTCTTGTTTTTGTCAGGTTTGTCAAAGATCAGATAGTTGTAGATGTGTGGTATTGTTTCTGAGGGCTCTGTTCTGTTCCATTGGTCTATATCTCTGTTTTGGTACCAGTACCATGCTGTTTTGGTTACTGTACCCTTGTAGTATAGTTTGAAGTCAGGTAGCGTGATGTCTCCAGTTTTGTTATTTTGGCTTAGGAATGACTTGGCGATGCAGGCTGTTTTTTCGTTCCATGTGAACTTTAAAGTAGTTTTTTCCAATTCTGTGAGGAAAGTCATTGGTAGCTTGATGGGGATGGCATTGAATCTATAAATTACCTTGCATGGTATGGCCATTGTCACAATATTGATTCTTCCTCTCCATGAGCATGGAATGTTCTTCCATTTGTTTGTATCCTCTTTTATTTTGTTGAGCAGTGGTTTGTAGTTCTCCTTGAAGAGGTCCTTCACATCCCTTGTAAGTTGGATTCCAAGGTATTTTATTCTCTTTGAAGCAATTGTGAATGGGAGTTCACTCATGATTTGGCTCTCTGTTTGTCTGTTATTGGTGTATAAGAATGCTTGTGATTTTTGCACATTGATTTTGTATCCTGAGAGTTTGCTGAAGTTGCTTATCAGCTTAAGGAGATTTTGGGCTGAGACGATGGGGTTTTCTAGATACACAATCATGTCATCTTCAAACAGGGACAATTTGACTTCCTCTTTTCCTAATTGAATAACCTTTATTTCTTTCTCCTGCCTGATTGCCCTGGCCAGAACTTCCAACACTATGTTGAATAGGAATGGTGAGAGAGGGCATCCCTGTCTTGTGCCAGTTTTCAAAGGGAATGCTTCCAGTTTTTCTCCATTCAATATGATAATTGGCTGTGGATTTGTCATAAATAGCTCTTATTATTTTGAGATACGTTCCATCAATACCTAATTTATTGAGAGTTTTTACCATGAAGGGCTGTTGAATTTTGTCAAAGGGCTTTTCTGCATCTATTGGGATAATCATGTAGTTTTTGTCTTTGGTTCTGTTTATATGCTGGTTTACATTTACTGATTTTCATATGTTGAACCAGCCTTGCATCCCAGGGATGAAGCCCACTTGATCATGGTGGATAAGCTTTTTGATGTGCTGCTGGATTCAGTTTGCCAGTATTTTATTAAGGATTTTTGCACCTATGTTCATCAGGGATATTGGTCTAAAATTCTTTTTTTTTTGTTGTGTCTCTGCCAGGCTTTGGTATCAGGATGATGCTGGCCTCATAAAATAAGTTAGAGAGGATTCCCTCTTTTCTATTGATTGGAATAGTTTCAGAAGGAATGGTACCGGCTCCTCCTTATAGCTCTGGTAGAATTCGGCTGTGAATCCGTCCAGTCGTGGACCTTTTTTGGTTGGTAGGCTATTAATTATTGCCTCAATTTCAGAGCCTGTTATTGGTCTATTCAAAGATTCAACTTCTTCCTGGTTTAGTCTTGGGAGGGTGTATGTGTCGAGGAATTTATCCATTTCCTCTAGATTTTCTAGTTTGTTTGCGTAGAGGTGTTTATAGTATTCTCTGATG
Organism: Homo sapiens; assembly: GCF_000001405.40. Taxonomy (NCBI): domain Eukaryota; kingdom Metazoa; phylum Chordata; class Mammalia; order Primates; family Hominidae; genus Homo; species Homo sapiens. The sequence goes on from NC_000005.10 coordinate 57,946,166, forward strand.
GTAGTTTGTATTTCTGTGTGATAGGTGGTGATATCCCCTTTATCATTTTTTATTGAGTCTATTTTCTCTCTTTTCTTCTTTATTAGTCTTGCTAGTAGTTGGTCAATTTTGTTGATCTTTTCAAAAAACCAGCTCCTGGATTCATTGATTTTTTTGAAGGGTTTTTTGTGTCTCTATGTCCTTCAGTTCTGCTCTGATTTTAGTTATTTCTTGCCTTCTGCCAGCTTTTGAATGTGTTTGCTCTTGCTTCTCTGGTTCTTTTAATTGTGATGTTAGGGTGTCAATTTTAGATCTTTCCTGCTTTCTCTTGTGGGCACTTAGTGCTATAAATTTCCCTCTACACACTGCTTTAAATGTGTCCCAGAGATTCTGGCATGTAGTGTCTTTGTTCTCATTGGTTTCAATGAGCTGTAGACTGGAGCTGTTCCTATTCGGCCATCTTAGAACTGCCCCCACATTAATGGTTTGGAAATAGGAAGACCATCCTGGATTATTTGTGTGGCCTCTATGTAATCACATGGGTCATTATAAGAGGGAGTCAGGTGGGTCAGAGTTAGAGAGAAACATTCGAAGATGCTACAGGTGCTATGCTGCTAGCTTTGAACATGGTGGAAGGAGCCACCAGCCAAGGAATGCAGTGGCTTTTAGAAGCTGAAAAGGGGATAAATTCTCCCCTAGAGCCTGCAGAAGAAACCCAGCCCTGCTAACGCCTTAATTTTAGCCCAGTAAGGCCGGTTCTGAACTTCTGACTTCCAGAACTGTAACTTGTGTTGTTTTAAACTATGACTATTGTGGTGATTTGTCATACACAATACACTACGAAACAATGAATTTTAGCTGGCAAAATTTTTATGTCCCATATTTTTGTACAGGAGGGCATCTTTGTTTATGCGTATGGGCTTTAATAATTATCTAATTATATTGATTTATGATACTTTTCATGATTTTAAAAAGCCTGCATTGAATCTAAATTTAACCCAATAATTACTTTTTTTCTTCCTTTCCTTATCATATTATTTTTTCTTGTTTGTTTTAACGGTAACCCAAAAATAAAAATAATATACTAGAAAGTCTCTTGAGAGGAGGATTTCTTAAAATGCTGCTATATCTGGCATGATGAAGCAACTACTCCACCAACTAAATTTGTAACTGGAAAGCAGAAAGTTCTTCAAAGTTCACACAGAATAAGAGCCTGGCCTCCCGGGCAGGAGGATGCCATCTGTTATCACCGTGACTTTCTGCCAGAATGATTGCTTTCTCATCCCTCCTAGGGAGGAGATTTTTAGGCAAGAACTACCAGCAGAATTGACTCTAATAAATTTGAGGTTTTAGAACTTTTTCGTAATTCTGTAGTTTTCTTGGTATTGAATGGTTTAGTTAACAGAAATAAAATGGATTTTTGTTTTCGTTCTTTGCATCTCTTCTTATTTTGTGGGCATATAATCACCTTAACTTCTACCTAAAGCTGTTTGCTCTGCAGCTGGTAGGAAGACATTCTTGCTTGGCTGGACATAAATCCTCTGTATGCCATCTTTTAAAAATTCCTACCTCTGATGAATAAACAGAGAGCCATATGAATATAGTATTAAATTCAATATAAAAAGAGAAAGTGAGGGAAATTTTAGCATACTATTAGGAATTGCTTTTTTCTAAATGTTTACTAACTTTCAGTATCTTATGCTTAGCCCATAGACTCTTCAAGACCATGACAACACTCTGGAAACAAAATCCCAAGCAGAGATGCTAATGTTCTTTATTGTTGAATACTGCTCTTAGAATCACAGTTAATTTTTTCTTCTCTGGGAATACATGTATAAATATATCAATACTGCTCCATTTAATTAATAAAGCTATCAGTACTGTTCTATTTAATTAATAAAGCAATTATTTCTATTGATAAAGAAAATTATTTGCTTAGAATGGTAGCTTAAGTCAACCCCATGGGCAAAAAAGCTACTTTAGTTGAAACTTGTTATGGTGTCTGGTTTACTACAATAAAATTGAAATTTCTTTAAAGTCATATTTTCCCTGCTGAGTGCTAAGGTTGTAACTGTGACAGTTAGGCTGTTTATGTTTGAGCCCTTTAAAAATTTTTATTGTCTTCCTGTCTTAAGTTGCTTGAAGTATGCAATAAACTTTCAATATTTAACACAGAGCCTTGCTTACCTTGGTAGGGAGGGGGCAAATTTCTTTCAAAACAGGATTGTAGTTTATTGCATGTGGTTTGCAAAATCCTGTACGTAATTCTGATTCAGGGCTCCTTATATTTCCTCCCTACTCCCAGTATGAAAAGTGTCTCTTTAGAGTATCTCTTAGTTTGTGACAAACTTTAAAGCAAATAAACTATCCTTTCAATGAGGTAAAGGATGATACCAAATGTCATAATTCCAATAAATTGGAAAAATAACTGATTCTAAGAGCAGTATTCAACAACTTTCTAGAAAAAAACTTTCTAGAAAAAAAAGTCTGATCAGGTACCTCAAAAGTGTGATAAAAGAGGGACTATATTAGATACTGTCAGCACTCTGTCTATATCTTCTCACCTTTATCTGTTCAATGCTCTCTGACCAAATTCCAACTGTATTTCTCTGCCAGGGGGCTTTCTCCACATTCTACAGCTCATTTTGCTGCCCATAAGGCAAGCTGGAAGAGGCAGAAATTATTGCCCTGTCTAGAAACAGCCTTCAACTAATGACTAACAAGGGCTGTTGTACAAATAACCCAGGTTCCGCATCCCTCAGGTGGGATACACCTGAGACATGCATTTTACACTGGAACACAGCCTTCTCTGGAAAGATTAACCACTGGATACCCACAGTGTAACTTCCTTTATTTAAAAAATACTTTCTTGCCTATTTTCTTTTCTTCCTTGTTTCACCCCTTTATATTTCTGCTGGTGTTTCCCAGATTTACCTTCAATATAAACCACACCGTATGCTCCTGGGGTCCATCTCCAGGAAAAAAGTATATGGCTTTTAAAAAACAACTTTTGATCAGCCCCTGGTTGACATAAAACTCCTAAACATGGAACCCTGAGTCACTATGAGTTCAAAACTGCTTATTGTGCTGTTCAGTGAGCCCCACCAAATTACAAAGTTGGGTGGACCCAGTGACCGTCTACTGTACAACAGCAGCAGTACAAAAGTAGTATCTCTTCAGTGGATAAGCTGAACAACAAGGATACATGTGAGTTGGCCTAGACACAAGTTGGCCGTAAGTCAACGCCATCTATATCAAGCTTCACCTAGGGATAGCCCTGAAAAACAGTAGTGAAGGAAAATTCCCCCAAAAGGCAGGCCATCCACTTTGTGTTAGGGAAAAGTAGCCTGATATTAGAATATATACTAATCCATGGGCGGCGGTAGATGGTCTGACCAGCTGGTAAAAGGCCTGGAAAGAAAAAGGATTGGAAGGTTTGGGACAAGAAATTCTGGGGTTGAGGCATTTACCTGGACATTTGGCAGTGGGCACAAAGTGTGAAGATCTTAACATTCACTAGAGAGTGCAGACAATGGAAGAGACATTGAATGAACAAGTAGACAAAATATCTTGTTCAGTTGGCATCAGTCAGTCTCTCATTGGCCAACTCAGTGCTGGTATGATGGGCACATAAACAATGTGGCCATTATGGTGGAGACGGAGGCTAGGCATTCCCACTCACCTATACTAACCTAGCTGGTGCCACCATTGACTTTCAGCTTGCTGGCAGCAGAAACCAATCAATGCTGAAAACATTAAATCACATCATTTCTCAAGGAGAGGCCAACCAGTCTCCTGGTGGCAAGGTGACCACATTAGGCCCCTTCTGCTTTAGAAAGTTCAGTGGTTTGTTTTTACAGAAACAGACTTACAAGATAGGGCTTATAGAACATTTGGCCCATCAGTCCAGGACTCCATATTATATCGTGTTGGACCAAAGAACCCACTTTGTAGCAAGAGAAATGCAGAAATGGAATCATCGCTAAGGCATTCACTGGTCAGATCACACACTGGTCAGATCAACCACAGCTTCTGGTTTGGGGTGGTGCAATGTATGATCTGATCATTGGAATAGCCTGCCAAAGACATGGCTGAAGTCCTAGCTCTGCTTTGCAAGGATGGAGCACCATCCTTCAAAAGACGCATATCAACATCGAGTAAAAGACTTTATATGGGGGTCTGTCCCCAAAAGGAAACTCTGAAAGGGTGGAAGCGGGAATGGCCCCACTTATGTTGCTTCCAATGGCCCACTGGGGGACTTTGGCTTTCCCCCATGCAACTCTGGGCTAGAGGTCTTGGTCTTCAAAAGGGGTACATTTTCACCATGGGACACAGAAAGAGCCTCATTATGCTATAAGCTACAGCCCCTCCCTGAGATCTGTGGGCTTCCTTTTTCCAGGAACCAGGAAATCATCCCTTGGTAGGGATGATTGACCTTGATCATCAGGAAGCTGTAAGGCTGTTATTAAAAAATAGGAGCAGGGAAGAATATGTTTGGCATACAAGGGATCTACTTGGCCTCTCTACATACTTCCTTGCTCAACTGTGACTGTAAATGGACAAATACAGCAACTCTGGACTGCAAAAGCATGGTAACCAGAAGCAGGGGCCCCCTAGTGATAAGGGTCTCTGTCATGCTGCAGCATACCTGGTAGCTGAGAGTAAGAGAACTTTGGATGCAATTGTGGCAGAAAGAAACAATGAGTAACAACTGTAACTCAATGCCAGCTGCAGTGGCTGAAATTCATCCTATTAACCTCTCACTTGTTTTTCCTTGAGAAGGAAGGCCCCCAGGAATCCTGGAGGAGCTGTTGCCTGAATGTGTATGAAGAAAGAAACCTGTGTGGCACAAAGGGTGAGCTGTGATAGCAACAGATTAGGACTGCTTACATCCCTATTCAGGGAAGGACACACTGCCCAGCTATGGGGAATGCAGTCAGCAGACAGCATCTAGCTGTCTGCTCCTTCAGGGTCTGTCTCAGCTACAGAAACCTGCACTGTAGGGAACATCCTTCAGATGACAGCTCCACATCTGGTGTCTAAGAGAAGCAAAGGCATAAAGACCCAGGCATTTTAGTCCAATGTGAGATAACTTTACTGAACAATATTCATTTCAGAGTTCCCTGCCAGGGCTTCTGCATTCTACTTTTACAAAGCAAAGATGCTGAAATACAAATAATTTATTATTTCAAAAAAAGAAGGAATATTTTGCATCCAAAGGTTTAGTGAGGAGTAAAGAGCTTGCTTACCTTCAAGGAAAACTTACTATATGATCCTCAATTTCTCCTTTAACCTTGAACTTGTGAAAATATTACCAAGGTAAGTGCATGACATAGTCTAGCTGTTGGTCCCTTGGTGCAAAGACAGAGTTGTCCCAGAGGAGAAAGGAGGCTACATGAAGGCTATCACATATTTATTCCACTAGGCCAGGAGTCTTCCATTTTAACTTAAATGTAGCTATCTCATCTGTCAGATTGGACATATAAGCTCAAGCACAGTTATCAATAGGCTCAGTGAAGGACAAATAAATATGAAGCCCAGGTACAGAAAGGTAAAATCATTTGCATCTCTTCATGGTTTATCCTCAAAAAGTAACTGCTTCCATTGTGAGTGAAAATGGCAAATGTGTCCCTGAGCATTCTCATAAGATAAACCTGATTTCTGGATTTTGAGATAGTACCAAAGGAACTATTACCACATAGGTAAGATGTCGTCACAGGTGAAGAAGATCTTTGTTGTCAGGTACCGATTAAGGAAGAAGCCAGTTTTCTGTCAATTACTTTGCTAAGTTCTTCCAGAAAATAGGATTGTGAAGTGTAAGCCAAATAAAATATTTTCTTAATAAAATATTTCAGCTTGGAAGTTGGTTCTGCTTTATCAAAGTAATAATAACCTTGGAAATAAAGTGTTTCTGCTTGCTAATAGCTCATATTAATAATTAAACAGCTTGCTGTTTGCAGCATTTTAAAGAGAGACCCTTAGGTGGATGGTCATGTTTACAAAATGATTCAACTCTCCCAGTATTCTGAAAATATGATTGTCCATTTCATTGTAAGATTATTTTATTATTTGGTTTCTGACTCTTCTGTAAAGTTGTCTTCAGCTATTTCAATATCTGTCTTTTAGCTTCCTGATTATTTTCCATTTTTAAAAATTATGTCCTTTTCCTAAGCCTTAATGAGAAAGAAATGTCCAAGGCAAACATGTTGGCTAGAGTTGATATTGTATTTGGCATTAATTCACGGTATAGAAGTTGATTATCCAAGAAGCACGTTTGATTCAACACTGCAGGTCATACGGGCAGCCAATTAATTACGTTTTCATACTGATCTGCACCAAGTTCCATAAGCTTGCCCAGGGTGGTGGTGTTTGAATTGATGTTTCAGTGACAAGTATCACACTGATGAGATGAATAGCTTAGTCAAATTTACAAACTCAGGTGTGAAATGTATTGCATTTCGGCAATTCCTGGGAACTCTAAACATATTCAAAACAAATGAAGTGGAAACTCTCTTTCCTGGGGATAATGCTTTTAATTTTTCCTAATTTTCTAGCATGAACATTAAAAGAAGTTCATAGAGCTATGTAAAATAATACCAACCTATAAACTCATGAAATTATTCTGAGGTAATATGGAAAATTTATAATAAATGTTAAAGGTACAATTACCACTGCTATCCTGAAATATCTTCTTAGGAAGCCAGGGTATGCATACTGTATCAGAGCAGTTATAGCAATTAATGCTTGAGAAGGACAGGTATTAATTTTTAAGTTCTGGTAAAAGTTTTTGATTCACTTAACTTGCATTAATGGACCTAAGGTACTTGGTTCAACTTTTTAAAACTGTAGAATAATAAACCTTAGTGATAATTTATTACAGAGAAAATATTCCCTGTAATAAATTGTAATGGGAATGAAAACAATAAAACTTTTAAACGATTTGGAAAATAGAAATAGTAGAAACTATTTTAAGTTATTTGGAAAATAGGAATAATAGACATTCATGAATAAACTCATTTAAAATGGGTTTGCTTCTGTTATGAGTTAGAAATAGGATTCCATGGAAAAAAAAAAAAACCTTTTTGAATTGTTTGAATTAGGTTAGTCCTTTAGTTGGAACATTGAGAACCTAGTAGCCTTTTAATCAGTCTTTCTCCAGGGCGGCACATCTGCGATTGGAAACGGGAGAGTGGAACTAATTCAAATCTTTTCAAAAAGTGGTTAATAAGCAGGAAAAAATGGGATGGTAACCATGGAGAAGATAAGTGGCTATCACATTGATGTGTTAAATGTTGCTGACTGACTCCAAAACAGAACAAGAAGAAAAGAACCAGTTTGTCTAAGATTACCCCACTGCCTAAATCAGGGTCCTGTTTAGAGCAGGCCCATCTGCTGATCTTCTGAAGCCCTTCCAATGGTGCATGCTTTGACAAATGCTTGGAGACAGGACTGTTTTTATACAGTATCGCATATTAGGTATAGCTTTTGGGTAACTAACAAATTCTTTGAACCTTAGTTTTTACCATCTATAAAATAATTATCATTTTCCTACTAACTTCCAGCAGAGTTTTAAAAGTTTTAATAGGTTAGTAAAAATGGGATTTCTCAAAAACTTGTGTCTGCATGCCCTTCTAGTTTTACCTTCTCCACTAATTACCTCATTCTTGCAATATTTTCTAGTACACATTTTAAAGACAGGGAAGCTGACAGACCATGTTCTTACACTAGCTTTCTTTGCAGGTTGCCTCTAGGGCTTTAGATTGAGATGTTATCATGGACTGAACTGTGTCCCTGCAAAATTCATACGTTGAAGCCCCAGCTCCCAGTGTGGCTGTAGTTGGAGATAAGACTTTTTTAAGGAGGTAATCAAGCTTAAATGAAGTCATAAAGGTGGAGCTCTAATCCAACAGGGTCGATGCCCTCATAAGAAGAGGAAGAGACATCAAGAGTGCACATGCACAGAGAAAAGGCCATGTGAAGTCACAAGAAGATGGCTGTCTGCAGGCAAAGGGGAGAGGCCTCACCAGAGACTAATCCTGCCAGCACCATAATCTTCAACTTCCAGTCTCCAGAACTTTAAGAAAATAAATTTATGTTGTTTGAGCCCATCAATCTTGTACTTTGTTGTAGTAGCCTGAGCAGAGGAATTCATCTGGATTGACTTCTTGTTGGTCTGGTGTTTATTGTATTCTGCCTGAAATGGGTTGCAGACTTACCAAATGTGACAGATCTTGTACCATGTACATGTACACAGCTAAGTGTTCTTGAGAGGGCACTTTCTAAAAGACTTTATACTCAGCTTATTAGAGAGGATTCACCTATAATTATTTTATAGTTAACAGCAATATAATCTTTGCTTATTCTTTGCTTATATTTCAGTTTCTATTTCTCACCAAGCCCATGGAAAATGTTTCTTATTAAAGCAAAACTGAAATTGGTTTCCCTTTACAGGTAGAAAACCAAGGGTTGTTATCTCTTCTTCACTGAGGATAAATTCATTCCATTACTGCTAAAACATTCTCAGAACAGGGTTCCTAAAGCAAACACCTGAGTCCTCCTCTTAAGTGTCCCCATATTCCCACTTTCAGGATCCATCAACCAAGGATACAAGAAGATTATACTAATGTTCACATTCAGTAGTCTGGCTCAGTACTTTCTAGGGAATTTGCTGGAACCTCAATTTTACTTACCTCAAAATTTTATTCTTTGACTTTTTGCTAGTATTTTTAAGTGTGATATTATTCTGTTAATATTTTTAAGTTTTAAAGAAGAAACCCTATTTTTTGGAGACACTGAAGTGTTTATAGATTAAATGACAAGGTATCTGGGATTTGCTTCAAAATTCAGGGTGAGTTGGCGGATGGGAATTATAGATATAAGAAGTTTGGTCATGAGTGGAGGATTTTTGAAGCTTCACCATTGGTACAAAGAAGTTCATACGTATATACTTTTTTCATATCTTGTATAAATTTGAAAATTTTTACAAGTCAAATAGTTTTGCCTCTTTCCAGAGAAAGAGACTTCAGGAGTATGATATGTGCATTTCAAAAGGCCATGGCTAATTCATCAAGGTTATCAAAGCTTATGGCATTTCTGATTTTTGACCTTGTCCCCATGATACTTACTCCTGTCACACTGAGGCAAGGCTCTTCAGCCTCTTTCTAGCAAACACTTGACTGAAGTCATGATCTATTACCAGTAATAGATCTTTCATGACAGGTTCTCACCTACCCTTAGTTTTTACCTCATTCTCAGAAGTCCAGCTCTCTGTATATTAGGCTTTTTTAGTTCATATCAATCAGCTCCCTATTGGGGGTCTAGGATTGAATTATCAGTTGACTGACAATCCATCTTAGTACACTCAAAGTAATTCTCTTTGCTAATTCTCCTAACCATCCCTACCTCCTGTTTTCTCTTGTCCACCCCCAATGAGTGTTGGACAAATTTCTGGTCCTTGATTCTCTATAGCTGCAGTGAACATCCATTTCCTCCAATATTCTCTCTGGGAGGTCAAAAGTTGACTTTTGTTCTCCAACTGCTTAGAGACAAATTCTTATCTCTCACTCAGCATGTAAACCCTTATTCAAACAAAGTTCCTGTTGGCCCCATGCCATGCTAGCCCCTACAATTAATTCTTAATTACCTGAATTCCTAGTATCTACACACACAGAGAGAAATATATTAATTCTAAAATCATTCTGAATAATATTCTTGATTCTTGGTTAACCCAATTTTACGTTATCCTTGGAACCAGAGACATATTTGGAGAGACTGATATTCTGCATAGCTGCTAGTTATAATTCCACAAAAATAGGCACCTGCTGACCAAAAGTTGGTTTTAGATTAGTTTTTAAATGGTTCTGGTGTTAAGCTTGTAAACAAAGCCCAAATGGTTTTGGGTACTAGAACTTTAACATGATTTTCTTTTTTCCCTAAGAACATAATGTTCTTTGGAGACACAAGGAAGCTTTGAGGCTGGAGCAGGCAGCTTCCCCTGAAAGACCATATGTTCAACATTGACATGGAGGCTGGTATGGCAAGAGTGGGTGGAGTGCACTGCCGTACCAACCTGGCATTCAGAATCCCAAATAACATGTTGTGGTCTTGAAGACAGCTAGAATTATGCTACCAACCTTTCTTCTCTTGAACTTACTCCTGTGTCCTTTGAAAAGTCTACCTTGGTAAAGTTTATTCAAGAGACAAAACAGTTTCCTAGTAACAACTCAATTTGATAAATTGAAATTGAAGCCTCACTCTATGCATTAGAAATGAATGATTGCATTTATTGAATGATATCCTTCCAAGAAGAACAGTTTGATTCTGATTCATTCCTAAGTACTTATTTTTCTTTGACTAGTCATCCCTGAGCAAGGAGAATATTAAGACTATTTAGTGATTAATGAAACTTTAATTATACTGTGATACGCGAATTACTTGGACATGAAGTAGCTTCTTGGGGGTGCTGTTAAGGAGTGGGAGAAGCAAGGTACAGAACGTTTTCCTATGAAAGAGAAATATTTCTCTCAAGGCTAGATACAGTTGGGAAAAGATTTCAGGAAAACCATGGCCTGGCTTTATATGATAAACTCCCTGATAGATGGTTTCCTTCCCGAAAGTAAAGGTCCTTGGTAAAGCTAGCCCACACCTTCCTGTGGTAATCTTAGTGGTGTTCAAAACATTTATATGCAGATAGTTCTTCATAACTAACCTTCTTTCTTCCTTATTTCCTCTTTTGCAGGCCTGGAGGAAATGGAACCCGCTGTCATTCTTCTTCATTCACATAAATGAAAACAGTCTTTTTGTATCCAAGTTAAATAACCACAACTTCTTAAATATTTATTGAAAGGGCCTGTCTTCTAATCCTTTTATTGTTTTTATTTTATTTTTCCCTTGGGTTTTTAATCAATTTTCTACATGTATGTCTAAGTTGTAAGACTCCCAATAGACAAAACACATAGTACTCTAAGTCTTAAATAATATTTAAATGAACAAATAATGTATCTTTCTTATTTCTTTTATTTCAGACTAACACATTGAAATTCATAGTCAGTGTGTGGCATATTATAACCCCTGGATTTTCTGCCACAATCCTGAAAAACAAATAACATGAGTTCCATAAACTTTCTGAGATATTTGCATGTTCATATTTTAAAATCCTGAGTTGCCTGCTGATTTTTAGTTAGTTAATTTGAAAGCTCATCATTTTATTTTTAAGTGCACTATTTTTTCTGTTTTTTAGTAAAATTGAGTTAAAATTTAGTTAAAATTATGTGAACATCAGTAATAAAGCTGAGAATCAGAATTTAAGAATCCCATCACCTTATCCCTTTAAACTTAATTCAAACTCTCACACATGTTTACCACACTAATATAAGGAGAGAGATAAAATATCAAGAATTTTCCACTTCATGATATAACTGAGCCATCAGGTTTTTAACTGTGGTATCATTTTGTTTCAAGGAACGTGATTTGCTAAGGGAATATTCAAGTGATGCTGTGATCAAAAATATTCAAACCAACCAAAGCATAATTTCCTAAAATTACAGTCTGTGTTTGTTTTTTCATGATGTACCACAGGAATATTGTCAAGCTTCATCCCCAAATTCTTGCCTGTCACTTCTTTCATTCAACACAGCTCTTTTTGTGCCTCTTTTAAATTTGTTCTAAAAATTGTTCATCATTTTTCTCATTATTCTTGTTCCTTTCTGTCTTTTAGTACTTGCAGCCTTATTTTGTCCAAGACAGTATTTTTAAAACAGCTCCTAGATCCTACTGGCTTTACGTTAAACTTTAATTAGTATTTCTTATTGTCCTTTTGATCTCTTCTCTGAAACACGGATTTGGATGAGGGATCAGGGTAGAAAATAAGCATAAATGAGTGGCTTTGGGGAAAACAAGACAATCAGCTGTTAGCTGAAGGACTTTTTTACAACATTCCCTTAAGAACTGTGAAGTCGCTTCATTTTTTATTCCAGTAGAGGCAAATATGAACCATAGGTCGAATTATATATACAACAGAATTCTCTTTCTCTGTCTCTCTCTTTTTTCTTTCTTTTGGAGCAGACTAGTAAAAGCTGCTAGTATGGAATTTATCTTTCTGGTACTGATATCTAGAGCCCTGAATACCTTTTCTCACACCCATACAGAGCACTGGGATCAATGCTGTGGGAAGTCAGGTGTGGGAAGCACAGGTACAGAATGTACAGAAATTTATCATTTCATAGTTCTACACAGCACACCTTAGTAAATCAGTTCACATATTGCAAGTTCATCCACATATAATCTATCTTCCGTACCTCATCGCACTCCTAAGAAGCAGGTAGGGTGATCCCCAGGCAAAAGAGGTCAGAAAAGTTAAAGGACTCTTCCAAGCTCACTCACTAGTAAGTCACTGAGCAGCTATTCAGACACTGTCCATTGTTTTTCCCGTTAGTTTTGAGCCTCTCACAGGAGGCTTGTTAACAACTCACAGCATGTTATTATTGGATGGAATTCTCTTGATAGGAATTGTCTGGGATATTATTCATAAATTCTAATAATACTGTGAGATTGGTGACAAGTGGAGATGCCTCCTTTTTATACACACAAATTATGTCACTAAACAGCAAAACGACTTGTTCAAAGGACAAGAATAAGTTCACATCACTGGACAATACTGTCTGTGTGAGACTAAGGAAATTGGTTTATGAGAATCAAGAATCCCATCAAGCTCAGATGTCTTCATTGTTAGACACTGTTAGACCCACTGTATGTTCCAAATAAATACATGTAGTAAACCTGAATTGGTGTTTTGAGTTGACACCACAGTTAAATGATGTAATTAACTTCCCGAATATAGAAGAGTAAGCCACAGAACAAGCCCACCACATCATCTTGAAATTATGGAATTCATGCACAGTAACTATAAAATTGTTCAGGCTGTCAAGAAGATTCCATGAGGTGTCCTAGACAGACTCTCTGATTGCTAATAACCTCAAGTGATTGAGAAGACATTACACTAGTTTTCTCAGGTATCAAGGAAAGGGATTACCCTGGATGTCCCCACATCTTGGCTAAAACCACTGGTGCAAAGTCATCCCAGTTAACTTGATGGTAATTGTGTTTTACAGAAGTATCTTTCAATTAAAAAAGATTTAAGACTGAATATAAAAGTGTTCAAGAGCATCCAGATAATACTGTAAATAATTTTGTATTAAAAAATGAGAAAATATTAGGAATTTTAAATAGTTTTTAACAGAATTTTTGCCCGTCAGAGTGATGGCCTCAAAAATTCATATTCAGATCTATAATTGAGTGACTAATTAAGACTTGTGACTTTAAGGGGGAAATCTCCCCTATTTTATGTATTATTTTGAAACCGGTAAAAGTGCAAAGTTCCAAAATATTTTTAAGTTGATTAGCTCTGTAAGTATAATTTGAATGTAAGTATAATTGAAAGGAATTTTTATTTATTTCAGGGAAGATAACTTGAAAATAAAATAAAATATAAAATGCAGTTTTATATTTTTGAACCAAGTTTTGAAATGGGAACCCTTTCAACAAAATGATTTTTAAAAATTTCCTAGACATAGAGTAACAACATTTGGAGGCTAAAGTTACCATCTTAAGGAATTATTGGATTTTTACATCTAAAACTTTAAAAAGTTAACTATGTTTTAAACGAAAGTAAAAGCTCTGCATGTTCTTTCCTCAGCACAAAAATTACTCTCAAGGGCACAGAAAAATCTTATCAATGCCACACTAATCTATTTATTTTAGTATTTTTAAATTAATTTTTCTCTGAATATTTCCATTTGCTTTGCCATAACTCCCTAAGAAAAATCTGGAGAATACTGACTCCCATTAAGCATGCAAAATTTTACCATATGGAAAGGTAATATTAAAACCTGGCACCAAAATGATAGCTTCCTTGCAGACATCATTGTGAGTCAAGGAAGCTTAAAAAGCATAGAGGAATAGGGAAGGAAGAGGCTTATACAGCTCACCACATCAATGCCCCAAAGTCCCACCCATCTCCTTTCACACACTGAACACAGGTACAGGTGTACAAGCATCATTCTCGAGGAAATGGTTCCACCCAAATTAATATTTCAGAATCTCATCTAATTTCCATTTTGCGTTTGGCTTATGTATCCAAGATTTTGTTGCTAAAAACAAAAACATGGAGAATGCCAAATAACTGTGAAAGAATTATATTTCTGCTAATTCTTTGATTTACAAAATCTTTGTTCCATTTTAATTCTACAAAAGTTTATTTCATGTAAGGGAGACATGTAGTCTACAGTTTTGCCCGTTTTGCCACAATTTCAATTTCAATTTGGGAAGTTTTCAAGGAATAAACTTGTATTGAGTGTCGGTTATATGGGTAAAGAAGTTGAAAGTGTTTCTCCTTTCTGAGACAGACAAGGGACTGCTTATCCACCCTCTTGTCTGTGTGTGGGTGTGTGTGTACTCTTGTGTGTATGTGTGCTTTTGGATGGAGAGGCTTCAGATTTGTGATCTTTCAACCTGAAGTCAGACTTTCCAGGACATTATCATTCCTTTAATTATCCTGTAGTATTCAAGGAGCTTTCCTGAGATCCTAGTGAGGGTACTACAGAACACAGACAGTTTCTAAGTATGACCTCATCCAGTTCAGTAAAGTGTGGTGGCCATCGGTGTGTGGTCATCATAGTGTAGGAGTTATCCTCTTTGCTTAAAGTAGTTTATGTTAAAAATAAAAAAAACCTGAGAATAACACCATTTGCTCATAAATTAGTTCTGTAATCTGAGGGTCAGTTAGGAATTCAGTGACAGATTTTAGGTAGAAAGAGTCCATATACAGAATTAGTTGCTTACAAAAGCATCAGAAGGGCTGAAAATGGGCTTTAGATTGGGGCTACAGGAAGAGAACAGTCTCAACAAGACAAGGAGGGGAAATTGAGAAGCTAACCAGAGACCTTTGAAGTTTAGAAATACCACTTTAGCTGCGGCAGGGACCAAGAAGCTCCTGACATGACTATTGTGTCCAGAGTCATGTGACAACTGTTGGGTCTACACTGGGAGGAAATGGATGCCAGTCTCTACAACCCATGAAGTTTATTTTTTGACAGTGGGAATTTTATTAACATTGTTTATGAGAAAGTCAGAGCCTCTACAACAAAAACCTCGGAAGTGCAGCCTTTGTTTTATTTCCGCTTCCAAATATTCTGAGAGTGCAAATGATTTTAAAAATCTATTCATGTCCTTTGCCCACTTTTTAATAAGGTTGCTTGTTATTTTTTTCTTGTAAATTTGTTTAAGTTTCTTATAGATGCTGGATATTAGACCTTTGTCAGATGTATAGATTGCAAACATTTTCTCCCATTGTGTAGGTTGTCTGTTCACTCTGATGATAGTTTCTTTTGCTGTGCTGAAGATCTTTAGTTTAATTAGATCCCATTTGTCAATTTTTTGCTTTTGTTGCAATTGCTTTTGGGGTTTTCATTAAGAAATCTTTGACCATGCCTATGTCCTGAATGATATTGCCTAGATTTTCTTCTAGATTTTTATAATTTTGGGTTTTACATTTAAGCCTTTAATCCATCTTGAGTTAATTTTTGTATAAAGTTTAAGGAAGAGGTCCAGTTTCCATTTTTTTGCATATAGCTAGCCAGTTCTCCCAGCACCATTTATTTAAAAGGGAATCCTTTCCCCATTGCTTGATTTTATCAGGTTTGTTGAAGATCAGATGGTTGTGGCTGTGTGGTCTTATTTCTGAGTTGTCTATTCTGTTCCAAAGGTCTATGTGTCTGTTTTTGTACCAGTACTATGCTGTTTTGGTTAAGGTAGCCTTGTAATATAGTTCAAAGTTTGGCAGCATGATGCTTTCAGCTGTGTTCTTTTTACATATGAAAAAAAGCTCAATATCACTGATCAGTAGAGAAATGCAAATCAAAGCCACAATGAGATACCATCTCACACCCATCAGAATGGCTATTATTAAAAAGTGAAGAAACAACAGATGCTGGCAAGGTTGCAGAGAAAAAGGAACACTTCTACACTGTTGGTGGGAATGTAAATTAGTTCAACCATTGTGGGAGACAGTGTGGTGACTCCCAAAGATCTAGAAGCAGAAATATCATTTGATCCAGCAATCTCATTACTGGATATATATCCAAAGGAATATAAATCATTCTATTATAAAGATACATGTATGTATGTTCATTGCAGTACTATTCACAATAACAAAGATATGGAATCAACCCAAATGCCCATCAACAGTGGACTGGATACAAAAATGTGGTATATATATATACCATGGGATACTATGCAGCCATAAAAAGGAATGCGATCATGTCTTTTGCAGGGACATGGAAAGAGCTGGAAGCTATTATCCTCAGCAAACTAACGCAGGACCAGGAAACCAAACACTGCATGTTCTCATTTATAAGTGGGAGCTGAACAATGAGAACACATGGGCACAATGGAGCCTGTTGGGGTCGGGGTGGGGGGAAGGAGAGCATCAAGAAGAACAGCTAATGGGTGCTGGGCTTAAAACCTAGGTGGTGGGTTGATCTGTGAAGCAAACCACATGGCACATGTTTACCTATGTAACAAACCTGCACATCTTGCACATGTACCCCTGAACTTAAAATAAAAGTTGATAGAAAAAACTTTTTTTTTTTTTTTTTTTGAGATGGAGTCTTGCTGTCGCCCAAGCTGGAGTGCAGTGGCATGATCTCGGCTCACTGCAGGCTCTGCCCCCCGGGGTTCACACCATTCTTCTGCCTCAGCCTCTCAAGTAGCTGGGACTACAGGTGCCCGCCACCTCACCCGGCTAATTTTTTGTATTTTTAGTAGAGACGGGGTTTCACTGTGTTAGCCAGGATGGTCTCGATCTCCTGACCTCGTGATCTGCCCGCCTCGGCCTCCCAAAGTGCTGGGATTACAGGCATGAGCCACTGCGCCCGACCAATAAAAAAAAATCTAAATCACATTCCAAAACCTAGCTGGAAGAGAGTCTGGGAAATACAGTTTTTAACTTTTTAGGCCCTGAGTTATAGGACAGTATATTAGAAGGTGGATTAGTTGAATTTTTAGTGCCAGAATTCCATATTTACCCTTACATACACTTAAGAGTTCAAACAACAAGTATAACAACAAGTACACTGTAGTTGGTGTTCAACCAACTACAGTCATCCCTCAGTATCCAAGGGGGATTGGTTTCAGGAACCCCAAAGATACCAAAATCCATAAATGCTCAAGGCTTTTATATGAAATAGTGTAGTATTTGCATATAACCTATGCACACCCTTCTTTACAATTTAAATAATCTCTAGATCACTTATAATACTTAATGCACTGTATTTGCTATGTAAATGGCAGATACTATATTTTTTATTTTTATTGCTTTAATTTTTTACCATAGTAGATATTTATATTTTTGTATAAATGTATAGAATGAGTATAATTTTGTTGCATGCATAGATTGCATAGTGATGGAGTCAGAATATTTAGAGTATCCATTATGCACATAATGCACATTGCACCCATTAAGTAATCTTGCATTATCCACAACATTCCCATCCCTTTACCTTTCTGTGTCTCCATTGTCTATCATTCCACACTCTACATCCTTGTGTACATATTATTTAGCTAACATTTATAAGTGAAAATGTGTGATATTTGTCTTTCTATGTCTGACTTGTTTCACTTAAGATAATGACCTCCAGTTCCATCCATGTTGCTCCAAAAGACATGATTTCATTCTTGTTTATAGCTGTATAGTATTCCATTGTGTATGTGTACCATATTTTCTTTATCCAATCATCAATAGACACTTGCATTGATTTTATATCTTTGCTATTGTGAATAATGCTGTGATAGACATATGAGTGCAAATATTGTTTTCATATAATGATTTCTTTTTCTTTGGGTTAATGCCCAGTAGAAGGATAGTTGGATAGAATGGTAGGTCTATTTGTATATCTTTGAGAAATCTTCATACCATTTTCCATTGAGGTTGTACTAATTGACATTCCCAGGAACAGTGTATGAGACTTCCCTTTTCTCCACATCCTTGCCAATTGTTATTTATATCTTTTTAGTAATAGCCATTCTGACTGGTGTAAGATAATGGCTCATTATTATTTTAACTAGCATTTCTCTGATGATTAGTGATGTTGGATATTTTTTCATATGCCTATTGGCCATTTACATGTCTTCTTTTGAAAAATGTCTATGCGTATCCTTTGCCAACTTTTTAACGGGATTTTTGTTGTCGACTTGCTTGGGTTCTTTGGAAATTCTGTATATTAATTCCCTGCCAGATGCACAGTTGCTAATATTTTCTCCCATTCTGCATGTTCTTTGTTCACTCTGTTGATTATTTCTTTTGCTGTGCAAAATATTTTTAGTTTAATTATGTCCCATTTGTCTTTTTGTTTTTGATGTCTGTGCTTTTGATGCCTTAGTCATAACTTTTCTGCCTATCCCAATGTGCAGAAGGGTTTTTCCTAGGTTTTCTTCTAGTATTTTTATAGTTTCCACTCTTACAACTAAGTATTTAATCCATCTTGACTTGATTTTTGAGTGTGGTGATAGATAGTTTCATTCTTCTGCATATGGCGATCAAATTTTCCCAGCACTATTCATTGAAAAGGGTGTCTTTTCCCCAGTGTATGTTCTTGTTGATTTTGTGAAAGATCAACTATCTGTAGATTTGTGGCTTTATTTCTGGGTTCTCTATTCTGTTCCGCTGACCTATGTGCATATATTTATACCAGTACCATGCTATTTTGGTTACTATAGCCTTGTAACATAATTTGAAGTGAGGTAATGTGATGCCTCCAGCTTTATTGTTTTTACTTAAGATTGTCTTGGCTATTTGAGCTCTTTTTAATTCCAAATAAATTATAGGTAGTTTTTTCTAATTATGTGAAAAATGACTGGTATTTTGATAGAGATTGTACTGACTCTGTAGATTGCCTTGGGCAGTACAGTCATTTTAACAATATTAATTCTTCCAATCCATGAGCATGGGCTGTTTTTTCATTTGTTTGTGTCATCTACAATTTCTTTCATCAGTGTTTCCTTGTAGTCTCAAATGTCTCAAATGCTTTGTTCATTCTTTTTATTCTTTTAAAGATTTTGTCTGACTGGATTATTTCAAAATAGCTCTCCTCAAATTCTGAAATTCTTTCCTCTCCTAGGTCTAGTCTGGTCCATCACCTTTGGCACCTGATCTCTCCTGTCAGATTCTGAGGTTGGGCTGACCCAACCTACCAATATGACACCCACCTGCATACACTAACAACAGGCCAGGGGACTAGCCTGCCCAACCTATTGCAATCACCAGTAACACAAGCATGAACTTATTGGGTTCCAGTGGATTGCTCCACCACTGCTGCTGTAATCATCCACATCACATCAGCTGCCCTGGGGGCCTGAGAACCCACCTGCATAGCCAACCCACTGCTGCCACTACCATATCCAAGCAAGCCACCTGGAGGCCCCAAAGTTGGCCCTCCAGCATCCAGTAACACCAGTCCCAACATCAGCCACTCTAGGGCCTAAAAACAGGCACATTCAGCCCACTGCTGCCACCACTGTGAATTGAAGACTGGCACACCTGGTGTCCTAGTCCTCAGTAAAACTTCACCACAGACTCAACTAATAATCATATGCTAAGACACCAAGGAAATCACAGATACAACTGATTGTGTACTGCTGAAAAAATCATGCAGAGATTATACTACCATAGGCACCCAAAATCAAAGCCAAAGCATCCTATTCAACCAACAACAAATATACATCTTCAGCATAAAAATCCTGTCCTTTGAGAGAAATTTTTAAAAATTGTAAGAAGGGACTGTTACATCAGATGCAGAGATATCAATATAAAGACACAGGAAGTATAAAAAAGCAAGGAAATATACCACTGCCAAAGGACCACAACAATTGTCCAGCAACAGATCCCAATCCAAAAGAAATCCACCAAATACCAGAAAAGGATTCAAAATATTGATTTTCAAGAGGCTCAATGAGATGCAAAAGAAATCTGAAAACAAATACAAAGAAATCAGAAAATAAATTCAGGATATGAATGAGAAATTTACCAAGGAGATAAATATCTTTAAAAAATAACAAGTTTTGGAATTAAAAAATTCATTGAAGGAAATACAAAATACATCAGAAAGCTTCAATAATAGACTAGACCAAGCAGAAGAACAAAATCTCAGAACTTGAAGACAGTTCTTTTGAAATAATCCAGTCAGATAAAAGTAAGGAGAAAATAATAGAAAAGTATAAATAAAGCCTTCAAAACATTTGGGACTACATAAAATGATTATAATATATATTAAAATTTGTATTATCTTTTACTACTGTATTATAATTTTTAAACTTTTTTTTCAGATAGTTATGTGTTTTATTGACACCCATTTTTGATTTTCATACTTGATTTGATCTCTTTTTTTAAATTTTATTATTATTATACTTTAAGTTTTAGGGTACATGTGCACAATGTGCAGGTTTGTTACATATGTATACATGTGCCATGTTGGTGGGCTGCACCCATTAACTCGTCATTTAGCATTAGCTATACCTCCTAATGCTATCCCTCCCCCCTGCCCCCACCCCACAACAGTCCCCGGTGTATGATGTTCTCCTTCTTGTGTCCATGTGTTCTCACTGTTCAATTCCCACCTATGAGTGAGAACATGTGGTGTTTGGTTTTTTGTCCTTGTGACAGTTTGCTGAGAATGATGATTTCCAGCTTCATCCATGTCCCTACAAAGGACATGAACTCATCATTTTTTATGGCTGCATGGTGTTCCATGGTGTATATGTGCCACATTTTCTTAATCCAGTCTATCATTGTTGGACATTTGGGTTGGTTCCAAGTCTTTGCTATTGTGAATAGTGCCACAATAAACATACGTGTGCATGTGTCTTTATAGCAGCATGATTTATAATCCTTTGGATATATACCCAGTAATAGGATGGCTGGGTCAAATGGTATTTCTAGTTCTAGATCCCTGATGAATTGCCACACTGACTTCCACAATGGTTGAACTAGTTTACAGTGTCAGCAACAGTGTAAAAGTGTTCCTATTTCTCCAGTGCCACCAACAGTGTAAAAGTGTTCCCATTTCTCCACATCCTCTCCAGCACCTGTTGTTTCCTGACTTTTTAATGATCGCCATTGTAACTGGTGTGAGATGGTATCTCATTGTGGTTTTGATTTGCATTTCTCTGATGGCCAGTGATGACGAGCATTTTTTCATGTGTTTTTTGGTTTCATAAATGTCTTCTTTTCAGAAGTGTCTGTTCATATCCTTTGCCCACTTTTTGATGGGGTTGTTTGTTTTTTTCTTGTAAATCTGTTTGAGTTCATTGTAGATTCTGGAATATTAGCCCTTTGTCAGAAGAGTAGGTTGCAAAAATTTTCTCCCATTCTGTAGGTTGCCTGTTCACTCTGATGGTGGTTTCCTTTGCTGTGCAGAAGCTCGTCAGTTTAATTAGATCCCATTTGTCAATTTTGTCTTTTGTTGCCATTGCTTTTGGTTTTTTAGACATGAAGTCCTTGCCCATGCCTATGTCCTGAATGGCATTGCCTAGGTTTTCTTCTAGGGTTTTTATGGTTTTAGGTCTAACATGTAAGTCTTTAATCCATCTTGAATTAGTTTTTGTATAAGGTGTAAGGAAGGGATCCAGTTTCAGCTTTCTACATATGGCTAGCCAGTTTTCCCAGTACCATTTATTAAATAAGGAATCCTTTCCCCATTGCTTGTTTTTCTCAGGTTTGTCAAAGATCAGATAGTTGTAGATATGTGGCATTATTTCTGAGGGCTCTGTTCTGTTCCATTGGTCTATATCTCTGTTTTGGTACCAGTACCATGCTGTTTTGGTTACTGTAGCCTTGTAGTATAGTTTGAAGTCAGGTAGCATGATGCCTCCAGCTTTGTTCTTTTGGCTTAGGATTGACTTGGCAATGTGGGATCTTTTTTGGTTCCAAATGAACTTCAAAGTAGTTTTTTCCAATTCTGTGAAGAAAGTCATTGGTAGCTTGATGGGGATGACATTGAATCTATAAATTACCTTGGGCAGTATGGCTATTTTCACGATATTGAACGTTCCTACCCATGAGCATGGAATGTTCTTCCATTTGTTTGTATCCTCTTTTATTTCGTTGAGCAGTGGTTTATAGTTCTCCTTGAAGAGGTCCTTCACATCCCTTGTAAGTTGAATTCCTAAGTATTTTATTCTCTTTGAAGCAATTGTGAATGGGAGTTCACTCATGATTTGGCTCTCTGTTTGTCTGTTATTGGTGTATAAGAATGCTTGTGATTTTTGCACATTGATTTTGTATCCTGAGAGTTTGCTGAAGTTGCTTATCAGCTTAAGGAGATTTTGGGCTGAGATGATGGGGTTTTCTAGATACACAATCATGTCACCTTCAAACAGGGACAATTTGACTTCCTCTTTTCCTAATTGAATACCCTTTATTTCTTTCTCCTGCCTGATTGCCCAGGCCAGAACTTCCAACACTATGTTGAATAGGAGTGTTGAGAGAGGGCATCCCTGTCTTGTGCCATTTTTCAAAGAGAATGCTTCCAGTTTCTATCCATTCAGTATGATATTGGCTGTGGGTTTGTCATAGATAGCTCTTATTATTTTGAGATACGTCCCATCAATACCGAATTTATTGAGAGTTTTTAGCATGAAGGGTTGTTGAATTTTGTCAAAGGCCTTTTCTGCATATATTGAGATAATCGTGTGGTTTTTGTCTTTGGTTCTGTTTATATGCTGGATTACATTTATTGATTTGCATATGTTGAACAAGCCTTGCATCCCAGGGATGAAGCCCACTTGATCATGGTGGATAAGCTTTTTGATGTGCTGCTGGATTTAGTTTGCCAGTATTTTATTGAGGATTTTTGTGTCAATGTTCATCAAGGATATTGGTCTAAAATTCTCTTTTTTTGTTGTGTCTCTGCCAGTCTTTGGTATCAGGATGATGCTGGCCTCATAAAATGAGTTAGGGAGGATTCCCTCTTTTTCTATTGATTGGAATAGTTTCAGAAGGAATGGTACCAGCTCCTCCTTGTACCTCTGGTAGAATTCGTCTTTGAATCCATCTGGTCCTGGACTTTTTTTGTTGGTAAGCTATTAATTATTGCCTCAATTTCAGAGCCTGTTATTGGTCTATTCAAAGATTCAACTTCTTCCTGGTTTAGTCTTGGGAGGGTGTATGTGTCGAGGAATTTATCCATTTCTTCTAGATTTATTTGTGTAGAGGTGTTTATAGTATTCTCTGATGGCAGATTTTATTTCTGTGGGATCAGTGGTGATATCCCCTTTGTCATTTTTTATTGTGTCTATTTGATTCTTCTCTCTTTTCTTCTTTATTAGTCTTGCTAGTGGTCTATCAATTTTGTTGATCTTTTCAAAAAACCA
The DNA here is from genome assembly GCF_000001405.40 of Homo sapiens. Lineage (NCBI taxonomy): Eukaryota > Metazoa > Chordata > Mammalia > Primates > Hominidae > Homo > Homo sapiens. The sequence goes on from NC_000005.10 coordinate 57,969,566, forward strand.
GCTCCTGGATTCATTGATTTTTTGAAGGGTTTTTGTGTCTCTATTTCCTTCACTTCTGCTCTGATCTTAGTTGTTTCTTGCCTTCTGCTAGCTTTTGGATGTGTTTGCTCTTGCTTCTCTAGTTCTTTTAATTGTGATGTTAGCACGTCAATTTTAGATCTTTCCTGCTTTCTCTTGTGGGCATTTACTGCTATAAATTTCCTTCTACACACTGCTTTTAATGTGTCTCAGAGATTCTGGTATGTTGTGTCTTCGTTCTCGTTGGGTTCAAAGAACATCTTTATTTCTGCCTTCACTTCATTATGTACCCAGTAGTCATTCAGGAGCAGGTTGTTCAGTTTCCATGTAGTTGAGCGGTTTTGAGTGAGTTTCTTAATCCTGAGTTCCAGTTTGATTGCACTGTGGCCGGAGAGACAGTTTGTTATAATTTCTGTTCTTTTATATTTGCTGAGGAGTGCTTTACTTCCAAGTATGTGGTCAATTTTGGAATAGGTGTGGGGTGGTGCTGAAAAGAATGTATATTCTGTTGATTTGGGGTGAAGAGTTCTGTAGATGTCTATTAGGTCTGCTTGGTGCAGAGCTGAGTTCAATTCCTGGATATCCTTGTTGACCTTCTGTCTCATTGATCTGTCTAATGTTGACAGTGGTTTGTTAAAGTCTCCCATTATTATTGTGTGGGAGTCTAAGTCTTTTTGTAGGTCACTCAGGACTTGCTTTATGAATCTGGGTGCTCCTGTATTGGGTGCATATATATTTAGTATAGTTAGCTCTTCTTGTTGAATTGATCCCTTTACCATTATGTAATGGCCTTCTTTGTCTCTTTTGATCTTTGTTGGTTTAAAGTCTGTTTTATCCAAGACCAGGATTGCAAGCCCTGCCTTTTTTTGTTTTCCATTTGCTTGGTAGGTCTTCTTCCATCCCTATATTTTGAACCTATGTGTGTCTCTGCACATGAGATGGGTCTCCTGAATACAGCACACTGATGAGTCTTGACTCTTTATCCAATTTGACAGTCTGTGTCTTTTAATGGGAGCATTTAGCCCATTTACATTTAAGGTTAATATTGTTATGTGTGAATTTGATCCTGTCATTATGATGGTAGCTGGTTATTTTGCTCGTTAGTTGAGGCAGTTTCTTCTTAGCCTTGATGGTCTTTACAATTTGGCATGTTTTTGCAGTGGCTGATACCTGTTGTTCCTTTCCATGTTTAGTGCTTCCTTTAGCTTTTGTAGGGCAGGCCTGGTGGTGACAAAATCTCCCAGCATTTGCTTGTCTGTAAAGGATTTTATTTCTCCTTCAGTTACGAAGCTTAGTTTGGCTGGATATGAAATTCTGGGTTGAAAATTCTTTTCTTTAAGAATGTTGAATATTGGCCCCCACTCTCTCTGGCTTGTAGAGTTTCTGCCGAGAGATCCGCTGTTAGTCTGATGGGCTTCCCTTTGTGGGTAACCCGACCTTTCTCTCTAGCTGCCCTTAACATTTTTTCCTTCATTTCAACTTTGGTGAATCTGACAATTATGTGTCTTGGAGTTGCTCTTCTCGAGGAGTATCTTTGTGGCGTTCTCTATATTTCCTGAATCTGAATGTTGGCCTGACTTGCTAGATTGGGGAAGTTCTCCTGTATAATATCCTGCAGAGTGTTTTCCAGCTTGGTTCCATTCTCCTCGTCACTTTCAGGTACACCAATCAGATGTAGATTTGGTCTTTTCACATAGTCCCATATTTCTTGGAGGCTTTGTTCGTTTCTTTTTATTCTTTTTTCTCTAAACTTCTCTTCTCGCTTCATTTCATTCATTTCGTCTTCCAACGCTGATACACTTTCTTCCAGTTGATCGCATCGGCTACTGAGGTTTATGCCTTCGTCACGTAGTTCTTGTGCCGTGGTTTTCAGCTCCATCAGGTCCTTTAAGGACTTCTCTGCATTAGTTATTCTAGTTATCTATTCGTCTAATTTTTTTTTCAAGGTTTTTAACTTCTTTGCCATTGGTTCGAACTTCCTCTTTTAGCTCTGAGTGGTTTGATCTTCTGAAGCCTTCTCTCAACTCGTCAAGGTCATTCTCTGTCCAGCTGTGTTCCATTGCTGCTGAGGAGCTGCGTTCCTTTGGAGGAGGAGAGGCGCTTGATTTTTAGATTTTCCAGTTTTTCTGCTCTGTTTTTCCCCCATCTTTGTGGTTTTATCTACCTTTGGTCTTTGATGATAGTGACATACAGATGGGTTTTTGGTGTGGATGTCCTTTCTGTTTGTTAGTTTTTCTTCTAACAGTCAGGACCCTCAGGTGCAGGTCTGTTGGCGTTTGCTGGAGGTCCATTCCAGACCCTGTTTGCCTGGGTATCAGCAGTGGTGGCTGTAGAACAGTGGATATTGGTGAATCTCAAATGCTGATGCCTGATCATTCCTCTGGAAGTTTTGTCTCAGACGAGTACCTGTCCATGTGAGGTGTCAGTCCACCCCTACTGGGGGGTGCCTCCCAGTTAGGCTACTCAGGGGTCAGGGACCCACTTGAGGAGGCAGTCTGCCTGTTCTCAGAATCAAGCTGCATGCTGGGAGAACCACTACTCTCTTCAAACTGTCAGACAGGGCCATTTAAGTCTGCAGAGGTTGCTGCTGCCTTTTGTTTGTCTGTGCCCTGTCCCCAGAGGTGGAGCCTACAGAGGCAGGCAGACCTCCTTGAGCTGTAGTGGGCTCCACCCAGTTCGAGCTTTCAGGCCACTTTGTTTACCTACTCAGGCCTCGGCAATGGCGGGTGCCCCTCCCCCAGCCTCGCTGCCACCTTGCAGTTTGATCTGACTGCTGTGCTAGCAATGAGCGAGGCTCCATGGGCTCAGGACCCTCTGAGCCAGGTGCGAGATATAATCTCCTCATGTGCCATTTGTTAAGTCCATTGGAAAAGCGCAGTATTAGGGTGGGAGTGACCTGATTTTCCAGGTGCTGTCTGTCACCCTTTCTTTGACTAGGAAAGGGAATTCCCTGACCCCTTGCGCTTCCTGGGTGAGGAGATGCTTCACCCTGCTTTGGCTCATGCATGGTGCACTGCACCCACTGTCCTGCACCCACTGTCTGGCACTCCCCAGTGAGATGAACCCGGTACCTCGGTTGGGAATGCAGAAATCACCCATCTTCTGTGTCGCTCACGCTGGGAGCTGTAAACTGGAGCTGTTCCTATTCAGCCATCTTGGCTCCACCTTAAACTTATTTTTAAAGAATATTTTCAATCTACACTTTGTTGAATACACAGATGTGGAGCCCATGAATTTGGACGGCTGACTGTATTATTCAAAAGAAAATGAGCCTTCAACTCCTTCTGCAAAGGGGAGATCAGCCTTCACCACTTCAGTCATTATACTAAAACATGATCATTTCTTTCCCATTTCAATCACAATCTTCTTTTGATAGCCTGTAACTTATGTGTGAATTATAAAGTTAGCCACCTACAACAAAACCTATATGAAATAGAAGGGTAAAGAAAGAAGGAAACATTAGTATTAAATATACCAATTCATACATGCATAGATATGGCTAGCTACTGTAGTACTTATTTCTAAAAGTCAGAAGATGGCATTTTTAATTTCCTTTATCATTATCTACACCACATTCTTTTCAGCTGTGGAAAGCTTTGACATTCTTAGCGTATATCTGGTAGAACTGAAACCTTCATTTGTGATGTGTCTGAATCTTTAGTGATTCTGCTGTAGTAAATTGCTGTTGTTTTCCATCATCTTTTATTCCTGGATCTGACAGTACAGGAGGTGCCTCAGAGGACCCCATTGGTTGTTTAACAGCAACCCCCTCCCCTATAATAATCTGAACCATTCACTTCAGCTAATGAAATAATTGACTTTTATGCCCACTGTTTGGTGAAAAAAAAATGCCAGTTGCTTTTTTCAACCCCTCATTAAACTAACTATGGTTGTGTACCCTGATCTCTTGAGTGCTGAAATATCCAAAACAACATAGCCAAAAGCCAGAATGATAGAAACAAACATTTTGTCAGTGGACATTAGGTATAACAGGGACAGGCATCCATTCTGATTTCTCTTTAAGAAATCTGTTTGTTCCCGGACCTGTGAATTTTGGTTATGGATTTACAGAGCCTATTGGAAGATACATTCCATTTATAATCTGACCTCTGTAAGTACTTACTTACAGAGGACTTACAAATACACCATAATGGCTTTCTGGTTCCATCAGAATTAGAATTAACTCAGAGCCAGTGAACAATAATCCCCAAAATGTTTGAAGATTTTCCTTTCTCCAATGCGCAATGACCTTTGTAAATAGCTGTAGTTTTCTTCAGGGAAGACTAGGAAGAATGTTTGCAGTTCATACTGGAGAAAGCATCACAACATCATTCCCCAGTGATACTCAGCCTCTCAATCATTCCAGATATATTTGTGTTGTAAACTTACTTAGGTCTCAGCAGTAGTTGAGAGATGATGATCTCACATTACGGTGATTTAAATCAAGTTTTTGTTCAGTCTACCTAAAGTTTTTGTCTGTTTGTTTTGTTTTATGTTGTTTTTAGTTATACAGATTATATACAAACAAAGTATACTTTGTATCTGATCTGTACTTGGAATGTTCAATTAAATAGCCACTCCTCAAATGCCTGTAGGTAAAACCATTCTGATGACCAGTCTGTCCCTACTCACCATACTTCCATTGGTGCAGTGATGCTTCTTGTTCTCATTCAGGATCTTAACATTCTCAAAGAAATATGATGTTTCATTCCACTTATAGCATCTCTCACCTTCATTCTTATCTTCATATGACAATCATTGTGTCTGTTGCTTCTATTACCAATGTATTTCTCAATGCCTTTGTGGAATGAATTCCTTTCAGAGGACAAAGTCAGGAGATATTTTGATATGTTTATTTCAAATCAAAATCCTTGTCTCCCTGACTCTTTAGATTGCCTTTTCTAAATTTTACCAAGGAATTCACGGCATTTCAACCTCATTCAATATATGTCACCTGCTATAATCTGAATTTTTTTTTGCCCCCAAAATTCCTCTGGTGAAATTCTCACCCCCAAGGTAGTGGTATTGGGAGATGGGCCTTTGGGAGATGATGAGGGCATGGGGTAGAGTTCTTATGAATGGAATTAGTGCTTTTATAAATGAGGCCCAAGAGAGACCCCTTGTCCTTTCCATCATATAAGGACACAGTGAGAAGATGACATCTATGAACCAGAAAAAGGGGCCTCACCAGGGAATACACCAGTAGATTCAGATACTGAATCTACTGCCACCTTGATCTTAGACTTACCAGTCTCCAGAACTGTGAGAAATAAAATAGTTTTTAAAAGCTACCCAGCCTATAGTATTTTGTTATAGCAGCCTGAATTAACTAAGATACTACTCTTGAGATAAAGTTTTAAATAAAACATTGAGCAAAAATTAGAACTATATTCAGCTTCTTGAGTCAGTGTATCAAATTCAGAATTTCTAGTAATTTAAAAATTACATCTTAAAAATTCATGCTGATCTAAAATATTTTCTCCTTTTTTACCATATCACTCTCAAAATCCATTTTCATGAAGATTCTCCAGATATTTGCTGATGTACATCTAAAAAATCTTTCAAAATATGTGGCATTTAAATGTTCTTCCTGCAGGTTAAACATTTTACTTGGCTGCCTGGAAAAAGCTGAGATGTGATTCTGATTACAAGTTTGGAAGCAATTAAAAATGGTGGGATTGGGAGAGGAGAAGATTTGACACTGTACTGCAAAGAAGTCATCGCAGTATCTTCAAGCTAGTCAGAACTGGCCTTATAAAACAGGAAAATAAAGAATGTTTCAGATTGCAAGGAAACATAGTGAAGGGTAAGACTTAGAGTACTTGGAGTTATTTAAATCCTCCCAAATATCACCATTTCAATTTGAAAATTCTACTCCTTCAAGATGAATCATACCTTATATCTTACCTGCATCTGATTTAGTTGATATTTAGATGAAATGTTGGAGTTTAGACTTGAGTAGATGTTGGAATGAGTGAAGATCTCTGGGGCTATTGAGATGAAATAAATGCATTTTTAATATAAGAAATACATAATTTGTGGGCGCAAGGGCAGAATGCTATGGACTTAATGTTTGTGTCTTCCCCAAATTCAAAACAATAAACCCCCAATCCCCAGTGTAATGGCATTTGGAGGTGAGGCCTTTGGGAGGTCATGAGGTCATGAGGTTACAGCCTTCATAAATGGGATTAGTGTCATTATAAGACATGGCACCAGACAGATGCTCTCTCTCTCTCTCTCTCTCTCTCTCTCTCTCTGCCATGTGAGAATACAGCAAGAAGGTGACCAACTGCAAATCAGGGAGAGGACTCTCACCAGACACCAAATCTGCTGGCACCTTGATCCTGGACTCCTCAGCCTCCAGAACTGTGAGAAATAAAATATTTGTTTTTTAAGGCATCCATTCATGGTATTAATTATAGCAGCCCCAGATGATGAAGACAAGAGGCTACTAGTTGTTAACTAGAACCTCACTGCCTTTAAACTCAAATAAACAAAGTAATCAACCCCAGGTTCTTAACTTTGAAGAACTATTACATGTGGCCATTTTTGGTGTCTACTACTATAATGGTCAGAATTTTGTTTCAGGTAAAACAGACTACTAGCTCTTTTAAACAAAAGTGATTTGACACAGGGGATTGAGCACTGACACATTATTGGAAGGTGTGATTTTATGTGTGCCTTTGTCTAGACCACAATACCTGGATATTTGATCAAACCTTATTCTAAATGTTCCTGTAAAAGTATTTTTTAGATGAGGGTAACATTTAATCAGCAGATTTTGAGTAAAGCAGGTTACCCCCTATAATGTGGGTGATTTTCTTTCAATTAGTTGAAGGCCTTAAGAGAAAAGAAAAACTGAGGTCTCCTGAAGAAGAGTGAATTTTGCCAGCAAATGGCATTTACACTTGAACTGGAACATCAAAACTTCCTTGACTCTCTCACCTGCTGGCCCATCTTGTAGATCTTTGACTTGCCAGCCTCCACAATCATGTGAGCCAATTGCTTAAAATAAACCTGTCTGTCTGTCTGTGTATACACACACACGTCCTATCAGTTCTCTTTCTCTGCAAAAGAAGAAGAGTTGATTCTAAACTTGTCTCAGGGATTACTCTCAAAACACATTCCTGAAATGCCAAACTAGGAAGATAGCAACCTTGCCATAATTGAGGTATGGGTATCAGGAAACAGGAAACCGACATGGAAATTTTGGCTACAGAATTACCTCACTGTAGTTGAAATCCATGTATAGAAAGCACATCTAAATCCATACTAAATATTTTAGGTCTGCACTGCTAAATTAAATTAAATCTAAAATAACATAAAAAAATAAAATGAATGTCCATGTCCTGCCTCTTTCTTAACATTTATAAAACTAAGTAATTGTCATTGTTACTTTGGCTAATAACGTTGCAGAAAATCCAAGCTCCTCCATGACTACTCAACAGCAAGAAGTACAAGAACCTCAGAAGTGTGGCCTCTTCTTCCCTTCCTCTTCAATATGTCCTGAACCTCCAGCAAAATAATGAGTATCTTGACTCTTATTGCACATACAATCTTTCCAGGTGGGTGTGGATGCATCTGGTCTTAGTGCCTAGAGGTGATGACCTCTAGCTCTGAAAGCTGTAGCTCTCTGAAGGTGCTATATACACAGCCTGCATGGAGTTTTCTGCTTACCTTTTTCTTCCTATTTCAGACAGGGGAGGGGAAAATAATAATGGAACAGATGGAGATAGAAGACTTTAGGAAGGGGCTTCCGCAAAGGGTGTTCCTGTTTGTTAACTCATTAACAAATTCACTACTTGTAAATTCAAATTGTGGAAATTCAGGGATAAGTATAAAATGATAAAGGGATCTTCATATCACAAATTCATCTAATACTTGTTATTCTTTCTGTTATAAAAAGCCTTGTCAGTATCAATCAAACACAGCGTTCTGCTTTCCCAATAGTCAGACTACCAGGCACAAATTATGCAGAAAGCATGAAAAAATAAAATTTATTACAGCAGACTCTTGCAGTTATTGTTTTGGGCAATTAGAAAGCCTTCACATTACTGATTTTTAATATCATGCTACCTGACCCTCCCTACCCTAGTAACCACATTCTTAGTCCCCACAACATAGTTAGGGAAGTGACCCAGTCCTGGCTTGTTATATTTTATTCCTCCGGACTCTGGGATTGGCCCAGTAAGGGACATGTTATTCAAAGCGATCAGAGAGACTTGCTATTGAGTTATTTAGGGAAGTAGAAAAAATATTCTTTCCTCTTGAATCACATACTAGAAGGGTATGAAGTTGGGGCTGCTATCAATCATCTTCCCATCACGCTGAGGCCTGTCTTCAGTAAGAATGGATAAGGAAGCCAAGTAGACATAAAATTGATACCATCTTTTTGCCCAGAAAAACTGACTTTCAAATATAACACTCACTTGTTTAAGCAAGTAATAGGTTCAACTATTGGTTTCAAATATTGAGTAGTGACTTATTTCTTGTGTGAATGGAACGAAGAATATTGCTGAAAAAGTATTAGGAGGGACAATCTATCAAAAATATGACCTCTTCTGTCTCAGCTGTTGGTTGACAGTTCATGGTAATGGATCTATTGTTTTGTCTTGAGCATTGTCCTCTACTTTTGATTTATTTTAATTTACAAATGCTTCCATTGAGGAGGTAACACCTCAATTCCAAAATTTAAATGTAACCCAGTAAATCAAATCATTTTCAGGCTGAAATAAAAGGAGAATATTGAGGTTGAGATAGAGAACATACAGTAGTAGACAGGAGATAGACCTTGAAAGTGGACAGTCTTCCACATCTATTATCTATGTGCCCTTGAAAATATTCCTTAATGTTTCTAAATCTCAGTTTTCACCATCTGTATAAAGCAATAGTAAAATCTTCCTCACAAAGTTACTGTGAGGATGAATAACAAGACAAGAATGTCAAGTCTAACACACTGGAATATTAATTCTGACTTCCTCACCTATTAGATGGTATAGTCTCGGGGAAGTTTCTTTCTCTCTATGAGCCTTAGGCTCTTTATCAGTAAAAAGCATATTAATGTCTACTTCATAGATTTAAATTTAAAATAAGGTAAATTGTTTAAAATGCATAGTGATGGTTCTGGCGTATAATAAGTGCTCAATAAATGGTATTCTATTTTTTGTTAAGATATATAAATTACCAAGCACAGTGCTTCAAACACATTAATGCCCAATACATTTATTTCCTTATCTTCCCCAACCTTCAACCACTGAATATTGAGAAGAAACAGACACTGCAAGAAAGAGAAGGTGTCAGTGGGGTGCGAAACTGGCTTGTACCAGCCTGCAGGAACCACTTATTAACCGGTTTTTCTTTCTTTTTTTGAGACAGAGTCTCATTACATAGCCCAGGCTAGAGCACAGTGGTATGATAGCTCACTACAGCCTCAACTTCTTGAGCTCAAGAAATTCTCCCATCTCAGCCTCCTGAGTGGCTGGGACTATAGGCACATACCACCATGCCCAGGTAATTTTTGTAGAGACAAGATTTCACCATGTTGCCCAGGCTGATCTTGAAGTCCTGGGCTCAAGCAATCTGCCTGCCTCAGTGTCAGCACCCCACTGACACTTTCTTCAAAGTTCTGGGATTACAGGTGTGAGCCACTGCCCCAGGACCAATTGTTAACTTTTGAAGAATGTTGTGAGCCAATGTTCAAACAATTTTATTTAAAAAAATTAAATTATATAAACCTACAATTAAATAAGTTATACAAAAACAAAGGCAATAAATACTAAAAACTCATCACTTTCTAATTATTTTACTATTGTCTATTTTTTGAGGTTATATAAATCTACTGTGTCTGTATCATGAAATATATTGGTGGGCTGTTTCACATCTATTCCCAATTCCATGGTTACTGATATTATATTGGTAACTTGAAATTGGCCATTATGACAGTATTTATACCAGGGAAATCAGCCAATGCTGCAAATCAGATTGTTTTTCCCCTCAGAGAGCCAATAGTTAAGCGTGTCCAAGCGCACCACTGCAAAGGGCATCCATGGGATACCAAAGAGACCATCCCCTGTTTACAGAACTTCCAAATCTGCACCAGGGTAACTTTTGGTTCTCAAATGATAACCTTATTCATTAGGAAGTTTTCAACCTTTTAAAAAGTAGTATTTTAAAAATAAGGTACAGAAATTGTACTGAGATTCTGATATAGTGGGCTTGTGTGGGCTGGGCAACTTGAGCTCCAGTTCCTATGTGTCATTGAGAAATGAGATGACAACAGCAGAGACGCAGCCATCAGGAAATGCCTCAGTCACCTCTGCTTCATTCTGGCAAAAATGAAAGGCACATGGAAAATACAGTACCACTTAAAATCAGTCATAGACTTTCTAAATAAAGACTTTGATCATTAGAGCTGAAAATAGTCGTAATTTTAAAATGGGAAGAACAATAGCACTCAATTTTTGTCTTGCAGTTGCCGCATTTAAAAATCCAAGTTATTTGGTTTTCATTTTTATCCCTAATGACAGAGAAGGTAAAGAAGAAGAAAAGAAGAAAGGGAAAAAGGGGGAACAAAGAAAATCACTTCCAGAAAGTTAGTTATTGTTCAGAGCAAGGACATTGGAGTCCCTGTTAAGTTATACATATAACTTTTAGATTAACTGAGAAAAATAATCATGGATGATCCTCAGCTACATATATTCTTAGAATCATTTGCATAATTCAAGGTGCCCAGAAGAACAGTTATAAAATATGTAAATAATGAGAACAGCTATTTTCCAGATAATAAACTGTTATTCCTCTAACATAAAGTTTGGCCCAAATATTAAAAAAATTAAGAGCACAGATAATATCTGTCAAGTTCCACATTGATCAAATAAGAATCACTTTTATTCATCTTCTAGGACTCAAATGTTTGCTAAAAGTCCGTCATAAAACAGGTAGACCCTTCTTCATGTTATACATATTAGATAAGGGGAAGAGCAAGTGAGGTCTGATGGAAAGTAGCCAGCTCTACAGATTATTAAGCAAAATGATTTCCAAAGGCCTGGGGATATGATGAAAATGGACACATTCCATGTAGCACATGGTATTTCTGGAGTTGTGTATGGACTTTCCAAAGCACAACTGTGCTGTCCATGTAGCCTTGCTTAGATAGAATTGCCACTCCATATAGTGAGAGGAGCACTTTCAGGGTGGTACAGTTTTCATACGATTTTTCTAACCTGTGTTTCCAGTGAATGACTGGCATAAACAACAGGCCAGGTTGTGACTCTAGAATAGACAGAAGTCAAGTCAGTGAAATTACGACTACAGATGGTCCTTATTTCCCTTCACCTAACCCCGTTCTCTTCAAAATGTTATTCAGCTACATATCAAAGATATTCACATGTTCATATGTAACGTAAAACTTATGAATTTCTTCTACTGCACTGTTGATAGCCTGACCATTTCCATCAATATCCCTGTGCAGGCATAGAAGTCTGCTAAACTTCACAATTAAACATATTTTCAGTTAAATATTGAATGATACTAATGAGGTCTTAAAATTAATTTTATTCTCATGAAAAGCTGTTATAGTCTTTCCAACTGTTTCTGTTGTTGTTGTTTATACAACAGTCTTATACTCAACATTATTCCTTTTTCTTTTGGCATACTGACTTTTTCATGGATTTCATTGTAGTGCTGTGTCTTCAGTTTATTTGGGCTGTTATAACAAGGTACCTTAGACTGGGCAACTTATAAAAAATAGAAATGTATTGCTTATAATTCTAGAAGCTGGGAAGTCCAGGATGCCAGCATATTTGGTAGCTGATGAGAACTCACTCTGCTCCTGAGATGGCATGATCTTGCTGCGTCCTCACACGGTTCAAGGAGTCAACGAGCTCCCTCAGGCCTCTTTTCATGACATGTCTCATTCAGGACAGCTCCATTCTCATGACCTAATCATCCCCCAAAAGGCCCAACCTCTTAAAACTATCACATTGGGGATTAGGTTTCAATGTGAATTTTAGGGAGGACATAGGATCATAGCACCATTTTAGCAAGGGCCATTCTTACACTAAAGACTAAATAGACTGATTTTCATTCCCATTTCACCATTTGACTTTTCAGAGACTTCTATTATCACTGTCACTTCAGGTTCTGCGGTCTTGCTCCCTCTGAATTAACACGGTTTATAGAGCACCTCACCATGGCACAGTAGTCTTTTGCTGTCACACACATATACATGCACACATGTATACAAGTGCACCAAAGTTTAAGCAGTAGGCTCTGCTGAAAGTTTAGGAAAAATGTAGACTCCAAAACAAAAGTAACTTAAAACTGAATCTTAGATATCCCTGTTATTTAAAAAAATCCTTGAGTATTCTTCTATGTTATTTGAGTGTCCTCTCTCTTTTATCACTCATATTTTTTTTTCTTTTCTTCTCTGTGTTATTTTGATTCCCAACTTCCTGTTTATTTCTAACATACCAGCATTTAGGTCTCTGTTAATACCTGGTCTTCTACTGACCCATCTTTTGCCCCAAGCACTTTATTTAGGTAGCCAAAAAACAAACAGAAAAAAGAAATCTGGTTTCTTCTTTAAGAGAACTTGTGGTTTTAGCTGTTATTATATGTTTTTACTCTACCTTATACTCATGAATCAATCATATAAAGTAAATAAACAGCTTAAAGCATGAGTTGTGTGAATAGTTATGCAAATTAGCTTCAACTCTATGTATATTATATGTGAACACCTGTTTTTATGTGCAGAAATAGCCATGCGCAGCACATTCATTTACAAAAATGCTCATTAATGTCCCTAGAATGTTTAGCTTCATGAAGTATTGCTGGGCCACATGGTGCGTTTACCACCATTTCCAATTCCTTATTTTCCTTCCTGGGAACATCTGAAATAGAGGAAAAATAATAACTAGAGTTATTTGCAGAAGTTTTCGAAACAGAACCACAATAAATGCAACATACAGAGCATGAACTTTAGAGTCAAACAGATCTGGAATTTAATTTTCATCATTCTGGTTACTGAACTATGTGACCAGGAAAAATTACCTAAGCCTTGATATACTCTAAAATTGGTAATAAAATGCTCACTTTTTTTTTTTAGATGGAGTTTCACTCTTGTCGCCCAGGCTGGATTGCAGTGGTGTGATCTCAGCTCACTGCAACCTCTGCCTCCCAGGTTTAAGCAATTCTCCTCCCTGAGCCTCCAGAATAGTTGGAATTACAGGCGCCTGCCACCATGCCTGGCTAATTTTTTATATTTTTAGTAGAGACGGGGTTTCATTTTAATGTTGGCCAGGCTTGTCTCGAGCTCCTGACCTCGTGACCGGCCCGCCTCGGCCTCCCAACGTGCTGGGATGACAGGCATGAGCCACTGCGCCCAACCGATAAAGTGCTTACTTTAAAAGATTATGTGAATACTTAAAAAATGAACGTAAAATTCTGAGCACCATGTCTAGCACACAGTATGTGTTTAATAAATATCAGCTATTATTAATGGTTTTATTAAGATATCAATCATTACATGGGTCAACTATCTAGAGGCCAAGAAAACTCCTCTGAGCCTTCACTCTTCAAACGCAGTTTATGTTACCTGAGGTATTGATGCTTTAGTCCTTCCCAAATGGACACGGAAAACTGGATGGTAACTTGCTTCTTTCCATTATATGTCAGCTTCGCACACTAGATCTCATACCCCATGTGACCAGCGTTGATCTCTCTTTCACAGTCACTACAGAAATAGGGGTAAAGGAGATGCACCTCCCTAAGTTGCTACCAGAGGATATCTAGTTGCTAAACAATAGGCAATAAATAATGTTATTTCCCTTCTCATCACTATTACTGATCCAATTTTTATTCAGAATCCACAAATTATCACCTTAACAAGATTTCTAGCCCAAAAGCTTCACTTCCCATTATCATTGCCTAAGCACTAGGAGCAGTGGCTCTCCTTATACACCTACTGAGCAAAGGACAATGACGTTTGTCTGTGATTTTCTTATGTCTCCCCTCCTGGGTACTCTCTCTCTGTGAGGGAATATCACGTGATCTCCCTCATGGCCATCCTGGGACTCACATAAATTAAGGATTCAGTCTTGTGAATTCAACATTTGTATAGAAATATACATTCTTTCCATTGTCCCCACATTGCTCCTTCTCTATCCATGGGCCAGTGATTTGCATCCAGTATACACTTATTAACTATTGGTAGGGTTAACTATTTGCATGGTCAATAGGACATCAGGAAATCTGAGCATGGGGTAGGGGTTTTTTTATATGTATCTCTTATGAATAAAAACTATCAGCAGCATATCTTTTAGTATCATATCAGGGCATTAACCAGCCTACACAAGGATACATAATTCTAACATACATTTTTCCCTATTTAATTTTTTCTACTTTATAAAATTATTTTATATCCTTTTTAATTTTTGTCAAACTTTTTATACCAATAGTAACATTTTTATATCATTATAATTATATCTGTACTAATTATGTGATGGATCAATTTGAGATGATAATCAGGATCCATATTTAATTAAAATATTGGATATATATATACAGATGCTCCTAAACTTATGATGGGGTTACATCCTGATAAACCTATCATTAAGTTGAAATTATCTAACTTGAAATAGCTAGTAGCTAAATAATAGGTAATAAATAATGTTATTTCCCTTCTCATCACTATTACTGATCCGATTTTAATTAGAATCCACAAATTGTCACTTTACCAAAATTTCTAACCTGAGAGCTTCACTTGCCGTTGTCATCTCTTAAGCACTCAGGGCAGTGGCTTTCCTTATACACCTGCTGAGCAAAGCCTGGTGACATTTGTCTGTGATTTTCTTATGTCTTTCTATATAGAATTTCTATGGAGACTCCTAGAAAATCCCACGTACTTGTGATTTCACCTGTAAAAAGGAGAAATGAGAGACACCATTCAATTAGTTTGGTACATTCAAACTAATTGTAACACACCTAACCTACCAAACATCATAGCTTAGCCTGGCATATTTTCAACATGCTCAGAACACTTACATTAGCCTATGGTTGGGCAAAATCATCTGTCAACACAGTACACTGTAGGGTGTCGTTTGTCTACCCTCTTGATCACGTGGCTGATTGGGAGCTGTGGCTCAGTGAGAGAGTATCCTACCGCATATCGCTAGCCTGGGAAAAGATCAAAATTCAAAATTTGAAATATGGTTTCTACTGAATGCATATCACCTTTGCATCATCACAGAGTTGAAAATTCATAAGTTGTACTATCATAAGTCAGTGACCATCTGTGTATATAAAATCACATATAAAAAAAAGGAAGGAAAAAAATATATGTATGTATATGTGTGTATGTGTGTATGAATGATACAGTTTGGATTTGTGCCCCAGCCCAAGTCTCATGTTGAATTGTAATCCCCAATGTTGTAGGTGGGGCCTGGTGGGAGGTGATTGGATCATAGGGATGGATTTCCCCCTTTGGTGTCATTCTCGTGATAAAGTTCTCATGAGATCAGATTGTTTAAAAGCATGTGGCACCTCCAACCTCTCTCTCTTCTTCCTGCTTTGGCCATGTTAAGACGTGCTATTTCCCCTTCACCTTCTACCATGATTGTAAGTTTCCTGAGGCTTCCCCAGCCATACCTCCTGTACAGCCTGTGCAACTGTGAGCCAATTAAACCTCCTTTCTTTATAAATTATCCAGTCTCAGGTAGTTCTTTACAGCAGTGCCAGAACAGACTAATACAATGTATGTATAGGTATATATATACATACACACACACACACACACATATATGTACAGTATGTTTACTGGATGAGGTTGTTCAAGAAATAAAGATAGTAAAGACATTCAACTGTGTATGCAAAGCAATGAGGTTTGTTTTTGCTAATCAATGAAAAAAGAGAGCAAATTTGTCCCAAAATAGTGTCAAGTTAATCAGATAGCTATGCTACAACCATTTATCATCAGGCACCCATCCTTCTGTTGCAACCATGTAACCAAATATCCTCTCACAATCATTTTTGATTTTGCCTTCCCAAGACCAGTTTCTAAATTTAGAAAAATAAAATTTTAAAATATCCTTTGAAACTAAAATTATCTTTCAGATTTCCTAGTAGACTCCTAGAAAATCACATGGATTTGTTATTTTACCTGTAAAAAGGAGAAATGAGAGAAGCTATTCAATGTTTGGTACATTCAATATTTTTAAATTAGTTAACACTATTGTAAGAGCTATATGGGGAGATTTGTAAATCAAAGAGAAGATTGGCCTTCCGTGTGTTGATTTTTTAGAGATAAAATCACCAGCATGGCACATGTATACATATGTAACTAACCTGCACGTTGTGCACAGGTACCCTAAAACTTAAAGTATATATAAAAAAGAGATAAAATGTTACTAATATCAATGTCCCAAAGACTGTACACTTTAAGGAATAAATTGGGGGGCCTTGGTGTCTGTCTATATCCTATCTGTGATGAGATGTTCTTATCCTCAGGGGAAACATTGATCAGGCCCTGATGGGATAGCTGTGCACTGCACCCCAATTGAGCACTTTACTTTCTTCAATTTTGTTACTGATTACTGTAATAAATTCATGACAGCCCTTCAGTTTCATCAACAGACGGTTTCTGAGTTATCTGATGCTTGCCTGAAGTCTCTGCTATACACTTCAAGTTACAGTCTGTTTCTTCAATAAAGTGGGATGGTCTCAGAACCTTGCGAAAAGGACCATAACTGATATTCCTAACTATTGATATTTCAACAAAAAATATGTGGGTGCAAGCTTCAGTGCTTAAAGCTGAAATAATTTAGACAGCTTTCTGACCATAGCAAACTGAGTCTTTTCAGTCCAATGAAATGATTTTATTAAAAGAGATTGCTGACTGAAACTCTAGCAGAAATAATAATTACTTAAGGAAAAGTGAATGAACTGATAAAGAAAAATTACCTGTGATTTTTTTTTAAATATCATGGATATTGTTTTAATGCTCTTTTTTCTGATTGGTATATAAGGGGGCTTTTCTCTTTATTTATTGTGAATCCTCAATTTAGTAGACTGTGCCTTTGTAACTAAAGCAAAACTTTAATTGGTATCTGATTCTCATTGATTCCTCAGAATTCTGAAAAAATACTTTTACTGGGCCTCATTACTTTTCATGGTAATAAATTTATTTGCATAGGTTCAATAAAAATCTGTTCTCTTACTTAACAAGATATAAATAGACAAATCTGAGATAGGAGGCCAGACTTGACTCAGGAGACAGGACTTGACTCTGGAGGCAGAGCTCAGACACTGGACCAAATTCAGGACTAGCTAAAACAGGGAGAGGTAGAAGCAGCTTTCCACCAACAACACCCACCAGTGTGCCATGCCAGTTTACCATTGCCATGGCAACACCAGGGAGTTACTGCCTCTTTCCATGGCAATGACTTGATGACTCAAAAGTTACTCCCCCTTCCCTAGAAATTTCTGCACAAGCTGCTCCTTAATCTACATATAATTAAAAGTAGGAATAAATATGACTGCAAAACTGCCCTGAGCTGCTGCTCTCTGCCTGTGGGGTAGCCTTGCTCTGCAGGAGCACTCATGGAGCTGTAACACTGCTACTTCAATAGAGCTATTTTTTTTTCTGCCTCTGGCTTGCCCTTGAATTCTTTCTTGGGCAAAGCTAAGAAGTGTTATGGGCTAAGCCCCACTTTGGGGCTCACTTGTCCTGCATCAAATTGATTTTGCAACAAACTCCATGGTTGGTGTGTCAGTCGTATAAAGAGTAATGCTCATTTAATCAGCTATGACAAGCCTACCACTAAGGTACAAGGATTGATTTGATATATGAAGTTAATGCCTGCAAAATCCTCCCAGGAAAGCCAGGTTGGTCTCTGTCTTTCTTACAGGGTTCCAGCTTCACAGCTGATTAAAAAAAAAAAAATCACTCCCTAGCAGACCAGGGACCTTAGTTTACTTTAAGTAGATTGAAGGGAGAGAAATTCACTTACATTTATGAATAAAGCAGGTGAGGAAGTTTCTTGGGCTATGGTTCCTATCCCTAGGTAGAAGAATAAATAATTGGAAGCATTTATAAGTCAAATCTAAGAGTTTTTATAAAAATTTCCAGGCAGAAGCTAATCACTGGTTCAGTGTTGCTCAATGCCAAATAGCTCTAGATTTACTGAGCAAACTCAAGGAGGCTAACAAAAGTAATTAACTCCTCTTGTTCTACATATGTAAGTAATCAGGCCAAAATATGAGACTAGCCTTATTTAGTTAATCAAGAATATTTTTGCAGATTATTTGCAACCAAAACGGGAGACTTAAAAAAATAGTATCTAAAATCTAAAAATAAGTAAAAAGTTGGGGAAGGCATGTCCTTTCAATATCACTTGGGTGCTGTTTAACAAGACTACTGGATGATTTATTTAATTCTCTAGGAGGGTGTATATGTTTAATTTGTTATTCACCATTTAGTTTTCATCCAGACATATGTTAATTTGTGTACTTCTATTCAGTTGAAAAGATAACCTCAAATTTTGTGCTGTCATTGCCCTACAGGACATTAAGTAGTTTTTAAAATTTAACCCAGAAATCTTATTCTAACCTGCCTTTCCTCCCTCCCTCCTTCCTTTCCTTCCTCACTCTCTCCCTTCTTCCTTCTTTTTTTTTTTTGTTTTTATTTAATGCTTGTAAGTATCCAGTTTCTCAAATGTTTTTGAAACTAGCTTTATCATCTCACTAGTTTTTTTTTTTTTTTTTTTTTTTGAGACGGAGTCTTGCTCTGTCACCCAGGCTGGAGTGCAGTGGTGCCATCTCGGCTCACTGCAAACTCCGCCTCCCAGGTTCATTCCATTCTTCTGCCTCAGCCTCCCGAGTAGCTGGAACTACAGGCACTCGCCACCAGGCATGGCTAATTTTTTGTATTTTTAGTAGAGACGGGGTTTCACCCACCGTGTTAGCCACGATGGTCTTGATCTCCTGACCTCGCGATCCGCCTGCCTCAGCCTCCCAAAGTGCTGGAACTACAGGCGTGAGGAACCACGCCCGGCCACTAGTTTCCTCTTTATTAACTTAAACATTTAAAAATATGCAACATTTATATCTATATGAATTAATTATTTGAGCTTCTGTAAATTATACTTTGATACCATTAGATCACACCATATAAGAATCTGTTTATTTTGGCTATGAGCACAGCCTCTTCTGCATTTCTTCTGTAGATAAAAATATAAGCTTTTACTTATGTGTGTATAATAACATTGCTCTCCTGCTTCTAAAAAGGAATTGAAGTAGCTTACATTTAAAGTAACAGTGTGGCACGTTTGAACCCATGTGGAATCCTCTGCTGGATTTGAAAAATGTCTGAGCAAGTTTGACAAATGAGTGGGAGATACTCATCAGAATACCATTTTCCTGATGATCTGTGAAGTGTTTTGGCACCTAGTGCATTCTAGAGAACAGAATGCCCATTTGGTGTTATCATTTTGGAATATCAGTTTTTTTCAATGGTGGCATCTGCAGTGGTACCCAACAGAGTGTGTGGTACCCAGTAGGAGCTGGTGATACCCAGAAGGAGAGAGTAGCATCTGCTAGAGTGGCAGTGGTGCCTAAAACAGTGATGATACCCAACACAGCAGAACAGCCTTTGGAGGAGACAGCTGCTGTATTGGCAAATGGAAGCAGTTCAGAAAGGAATTAAGCAAATGTAGTCCAAGTGCATTGCTTATTAGAACTTGCTAGAAAAAAAAAAGAATTTGACATCAATATTACTTTAATGATGTCTCTTGAATATTATTAATCTGAAATCCATTTTTGATAGGAACTCCCTGGAGAATGACTGAAAGGCAGCTTTTTTGAGTTTTATTGTTCATTGTAAAGACATTTGCATGCTCTCAATAGAGAGGTAGTAATGTTGTTATTCTGTTAAGGAAATTAAGGAGTCTTAATGTTTTCACCTAAACAGAGCACAAACCTCTTCCCACGGAAGGTGAGTCATAGTGTACCCAGAGGCAGAACCAACAAAGCCTTCAGAAAAGAGACTCAAATCTGATCCAAAGTGCAAACGAGTGAAGCTGGGAACAGTCTACTATCAGCGGTTTAGAAATCACTTGATAATTAAGATGTGTACAATAGATATTTTATTCTCTTCTTTCTTTTCTCATTTTAGCAGATTGGTGATAATAAAGAAGTTCACCGGCCTATTCAATTAATCTAAAAGACAGTCTGTATTACCTGAAAGAAAATTAGATAAGTGTAGCAAATAGTAGAAAATGTGTTATTAATACTATTCTGGGAATGCAATGGATTTAAAGCATTGTCAATGACAGTGAGAATACATATAGCTACTGTGGTAAGTGCAGGGTGTTTGTTAAATGAAAGTTACTAAATAACATCCAGCATTGAGTCAATTGGTTACGGTTCTAAGAATCCCTGTTGTTTTTCTCTTATAACAATTGTGAGACTATTGAGAGCAAAATGGAAACTGAGTTAAGTAATAATAACTGAATGAGAATCCAGTGTTGTAAGCATCCTTTGATTGAAAGGAGGCACTATCGATTTCATTGCTTTTAAAACCCAAATTCTGCTTCTGAGAAAAATCTGACTTTTGAATTACCTCACGTTACTAAGGCATGTAGTCAGTAATGGAGCTAAACTATGTTGGATTTTGGGGACTAGAGCTGTGATCTAACTAATGATGCAGGGAAAATAGCAAGCTAAAATTTATTTTTCTTGCTAAACATGTTGCTGTTTAAGAAGGCCATGCCCTTCATGACTAAGAAAAGATTTTGTTAGAAGTGAGAAAAAAGAAAAGGATGATCTTGGAAGAAACTGTCAATTTGCTGTTCACTTCGATAGTAACTGGAGCATTTTATTATGACTTAAACTCGATGTCATGAAAGGGAGATTAGGGAGAAATTTCTGAAAAATATTTTAACACACCCATATCTTAAAACATTCTTTTGGGCTTGTGTAGTATTCAAAGTATTTGCATAAAATGGAAATGCAGGTTTTGTAGAGTTCATTAATCGTAGTATAATTAATGAGGGTGTTAGGGGTCTTGAGAGAGCTGGTCCATTTCTTCTACAGAAAGATAAGCAAACTGTAAAGAAAAGATGTACTTGACCTGCAGGGATGCAGTTACGGAGCAGGAGGGGAGCCTAGGTCTCTGGATTTGTGGATGATGTTCTTTCATAGACTGCAGTGCAGTACCAGAGGAAGCTGTATTGGAACCTTGAAACAGTCCAGGGCAACATTTCTCTTTCTCCTCTCTAATCACCCAGGATATATTGAATCTTTCTTGTTTTGATCAGTTTTGTGTGGTAGATTTGATGATTCCTGTGTCTATACAGGTTCTTGCTACTACAAGGGACAAGATTCGGCTATCTGTCAGTTGGAGAAATGTCTTTGACTTTTTCTAACTGTTAATTTCTTTCATCCTTTCCCTCTAAGTCTAACAAAATGTATTCAATGTTTACTACATATTTTAATTCAAACTTTCATTAAAGTACTAAATGATAAAGGGAAAATCATTTTATCATGAGTTCCAGGTCAAATCAGTCAGTGTTCACTGGATGTAAATTCAGACTGATTCTCAGCAGCAGATGATCTAAGTAAGAAAAAATACTTTCATATCGATTAGTGCTACCTATTCTAATAATTCAGAAAGGAGTGTGAAAAGTAGTCAGCAGTAGATAGGGAAAGGTTTATGAGAGCCTTAATTGCTACTTAAAGGAGACCAAGATCAATAGAATTCAGATTCAGAGGTGGGCTTCTGTGTGTTATTTGGCTGTAAAACTCTGATGTGCCTGAAAGGTAAGGTGTATATAAGGCATGTCAAGGGGGGTGTCAAAGACTGTGGCCACATTAGAGATGGCCTGGCTTGCTGGGCTCTGGAGTTTGGGCACTGTGGAAGCCATCAATTATTTGAGTCAAATGCATGTCAGAATTGAAGCTGTTTTTCATGAATATTAAGCCAGCAGCAATTTACAGGAGGGATTCCAAGAGGTAAGAGAGGAAGCATAAACAGCATCTAGGAGGCTCCTTCAAAAGGCTGCATTAGAAACAGCGAGAGCTTGAGCTAGGGCTTTGACTGAAAACCTGGAAAAGATAGGATAGATACAAATGTCCCTGTCGAAGCAGAATCAATTGTACTTAGTGCCCAGTAAGAAGTCTGGATAGTGGAAAAGGTATTTCAAAGAAACACTAACATTTATTTGAAGCCTGAAGTGTTATGGTGTTAACTTTAACACAAAGGATAGGGGTCAGGGATAAAACTTGTTGAATTTTGTTTGTTAAATTCATTCCTTCCCAATCAAGATTTGATAATTTCAGAACTGCAGAATATTCAGGTACAAAATGACTTTAAGAGGCAGCTGTTCCCATAAAACCATACTTGACAGTGCTTCTATTTTTCTTCATATGTATAAGGAGACTTCAAAAAGTTTGTGGAAAACTGGTATTAAAAGATAAAACATATAAGATTTCTTTCTTGACATAAGCTCTGTCACTTTCAAGACAGTTTAGTAAGTGATGATACCAGCCATTTAATCTATCAATCACTAAAGAACTGAGCGTCCTGGGAATTTAACCATGTCAGTGCAGTATCTTACATATATAAAGTTAACTGAGGAAAAATGGATACCTTTCCAGATTTTTTAAGATTGGGAAACCAAAAGAAGTTAGAATGAGCCAAATCAGGATTGTAAGGTAGATGCCTAATGATTTTCCATTGAAACTCTCTAAAAAAAAATTACCCTGGTTTGCAGGAGCATTGTCACGGAGAAGGACTCTCAGGTGAAGCTTTTCCAGATGTCTTTCCGCTAAAGCTTCAGTTAACTTTCTCAAATTATTCTCATAATAAACAGATGTTATTGTTCTTTGGTCCTCCATAAAGTCAACAAGCAAAAGGCTTTAAGAATCCTAAAAAACTCTTGCTGTGAACTTTGCTCTTGACTGGTCTGCTTTTGCTTTGATTGGACCCTTTCCACTTCTTGGTAGCCATTGCTTTGATTGTGCTTTGTCTTCGGGATTGTGCTGGTAAAGCCGTGTTGCATCTCCTGTTACAATTGTTTGAGGAAATGCTTCAGGATCTTGATCCGATCTGTTTAAAATTTTCATAGAAAGCTCTGCTCTTGTCTGCAGCTGATCTGGGCACAACAGTTTTGGCACCCATCAAGTGGAAAGTTTGCTCAACTTTAATTTTTTAGTCAGAATTGTGTAAGCTGACCCAGTTGAGAAGTCTATGCTGTTGGCTTGTTTTTGGTGCTGTTAATTGTTGATCCACTTCAATTAGTGCATGAACAGGATGATTTTTTCTCTTGCAAACTGATGTAAATAGCCCACCGCTACAGATTTCATCTTCAACATTATCTTGTCCTTTCTTAAAATAAGTTATCCATTTGTAGACTGATGATTTATTTGAGGCATTGTCCCCATAAACTTTTCATAAAGGCTCAATGATTTCACCATTCTTCCACCCAAGCATCACCATAAATTTGGTGTTTGTTCTTGCTTCAATTTTAGCAGAATTCAGGTTCCTCTGCCAGGAGCTCTTTTCAAACTGATATCTTATCCTTTTTAGTCCCTCAAACTAGACCTTGTTCAGGCATGTTACGATAAGTTAGTATAAGTTTATTTTGGTGCAAACAATTTTTTGATTTAATGCACAGTTTTTCTTTTATGTATTTATTTATTTTTATTTTAAGTTCTGGGATACATGTGCAGAACGTGCAGGTTTGTTACACAGGTATACCTGTGTTATGGTGGTTTGCTGCACCCATCAACCCATCATCCAGGTTTTAAGCCCTGCATGCATTACATATTTGTCCTAGTGCTCTTCCTCCCCTTACCCTCGACCACCCAGCAGGCCCTGGTGCATTATGTTCCCCTCCCTGTGTCCATGTGTTCTCACTGTTCAACTCCCACTTGTGAGTGAGAACATGTGGTGTGTGGTTTTCTGTTCATGTGTTAGTTTGCTGAGAATGATGGTTCCAGCTTCATCCATGTCCCTGCAAAGGGCATGAACTCATTCTTTTTTATGGCTGCATAGTATTCCATGGGTATATGTGCCACATTTTCTTTATCCAGTCTATCATTGATGGGCATTTGGGTTGGTTCCAATTCTTTGCTATTGTAAATAGTGCTGCAATAAACAGTTTTTCATAATACACATTTTTCCTGAACTTTTTGAAGTCCCCCTCATATTATCTTTAGTAAATGTATCTCTATGGCTTTATTTTTATTTGCAGATAGCTTGCAAAGTATTCTAAGCTGATGTTCTTGTTTTTTAGCAAAATAGTTCTCCAAATAGAGAGCGATAGTTTTCTAATCTTTAATCTGAAATTTCTAGGTGATTATTTATGGTACTACAATTAAGTGACTCAAACTTTACAATTAGACCTCATTATTTATTATCTCATAACCTAATAACATTTTTATATTACTGAGAGCTGCTTATGTTGTTAATGACTCATTAGCATGACTCCACTTGCAATGGGAATGCAAACCAGGTACTTCCAAAAGTAACTAATACCCAGTTTTGATTCTGTGGAGGGCAACAAAGCAGGAGTCAAAATAAATGGAGAAGAATGAGAAAGACATTTTTTTTCCAGAAGAATGCTAGTTTAGACATAACATAGATGTAAAAATTTTCCCAATTTTAATTTTTCTAGCATGCTTACTTTGAAAGATTACATTATGGATAACATTCCCTTGAATTGAGTGGTTAAGTTTATAGCCACAAAATAGCCAAATTTGCATAGCTTTGCTTTCAGATATTTCATTTACTACATGGAATTATTGCAAGCAAGTTTACTTGGCCATCCCTTAGCTCTAGTAGAAAGTAAATATGCTTTATGTATTACGTATGTTATATGTAACTAGCAATCATTCAGCTTTGTGTGGATTTTATTTCTCTTTCCCAGCTGTAAATTTGAAATGTTAAAACCTCAAGGTCACATTCAAAAGTGAATGAATGAGAATCCTAATGACAATGCAAACTCAATATGCCTAAATGTAATGATAGTTAAAACTAATTTCATGCTTATACTATACCAGGCCATGGTAAGTACTTTACATATATCACTTTATGTAAACCTTTCACAACTCCTGTGGTGGCATTTTATTCTCCATATTTTCACAGATAAACTGAGATTTTGAGTATTCCAAGGTCATGAAACTAGGATATAGAGATCAAGAATTACACTGAAATCTTTCACTAAATTACTAATTGTCCCCTATATTGACATCCAAACTCTGGCCTAAATAAAATCCTGTAAATTGTTGGTCAATAAATGAAATAAAATAATGAATTTGGCAAGGATAGAACTGTGACTGTCCCTTGGCAAAAGGCAGCTGCAACCCAGAAATCAAATCAAAAGGAGCTTTAATGGAGTCTGTAGCTTACAAAAAGCCCCTTGTCTTCTACCTTAACTTTCCACAAGTTAGAAGGTAAGTCTAACCTTATCACATATTTTTCACAATTATATTTGTGAAAGGAAGCCACTCTCATTGCCTTTCCTTTGGATTTCTCTTTATAAGCAGCTCTAGTTGTCTTCTTCGTGGATGTGGTGACAGTTTCCCTGTAGACAGCACAAATGAAATTCCACTATAATCCCCAATCCAGATCCCACTGCCCTTAGTAGGTTAGCTGGTATATACTGCAGACTTGTAAGAAAAATGGCCATTGCATGTAAAAATAGATTTGTTCAAAGAAAAATCAATATACAGATATTTGACAAGAGGCAAAGGACACTGACACCAATTTCCTTTTGAAATATGTCTTATTCTTTCTCAGTTTTTCCTTCCAGGGTTCTTTTGTGTAACAGATGGTATTCCATGGACACTCACCATTTAATCCTCTACGTGATAACTTCCAATGGCAAACCCCTGAGACTCTTTGGAAGGCCTTTCTCTGCCACCAGAGACCATTCAACCTATAGGACAGATGGGAAAATTCGAAAAGTTACTGTCCCTTGGGAGCAGCCTACTAGTGACTCAAAGGTGTTGGGGATATATAGCCCAGCTGGCCTACCTCTCTACTGGCATAACTCTAGTCATATTCTATCTTGTCTCCCAGAGTTCCCAGTGGGTCTGAACTCGATTCACCCATAGAAATAACCTCTATGCTAAAGCACTTTCATTTGCTTCTCTCCCCTCTTTGTCTCATTTTCCCACATGTGGCATCACCTCACAAATAAACTAAGTATATCCAAATCTCTATCTCAGGGTTTACTTCTGGGGAAACCCAACCTGAGACATCTAGATGTTATCAAGGCAGCCTTAAAATCCCCCTCCTGCTATGACCCTGCTAAGAAGCACAGAGGAGGGCTCCCTGACTTCAGGAGGGCAAGAAAGACTCCCAGAGAAAAATAAACAAAATTTAAGCTGAATCCCAAGAAGGAGCTATGAACTAGTTAAAAGAGAAATAGAGGCAGGGAGTTGGGAAGCTTGGACACTGTAAGTGGTAGAGTCCATGTATGAAAAGGTCTGAAATTTGGAAAGGCCCATGGTAAGTATGGGCAAAGGAAATCTCCCTGCCTCTATTCCTCTTTTAATACATGGAGGATTTTAAGGCTGCCTTGATAGTATCCAACAGCCTGGAACCCAGAGCTGTTGACCCCAAACTGTGCACCAAGGCATCCTGGAGCACTGTAGCAAACTCACATGGACATCACAGGATATTTAAATTCTGTGTAGGCAATGCAATGATGCTCTACATGTATCTATAATGAGGATTACTTAAGAAAAAATTAAAATACTTTTCCTTCAGTTTATATGAATTACATCTTTACTGGCTACTAAGTTGCTAGGATATAAATGCTCATTATATTGTTTGGACTTCACTATGTAGTAGAGGGAACTGTTAGGCAATTCTTTGTACCTAGGGATAACATGAACATATTGAGATTCTAAGGATTCTGTTAACTGAGGACGTTTTGGAACTTCTGGCCTAGAATAAGGAAGGGATATGGGTGGCCAGAAATAAAGCTGGAGAGGTAAACCGCAGACAGGTTTGAGGAGTCTAAGTTTTGTCCTGAAGGTGACAGGGAACCTCTGAAGGAACAGGAAGTAACACGTTCAAAGTCTACAGTCGAGAATCAATTAGGACAAGAAATGGGGGAAGAAGGGGAGGGATCTATGGCACAGACAGGTGGAGGCAGGGAGAGCCACATGAACTCTTTAACAGCTTTAGCAATAATATAGCTGTATGAATTTTCAATTGCTGCTATAACTTCCACCAACTTGGTTGCTTAAAACAACATGAATTTTGTCACCACCAGGCCTGCCTTACAAGAGCTACTGAAGGAAGCACTAAATATGGAAAGGAAAAACCAGTACCAGCCACTGCAAAAGCATACCAAAATGTAGAGACCATCGACACGATGAAGAAACTGCATCAACTAACGGACAAAATAACCAGCTAGCATCATAATGACAGGAACAAATTCACACATAACAATATTAACCTTAAATGTAAATGGACTAAATGATCCAATTAAAAGACACAGACTGACAAATTGGATAAAGAGCCAAGACCCATCGGTGTGCTGTATTCAGGAAACCCATCTCATGTGCAAAGACACACATAGGCTCAAGATAAAGAGATGAAGGAATATATACCAAGCAAATGGAAAGCAAAAAAAAAAAAAAAAAAAATAGAAAGCAGAGGTTGAAATTCTAGTCTCTGATAAAACAGATTTAAACCAACAAAGATCAAAAAAGACAAAGAAGGGCATTACATAATGGTAAAGGGATCAATGCAAAAACAAGAGCTAAGTATCCTAAATATATATGTACCCAATACAGGAGCAACCAGATTAATAAAGCAAGTTCTTAGAGACCTACACAGAGACTTACACTCCTACACAATAATAGTGGGAGTATTGATAGTGGAACACCCCACTGTCAATATTAGACAGATCAATGAGACAGAAAATTAACAAGGATATTCAGTACTTGAACTCATCTCTGGACCAAGCGACCCTAATAGGCATCCTCAGAACTCTCCACCCCAAATCAATAGAATATACATTCTTCTCAGCACCACATCACACTTATTCTAAAATTGACCACATAATTGGAAGTAAAACACTCCTCACCAAATGCAAAAGAACGGAAATCATAACAAATAGTCTCTCAGACCACAGTGCAATCAAATTAGAACTCAGGATTAAGAAACTCACTCACAACTGCACAACTGCATGAAAACTGAACAACCTGCTCCTGAATGACTACTGGGTATATAATGAAATGAAGGCAGAAATAAAGATGTTCTTTGAAACCAATGAGAACAAAGACGCAACATACCAGAATCTCTGGGACACATTTAAAGGAGTGTGTAGAGGAAAATTTATAGCACTAACTGCCCACAGGAGAAAGTAGGAAAGATCTAAAATCAACATCCTAACATCACAATTAAAAGAACTAAAGAAGCAAGAGCAAACAAATCCAAAAGCTAGCAAAAGACAAGAAAGAACTAAGATCAAAGCAGAATTGAAGGAAATAGAGAAACACAAAAACCTTCAAAAATTCAATGAATCTAGGAGCTGGTTTTTCGAAAAGGTTAACAGAAAAGATAGACCACAGGCAGACTAATAAAGAAGAAAACAGAGAAGAATCAAATAGACACAATAAAAAATGATTAAGGGGATATCACCACTGATACCACAGAAATACAAACTACCATCAGAGAATGCTATAAACACCTCTATGCAAATAAACTAGAAAATCTAGAAGAAATCGATAAATTCCTGGACACATACAGCCTCCCAAGACTTAACCAGGAAGAAGTCGAATCCCTGAATAGACCAATAACAAGTTCTGAAACTGAGGCAGTAATTAATAGCCTACAAACCAAAAAAAAAAAGCCCAGGCCCAGACAGATTCACAGCTGAATTCTGCCAGAGGTACAAAGAGGAAGTGATACCATTCCTTCTGAAACTATCCCAAGAAATAGAAAAAAAGGGACTCCTCCCTAACTCATTTTATGAGGCCAGCATCATCTTGATACCAAAACCTGGCAGAGACACAATAAAAAAAGAGAATTTCAGGCCAATGTCCCTGATGAAAATTGATGAGAAAATCCTCAATAAAATACTGGCAAACTGAATCCAGCAGCACATCAAAAAGCTTATCCACCATGATCAAGTCGGCTTCATCCCTGGGATGCAAGGCTGGTTCCCAAATAAATAAATCAATAAATGCAAATCAATAAACATAATCCATCACATAAGTAGAACCAATGACAAAAACCACATGATTATCTCAATAGATGCCGAAAAGGCCTTTGATAAAATTCAACACCACTTTAGGCTAAAAACACTCAATAAACTAGGTATTGATGGAATGTATCTCAAAATAATAAGAGCTATTTATGACAAACCCACAGCCAATATCATAATGAATGGGCAAAAGCTGGAAGCATTCCCTTTGAAAACCAGTACAAGACAAGGATGCCCTATCTCACTACTCCTATTCAACATAGTATTGGAGGTTCTGGCCAGGGCAATCAGGCAGGAGAAAGAAATAAAGAGTATTCAAATAGGAAGAGAGGAAGTAAAATTGTCTGTATTTGCAGATGACATGTTTGCATATTTAGAAAACCCCATCATCTCAGCCCAAAAACTCCTTAAGCTGATATGCAACTTCAGCAAAGTCTCAAGATACAAAATCAATGTGCAAAAATCACAAACATTCCTATACACCAATATTAGACAAACAGCCAAACCATGAGTGAACTCCATTCACAATTGCTACAAAGAGAATAAAATACCTAGGAATACAACTTACAAGGGATGTGAAGGACCTCTTCAAGGAGAACTACAAACCGCTGCTCAAAGAAATAAGAGAGGACACAAACAAATGGAAAAACCTTCCATGCTCATAGATAGGAAGAATCAATATTGTGAAAATGGCCATACCTCCCAAAGTAATTTACAGATTCCACGCTATCCCCATCAAGCTACCATTGACTTTCTTCACAGAATTAGAAAAAGAACACTTTAAATTTCATATGGAATGAAAAAAGAGCCCGTATAGCCAAAACAATCCCAAAAAGAACAAAGCTGGAGGCATCACACTACCTGACTTCAAACTATATTACAAGGCTACAGTAACAAAAATAGCATGATACTGGTACCAAAACAGATATCTAAACCAATGGGACAGAACAGAGGCCTAAGAAATAACACCACTCATCTACAACCCTCAGATCTTTGACAAACCTGAGAAAAAAGCAATGGGGAAAGGATTCCATATTTAAAAAATGATGTTGGGAAAACTGGCTAGTCCTATGCCGAAAACTGAAACTGGACCCCTTCCTTACACCTTACACAAAAATTAACTCAAGATGGATTACAGACTTAAATTTAAGACCTAAAACCATAAAAACCCTAGAAGAAAACCTAGGCAATACCATTCAGGACATAGGCATGGTCAAAGACTTCATGGCTAAAACACCAAAAGCAATGGCAACAAAAGCCAAAATTGACAAATGGGATCTAATTAAACTAAAGAGCTTCTGCACAGCAAAAGAAACTACCATCAGAGTGAACAGGCAACCTACAGAATGGGAGAAAATTTTTGCAATCTACTCATCTGACAAAGGACTAATATCCAGAATCTTCAAAGAACTCAAACAAATTTAGAAGAAAAAAACAAACAACCCCATCTAATTAAACGAACGAGCTTCTGCACAGCAAAAGAAACTATCAGAGTGAACAGGCAATCTAAAGAATGGGAGAAAATTTTTGGAATCTATCCATCTGAAAAAGGGCTAATATCCTGAATCTATAAGGAACTTAAACAAATTTACAAGAAAAAACCAACCCCAACAAAAAGTGGGTGAAGGATATGAACAGACACTTCCCAAAAGAAGACAATTATGAAGCCACCAAACATATTTAAAAAAAAGCTCATGATCACTGGTCATTAGAGAAATGCAAATGAAAACCACAATGAGATACCATCTCATGCCAGTTAGAATGGCTATCATTCAAAAGTCAGGAAACAACAGTTGCTGGAGAGGACGTGGAGAAATAGGAATGCTTTTACACTGTTGGTGGGGGTGTAAATTAGTTTAACCATTGTGGAAGACAGTGTGGCGATTCCTCAAGGATCTTGAACCAGAAATACCATTTGTCCCAGTAATCCCATTACTAGGTAATACCCAAAGGATTATAAATCATTCTACTATAAAGGCACATGCACACATATGCTTATTGCAGCACTGTTCACAATATCAAAGACTTGGAACCAACCCAAATGCCCATCAATGATAGACTGGATAAAGAAAATGTGGCACATATATACCATGGAATACTATGCAGCCATATAATAGGATGAAGTCACGTCCTTTGCAGGGACATGGATGAAGCTGTAAACCATCATTCTCAGCAAACTACCACATGAACAGAAAACCAAACACCGCATATTCTCACTCATAAGTGGGAGCTGAATAATGAGAACACATAGACACAGGGAGGGGAACATTATGCATCGGGGCCTTTAAGAGGGTTGGGGGCTAGGGGAGGGATAGCATTAGGAGAAATACCTAATGTGGATGATGAGATGACGGGCTGATGGGTGCAGCAAACCACCATGGCATATGTATACCTATGTAACAAACCTGCATGTTCTGCACATGTATCCCAGAACTTAAAGTGAAAGAAAGAAAGAGGAAAGAAAGAAAGAAGAAAGTAAAGAAAAGAAAGAAAGAAAGAAAGAAAAAGAAAGAAAGAAAGAAAGAAAGAAAGAAAGAAAGAAAGAAAGAAAGAAAGAAAACAAAAACAAAATACCACGAATTTATCATCTTATAATGATGTTGTTTAGAAGTTTGATGTGGGTCTCACTGCACTCAAATCAAGGTATCCAGAGGGCTGCATTCCTTTCTGGAGGTTCCAGGGGGAATCTATTTCTGTTCCATTTGCATATTTTAGAGGCCATTGAGATGCTTTGGCTCATTGACCTTACTCCATGTTCACATCCGGTAACTTTACATGTCTCCATCTTTTCTCCCTGCTAACATTGCCCTCTGATCACAGCTCAGAAACAATTTCTGTGATTACAGTAAGCAGGCCTGGAAATGCAAGATAATCTCCCCATCTCAAGGTCCTTAACCTTATTCACATCTGCAAAGTTCCTTTTGCCACGTAAGGTAACATTTACAGGTTGTGGAGATTAGGCTGTGAACATCTTGGGAGGCTATATTCTGCCTACCACTGTTTTTGTTCAGAAACACTTTCCTGAATTTGAGGAGGAACTTACTTAATCCATTTTGCTTTATGCTTACCTACTTCTACATTTGCAGCAATTATTAGGCTATGTCGTCATCTTGAGTCTTCCAGAGTGACCTACCCTCCTCTTTTTTGAAATTCACAGTCATCCCTGCACTACAGGAGGCCAGGTGGCCTTGACTCCATTTGTACACAGGTGAACAGAAGAGTTATCCCATTATGTGGTCTTCTCCACCCATTAATGTCCCTGCCAAACTGCCTGAAGTCAGTGCACCTACTTCCCACTGATGCAGGAGCTGGCAGGACATCCTGCCTTAACTTACTCTCATTGCATAGTGGTACATCTAATAGCCAGATGGTGTACCTAATGATCAGATTACCTTGGAGTCCCAATTGTAAGTGCTTAATGTGGTCAGTCTCACTCAAGGTGAAGCCTTGGTCATAGATATTCCAGAATTATTCTCACTATGAGAGTTGCTTCCATTCTAAGAGAGCTCCAAGTCAGAAGAAGTCAGACTCTGAGGCATTTGATAAGTACAATAGTTCCCCTTTATCCTCAAGGGGTTTATTTCAAGACCCCAGTGGATGCCCAGAAGTATGGTTAGTACTGAGCCCTATATATACTATGTTTTCTCAGTCTGATAACTGAGAGGGCTACTGAGTGACTAATGAGCAGGTAGCATATATAGTGTGGATACTCTGGACAGAATGGATGATTCACGTCCTGGGCGGAACGGAGCAAGAGGGTGAGATTTCATCATGAATTCAGAATGGCACTTAGTTTAGAACTTATGAATTGTATATTGCTGGAATTTTCTACTGAGTATTTTTGGACTGCAGATAACTGAAATAGTGGAGAGCAAAGCCATGGATATGAGGAAAATACTCTATATTGAGTTTTGAGCCTACACACTTTGAGGGAAGCAGTTAATACATTTAGTAATGATAGAAAAAGAAAGATTGTAAGATTTGAAACCATTTTGAGGTGGCGAAGAGCCACCTGGGGTTTCTGCTATGGGAGCATGACCCACTCACCACTTCCTAGTCACCATTTCATTTTAGATATGGGGGCTCCATGGGCAGAGGCAGTTTTTGAGGGGCTCTTTCCCAGGATTTTGTTCACATAATTTGACATGGGATAAGCTCAGGGTCAATAGTAACCTATTGGTTTAATCCAAGTAGGTTTAATCGTAATCCAATAGTAAACTAATCCAAAAACTTAATAACAAAAAATGTGAATTGTTAATGGTTTGTCTAAAATAGAAGACATGTATTTTAAATTTAAATCCTAGCAGGCTGTTTCTAACACCAATAGCCTACTCTTACTTTCTTGTACACTACATTGACCTTCAGAGCTCTGGTCCAGAGATTCTCTCGGTGAGGGTCTTGGTAGTAACATTCCATTGCAGACTCACTAGACAAAGAAAATTGTCTAGTATGCAACACTCCTTGAAAGGAAATAATGAAAGATAAAGAGCTCAAAGGAAGGCAGCCATAATAACTGAAGTTTTTTTCTTTTTTTTCTGGAAGGGCTCTATTCTGAAGCACTACAAGAGGAAACAGACTGGAACGACAAAGCTGAATAGAGAGACCTATGGAAGACAGAGAACTACAGAAATCTATTCTTTATATATAAGTTAAGGCAAAACAAATATATCAATTTTACTAAAGCTTTTCAATACTTAGACCCTGACATGTGTAAATGTGAATAAACATATATATACATACAAATATGCACCTTTAAAATAAAATAAGAGTGTAACTTGGTGATGAGAAAAAAGAGAAGCAGTAATAGCCAAAGTGTGGACTCGGAAGGGAAGAAGAATGAGGTGGAGGCTTTCTTTCTTTTTCTGGCCTCAAGTTTCCATATGGAGAGACTTCATACTGTAGAAATATCTATCTACTACCAATTTGAGATCCTCCCCCAAATCCTTACTCACTCCTTCCTAGGGGAAGAATCATGGTTTATCTGATTCATCATCACACTTTAGAGTTATTGAACTTTACCACTGATTAACAAATTAATCTGGTGAGCAAATAATCAGAGTAAAATGATACAACATTTAATTAGATGTAAACTACAAGGCATCTGGTGTCACCTAGGAAAGAAACAGGTGTCAGTGGTGACATATTTCAACCCTATTGCACAAATTCAGCAAGAGAACACCCACAATCCACATGTTACTGTGTTTGCCACACCTACGTTATTATGGGAATCAGGAAATCTGGAGTGACTGGCACTAAGATATTAAATAGAAATCTGGAAGTTACTATCATTTATATTGTCTTCCTATGGAATTCTCATATGTGCAGGTAAGTGTCCCAAAGGGAAGAAAATTGTGCTTGGTTTGATGGCTATAATTGACATTGCATAGGGTGATCTACTCAAAAGACAATGCAAATTCAATACCAATAAGTTGAGTAATAGGGTAAAAGGACAAACCAAAAGCTTGTACATTTTTATTGTTCTTACTGGATGTATGTACTTATGTACATGTATGAATATGAAAATATTATAAGTAGAGATACTTTAAAATGTGTATCAATGTGTGCACATTCATATTTATAAGATCTATAATATACAAGTATATATTATATATACTATATATAAGTATATATTTATATATTATGTAAGTATATATTATATATTATAAGTATATATAATATATAGCTATACATAATATATACTTATTATATTATATATTTTATATATTTATATAATATCTTTGCCATAAAAAATACATTATGGAAAATTTGAAACACATACAAAAGTAGAGACAATGGTATAATGAATACCCCATGTACCGATAACCCAGGTCAACAATTATCTTCTCATTGCTAATTTATTTCTTTTGTACCCCTACCCATTTTCCCCTTTCCCCTTCCTGATTATTTCAAAACAAATCCCAGACATGATATTATATCATCTGTAAGTATTCTAGTGTTTGTTTCTAAAAGGCAAGAACCCCACTTTTAAATATAACCACAACACCATCATTACATTTCACCCCCTACCTTTCATTATGTGAAGTCAACAATAATTCCTCAATATCACTAAATAGCCAGTCAGGGTTCAAACTTCAGTTGTCATACAAACGTTGTTGCTTTTTAATAGTTCATCTGCATTGGAATTGAATTGAATTGAAATAGAAAAAGTTCCAGATCTGAGGTTGGCTAAAGGTCTCTTAAGAGCCTTTTACTCTACAAGTTCCCTTTCACCTTTTTATTTTTCTTGAAGTTTTTTGTTTGTTTATTTTTGGTTGTTGTTGAGGGAAACAGGTTGCTTGTCCTGTAGTGTTTCTCATGTCCTGGAATTTAATATTGCATACTCTTAGTCTCATCCAATGTGTTTCTCTCTTATGAACTGACACTTATCTATAGGTTTAATCAAATTAAAAGTCAATATTTTGGCATGACTTTATTATAGAAGGTATTGTTTACTTCTATCAGGAACTGAATCATATCTACTTGTCTTTCTTTTTTAATGTTAGCAGCTATTGATATTTATTTTCTGGGTCTATTCATTTAGTATGGGATATAAAATGATTACACATCTTCTTCATTTGGTAACAAAAACTTTCCCTCATCAAATTGTTTGTTTACCTTATGATACAATTTGTATGTGAATAAATACTTACTTCCCTTTATCATTTTTTAAAATAGCAAATTGGTGGTGACCAATTTTTTCCTTCTGAATAAAATCATTAATTCATAAATTTAAGTATATTTGATATACTTTAGTCTGCAAAAGTTATTATCTTTGTTGACATTAATATTGCCCCATCTTTGCATAATGAGAGCTTACTATTGTTGGTTCCAGGGTCTTTTTGACGTAAATCTAGCAGTCATTGATAGCTTTATATTTTATTACAATAAGATAGTCCAAGCTTGTCCTGTATTTCCTAACTCAGAGCTAGTATTGCCTATCTTTCAAAATATTCTTCATTCCTTTTTTATGGAAATGGTATTTACAGACCAAAATCTAGGCCCTCATCACTACTGGGTCAATCTTTTGTCTAAGATTTTTTGTGGATTCAGTTAGATAGTACATGTTAATTTAAATACTAATACATGCAAATAAAATTAAGAACTACAGGGTTTTGACTTAACCTTAACCATCTTGTATTACCTTTCTTCACATCAAAACTTCTAGTATTCAAGGAAGCTAAAATAATCACTCAATAGCTTTATTTATTTATATTATATATAACACTCATAACAGGCCTAAAACTCCCTTTAATAATATGATTGCTGAAAAACAGTTTAAGATTTGTTTACAACTGTGTGTACTTGGGGATGTACTCTCAAATTACTGTGTTTTAGTCATTTGGAATAGTTTCTATCTTGGTTCCACCAGCTGGGTACACAGATTCATTTTGATACATTTTGCCTTGATGTTTAGGGCTTACTTTTAAGTTTCAATTTTATTTTATAAATATGTAAAATATGTATGTGGTTCTAAAATCAAATCCATAAAACAACTTATATTCATAAAAGTTTTACCTCTATTTTTGTCTTTTCCATATAACTCTCTCCCTATTTAGATAACTCTGTTACATCATTACTACTTTGTAATTAAGACACACACATAGGCATATACAGGCATTAACTAGCAGCATACTATATGATCTGGTTTGGCTG
Source organism: Homo sapiens (assembly GCF_000001405.40). Lineage (NCBI taxonomy): Eukaryota > Metazoa > Chordata > Mammalia > Primates > Hominidae > Homo > Homo sapiens. The sequence continues at coordinate 58,006,459 of NC_000005.10, forward strand.
TGTCCCCACCAGAATCTCATCTTGAATTTCCATGTGTTGTGGGAGGGACCTGGTGGGAGGTAATTGAATCATGGGGACAGGTATTTCCCAGGCTGTTCTCATGATAGTGAATAAGTCTTACAAGATTTGATGGTTTTAAAAGCAGGAGTTTCCCTGCGCAAGCTCTCTCTTTGCCTGCTGCCATCCATGTAGATGTGACTTGCTCTACCTTGCCTTCTGCCATGATTGTGGGGCCTCCTCAGTCATGTGGAACTGTTAAGTCCATTAAACCTCTTTTTCTTCCCAATCTCGGGTATGTACTTATCAGCAGTGTGAAAATGGACTAATACACTCTACATACTTTTTCACCTTCCTTTCTGATTTAACTACATATTCCTGAGATTATTCTATAGTAATATATAGATATATTAACCTTTTCTATGATAGGTACATAGATTTCTATTGTGTTGATATACCACAGTTTCTTCAATCTATCCTTCACTGTTATTTGAACTTTGTTTACAGACATAAAAGATATATTCTAGTCCTTAAAAAAAAGCTATATTTGGCAGGGTGTGGTGGCTCCACCTGCAATCCCAGCAGTTTGGGAGGCTGAGGCGGGTGGTTCACCTGAGGTTAGGAGTTCAAGACCAGCCTGGCCTACATGGTGAAATCCTGTAGTAAAAATACAAAAAAATTAGCTGGGCATGGTGGCGGATGCCTGTTATCCCAGCTACTTGGGAGGCTGAAGCAGGAGAATCGCTTGAACCTGGGAGGCAGAGGTTGCAGTGAGCTGCGATCCCACCACTGCATGCCAGCCTGGTCAACAGAGCAAGACTGTGTCTCAAAAAAAAAAAAAAAGAAAAAAGAAAAAATATATATTCAAGCCCCGGTACTTGTAAATGTGACCTTATTTGTAAATAGGGTTTTTGCAGATATAATCAAGTTAAGATGAGGTCATCCTCCTATGTTAGTTAGGCCCTAATTCAATATTTTGGTGATCTTATAAGAAGAGGAGAGAAGCCAACAGGGAGAAGATAGCCATGTGAGACAGAGACAGAGATTGGAGACAAGAACTGCCAAGGACTGTCAGAAACCAGAAGAGGCAAGGAAAGATTCCTTCCTACAGGTTTCAGAGGGAGTATGGCCCTATTGATAGCCTGATTTTAGATTTCCAGCATTCAGAACTGGGACACAATTTTTTGTTTGTTTGTTTTTTTAAACCACATAGTTTTTTACACCATAGTTATTACTTTTTTACAGCAATCCTGGGAAACTAATATACTTACTGATTGCCATTTTGGTAGTTTCTAGTCTTCTGCTCTTGGAAACAATGCTGTGATGAAAATCTTTGTAAATACATCATTTTATATATTTTTTCCAGAGTACTTTGCAGTGGAGTTTTGGAAATGAGATTGCTGGTCAAAGGGTAAATACATAGGTAGTTTTGGAAGACAGTCTCAAATTCCCTTCTATACGGGTTTTATTATTTTGCTTCGTGAGCAATAATTTTCAATGTGCCTATTTCCTTACACTTAAAATTTTGCCCATCTGATAGGTGAAAAATTATTTTTCAATATAGTTTTAATTTTAATTATCTCTTATTGGTAAGGCTGACTGTATTTTCATATGGTTAACAGCCATTTGATTTCTTCTGGTCGGGGTACTATCTGTTCATATATTTAGCCCATTTTTCTATGAAGGTAAGTCCCCCTTCCCATCTAGAGTTATTTTTATATTGGAATTATTAATTATTTGAGATATGTTAAATACCCCAGTTCGTTTTTTGTCTTTTTATTTGCTTATGATGTTTTTTCATTTATTTATTGCCATCCTTAAGACATTTTAAAGTCTTTATTTCTTGAATTCACCAGTGATATATAATCAGTTCATGGAGAAAAGATACTTTTATTAAGAATAAAGCTAACATAGAGGACTTTTTAGACGGTCTTCCAGATTTTTTTATAATGTAATGGTATATTATTGGTTTTATGCTTAAAGTTGATTTTGAGGAATTCTGACACAATTCTAAGTTGCATGGCTTATAGCACTCAGAAAGATAAAGGAATCTTTGCTTGAATTAACACTTTCTCATCAGCCTTTGGTGTATGGATAGAAAGTACCAGATTATCTATTAGTAAGAAACGAATCAGCACTTACACATTTGAAAAATACATTCACTGTTTAAAATTTACTCAGTTGACATTTAAATATGCCACACATATTCTTTAGCAATTCAACTTTTATCAAACACTAAACATTTATTGTCTGTTGCCTATGAACATGTGTCTTCTTCCAAGTGAATTTATCATCTAAAACTGGTCTATTTTACCCAGATCCTACAAGTAATTATCTCTACAAGCTTCAGCAAATGCGCTTTTAGTTCCTGTCTGTGTAAGATGAGGTGGCTAGAATAAAATATTCTAAAGCTCATTTCAACTCTAAAATATATTAATCTGCTTCTGTAGTAAGGATCTCACATTTCTTAGGAAACCCTTGAATAGATCTTATCTCTTTTCATTTAGACAAAATTAATTTCAGCACCTCTTGGTTGATAGATACAAAAATGGAACTTCACATAGTTCCATTCCCTTTCTGCCATGCAGAGTGAATGGCCTGAGAACACATTTATAACTGAGAGGTAGGGGAGCAGGCTGACTCACCTGCAGGGCCTTGACTTCTGTAGATACCCAGCTCCTTCAGGAAGCGCTGAGGAGTGCTCTCATCCTCCCTCCAGGAGGGAAGGAAGACAGGCAAGAGGAGGAGAGGAGGTTCACCAGATTCCTCCTAAGCTGACATTGTCCCTGATAATTTCTATGGCCCAATTTGGAGCCTCAGCTTCAGTAAATTCTGACAACTCAGGATAAAAGGACCCCACCACGTTGTGCTCCCCTATGACCTATTCTTTTCTTTCATGCAAGTTATATTTAAAAACCATGTATTTTATGTTTGTTTATGTGTTTACTGCTTGCCTTTGGGACAAGATTGTAAGCTCTCTAAGGACAGGGATCAGATATTGTTTTATTTTAAACAAATGCATATGTAATTAATTTTATATTTTAAATTTATTGTTATTGCATTTTCCATTTGAATTTATTATTTAATAATTTTAATAAATTGTAATAATGAATGTGATTGTAGCTAATTCTCATTATTTGGGGATTCCCTATTTGTGAGTTTACCTATTCACTAAGATTTATTTGTAACATCCAAATCAATACTCCCAATGCTTAGTAGTCATTGCTGGACATACCATGTGCAGAATGGGGAAAAGCAAAGTGGCCTGATGTGCACATTCCTGGTTGAGGGTCCCAGCTGAGGTTGAACAAGATGACATTCTCTTATTATTTCAGGTCTCATACTGTAAACAAGTGTACTTTCTGTGATCTATTTAATGCTACATTTTTCACATTTTTGTGTTTTATTATTGATAGTTTTCTTGCTTAAAATGGCCCTCAGGCATAGTGCTGAAGTGCTATCTAGTGTCCTCAAGCACAGGAAGCCTATGACGTGCCTTACAGAGAAAGCACTCATGTTAATAAGCTCCTTTCAGGCATGAGTTCTGTGTGGTTGGCTGTGAGTTCAATATTAATGAATAGACAATATATGTTTTGCATGGTGTCTTTAAACAGAAACATAAAACATACAACAAGCAACAAGGCTATGTATTGATTATTTGATTAAAACGTTGTGACAAGAGGCTCCCAGGAACCCAACCCTGTATTTCCTCTCCGTGACAATGATTCAGTATGTGCTAATTCAGTATTCACAGAGACTCTATAGAACATAACTACTTCAAATAATGAAAATTAACTGTGTTTAATTTTTATTTTTCTTTTAAATGAATGAATATCAATGTAATAAATATTTATACCTGTCATATAGTTGGTTACTAATAAATGTTTATCAAATGAACAATTAAATGAATGTTGATTGTGATCAGAACCGTGATCTTGATAAAAGGGTTTTTTCCCTTTAATTAGTGGTTACAGTCAATAGACACTAATGCGTGGGTTGCATTGTGCCATGTGAAAAGGACATATGTCATAGCTTAGCTCTACCATTTACTGGCTGAATTTCCTCAACCAAATCCTTTAACATTCATGCCTCCATTTTCCTTTTCCCATCCATGAAAGAATGATTATAAGAAACTTGCTTTTGAAGAGCACTATGAGGTTTTAGCCAAAATCTTTTCATAAATAATTACAAAAGCACTTTCCAGGCTAGTGATCATTATTTAAGACAAGATTGCAGGTCTGGAAGTCAGGGGCCTATAAGCCAGACTTGCCTGTAGAACTCATTGTGAGATGCCTACTGAGTTCTCTCCTTTCTTCATATCTGTCTCAGAGCTCTTCTTTTTTAAAATGAAGATGTGATATGGCTGATTTCCAGGCTCTTTTCTGGCAATAAACTTCTGAGACCCTGTGCTGTAATAGGTTTGATCTCTGAAGGGATTTTGAGAAAGTTGTGAATAGATCATGGATGAAATCTTATATCCAGGACAAGGACAATGCCATCATTATGTTCCTGGTCCTTGTAATAATCTTGATTTTTCTCAGGCTTTGGTAAGCTGATTGTCTCTATGGGAAGCCCTCTGTTAAACCTCTGTTACCACGACATTTCTCTTCCAGAAGTTAAAGTTAAATAGCGCTGAAACTTGAGGTCTTCCCTGGAAGTGTAAAGCAACATTCCTGAGAATTAAGGGGTATCTGAGAACTCTTAAGGCTCATGTCTAAGAGAATGACAAAACTAGGAAGTTAAAAATGAAATAAAGATAGAATGAAGCTCTAACTTGGTTTATTTATTTTGTATAAATAGGGTCTTATAGACAGGTCAAAATCTTCTGTTCACGTACAACAATGAACCATCTAAATTACATAAAGCTTAATTCTAAAAACGTATAAACTAGTTATGGGATATAGATAAAATCGTATGAGTCTTGAGCTTTCATTTTATCAGCAATAAGGCAGGGGTAACAAGATTCTGTCTAGGCTACCTCATAGCGTTGATACAACAAATAAGACATGCTTTCTGAGCACACAAAGAATGTGAGAAAATCTCATTAGTGCTATTTATTATAGGTTAGTAGAAACTTGGGAATCATTACACAATGACAATGGCATGTGACTCTATTACATACATATCAAAAGCCAAGGGAAAAACTCATAAAGTCTCATTATGGTTCATTGTTTAAGAAATTGACAAAAAAAGAATTTAAGGAAAAGCAGCAGTTTTAAATTCTAATACAGTGTTCGCTGAGAACAAAATTGTTCTCTTTTGTTCTTAAGTTGAAGCATCCAGTCCTTTTCAATGACCCAAAAATGATGAATGCAATAATAAAAATATGTTGTGTGTGGTTTCTAGTATTGAGCGATCCCAAACAAACTAAATAACAAAATTAATTACCCAGAGATATATTGAGTAACAAAATAAACTATCATCCACGAGTACCCCAGTCTGAAATTGAATTTTAGTCTTGAATAATAAATTACTTCCAAAGCCAAGTGCTATAGGTACTATAGGGATTTGTGTTTAAATTTGACATCCGCCTCATTAGGGTTGAAATTGGCAAAATAGCCAAAGTGCTGGTAGCTGGGAGCATATTCATATTAATTATGATTATTTTGGCAAATCTTTTTACCAGGAAGCAAATAAATAAAATCAAGGCCAAACAATATAGCTAATAGAGATAAACAGGTTCATTTTCTGGAGGTAAATATTCTATTCAGTTGCTGAAATACCCTGGCTCTTGCTATTCTTTTCTTTGGATCCAAGGCTATGCTTTCCACTTGCATAACTGTCATAGTGAAGAACAAGGCTCTTTCAAACCTCCGTATGGCTTATTCCTAAAGTCATTATCCAGTAGCAGCATTATGACTCATCTATACAAAATGACCTTGTAAAAGTCAGCTAAAGGGAGGTGTAGAACCCTTATTTGAATTGATAAAAATATCAAGAAGTCCATGTGTAACTCAAAGCAACCTTGATTTTCTGCTGTCTGTCAAAACTAATTTTACTGTCAGGTATTTTTTTTCTTAAATAGTGACACTGGCTAAAATTAAAAATAATAATATAAACAGAAAAATATCTTCAAATATCAATTCAAGGGGAATTACCATTTTCTATGACCAACCAGAACTCCCAAATATTCTGAAATATATTTCTTTATTTAATTTTTAGTGAAAGAGTAATTTGTATAAGGGCACTCATATAAAAGACTTAGTGAAAAAAATAATTTACAGGGAATTCTTGGGTTCTTCTTACATCGTCTTATATTTTTAAGTCTATGTCTGCCACTAACTAGCTGTGGATTTTGATAAGTCTCTTAATCCGGCATCATTATTTCTGGGGACCTTTCTAGCCCTAAATCCATGATTCTACAATGAGAACAGCATCTAGAATTATGACCAATTTCAGTTAGTAGCAAGGTTGGGAGAGGGAAGAAAAGCATTTCTAATGAACCATAAATAACTTTTAAAAGCTTAAAACATCCTATTCCTAAGCACTCAGGTTAATTATGAGATTTTATTAGAGAAGCTTGTTAAAAATAATATGCAAACCTTGCAATATTTTAGTATTGCAAACTTTGCCATGTTATGGCTCATTGGGTTCTGTTTTATGCCATATGATAAAAATGGACATCCATTACAGATAAGTAAACACTTTAGCTAGAAAATACAGATGATCTCGGTAATGTGGCCAGTGATCCAGAATAACTGGGCACATTTGCTTCTTGTGATTACCTTTGCAAACGAGGCAGATTCTTCCCTAATGCTGCAGTTTGAATATCAGTCCTGAAGACAGATACAGTGAAATGAACGCATGTAAACACAGCTTGGGGATGTAACTTCATGTATAAATTACAAAAACATTAAATTCTTACATGAAGTTGGAAATGGTGGTGTTAAGAAACAAGAAGCAGCTCTCTGTGGGGTTCACTCTGTGTGAGTCCCCAGGCTCCCTCTCTTCCAACTACTCTGAATCATGGCCGCTGCTCCAGCGGGGAGTTCTGTCTGATGGCACCACTGTCTTGTGTCCTAAGAACCATGGTTGCCTTAGACCCCCCAAGGATCTGGGACCTAGTTTCAACTTGACCAGACTCCTGAGACTGGGGCCCTTTCTGCCACTTTGAGATGCAGATGAGGCCCAACTTTACTACGGATATAGAATTTGGCTTCTCCATCAAAGGGGCCAGATTACTCAACTCCATGAGGTAAACTGGTGTCAATTGCCATGACACCATTTTCCTGCCCAGAGTCTATCAAGTCCTTGGGGCAGGAATAGCGTTTAGTCTATTTCCCTGTTCCCCATCACTTAGCACAGTGCTTTTCACATAGAGATCAAACAATGTTTGTTTGCTAGATGAACACAGTGTACCATTTTTTCTCTCCCACATTTAGACTAAGACGATGTGACCAGATCAAAACTACCGCATTTAAAGTGATCTTACTGCTGATCCCTGTGGTCTCTCAACCTGATGATGTGCAATTCAATACAACTTGGAGAAAAGCAGCAAGGCTAGTGCTTCTGGTGTCTTCAGCGTTTTTGGTGTCCTAGGCATGCGTTGTCAGTGTTATCTTAAATTCCCAGTTGTCCGTTTGTTACAGTGAGATAATATTATCTGTAAATACATTGAACTGGGCTCAAGTAACCTGCACTGTGTCCCAATATGCAGAGAACAAAGGAATCGACTGCATCAGTGCCGCCAACCCCTGAAGAGGAGCTGGATTTCCCTTGCCTCTTATCTGAGGTATGATGCTGAGCAGGGAAGGCTGAGAAGGGCAAAGCTCACCTGAAGTGTCCATTAATTTCCTGGCTAGAACTGTGACAGACTTCATCTTTGAGGGAATTAATCTGCATGACTGAGTGAGGACATTTTAATGATTTTTAAATGCCCTGATTTTTCTTCCCTTTTCATTACATTCTCACTCCTTGATAAAGAGCAAACACTTATCCCCCACCCTCCGTTTTTACCATATTCCGAAAACCCTTTCACTTTTCCTCATGGAGGGCATTTCTGACCCCTGCTGACATGTGGTCTTGGAGTGGTGGCTCCCCACCACTCCAACCAGGCAGCATCAGGTGAGAGCACCCATTGTTTCTGCTGGTTACCCTCATGCGAGATTTTTGTTTGCTTCCTTTCTCTCCCCAGATACTTCTGTTACTACTTCACTACTGTGGGGAACTTCACAAAAATGCATCCCTCAGCACCCTGGGCTCTGTGTCTGAACCACTTCACATGCCTTCTGTACTGCATCCCAGCACTCCAGTATTCCTGAGCTGAAATCTCAGACCTCGTAATTACCAATCACTGTGCTTTTGACACCCACCCCTGCCACTCACTACCAGCTTCTCTTATTTTTCAACTTATTCTGGTTCACCAACGAAAACGATTCTTCAAGCCCACTGGGGCCTCAATCCATGTATTCATTATTGGCTGCTCTCGTGAGGTCAGATCTCTTTTGTTTTTACTCATCTTAGATGTCATAGACTATCATGTGCCCCTAGCTTTCTTTGTTGTATTTGCCTTTAAAGGTTTCAACCTTGCTCAGATTTAACTCTTCAACTGCTCCCCACTTATTCCTGTGTGGATGAATGTGGCTAGAGAAAAATGCACAAACATGATGACAAATTTATGATCACAAATCCCAAGTAAGCCTCAACACCACTAGGCCATTCTACTCTATGGCTTTATTCAGTTCCCAATGCCTCATTCCACCCCAAATTTTAAGAAGATAATTTCATCTCTTTTCAAAATTTCCAAAGTATTTCCTCTTATTCTTTTTAAGGCAAACTCATCCATATTAACAGTAGACAAAACATGAGTTCAAAAAAAAATTATTAAGAATTTCAAGACTGTGATAGCAGGACATTACGCTAAGGGTGAGCCCCATCTGAACACAGGGCCTTGTGTGACTGCACTGGCTACAGGCCTGCTCAGCTGGCCCTGCTCAGGATCACACCTTAGACAGGAGACAAGGGAAATCCAGCTCCTCTTCAGGGGTTGGCAGCACTGATGCAGTCGATTCCTTTGTTTTCTGCATATTGGGACACAGTGCAGGTTACTTGAGCCCAGTTCAATGTATTTGCAGATAATATTATCTCGTTGCAACAACAATTGGGAATTTAAGAATAACACTGATATTCATGCCTTAGAAGGCGGAGGAAGCAGAAAATGGTAGAGTTGACACCAAAAATATTATGAACTAATAAGATCTCATAAGCTGCTAATCAAAATTTCAAAAATAATAAAAGGACTACTGAAAATATGAATTTATTAGTATAATATAAATCGTGTTGTTAATCATAAACTTAGTGTATTTTGTGACTTGATAAATTAAGTACTAATCATAACTATAATGGAATTCATGCTCATTGTTTTCATTAATGAGTATGTGATCTCTGTTTCATTAAATATCTATGTTATATGATGATGTAGAATTACAGACGACACAGGGACAAAGGCAGAGCATATTCTAGAAAATGAAATTCTTATGTGTCAACTAATTTAGTCACTAGCCTCTATAATGTAACCTTGTGCTTAATACATATGAAGCATTAAAGAGTACTTGGACATATGTCTGAATGAGCTATTCGTTTTCTAAGAAATTTCCCTCGGAAACGTGTCTACAATGAAGTAGCCAATTTGTTAATACTTGAACACCCTGATTGATGGGGAATTCACTTCCTCTGAAGACATTGCTAAAATGTTGTCACACACACACAGGACACACAGAGAAAGGGAGAAAAAATAATATTCTGAGTGCCTATGCAGTGTAGAATATACATACCCATGTTTTCCCCCAAAAAGATGTTGAAAACTTAGATCAAATAAATCAGCATCTCCTCTACAGTCTTATTTAGTGGAAACAACATGTTTTAAAAGCACAAGAATAGAACCAAGAAGGCAGAAAACATGGGCAATGGGAAAAAACAGAAGTGCATTTTACATAAATAAACAAATAATCCCTGAGCAGTGCACATATTTGTGGTTTTATTAATTTTTCAATTTTAAGGTGTGGAAATCTGGTTTTACGCAATAACTCTTTTGTTAACCGCAGAGCTGCTCCCTCAGGATGCCTGGGATAACTTCCATAGGGCAGATGCTGCTGACGTGCTATTTCCAAAGGGTTCCTGGCATAGGACTGTGAAAGGTTTCCTGGAGCCTCCCTAGAAGATCAGTTGTTTATCTGCAGGGAAGCCCTGAAAGAGCCTGAGAGTGTGTGCTTCTCAGGTGTAGTCAACGTGCGAAGAGCCCCAGGCACCCACGCAAGAACCATCCCTTGGGCCATTTATTGAACTGTAGAAGGCAACTATAGCCAAGTGGGCTGGGGGGAGAGCTCTTTTGGGGAGTGTTGCTTTTGAACTCAGAATATCGTCTTTAACAAATGCAGTTCTTTTCAAATATCAGCCATAGTTTCATTCTCCATACAGCATTATTTGAAAATCCATCCCTTTCATCCAAGGATTTATCCTAATTATAAAATAATCTCTGTTTTTATGATGCCTTCTAGTCAGTATGCCAGTGCCCATAGGTGGGGACAATCTAATGAGGCTTCTCTGCAGCTCAGAGCCTGGGTGACTATTGTATCCCATAGATGAGGAAACTAACTGAATAAAGCTCGTGACTCTGAGCCAGGAATAGGACTTTTGTGTTAGCAGCTTTGCTGCTCATACTGTGCAATCCTAAATCCTGGACAATACTGAGCTACTAGCACAATGAAAATAATTTACATGAGAATAGATACCATGCCTTCCTCTCAAGATATGCTTATCCGTTTAATTTTCACCCACATATAGGTGACACTGATTTGTATTTCTAAAGCTGTAGTTTCTCTTAAGCGAAAATGTATCCTGTCCAATAAATTGAGTACTTTTCCAATGCAGTTATTTTTTAATATTGGGAAATGTTACTTTAATAATGATGTTTATTTTTGGTTTGTGTTTTTTCCCTTACAACAGCCAGCAAAGGATTAAATTCAGTTATCATAAATATGCAAATCAAAGTGGCAATGATCAAAATTTGGGATTTTTTTCCCCTTTGTTTCTCTGCCTTTCCTGGAAGGTGGAATTATTTTGCTAGGTTTATATATTTTCCTCAAATTCTTTTTGAAGAGTCAACATATATGTCCTTTTTGCATCTTTTGATGAGGGTGGACAGAAGGGGACAATAAATGAAAACAAACCTATTCATGACTTATTAATGGATTAGGTTTTCCTAACTGGAGTTCACACAGAGCTTCTACCATGGCTCTGCTTTAAAAAAGTGAAGCTCTTTCCCTAATAAATATTCTGTTCTTTCCTGTCTTCTCCCACCAAGTGAGAACTAAGATAGCTGCAATTCACTTAAAGGTAACCAGGAAGTTTGCACAAGGCACCTAGTAGCAGTATTCTTACTTCAAGAGACATGTTTTTCAAATGTAGGGTTGGTTGAAGTAAGAAAAGTAGAATCAAATTCCAGGTGTCAATTTCGTCATAAGATTCTGTTTGACTTTTGTGCAAACTGATTTACATTAAGCAATCAATCCATAAGAGAACAAAAATTGCATTTGCAAGCAAAAGAATGTATTCACAGTTGAATAAATGATTGAATTGTTAGAATGGTATTTCATACCTCAAAAGAATGAAGGGCAGTTCCCTTTAGGTTGAAGGAAACATCTATGGTGTAACCGAGGTCCTTAATACCTTTCAGCTTTCCCATTTATCAGAACTGTGACCTTAGGCCAGTTACCTTAGCCTTACACATCTCATCTAGAAAATGTGATTCTGCTATGGACTGAATGTGTCAATCCCAAATTCATATGTTGAAATCCTAGCCCCTAATATGATGGTATTAGGAGGTGGGGCCTCTGGGAGGTGATTAGGTTATGAGGGTAGAGCTCTCATGACTGGGATTAGTTCTCTTATAATGAGATACAAGACAGCTTGCTTTTTCTTTCTCTCTGCTTCCCACTATGAGAGGATACAAGGAGAAGATGGTGATCTGTGAACCAGAAGGCAGACCCTCACAACACCACATCTGTCAGCACCTTCATCTTAGCCTTCCCAGGCTCCAGAACTATGTGAAATAGATTTCTGTTGTTTAAGCCACCCAGTTTATGGTATAACTGTTATAAGAAGCCTGAATTAAGGCAGAGTCATAAAGTTTACCTTAGAGAATTTCAACAATTACATTTCTCTTAAAATGCATATAATATGTCTAACACATGCTTAGACATTTAGGATGTTTAATAGGAATTGCCTTTTAGATAGATAATATGACTAGGTCATCTAACCAACTAAATAAAACTGCAACATCAACTACCAATTGCGGTTAAATGTCTTAGAGAGTTAACTTTTAGAGCAAGAATATTTCTTGAAAAATGTCTAATTCAATTTCTTTATTTGAGAAGTGGAAAAAAACAATTTCCAGGCAAGAAAAGTGACTTTCACAAGGACTTACAACTCCTAAGTATCAGCTCCAATCTCAGATCCAAGGTTTCTTGATTCTAAATTTACTCTCTCTCACCACACCATGCCTATGATAACGCTCTGGAGAGAACCAAGTCTACACTCACTAGATGTCATACTTAGAATTATGGCCTTTGATGTTGCTGGCAGCAACACAGCCATTTGAAGACAAATATCAAATTGTCTCTAGTTCTCAGATACTTAGGTGAGGCATCCATGAAAATAATATCTATGGATTAGACTAACTTTCTGACTCTTAAGTTTTCAAATCCCTGCAAGGAAATATTCATTCATTTGTTTTTTTAAGAGACTAATTCTCTGTAAGCCATTTATTTCCCTAAGCCTAAATTTCACCTCTCATCATATCTCCTCCCAGATGAAAAGAAGAAGGCACACTGCTTTTAAAAAATGGAATTTATTACCTTTGGCTAGAGGCCTCACTATGTAAAATAATTACCTAACTACTATTGTTAGCTTCTTAGAGGCTGGTTGATAAATCCTGGTCTGTGGTAATTAATTATGAATAACTATTTTTTATTCCCATTTAAACCTTTCCTCTTTTTGTTTCTCTATTCCTCCAGCCTCAAACCTAATGGATTTGCCTTTATAACTTTTGAACCAAATCTTTGACTTTTTTTTAATGTGTTCAATTTTATTTTTTACTGCAATGTCTAGGTCAATGCCTTTTAAACAATCATCAGAAAAGCTTCAGCCCAACTTCCTGTGGACTTCCTTTAATCACACATCCTTTGGACTCATTAAATCTTATCTGTGACAAAAGATGAAGCCCAACATTTCCTCTCCAGCTGAGGCTTTGGCCCAAGACTGTCCAAAGAACTGTTAACTCTTGAGCCTGGGCCAAGCCAAAGACTCGGCAGCAATCAAAGTCATGGCAAGGACAGAGAGCTGAGGAGTTCCTGGGTCACCAGGGCTTTCTCCAGCAGGAAGCTGGAGTGGCAGTGATGACATGGATGCAGGATTTATGGGGGTTGGGGGGACTGGCCCAGAGCCGTGCATAGGACAGAAATTGTGTCACAAGCACTTGTGGGGCTGGGTTCACCTCTAGCAACCTCTGCTGAGATACGAGTGTGCTTGGAAATTGTAAGCATTCCAGTCATGGGTAAATTCAAGCCAAGGACTCTTTGCCAGGGTTTTAATCCTATTCCTCTCTCTCCATTCACATTGTCATGCTTTCTTCCTAACTGAATTTTGACACTCATGTTGGAAATAAATGGATAGAGAAAATGGACTCTCAGATTTATTGAGGACCCATTGCCTGGACTATGGTGCTTTAGTGTTTTTCTTTGACCTTGTGTCCACCTTACACATTTATGCCTCTGGGATTGGTACCATGGTGTGTGATTGTCCTCTGGCTGGGGGCTGCTTTCTGAAGTAAAGGTTCTGGTTCACTGTGTTCCTACTGTGTGTGCCATGTGAAAGTAAGGTAGGGGTTGGCAAGTGTTTTGCTCTAGTGATAGCATTCTGTCTTGCTGTAACTAAATTTTATGTGATTTTATTTGAAATTACTCTTGAACAAGACTTACCTGTTTGTTGTGAGCTAAGTATGTGGCTCTCTCTTTTGAGAATACAAGAACTATATAGAAGTAAGTCAAAAGTTTCTCTCTTTCTGTCTGTCTGTCTTTTGGTAGAGATATACTATTTTACATGAAGACAGCACAACTATAGAGTGAGAAGGAAGGCTCATGGGTATTATTTCCTAAACTATCCTATACTCCAGAAATTATAAACCACAGTTGAGAAGCACAAATTATTAGCTGATTTGATACTTATCATTTTATATCTAAATTCATTATTAAGCATGCCAAAAGTTCTAATGAGAATAAAACTATTTGCTATGGCCTGAATATTTATGTTCTCTCAAAATTCATAAGTTGAAGTGATAGCTTTCAGGGTAATGGTAATAGGAGGTGGGGCCTTTGGGGGGTGATTTGGTCATAATGGCAGAATGGGATGAATGCCCTTTAAAAAAGGCCCCAGGGAGTTCCTTCTTCTCTCCCATCCCCTGTGTGAAGACACAGCAAGAAGGCACAGTCTGTGAGCCAGAAAGTGGGCCCTCACCAGACACTGAATTTACCAGCACCTTGATCTTAGATTTTCCTGCCTCCAGAACTGTGAAAAATATACTTATGTTGTTGATAAGCCACCCAGTTTTGGTATTTTTTTTATATCAGCCAAAATAGACTAAGACACTCTTTTCCCTAAAACAGAGAAATATTCCAAATAAAACAAAGAAAGCATCTTGCAGTTTCTAAATCACAGTGTCTTTTATGTACATACATATTTGCCCATTAAGACTCTTTGATCAAAGCAGTGCCTCCCAGATAATAAGAAAAGAATATACATTTAATGGAATCCCATGTTATTTCTGATATAACTCATTTTTCTGGAGAAGTAGTTGTAGGAGGTAGCCAGAGAGAAAAAGCATTGACTGACAAGACAGTGTTTTCACAGAAACCACAAAAGGATATGCTTATGGTTAAAAAAAATCAGAAATAAAAAGGAGATGAATTGTTGGACCCCATAGTTACTAAGAGAGGATAAGCACATTTAGCCATAGTGGACATTTTGCTACCTTTGCCAGCACCAATATTTTCCTTTCTAGCATCCACTGATTCTTGGGATTTGGGGATTTATGGAATTTATGGAACTTGACTGTACTTCTGCCCCAGGGAAGCATCACCTGGTAGACTAAGCCAATTAGAGCATTTCATCCCCTCGCTCCCACTGATTGTCTCAGTACTGGGCAGATGACCTCAACTACCCTAGAACTTTTCTTTGGAATGCTGAGTCAAGGATAATCTTTTTTTCCCTGTGGGCACAAATAATAAAGATAGAGCTCAGGGAGCCGTTGGCAACTTTCTCAGGACCATAAGGCAAGGTTCTTCCAAAATAAAGTGATACAGAAGAGTTGGAACTGGAAAGGGAGGAAGAAAACAGTAGTTTTCACGTTATTTCAAGCCACTAGATTAGTATAACTTAAAAATAGCTCTGTTTAGGACTTCTGAGGACATGAATCAATAAATATCCTTTTGCTTATGCCAGTTAGTCAGGTTTTTTGTTTCCTGCAATTGAAGGCATACTAATAAACCATTGAGTAAGTATATACAATAACTCTGAATCCTGTCCCACATCCCAATTCTGACTCTTTTTTCATTACTGTCTTGAACTCACAGAGCTGCCAGCTACCAGAACTCAGTAGAATCCTTCCCAGAGGTCAGTGCTCCATGGAGAGCAGAGTCCCTGACCAGAGATCATCTTGGCTCTGTTTGGAATTTGTTGCTGTAGAAATAGCAGAGATATCAACAAACTCATGTTCCTGGGGCTGGACAGGCTGATGAGCCCATCTGCAGGGCAGGAATAGCCAGAAGAGAAAATTGAGCAAGAATCTAATGATGACCTAGAGGAGAACCAGGAAACAGAGGACCTGAAAACAACATGAATTTGGAACGTGAAAAGCAAATCCAGTTACTCAATACAGTAGGAGAGCCTACGTGAGACTTGGTGAAGAGCAGTCAGGCTTCCCAAGAAAAGACTATGCTCATGCCTCAGAGAAGTCAGACCTCTGCTGCATCTGCTCACATGGGACCTTCCTCATGTCCTGGTAATCACAGGAGCTTTAATAAACATATGGGAGTCTGTAGGGAGTTACTTGTGCCTTCTAAGTTTTTCCTATCCTGGCACAAGAGGGGGAGAAAATAATCCAACCAAAGAGAAGTAAAGAGTAATAACTATACTCTTCTTACAGCCCCTAAACAGATTTGCTGAAACTTTGAGCTCCTAGTGCCTATCTCCTTTCCCTCAGAAAGCCCCTAAGGCACCTCCCATTCTCTCCTTCACCACCAAAAAACAAAGGATTAGAGTCCATAATGGACTCAATTCTAAAGTATTATTTTCTATGTATCACAATTATCAGAAAATTGAGGAGCAAGCACAATTTATCCTTCTGGTGATATGTGATTTTCTTTCTTAAAACAAAACAAAACAAAACAAAACAAAAAAACAAACTTTGTCAGTTCTAGGACAAAGGAAGAGTAATTAAACTTAGACTTTCTTAAGAATACATGTAACCACTAAAAGAATAGAAATGGAATGTATAATTAAAAGCTAGTAGCTGGGAGCGGTGGCTCATGCTTACTAGCACTTTGGGAGGCCAAGGCAGGTGAATAGCCTGAGCTCAGGAGTTTGAGACCAGCCTAGACAACATGGCAAAGCCCTGTCTCTACTAAAAGCACAAAAAATTAGCCAGGCATGGTGGCATACGCCTGTAATCCCAGCTACTCAGGAGGATGAGGCATGATAATTGTTTGAACCCTGGAGGCGGAGGTTGCAGTGACCCGAGATCATGCCACTGCACTCCAGCCTGGACAGCAAAGTGTGACTCTGTCTCAAAAAAAAAAAAAAAAAAAAAAAAAAAAAAAAAAAAAAAAAAAAAAAAAGCTGGTAGAGGAGAAAATTATGACAGAGAAAGCTTGATCAATTTAGTAAAGCAGGAAAGGAGAAAAAAGCAAAGAAAATAAATGATGCAAAATAAGGTTAAAATAATACAGTAATTGTATTGAACATGAATGAATTGAATCTACCAGTTAAAGGACAATAATTGTAAAATTAGGTTTTGATAAATTTGGACATATATCACTTATAAAATACACACCTAAATGATAAAAACCAAAAGTAGATAAAGAAATAAAAGACATGCCAGACAATTACTAAGGAATACTAATATCAACCAAAGTATTGCCAGAGATAAAGATTGATTATTGCAAGAAAAAAATGGACAAGTCTTCCTAAAAATGAGGGATTTTTTCTTTTTTTTTGATGGAGTCTCGCTCTGTCGCCCAGGCTGGAGTGCAGTGGTGCGATCTTGGCTCACTGCAACCTCCACCTCCCAGGTTTAAGCTATTCTCCTGCCTCAGCCTCCCTAGTATCTGGGATTACAGGTACTCACCACCATGCCCGGCTAATTTTTGTAGTTTTAGTAGAGATGGGGTTTCACCATGTTGGCCAGGCTGGTCACGAACTCCTGACCTCAAGTGATCGACCTGCCTCGGCCTCCCAAAGTGCTGGGAATATAGGCATGAGCCACTTCACCTGACTAAAAATGAGAGGTTTTAAACATTTCTCAGAAACAATGGATTTAACAGAAAAAGAATTATTAAAGTTACAGAAGACTTAAGAAATCCAATTAATGAACTTTATCTTATGAATGTAATGCACCTAACAATTAGATAATACACAATATATTTCAAGTATATATCAAACAGATTCTGAGTACAGTCTTCCTTATCTTGCTAACTGTTCCCAATTGTTGATATTCCTCTAAGCTGGTTTACAATGAAGTGAAATGGTAGGATATATAATGACTACAGCTTCAGAATTTCAATACACCAAAGGATAGGAATCCTGGTAAGGAGCTGGGATAGAGGGGCCAGTGGGCCAGAAACTAGTCCTGTGAGATTCTTTTGTACAAGAAAGGCATGTTTTTACTTAGATTATATGTTTCTTTGCATGAGGGAAGATTATTAGGAGCTAAGTCAACTCTCTTACCCAACAAAGTCATCCCTTTGTGCTTTGACTGTTCATTGAAACCTTCTTGGGATTGACCTATTCGTCTGTTTCTTGTTAAAGGCTGAAGGTCCCTGATCTATATTTGACACAATATGATGTCTTCTACTGCAAGACTTCATAAACAGAACAATGTAAGTTTCTATCTACTGCTACCTAAATTCAGCTATTAGAATTATTTGGAAAGTTTTCAAAGTATAGATTTCTAGGCCCTATAGGTGGTATTCTGAATTGAAATCTCTAGGGGGTTAGCTATAGAAATCTGATTCTTAGAGACTCTCAGGTGACTCTGATGCAGGTGTCAGCTGACCAGCATTTGATGACTACTGCTTCAGCCAAAGGACTCAGTCTTGTGAATAGAGAAGCATTGGTTTTCATCAGAATTCTGCAGCTAACTGCTGCCATAACAATTTCCTAACTTCCTAGTACGTCTCCTAACCTGTGGCACATTTTCTAAAATCTGGACACTGATGTATAATTATACCTGTGGCTCATCTAACAACACCACTGAGTTTTTTGAAGGATGAATTAAGTATGTTTGAACCATCAACTTAAAGCCACAAAAATATTTTTTTAAAGTTTTGCAATAAAATTTTCTCTCTCTCTCCTAAACCAATTTATATGTTTTTCTTTGGTTTTTAGAGTGATGAAAATAACTAAACAAGCTGTCCATGACTGGTTTTAGGTCAAAGCTTAACCTCAAAGTTGCTCATCTTAAAGCAGAAATGATGTGGCTTACAGGGTAAGATGTGTACCAAGGAATAACAGTACCTACATGATAATTTTATATGGGTATATATATATATACATATATCATATATATATCAGAGATGTGCATAATATATGGAATATACATAATTTAAAGAAACTGGGATGGCAGGAGCTGGTTATAATGTGTCTGTTATGTGGAAAAATTCACAGATTTAATCATCTGCATAAAGATTTAACTACATGATAAAATTAGATGTGTCTTTTACATAAGATGTCACTTGGGATGATGAGTTTCTCAAATCTTAACCTTTTAGGTTGCAAAATGGTTCCTGAGGAAGATGATAGCATTATTTATCACCTGTCAATGTTACCTTATATCTGCTTTGCTCCCACTTATGTTTAGAGGACAAGGGGATTCAATAATGAAATACAATAAGATGCAGAATAGCATAGCTACCAGGTGCTAAAGATAGACACAAATCTGGAGCTGGCCCCAACATCAAGGAAGAGGTGGCTCATTGAACTATAACCTTATGCAGAAGAGAGATTGGTATTACAATGATTAAAATTACAAGACAGTGAATTGTCCCAAACAACACAGGTTCTGGCTGGGGTCTTCTATTCACATGCCAGTGGGCGGTAACACATTTCAGAGTAACATCTCTCAAAAAGCAGTTATAGGTAGAAAACTCATCACCCCTAGTGAGGTGCACTGCATGAACACAGATACCAGGCCCAGATGGAGTTCTGTACACAAGATTACAGCTTTGCCATTTATAAAACTGAGCCATGAGATGCAAATAAGTTCTAAATGTTGTTTTTCTTCCAAGTAAAACTCAAAACTTGAGAACTTAATCTGTTGTTTTTGCTTTGAAGCTGAAATCTGCAGATTGCAAAAGTTGAGACTAGTAGCCTCTCTTTGTTTCCTTCTTTATGTTCTTATATAACATAGCAAGCTTTCCCAGAAATAGATGATAAAATTTCACATCAAAGGTACAGAGTAAAATTCCTGCAGACTTAAAGAACTTTCTTCCTTTGAGGAGGAATAGAGTGGTCAGTGGCCATTCTCCGGCAATAAAATTTTCTCAGGAGTCCTTGGTGATAAGAATGAGTGAAGGAATGTAGTCAAGGGTAATAAATTGCAGCGAAATAAATCCCCAAAGAAAACATAAGTTCGTAGTCTACTTTTTCTTTAAATAGTATACCACAGTTCTTTTGAAAAACTAAAGAAAAAATATTATGTATTCAGTTATTTATGAGTTTAACAAACTTCTTTGCATAGTTACAATGTGTCAGGCACAATATTAGGACCTGAAAAGGCAAGAATATGACCAAGTCTCTACTCCCAAAGAGCTCCATTCTCGAGACAGCTTGACATAACACCAATGATAATGATTATTATTCTGAACTATAATAAGTGCTTTCATAAAAAATATATTGGGTTTTAGGGAAAACAGGAAGGGGGAAGCCCTTAATCAGTAGATGGGGGGTAGGATAATTAGAGATAGAAGACACGGTAAAAGCAGAAATGACACTGGGTAGAGCAGAGGGGTATGAGTTACTGACGTCAATTAATACACTTTGTTCTCATTTGGGGAATTTTTTACTATCTCCTCTGTGAACATTAAGACAGTAGAACCAAAAATGACTATCTAATTTTTATCTTCATGCTTGCCATAAACTAATGATCTGCAGTAGTAGATATTTTATCACAAATTTGAAAGTCTTTTACTGGAAAAATCACTCAAATAGATGACTGTTTGAAACTTATACTATTAAATATACTCTAAAGACCAAAGCATTAGTGGTATAAAACAAAGATATTATGATAAAAGTATTAATGTTTAGGTCAACTAATCTGATAACCACCTTACAAGGTCAATTCCAAATTCATGAAGAAGATACTTTGACAGGCCCAGCCTAGTTCCTTGTCTCTGAATTTCACTATCCACTAGCCTGACCAGCTCCCTGTCCCTAGTACAAATTCTACCCTACAACTGGAGGTATTTACCCAGTTCCGTCTTGGAGTTCAGAGACCAAGCTTTGACCTTAAAGCCTAGCTTTGCAAGCTGGGATTCTAGCCTTTTTTTTTTTTTTTGAGATGGAGTTTCGCTCTGTTGCCCAGGCTGGAGTGCACTGGCACAGTCTCGGCTCACTGCAAGCTCTGCCTCCCGGGTTCACACCATTCTCCTGCCTCAGCCTCCCTAATAGCTGGGACTACAGGCGATTCTAGCCTATTCTTATGACTCAGATACCACCGTGAATCTCAATTATTATAACAACTTTTTTTTTTTTGCCTTACATTTGAGCATTCGTTTTGCAACTGTGCCTGTTGCTGCAACACTTGAATGCCTAATATCTGGTTCTGAAAATTCATCTTTGTCTGGGGTTTGCCTCCTGACGAAGTTGGAGGCCATTGCATACTAATGGCCTACAACTCTGATTATCACTGGATTTTGGAGTCCTTTTCTTCAATCTCCAACTGCATTTTGGAAAATATCTCCACTCTGGTTTACAAGTCCTTATATCGATGGTGGCTCTGGACCACTACCTGTTGACTATGGTGTATTTACATATCATGGTTCTAGGTATTATATTTGCCTACTGGACTGAAATTTCTTCCAACAATAGGACCAAGACTTTTCCTTAATGGCTTCTACTCTTAACTGGTCTTGTCTTGCTATTTTTAAGAACATGAGCTTAGCTCAGCAAAGGAGAGCAAACTATGCATTATTATTATTATTATTATTTTGAGACAGAGTCTCGCTCTGTCACCCAGGCTGGAGTGCAGTGGCTCAATCTCGGCTCACTGCAACCTCCGCCTCCCAGGTTCAAGTGATTCTCCTGCCTCAGCCTCCCAAGTAGCTGGGACTACAGGTGTGCGCCACCACGCCCAGCTAATTTTTTGTATTTTTAGTAGAGACAGGGTTTCACCGTGTTAGCCAGGACAGTCTTGATCTCCTGACCTTGTGATCCACCTGCCTTGGTCTCCCAAAATACTGGGATTACAGACGTGAGCCCCCACACCTGTCCTAAACTATGCATTATTAGTACCATACCAGGATTCTAAAACAGGTATACTTTACCTCTTTGTATTAGCCATTTAACTTCTGCTTTTCTGGCTTGATGAACCCAGGTGACAATTGGACTTAAACTATTACTCTATTTTTGATCCCTATGAGACCCTCAGATATAATTCAGACAATCTGGTTCTGAAGGTTTCTGCCTCAACTCCATGAAGGTGATGGCTGGTCTAGTGCTAGGCCTGGATGTCCTAGCTCCTTCACAGCTGACCATGTATGCTTTCTCACCACTGTTTCACTAATCTCTTATTCTGTTTCTGGCAAATAGTGAGGACTTAATAATGATTTGCAAATAAATCAATAAAGTCCATTGTGGGTAAGAATAATATGTCTGCCTAGGTCTCAAGATATAGCTTAGTTCCCCACCACATCTTTTGTACTTTCCTTTTAAGTCATGTCCTGCCTTGACTTTATCAAATTTATCTGCACATAAATGTAATTGGTACTGTGGTATTCCTTCAAAGAGGGACTGGAAAGACTAATTGCTGAAAAATTTGAAGACATTAAATAACCAAATATTTATTTGTTTTGCCTTGTTTAGACCAATCATCTTCCTGATTTTGCTCAATTCTTTTTTATTTAAATGCTTGCTAAAATGTGAACTCATGCAACCTGTCCAAATTTTGTCCATTTCTGAAAAATGGCACCCATCTGCTCCTGTAAACAAGCATTGTGTCTTTAAGACTTCCGATTGTTCTAAATACACAAGGACACAGTGTTTGTTTGATGTACAATGTTTATAAAATTGAGGATAGCACATAGAACAGTTAAGTTTTTTGCTTTCCCATTACAACATAAACTTCTTGAAGACATAGCATTATCCACAGCTGCTAACACAATGTTTGTGCAGCATAACTATTTGTTACTGATTATTTTTCTAATTCATTATTTACATAAGCATTTCCATAAATACCTGTAATATTAAATAACTTTCAAACTTTCAGCAATTGGATTGCATTTATGCTTTGTTGGGAGAGTTAGAATATAGTAGCAGCCCATGTCTCCAAACCAATTGGCACTTCTCAATGAATTGAAAATATCAGGAAGGGAAATCTTAAATAATATGTATATTTTTACTAATTTTGTTTTAATTAAAACACTTGCAACAGAGAACCACTAAGATGTAATTTATGCTTTGTTTCAAAGGGTTTAGAATAGTTGACATAGATAACTAAGAACTAGTTACACAGTTCTTGAGTTCAGCTTCTAACCATTACATAATAATTGGTGTAGGACTTGACCTTTCATGAAAAGCAATCATAAACCTGGACACAATATATGACCCAATGTTTTTAGGCATTGAGAAATACAGAAGAGGTCTGTAATTCCTGAGAATGGAAAAGTAGTGATTATCCCCACATCTACTCCAGTTGCCTGCCTAGGGCACATTCCAACCACGGTGCTGGGGGCTGATGACCAAGAAGACCACAGAGGTCTCACCGAGCTGAGAAGGCAGGTATTGGAGAGTGTGACTGCTGAAGTGGCAGGAAATTGAGGGTCAGGGTACTGGAGATGGGGAAGCTGTATGGAAGCGAAACCCAAAAGTCTTTTCCCAACAGATACTGGACATGAGTTGGGTGTGCAGAGTGAGTACCCTAAAGTCGGGTTGATATAATCATTTGACTTGGAAAATTACACTCATTGGTGTAGGTGCCTCATCCAATCAGCTGGTGGACTCAAGAGTAAAATTTGAGGTTTCCTGGAGAAGAGGGATTTCTGCTTCAATACTGGAACATAGAAATTTTGTCTTTCCAGCCTGTAAGCCTACACTACAGATTTTGGACTGGCTGGCCCCATCATCATATAAGCCTATTCATTAAAATAAATCTAGGTCTAGATGTATATTCTATTGGTTCTGTTTCTCTGGAGAATTTTGACAGATGCAAGGTCTTTGGATGGGCTGTGCATGTACTGGGTAGGACTCTTTGAAGTCTAGCAGAGGCAGTTGCTTTAGGGCTCTGAGATTAATGGAGATTCAGGAAGTTGTACAGCCCTGGGAATTGCAACACAGCCAAAACTGACAAACTTCAATGAGACCCTGAAGCATTCAGTTTAAACCCCAGAAAGGCCACACCTAATAAGTGAGAAACAGTCCATGGAGGAAGGGTCATGTACTAGAAATAAGGGAGGGGAAAAAAACAGAACTTTCCTAAAAAATAAGTACATAAAAACAAAGCCAGACTGGATCAAACCTGCCAATAATTTAATTGCTTGCCAGGACAAAAATAAATAACTTTTTAAATAAGGATGACATAAAATGACTCCATGCAGTGTATCATTCACATGTTCAGCTTACAGTCGTAACAGAATAGAGTTAAAAAAAGTAGTCAGTGGAACTCACTTAAATGTTAGAATATGACAACAAAAAATTTAAAAACATTTATTATGGAAGCTTTCAAGGACATAAAGGAAGAAATAGACACAGTAGGTGACCAGATAGGGAATCTCATTGAAAAAAATGAACTATAAAAATCAAAGACACATTCTAAAACTGAAAAATACAAACATTTTAAATTTAAAAAAATTACAAGTTGAGCTTAAAAGCAGATTGAAAATGGCAAAAGAGTAAATCAGTAAACTTTAAAGCAAATAAAGAGCAAGTCTTTAATTTGAAGATTAAAAAAAAATAAAAGTGGACAAGACTTAGCGTAATTAAACATACCAGCAGCTAAATCTCAGGAAAGAAGCAAATGGGGCAGAAAGGAAATACTCCCAACTTCCTCAATTTTTATGGCAAATGTGTAGATCCAAGAAGCTCAGGAAATCCCAAGCAGAATAAGAACAAAGAAATTAACAAATAGGTACATCTTTGCCAAACTGTTGAAAATAATAAATAAAGAGAAAATATTAAAAGCAACTAGAATAAAAAAGATGATAGATAGATACAGAGAGATAGATAGATATAGAAATAGAATAGCTATGGAGGCCAAGAGTCAATGTAACATCTTTAAAGTGTCTCCCCTTCCAAAATAAAAGTTGTCTACCCTGAATTAAATATCCATTAAACTACTTCTAAAAATTAAGGTCCAATATATACCTATGCAGAAAAAATCTTAAGATGATTTACTTCCAGCAGATTTTTACTAAAAGAAATGTTAAAGGAAGTTCTTCAGACTGAAGGAAATAACATAGGGAAAAAACAAAGAGAAGAAAAGAAGCAAAAGAAGAATAACAATGAACAAATAAAAACAGATTTAAAAATAGAGAAAACAAATAGCTGAATGGTATACTTAAATCCAACCACATTAATAATTAAAATTACAAGTAGAAATTTTCAGAAGGAATAAAAATGCAAGAGTATGCATTCTCTAAAAGGATAGTATTAACAGAACTGACTAAACCTTCAAAAAAGACATTTGTTCCATGCAAATATTAAGCACAGTAGGACTAAAGTGGTCCTATTAGTAGCAGTCTAATTAGACATCAAGACAAGCAGTTTTACCAGAGATAAAGTGGGATAGTTTAAAGAAAAGGGCAGTTTACTGAAGCATAGCAACTGTAAATATGTATGTACCTAAAAATAGAGCTTTAACATACATAAATCAAAACTGACAGAAATAAAGGGAACATAGAAAAATTCACAGTTATAGCTAGATATTTTAAAACCTCTGTTTCTGTAATTAATAGAAAAGTAAACCAAAAAATTAGTAATAACAGAGAAAACTTGAATACCATCAACCAACTTGACTAACTGATATTTGTAGAGTACTACACCCAACTTGTGAGTGTATATATATTTTTTATCAACAACACATGGAAAATTTACCAAGTTAAACTATATGCTGGGCCTAAAACTTCACAAATATGACAGGCTAAAATGTTACATCATATGTTCTCTAATCACAACAAATTTAAGTTGAGAAGCTATAATAATAAAATATTTAATAAATTTAAAAATTAAATAGCACATTTCTTAACCCATTGGTCAAAGAGAAAAATCACAGGGAAAATTTTAAAATATTTTCAATTGAATTATGAAAATACAGCATTTCATAAGTGCTGGGATGTAGCTAAAATGGTATTTAGAGATATTTATCATTTTAAATGCCTTTTTTCTAATATAGGCAATACCTATATAATACAGGTAATATAGCTAATATAGGCATTATACAATCAATAACCTTTCATTAAATTGATTCCTAAGTATTTGGTATTTCTGATGCTACTGTAAATGGTATTTTTAAAAGTTAAATTTTCAATTGTTTATTATATAGAAATGGCCTCTGTAAGGATTGAACAAGTAAGTCTTATCTAGTAAGTTTTAGTACTCACAGTTTTATTTGGAAATGAAGTGCTGCTTCTTTTAAACTAGTGTGTGGCAAAAAATATTTTTACAGCAGTAGAAAAATCAGTTCTTCAGCTTCTATATATGAAGAAATCTCTACCTCTTGTATAAGTCACTCAGGAGTGAAGCTGGAGTCTAAACTCAGAGAAAGATTCAGAGCCCCTATAACAACATAACTTGTAAAAGTTATCTGATCTAAACTACTCCAGGTAGAGCTGAATTCTCCTCCCTACAACAAAATAATTAAAGATGGTTAAAAGGCTTAGAATTCTCTTCCTAAATTTCATATGTACAACATAAAATAGAACATCAGATTTTGATGGATGTTTTATTTACTGTTTTTTTCCCATCAGGTAAATGAAGTGAGATTACAAATTGTCATGTCCACTATCATTGTAACATCAATTCTGTGATGGGAAGCACCTCAGAAGAATTCTGCTTCAGAACCGTGTTGCTAAGCATGTAGGACATTACTGGGCTTGATCACAGAGAAAAGTGAGTTCCATGGAAGGTTTGAGTTACAGATGCATTCTAGGTCTAAAACCACCTAGAATACCTAAAAGAATTCTGCATTTCTTTAAGTTTGCTTCACTCTATACTGCACAGTTATAAAATTTAACCTAACACCTCAGGGTGGGCAGAAATGGGCAGGGCATCTTTATGAACCATGACTTGCTTCTCGGTGTCATCTGAGATCTACGAAGAGCACAGGGAAATCTGACAGGAAGCTGTCAGCCTACTTCTCATCTTAATTAACGTCTTATATGACTGCAGTTTTGTTCATGACTGTCACACTGTGTTGAAAAGATTTCAGAAGAAAAACTTATTGCTTGTAGACCTTAGATTTGAGCAAGTGAGGGTACAAAGAATTGGGAGTTATCCCAACTCATCAAGCCTAACCTCTTGCTAATACCTTAAAAAATTGCATTTTGTTTTGAAGCTAGAAAGGCATAAAAATGTCCTTCACTACTGTTCACGTAAGAAAAAAATATGGCAAATGTCTGGGTTATTGAACAACCAGGAAAGTTAACAACCTTGATAAAATTCCAATGTGTTCATTAGATTTGGACATCTTAAAATATACTGGCAATTTCACTTGGATCACATTTTTGTCTTGCTATGCACCCCCCAAAATGTTGTTGTGTGGTCATTCCTAGCACTGCTGAAATGTAATCTCCTATTAATGTAGAGGATGCTGAGTTATGGCTTTCCTGAAATAAGTTGGAAATAAATGATATTCTGCAGGTGCCTGTTATTTATTCTCATTCAATATAAACTACCAGGACAAATGCACTTACCTGAGAGCAATTTTACAGGCTAAGTAAAAGTCATGTAACTAATTTAGTCAAAGAATTTTGTACAACTTTTGGTGCTTTCCACTTTGCTTGGCTATTTCATAAACCTATTGTGAATTGTGGAATTCATAGTTGATGGAATATTTTCAAGAACACATGTTGTCTCTCTGCAAGCAAAAGCCGTATTAAGTAGAAAGCATTCTCATTGTTCTATATTGCTAAGGCCAAGACTGCTTCTGCTTGCAAGAACACTGGCCGTTTATGTTCTTGTAAATGCACCCCATCTTTTCCCTTATTTTGCATTCTGTTTCTAAATTGGAGGCTCCAATGACACAAAACAGCAACATTTCCTGTGATTCCTCCCTTAGAACAAAAAACAAATGAAAAGCCAGAAAAAAAAAGACGTTAGAAAAATTACAAGACAAGCAACTTGGTAAGCCTAAGCAAAGAACTTCCCTTGCCTACTGACTCAGAACTTACAGCAAAATTTCTTAAACTACTTTAAATATCACCAGAAGTGATGGGACACAACAGGTTGTTTTGGGTGGTCTACTCCTGCAAAAGGAAGTGATAGGGAAAAGGGAAGAGACATAGAATCATGCTGTCAAATTTGAGTTGATGGCCTGTTACAGTATTTCTGTGATGCTCCTGCAGTGCCCACAATTTCTCTGAAGCCCCTCCAAACCCACCTCCCACAGAAAATACTCTCTGAATCTCTCTGACCTACCGAACTCACTTCCCCATGAGTGTGGCCACTGCCTGCCCCAGCCCCTTGGTCCTAGGAATCCCTGCATGCTGACTATTTCTTAGGAGCACTTAGTGTATGAGAATTCCAAACACGTAGGCCACTGGTAGTTTGGAGTCTCAGTGAATGTTATGCCCCTTTTTCCTCTGTCCTGTCTCCTCCCCTAGAAGTAAGCTCCACAACAAGAGGAAACTTATCCTATGGACCTAGCTCGATTCCTTTCTTCTTTTGGTCACAGACAATACTCAATAATGCTTATAATTTGAAGAAAAGAATCATAAGCAGCATTTATTAAAGATGCAAATTCTCAGGTCCCACTCCAGTCTTATGAGTCAGAATTTCTGAGAGTGGGACAAAGAATGGGCTTTTTAAGAAAAATCTCCTGGTGATGCTCAGTCATATAAAAGTTTAAGAATCACATTCTCTTCTATGGTTGCTTTCAGGACTTGCCTTCTGAATTGGAACTATGCCACAACCAGAAAATAGACACGGAAGATTAATTTTTCTACGATCACTTTCAACTCTTGCCTTCTAAAAGTGTAGAGTCAAAGACTCTACAAATTTCTAACAAGTCCTTCTTTCATTCCAAAGAGAGAAAGATTGTTCTAGTGTGTAATCTGATCCAGGGGGTTTAGAGGAATCAGGGTAATAGAGAGTTGTTATAAACAGCATACATAGATTATCAATTTTCAAGGAAAATAAATTCAAATATACTTATGACAACAATATTTCTCTGATGTCCAATTTCTCAGAAAAAAAAAACCAACCAAGCAAAGCACCTGACCCTTAGGAGACATTTAATAAGTGTTGAGTAAATGAATATATACATGAAAGAATTATTTATTCTCTCAGGATCAGTATTATATTCTTGAATTATCATTCTTCTGCAAATATAAAGGAACGTCAGTGTAATTCGACAAAATGGAGAATAAACTAGATTTCACTGCAATAATTTATTAAACCATAGAAACTATTTTGTTTTTTAACTTATTTTCTGTGACAATTATGTAATCTCCTTTGGTATAATGTTTCCACCTCTAAAAATTTAGAGTACATGGTAATAAAAATAAATTAATATTTTTAGAAGCTATGTGGCCTTCGTTCGTCTTGTGCTGCTAGTCGAAGAATATCTGAGACTAATTTGTAAAGAACATAAATGTATTTCTTACAGTCCTGAAAGCTAAAAATTTCAAGATCAAGATGCCAGCATCTGGTGACATCTTCTTGTTATGTCTGCATGTGGTAGGAGAGCAAGAGAGTGCAAACCTACACCTGCAAGCCCTTTTAATAACAGCATTAATCCATTCATAAGAACACAGCCCTCGTGTCCTAAACACCCAAGGGCCCACGCCCCAGCACTGAACATTAGGGTTTAAATTTCAAACACGAGTTTTTAAGGTGGCAAAAACTTTCAAACCATAGTGCGTGCGCACACACACACACACACACACACACACACACCCTCCATACACCCATATATATGTGAAGAAATATTTGCTGTAATGTATCATTTATCATGACTTTTTTATGATGTGAGTCTCTTAAAAGATTATTTTGAAAGTTCTATGTAACCTAGTATATATTAGTTTTTCTTTGTTTTCTTCATCCTCACTCTTGCTTATTTGGCAATGATCATCTCTGTTTCCTCTCGTCTGGCATTACAGGTCAAAAGAAAATAGTTGGTTAACGTCAATTTTACAGAAAGACTTCAATATCTGTAACTACATGTCTTTTAACTATTGGAGGTGATAATAAATTGCTGATATCAGTTCAAAGAACAATGTTCCCTATCAGTCAAAATCTGAAATGGCTTTAGTAAAAATTGTGAAGTTTATTCCAAAGTATGTACGAAAATGCAGAAGACACAGGCCAGCTAAGGAAAACTTGAAGAGGAACAAAATTGGAGGATCCACACAACCAGATTTTGAGATCTACTTTAATCTTCAATAATTAAGGATGATCTGATACTGGCATGAGAACAGAGAAGTTGACCAATGGAGCAGAATAGAGAATATGGCATATACAATTACTTGCTTTTGAAGAAAGGAGCTAATGTAATTAAATAAGGAAAGGGAAGTCTTTCTATACATGGTGTTGGAGCAACCAGGTATTTGTATTAAACAATGAGCTTTGACCTCTCCCTCATAGCATACACAAAACTTACTTAAAGATAGATAAAACAAGAAAGCTTCTGAAATTATGCTCTTAATATTGTAGCCACTAAACACGTGTAGCTATTGAACATGTCAAATGCAGTTAGTCCAAATTGAGATGTGCTGTGGGTCTAAAATATACATAGATTTTTTTTAAGAAGTACTTAGTACACACACAAAAAAGAAAACTAACTCATTAGTTATATCTGTATTGACTAGATTTTGAAATTACAAAATTTTGATATCTTGGGTTAAACAAAATAAATTATTACAATTAATTTATCTGTTTCTTTTTACTTTTGTTTACAGTGACTACTAGAAAATTTATAATTATACCTGTGGCTTATTTTTGTGACTCACATTTTACTTCTACTGGACAGTGCTGCTCTAGAAGAAAATAGGAAAATATCTCAAGGTCTTCAAGGGAGACAAGGATTTCTAAAACAGGACACACACACACGCATACAAATAGTAATCATACGGAAAACAAAAATCGCCACTTGGACTTCATCAAAATTAAAATTTCTGCTTATCCAAAGACATTATTAGGAAAGTGAAAGGGCAAACCATAGACTAGGAGAAAATATTTTATATGCATACCTAACAAAAGACTTGGATACAGAATCCATGCAAAACTATAAACCAGTAAGTAAGAAAAAGACAAGTAACAATAAGGGAAACATGAGAAAAAAACTTCCCACAAAAGAAATAGGCATCTCTCACAGAAGTTACCAGAATGGTATATGAAAAACTGCTTTAACATTATTGCTTGTCAGGAAAATGTAAATGAAAACCACAGTGGGTCTATGCAAACATAGTAAACTCTTTTTGACAAAGGCACAAAAGCAATTCAATGAAGAAAAGACATCCTTATCAACAAATGACCTATCAAATGGTACTGCAACAATTAAATGCTGTGGTAGGTAAAACAATGGCCTTTAAAAATGTCCATGTGCTAATTCCCAGAACCAGTGGATATGTTAGGCTATACAGCAAATGGCAATTATGGTTACAGATGGCATGCTAAGTTCCTAATCATATGGCATGATTAGTGATTAGCAAAGGATATTATACTGTATTATCTGGGTGGGACCAGTATAATAAACAGTTCCTTAAAAGTGGAAGTCGGGTAAGAGAGGGAGCACCAGAGACATGCAGCCTGAGGAAGACTGTGCATGACATTTCTGGCCTTGAAGATGGAAGAAGGGGTCCCTGAGCTTAGGACTATGGGCAGTCTCTAGAAGTGGGGAAAGGTAAGAAAACGGATTCTCCCTTAGAGACTCCAGAAGGAAAACAGCCCTGCTGACTTCCTCATCTTTACCCAATGAGGCCCGACTTAGACTTCTGACCTGCAGAACTATAATATAATAAATCTATGTTATATTAAGCCACTAAGTTGGGGGCAGTAAAACTATTCTGTATGATACCATACTGGCAGATTTATGACACTATGTATATGTCAACACGCATAGAACTTCATAATACAAAGAGTGAATCTTAATGTATTGGGAAACTAAAAAAATTAGGTGGTTAAGGGAACCTAAGATGGAATGCAGAATATTTTTAAAAAGTACTTATGTATATTGTAAATGTGTCAAACAACCTTAGTGAAAGGCGGGGGAAAAATGTGTTGACCTAAAAAGTTTGAAATGGGAGAAATCTATAAGACTAGAGGCAAAAATCTATACCTATTTAATAAAGTTTTTTTCATGGGAGTATGAATTAAAAATTCTGAAACTGCTATATATGTATATTAGAACTGCATAACTAAGTAAATGGATGGCTCATGATGGAAGTCAGATTTCTCACTGTAGGATTAGGAAGTTACAAATAAACAAGGGGATGAGTCTAGAACAGTCCATGTGTTAACGGGCTGGAATTAGAGACAACTCTTTGAACTTTAACTTATAGATACCAATTAATATCTATATTTAATTTAGCTTAATAGAGATACAGATACATTCATGCTGAATATTTATATGTTTCTATACACAAGGATTCCTTGCTCTGTCACTTGAAAGAGCCTGGAAGCAACAACACCCAGTAGCAGCTAGCACACCCAGTGCCAGGTCTTGGTTTCTAATAACTTCTCCAATAAAAGAAACTAGGGCTTTTTGGAGAAAGGGCTAATTCTAGGACTGAAGCAGGATTATATTTCTCTGTGCAAGTAGGAACATCTTATTGTGCCAAGAAGGAAGTGTTCACTGCATGCTCACGTGTGTACAAACACACACACACACACACACACAATATGACGGGGGCATGCCAAAGGGACATAGGAACACAACTGAAATAGCTCCTAACATCCAAAACTGGAATAATCTGATCTGAGAAGAAAAGAACTACAGAAGCATTGGAGAATAACCCAGAGTATAAAATGAACATCCATGAGTTCATACTCATATAAATGAATAAGTAAAGAAATAGAAAGAAAAAACAAATCTATATAGAATAATTCCAAATAATTTATGTAGATACTCCCCACTCAAGGTACAGCATAACTCCCCATTCCTTAAATATAAATATGGGCTACACACAGTAACTTCCTTCCAAAAAGTATAATTCAGTATGGGAAGAGGCATAAAAAGAGTAACTTTATACAGGATACTGAAAAACACTACCTCGGCCAAGTGATCGAAGTTTATGTCAAGAGTGATAAGCCATGCTGATAATATGTTTCCTTGATGCAATGGATAACTCTGTCGTCTTCCTCTCCCAATTGAGAGAAATTCTACAAAATACCTGACCAGTACTCCTCAAAACTTTCAAGGTCATCAAAAATAAGAACTGTCATGATGACTAAATGTAGTACAGAATCCTTAATGAGAACCTTGGAACAAGAAAAGGACATTAGGTAAAAGCCAAAAATATTTTAATAAAGTATGAACTGTATAACAGTAATGTATCATTATTATTGCATTAATTGTAAAGAATGTACCTTATCAGTGCACGATGTTAATAATAAGAGAAAATTGATATGGGGTATAAGGGAATACTCTGTACTACTTTTGTATTTTTTCTATAAAGTTAAAAACAGTTTATTAAAGAAGTAAATATAATGAGAAACCACTTTATTTCTATTTGCATGGCTAAAATTTAAGACTGATAATACCAAATTGACAGATTTCCTGGAAAGAGGCAGTCAGTTTGATGCTGATGTGGGGACAAAATGAAAAGAATTACAATAGTGAAAGAAGTTTTAGGGAACATTTAAGAGGGCACAGAAATACTTTCCAATCCAAATTTGTCTTCTCTCATCACTTCCTCAAGCCAAGATGAGAATTAAGACAATAGTCTAGTGTCTCTCTTTCCAATTAACCAACTAAGTGTTTTGGATGCAAGCCCTTCCAACTATAGGAGTGACATTTTTGTCTGTTGTTCATATTTCCTAATTGTGAGAGCAAATTGTCACTGTCTATTAAAGTGAAAGCACAATAGGCTATAAATACATTTTAAAAGTCACTAAATGCTCTGGACTTTAACACATATTTGCTTTTCAGGTATTGCTCAATCCTACTCATGGCACAGAATAGGAAAGTGGCACATTCAAGTACCGACAAATCCCCCCCACCGCCCCATCCAACCTCAATCAATGATAAAGAGTAGATAATCTGGTCAGAATCTTCTTTCAATTGCCAGAAATCAACAGTATAACCCCAACTGCATCTGTTTAATGGATAAAACTGAGGCAAAATCTCCCTACCTTTGCTATTCTAATTGTTGTTAACAATTCAATCTAGCTTAATTAGGTTTAACAAAATTAAAAGCAATTTTTGAGTTTTTAAAGAATCCTATTGATATATCCTAACTTAAATGAAGACACCTTGAGGTCTTACTACTGAAAATTGCTGAACTATTTGTAAGTAGATTACTCATTTTTGAAGAATTTATGCTTCTGTGCAGTAATTTATTACTCCTTAAACTGGGGATACTATTAGCTCCTATAAAGCCTAGTTGGTCCCAAGTAGGTAAATTGAACACGATCACCCTCCCAGATGACCACGTGGAAAACCTGAGTATCACCATTGATTCCTTCTTTCCTTTATCCCTCACGTCCAATTAATCATCAGTTATAATGATGTGAAATTTTTTACTTGTTTCATTATGTTTTTTAAGACTGTGTATATCTTTCTTAAGATCTGTTAACTTTAACACTTAATTCTGAGGGTGAACCTTTATCTTGATTTTGAATTTTTATCAACCTATTTGAACCGTCATTCTATTTTTAACAATGCAGTTTCATATCAAGTTGAGTCATGAATATGTCTGGCATATCTGAGGGGTAATAAACCAGTTAATATTGCTGCATCTCCATGGGTAAGGAGTATGTTGGCAGTCATGAGGTCAGAGAGGTAGCCAAGGTCTGAATAATTTGGGCCTTGTGGGCTATAGAAAGAATTGTGTTTTTGTTTTCCCTAGGAATAATAGAAAACTGTGAAAGTGCTTAGTTTTGAGCAGAGAAGTGAAATTATCTGAGTTGAGTTTTGAAGAATCATTTGCTGTGTGAAGAATAAAATGTGGTGGGCAAGAGAAATAGGAAGACAAAAACAATGAAATTGTTCTATTCCAAGGGGGAAATGATGGTGACTTAGTTTATTTTGATAATAGTGGAGGAGTTGTGAGACATTGACAGTGTCAGGATATTTGGGGTGTTGGTGGGGGTTGGTAGAGGCCATTAGCAGTACTAGGCCATCAAGGTTTTTTTATATGAGCTACTGAGTAAATCTCGTGCCATTTCCTATGTAGGTCACTGAAGAAGAAGAGTTCAGTTTTGAACATTTAACTCTGATGTGCCAAATAGATATCTAAGTGGAGATGTTAAATAAACAGTTACATATGGATCTTGAATTTAAGGGAGAGGCATAGATTTGAAAGTTATCAATATACAGATGCTGATGGGACTGAATGAGTTCACCTACAGCGTAAGCGTCGACAGATATGAGAGAACATTGGAAGACAAAGCTTTGAAAAGTCTAGCATTTAGAGCTCAGGAAGCAGCAAAGAAGTTAGCAAAAGAGACTGAGAAGGAGCAGGGAGCCAGGTTAAACCAGAGAGTGTGGTGTGCTGGAATTAAGATGAAGGAGCCAGTGACCAGCTAGTTCAATAGTGGCTCAAAGTCCTATTAAGATAAAGACAGAGAATTGTCCATTGGATTTAGTAACATGGAGGTCCTTAGTGGCCTTGAAAAGAGCAGCTCCACAATTGTACTGCATGCCACCATTTGTGAAATACTTGCTACCATTTCAGCATGCCTGACTTTATATTCTGAAGCCACATTCTCAAGTTATTCCTGTAACTCAGTCAGATTAACCATGCCACGCGGAAGTTGGGACAAAGCACCAGACTGGCTATTAGGGGAACCATGTTCTAGTTCAGCCTCCTCCTACTAACCAGCTGTATGGCACGGGCAAGTCATTCTGTCTCTCAAGGCCTTGGTTTCCTCACAAGCAAAATGAGGGGGCTGGAAAAGATTTCATTTAGAGATGTCTGTGTTAAAGTAAAAAACCAGAATTGTGTTTTGCATTTTAATAGAGAAGCTTAGAAAAAAAACCACAAGTCTCTACTTGATTATATGTAGTGGGAAGATATTTTTCAAGAGGATCCTCCAAGGGCTTCTTTCACCTGCAGTGACTAGCTCTCTTCTTTTCTGCCTGTCTGCCCAAGTTTACCATGCACAAAGACTCTGTATCCTGGCTCTCCTACCGCTCTCTTTCCTCACATACCCATGCAAACACATTCATCCTCGTCAAACACCCCAAAGAATTGAAAGCATGGCTGGAGAAGAAACATTGCAGTGAATATTGGAAGCTGAAAAAGATTTTTTGTGCTTTAATAGTACACATGAAGACCATGCACATATGCATAATTCCTTTCTGTGCCTACGTTTACTTACCATACTAAGAAACAAATATAAAATTTTTACTCAATTATTTTTGTGTCACCATGGAGGGGAGAATTAACAGGATCCAGAAGCCTGATTTATAAGTTACATCACATCAGTGTAACACTTTTTCCTGGGACCTCAGTAACTAATTTGATGGTTTAACTAGTAATTTCTATTAAACTAAATGAAAAATAAATAAATGAGTTGTCTGTGTTAAAACCACAGCAGGAATCTTGGCTATTTTGGTGAACTGACGTTTCCTCACATTAACCCCAGGTTAGGTGCTGGTGAAGAAAAAGTGCACTATGGAGGTAACTTCTTGGATTGGCATTTTATCTGTGCCAGTTCCTACGTTAGATGCTTTAAACTGGTGAACTCATTTGATCCTGACCACTTTCTGAGGTCTCATTGCCATTTGATCATGAGATGAGGAAGAGAGTGTGAGAGAGACCTCTCACAGTATTCTTCACCCCAGGAAAGTAAGTGTGAGGCATGAGAAAGCAAGTTATCACCTTTGAAGGTGTTCCCTTGGGGAAGTGGGAGTGGTGGTGCGGGCTGCAACCACAAACAGAAAATGTGGGTGGGGATTGTTTTCATTCCAAGGTGCCAAATTGTTAGCATTTGACAACCATATGCTCCCTTTGGGCCCTGCAGTTGTACCTAGAGGCCTATGCTGGGACATTTTTTTAAAGCAAATATATATTCTCTGTTTTCATGGAGCCAAAAACAACACAAAATATGATCAGAATATTTCTAGAAATGCAACTAAACAAGCTTACTTTAGATAAGGCAAACAGTGGTGACTCAGGGCACGGTTTAGTTCCTTCTGGCTCCCTTCACAGAGATAGAAGGAGGCAGACAGATAAGAGAACAGACAGAAGCAACTCCACCCCTGGAAGAGGAATTACCTTCCATCCTCAAGATGGATACTACATCTGGACCTTCATGGAAGTTCTCATGGCATTTCCCCTGAATTCAGATCATTCTTCATTACACTAAAATAGCAGCCCAATTAAAAACAAAAAGTCAACTCCCTTATTTCCTACAATACACAAACATAGTTGTTTCAATGACTTCATTTCTTAAGTAGTTATGTTGATTGGGAATTGCAGTCACTATTCTCACAGGCATCTGTTGGGGAGTTTTTTATTTTATGGCACTTTTGTTGTAAAGCTTTCTTTATCATCTTGCTGCTACTATGTGGAAATAATGTATTGTTTCCAAAACCTGACTGTGTTTCTTAAGTTTTTTGGACTACTTAAATGATATCCAACACTGAGACTTCAATTTTTACTTAGGTTTTGACTGGCTGTATAAACTTTCTATCCCTCAGTTTGTCCATTTGTAAGAGGATGATAATAATTTGTGTTGAAAGAACACACTAAAGACAGGGGGTCACAGGAAAATTTCTCTGCCTTCTGTTTTTTTCCTAGGCATTTGAAAAATCAAATTCATTATATTTAGAAAAGCTAACTCCTTCATCCTTAAATATTTCTTTTGAAGCCATGAAATGTAGCATGGTATGGTAGGTAGGTGTGCAGACTCTTGAACCAGATTGCCAAGATTTTTACCCAAGCTACACTGTGGACTGGTTCATGAGCTTGGACCTGCAACCTTGCGTTCCTTTGGCTTATTTATATGAAAGAAGAGCGTAAAAACAGTAACGTCATAAGATTGTTTTGAAGATTATATCAATTAATACATATAAAGTTCTAGAACAATGCCAGGCACAGAACAAGCATTCTTAAGTATTAGCTCTTAAGTCACTGTATCTTCCCAATCTCCACTCACCTCTCTTCCAGCCTTGCACCAGTTGAGTCATTAGCGCCGTTACTCAAGTCACCTTTCTCACCAGTTGACTTTGCTATAACTTTGTTGTTAGAGCTCTGCCGTCCCCTCAGCCTCAAAGCTTTTCAGACTCTAGGTGGACTCTACATAAGAGATGTATCCCTTTGAAAGGAGACAAGGCATGTTCATGAATTGTTATATTACTTTTAATGAAATAATTATAGAAGACTTAACAAAAGAGAGGAGATTTGAGCAGAGATCTGAATGTGATGCAGCATATTCTACTTTTGAGGGCACTTCTACTTACTTTCAAAAGATTAATATTCATTTTCCTGTTAATTCTTCAGACTTTTCATGGGCAGCTGATGTGCAAGCAGTAGATTTATTTAACATATTATTAAGAAATATTAGGCAATGTTCTATAATTCACCTAAATCATTTGGTGGCTAAGGGGGGATAAAGACTAGTGGAAAAAGGAATCAGCTTATGAAATGAGTAAAGCATTTGATTATGTATTTGCCTGTGCTTATAATCCCAGGAGCCAGAATGCATTGCTTGAATTGGAAACAAGCAATACATTTCTTTTTTTTCACATTAGAGTTGCTGAATCCATTCTATATTGATTAAAGTACTGAAAATAAGTTACCGTTAGACTCTTGCAAAGAAAGTTAATTCATCTTTGGACTGGTTCAAGAATTTCTTTTTGAAAACTTGGCTCTAAGTTTCTATTTGAGTTTTCAAACTTAATTTAAGAAAGATTGCCATTGTATAATAAAATCATAGGGTTCAGTGAAACATACATCTTCACATTAAAAAGAAGCCCACCAAAATCTAACTATGGACTGGAAAATAAGACATCTTGAGGTTCTTAAGTATAATGCTGGAAGGATGCATTATACCAACTTTCAAAACCTGCTTGAAGTTTTTGAGTTTGAATTTCAAATTAAACTAGAAACTTTGGAGATTTGAATTGTTTTTTTCCCTTGGTAAAGCACCCCACCCTTATTCAAAAGGAAAAAGGAAACCGTAATGTCCTCCATAAAAGTTTGAGAGCTTCTGGAAATTCTAATAGCTCATAATAAACATCACAACAAATAAAATGTAAATAAATAAGAAACAGATGTATTACTCTGCTCTTAAAATATTTATAAATTTAAAAATGTGGAATGTTGGAAAAAAAAGAGCTAGTGAGTGATAATAAATTGATCATGGCTGTATTATATTATCTTATAATTAAAACATTCTTCTCCAGTTGAATATAAAAGATGCATTTCTTATAAATTTTGAAGTTTGAGTTTGTTCCAGGATCTCTAATGTTACAACATTGTTAACTTATTTATAAAATAAAAACCTTTGTAATATTTTCTATGGAAGTATATGTTCTTGGAACAATAATTTTCTTCTAATTGATTACACATTTAGTGTTGTGCTCCTTTAATCCACCTAATTTTTTACACACAATTACCTAAACTATACATAAACATATGGTCACATGGGACTGACTATATGCTTGTCTAGTTTTCTACCACTGAATCCATAAGATGAAAGAAAGACCCTACAAATGTTAATTTTTCCCTCTTTATGCCAACTATTTAATTCTTTTTTAATGCTAAGAATATTTTATGAAAAATTTGAGGTCAAAATCTAGTTATATATTTCAAAGGCTACAGATTAAAAAGGGGAACATTTGGTAACTCTCCCATTGCTCACAGAGAAGCTAAATAACTTGAGAACACGAAGAGCTTATTAAGTTTTCGGATCCACTGTGCTTGCTCAAATCCAGATAAGCATAAAAAAATAGAGGCTGTACTATTAACTCCATGGTTTGTGTGCTCTCTTGCTGCATGACACTAACAGTTACTTTGTTGTAAACACGTGGATCAATCATAAATGTACAAGAAGTCAGAAATGTAGACAGCCCTGGTGGTTTAGAGGCTAAGGATGTTCAACAGGTCCAGGAAGAAATTTAATTCTGATGAGGGTCTTCAACCCAGTCTCTCAGACTTTGACCCTCACATAGTTCCCCCTTCCTTGGAATTCAGGTTTGGCCTAGAATCTGGGTAACACACAAAGTTGAATCAGTCTGGACCCATGGAGAATGTATGGGCATCATGCCTAGAGGAGTTTCGGATCATACTGCTGCACACTGCACTGTTGAGATAACACCCTAGAGAATAACTTGGTGTTCTTACCATAGGCCTGGCCTACTATTTTCCAGCTCTCTTGAAGGCCCATTGCTAATAGGGACACTATATTTTGGACTGTGAGCCTCCACTTGCTGGAAATAAGAAGCACCTCTGTGAAGAATCCCTTACTGTATTATACTTCCAGCATTTTAAAACCATATATCCTTATGCCCCAGGTGGCTCGACTTTGAACACTTTTCCCCTGCATTCATTCTATTGTAATACTAGCCATACTTTATTAGCTCTATAGAGGGTGAAGTATGGCAGAATATTCCCTGCTCAAAAAAAAACAAAACGCTTTGGCATAAGAATTATTTTGAGTTAAAGTCACTTGGAAAACAACAGACACAAGAAGGGCATTCTGACCTTTTCTTTTTCTTCCCAAAAAAAAAAGAGGTGGAATCACCATATAGGAGATGTGTTCCCTATACCAGGAAGAAAGTAACACTTTTATCACTAGAGATGGGGACTTGAAACTGAGAAAAATCTGTCCAAACAAAGCTTGTTATACTAACTTTTATCTTTCTAGTTACTTTTCTACTATTAACTGCCATAACCCAAGCCCCTTTGTCTTGTCACGTTTTCATAATTTACTACACTTTTTCCAATTCAGTATATATGTGTTCAACTTTAACTTCTTTGGGTCTTCACTTCTTTATGAGGGCTCCCATGTCACATAAAATAAATGTGTATGCCTTTTTCTCAGTAATCCATCTTATGCCAGTTTGATTCCTTAGGCCTTGCCAGAAACCCTAAGAGGGTAGAGGAGAAAGTTTTCTCCTCCTGAAGTTCAAAAAAATTATTTTTCCTTCTACCCCCTGGTGTTACTGCTGGGGACCTGTAAAACTAGACTAACAAAAACCAGACTAACAAGAGATGAGCTGTTTATTTATTAAAACATACAGTATACATCACTCAGGAGAAATCAAAATGAAGAGTGTGACTCAAAGGGGTGGTTAGAACTTGGGCTTCTTAGTGTCTTCATAAAAGACCAATAAATCTGTAAAGAAGGGACAAGAGAAAGGAAAATGTTTTAGATTTTCAAGGACAGCAAACTGTGAAGGAAACATAGATAGGAAAACTAATGAAATAAGATTTGTTTGTGCAGGTTCATTTCTGTGCTGACTTTCCATTTCTTCATGGCCATAAAACTTTGCCAAGAGAGAAGATTCATGGAAGTCTTCATTTTTCAGAAGTTTCTGCTTTTGGTCAGATAATGGAAGCCCTGGGAAGGCTTCTTTTTGCATCTGCAGATTCCCATTTATCTCCAGCTCAAATAATCCTTATGCCAAAGTGACATACTTTAAGGTGGCATATTCTGGTCACCTATAGTTCGTTGTCCTATTGTAAAGCCATCCACTATAATAAAACTGTTTTCAGCATCAGCTGTAAAACATACCTGTCTCTGTTGTGCTCATGCCTCCTGTTTAGCTTTGTTTTGATATATACTTTGCCCACTACTGAACAATTAAAATATAGGCATTTTTCTTCCTAAACTGTTTTGTAAATTCAATCTAGTTATTGTACTTAACATTTTTTTCTACTTTGTATGTCTGTCACTTATAATCACTCCCTTCTTTATCTCTGTCATATTCAATCTGCTTCTAACTTTTTAAACTTATCAATGTATATGCACTACATGGGATTCAGAGTCACATTATTCAATGATATTTGGAAAACAAAATTTTATTGGCTAAATTGCAGGGGGGAAAATTGTCCTATTGAAGTGGTTTCGCCCTTTTAAAATGGTATGTGGCTAAGGGTGTGTGTGTGCATATTCACTGTGCATATATTGAGGACTGTTGCACGGTCCTGCAAGCACTCCCAGCCCAATTAGATTCTCAATAATTTCTCTTTCTGCTGTTTTCTTTTGGCAGATGGCATATTCTTATTTTGTACTTTCAGTCTCTGCTTGTTAACAGACGCTTGTATGTATAGCAGAATTCTGTCTCAGATTTCTTTTTATTGTAATATTCACCTGGTAGCAAGATGATGGGAGAAGGAGACCTACAAATTATTAGGCCTCCAATCATGTAAGACTTCCAATATCTGCCAAAAGGAAACAGATCAACTTAGTTTGTTGATAACATACTGCTATCCCTTGCAATCACCACCTTTATCTCTGCATTAGCAGGCTAATTGTGCAATACATTTATCTAGATTGCTAATCTTTTAAAAACTGTGATGGAGCCCACAAGAGCCTCCCCCTAGAAAACTGACATATGCATATATAGTTATCACTTTGTATACAATTTCCAGGGGATTAACAGCCTGGGGAAGGAGGCAATGGATGCTTCTTCTTTATCGATTAAGTACATTCTGACAGACACTGACACCATTGTCATTATCTCCAACAACACAGGCTCGGGGGAGAAGAAGGAACTGAAGTGGGGTGAAGGTGGAGAGGTGTGAGCAGTTAAGTTCAGCGAGAAGTTCTGAATAATCTGTCCTTCCCTACCCTCCCCCCTTTGGCAGGGGTCAGTTTTTATAGCCACAGCCCAACTCCCTAATGGCATTTGGTTTTCTGGTAAAGATCAAAAGTGCACTTGGCATTTCCTGAGCATAAACAGCATACCAGCCTATACTGGCTAGAATCGATGGATCCATAACCATGTGAAAATGTGAATGCATTTCTGTAGATGGGCAGCTGTGGGTCTGGAAAATATCCAGTTTCAAAAGCAAAACAAATGATAAAAGTAGTTAAATAAGGATTCTGGCTTGATGTTCACCTAAGTTTACCAAATGCATCCCTTTCATTTTCATGGAAAATTAATTCTGGCCTGTAATTCATTTCTATGACTGATTCCTTTTGTGGAAGTTGAAGTAATAGAAAATGACTTTCTGAGGAAGTCCTCTGGAGTTGTTTTCTGAGTATGCTCTTTAATTCTCTTAAAGAAATGTCTGTCTGTACCAGTAGAAGTGACCTTTCTTCTGGTTTAATTTCTGAAGAGATCAATGATTATAGGATAATAACTTTTTAAATCATTCAAGAGGTGTATTGACAATTTGCTATAGGCCAATCCCTGAAGAATGCAACATGGCCCCTACGTTCCAAGATCTTGCAGTTTGGTAGAGGAAACACATAAAACATCTTGTCCTAGAAACTCTGAGATTCACCATTCATATCACCAACATAGATGGCTCATTTAAAACCCAATGGCCCAATCATATCACCCATGCTTTTTTCATCATAATTACTAACAAATTCGTACAATATGTGCTTCAACCTGCAGTATTTTGTTACAATCTTTGAAATACCTGCTTTTTTTTTTTTAAACTCATCAAGTTCCAAGAGTTTTGACAAGAGAAAGAGTGTTTGAAAGCTACATTTCAGCTTTAAGGTCTAGGTAACTTTGAGTACATTGTATTAATATAAGCAATGACCACTGAGGTAGCTACGCATTTGAGTGGAGTGCCAAAAAACTGACTGCCCTCTACACGAACACACACACACACCTCCCACACTGAACAATCTGGTTCTGTTTTCACTGACTACTGTCTAAAAAGAGGCTGGCCTGGAAGAAAGTCCTATCATTCTTTTGTGGACATTTTTTATATATTCCAGATGACTAGATGGAATCGGGATGAGAAAAAGAAAGAAAAAGCACAGAATGATAAAAATTGCAAGGTACAACGGGTCAACGCCAAAATTGACTGAGTATAAAAATGGCTCTATAAGTATTCAGTATAAGTCAGAAACATCCTCTATAATACCATATTCTCAGGGTAAATATTGTCACAATATTGACAGTTACAAAAAGCCTACTGAAAGTTTTTCTAAACCTAACGATGTCTTGTAAATACCCAAAAGGTTATGGCAAAGTCAAGTTTTAAGTTTAACATTAAATTTATTAACCTGCACAATGTTCTTTGCAGGATCACCAACAAATAATGTGGTGTGAATTGAGGGACTTTCTTTTCTAGGAACACGGGATAGATGTGTGTTTTCTTATCTTTCTAAGTACAACTGAAAAGTGTAGCTATAATACATATAATAATCATATGAAGACTTTGAAAGCTGGACATGAGAAGGCAGACTGGCTAGAGACCTTGGAACTTGAGAAACAACACAGTAATGAGGTCTTGGGTGTTCTCTTTGCCTCATGTATCCCAGACTTGGAGCTGAAGAAGCCAGCAACCTGGAGACAATAATGAGGGCAGACCACTACAAATAAATAAAAAACAGAAAAGAAATTATGATTTCTCTAGGCAAAAGACTCAGGAAGAAGTAGCCTAGGAAAAGTGAACATTTTTAGACAATAACCTCTCCAATTCAGCCAAACACCACAGAAAAAAACTGTGAGTGCATTCTGATCCAAGCCTGCAGAGGCTGAGTAGTGAGCCTAGATTTCCAACCTAATGAAGCTGTAACAAGGTGCTCTTGCATCCACCAGGATCCCATCAGGGAA
Source organism: Homo sapiens (assembly GCF_000001405.40). NCBI lineage: Eukaryota > Metazoa > Chordata > Mammalia > Primates > Hominidae > Homo > Homo sapiens. Next base: position 58,051,010 of record NC_000005.10, read on the forward strand.
TGCCAAGTAGGGATGCTGGTTAGTAATAGGACCTTTCTTGCCCACTGTGTCAATAGAGACCATGTGGGGGGCAGAAACTTCTATGTCTAATTGGCAGTAACAAGAAGTTCTCTCCACCTTGGGTGTTAATGAAAGCCAAGTGAGAATGTTTTCTTTTCTTTTTTTTTTTATTATTATACTTTAAGTTTTAGGGTACATGTGCACAATGTGCAGGTTAGTTACATATGTATACATGTTACATGCTGGTGCGCTGCACCCACTAACTGGTCATCTAGCATTAGGTATATCTCCCAATGCTATCCCTCCCCCCTCCCCCCACCCCACAACAGTCCCCAGAGTGTGATGTTCCCCTTCCTGTGTCCATGTGTTCCCATTGTTCAATTCCCACCTATGAGTGAGAATATGTGGTGTTTGGTTTTTTGTTCTTGCCATAGTTTACTGAGAATGATGATTTCCAATTGCATCCATGTCCCTACAAAGGACATGAACTCATCATTTTTTATGGCTGCATAGTATTCCATGGCGGATATGTGCCACATTTTCTTAATCCAGTCTATCATTGTTGGACATTTGGGTTGGTTCCAAGTCTTTGCTATTGTGAATAGTGCCACAATAAACATACGTGTGCATGTGTCTTTATAGCAGCATGATTTATAGTCCTTTGGGTATATACCCAGTAATGGGATGGCTGGGTCAAATGGTATTTCTAGTTCTAGATCCCTGAGGAATCGCCACACTGACTTCCACAATGGTTGAACTAGTTTACAGTCCCACCAACAGTGTAAAAGTGGTCCTATTTCCCCACATCCTCTCCAGCACCTGTTGTTTCCTGACTTTTTAATGATTGCCATTCTAACTGGTGTGAGATGATATCTCATTGTGGTTTTGATTTGCATTTCTCTGATGGCCAGTGACGGTGAGCATTTTTCCTGTGTTTTTTGGCTGCATAAATGTCTTCTTTTGAGAAGTGTCTGTTCATGTCCTTCGCCCACTTTTTGATGGGGTTGTTTTTTTCTTGTAAATTTGTTTGAGTTCATTGTAGATTCTGGATATTAGCCCTTAAGTGTCTGTTCATGTCCTTCGCCCACTTTTTGATGGGGTTGTTTGTTTTTCTCTTGTAAATTTGTTTGAGTTCATTGTAGATTCTGGATATTAGCCCTTTGTCAGATGAGTAGGTTGCGAAAATTTTCTGCCATTTCGTGGGTTGCCTGTTCACTCTGATGGTAGTTTCTTTTGCTGTGCATAAGCTCTTGAGTTTAATTAGACCCCATTTGCCAATTTTGGCTTTTGTTGCCATTGCTTTTGGTGTTTTAGACATGAAGTCCTTGCCCTTGCCTATGTCCTGAATGGTATTGCCTAGGTTTTCTTCTAGGGTTTTTATGGTTTTAGGTCTAACGTTTAAGTCTTTAATCCATCTTGAATTGATTTTTGTATAAGGTGTAAGGAAGTGATCCAATTTCAGCTTTCTACATATGGCTAGCCAGTTTTCCCAGCACCATTTATTAAATAGGGAATCCTTTCCCCATTGCTTGTTTTTCTCAGGTTTGTCAAAGATCAGATAGTTGTAGATATGAGGCGTTATTTCTGAGGGCTCTGTTCTGTTCCATTGATCTATATCTCTGTTTTGGTACCAGTACCATGCTGTTTTGGTTACTGTAGCCTTGTAGTATAGTTTGAAGTCAGGTAGCGTGATGCCTCCAGCTTTGTTCTTTTGGCTTAGGATTGACTTGGTGATGCGGGCTCTTTTTTGGTTCCATATGAACTTTAAAGTAGTTTTTTCCAATTCTGTGAAGAAAGTCATTGGTAGCTTGATGAGGATGGCATTGAATATATAAATTACCTTGGGCAGTATGGCCATTTTCACAATATTGATTCTTCCTACCCATGAACATGGAATGTGCTTCCATTTGTTTGTATCCTGTTTAATTTCATTGAGCAGTGGTTTGTAGTTCTCCTTGAAGAGGTCCTTCACATCCCTTGTAAGTTGGATTCCTAGGTATTTTATTCTCTTTGAAGCAATTGTGAATGGGAGTTCACTCATGATTTGGCTCTCTGTTTGTCTGTTATTGGTGTATAAGAATGCTTGTGATTTTTGCACATTGATTTTGTATCCTGAGACTTTGCTGAAGTTGCTTATCAGCTTAAGGAGATTTTGGGCTGAGACAATGGGGTTTTCTAGATATACAATTATGTCGTCTGCAAACAGGGACAATTTGACTTCCTCTTTTCCTAATTGAATACCCTTGATTTCCTTCTCCTGCCTAATTGCCCTGGCCAGAACTTCCAATACTATGTTGAATAGGAGTGGTGAGAGAGGGCATCCCTGTCTTCTGCCAGATTTCAAAGGGAATGCTTCCAGTTTTTGCCCATTCAGTATGATATTGGTTGTGGGTTTGTCATAGATAGTTCTTATTATTTTGAGATACATCCCATCAGTACCTAATGTATTGAGAGTTTTTAGCATGAAGGGTTGTTGAATTTTGTCAAAGGCCTTTTCTGCATCTATGGAGATAATCATGTGGTTTTTGTCTTTGGTTCTGTTTATATGCTGGATTACATTTATTGATTTGCGTATATTGAACCAGCCTTGCATCCCAGGGATGAAGCCCACTTGATCATGGTGGATAAGCTTTTTGATGTGCTGCTGGATTCGTTTTGCCAGTATTTTATTGAGGAAGTATTCCCACTTTACCCTACAGGAGATGTGTTAAAAACAAAACTACAGGCCAGGCATGGTGGCTCACACCTGTAAGCCCTGCACTTTGGGAGGCCGAGGCAGGCGGATCACTTGAGGCCAGGAGTTCGAGACCAGCCTGACCAACATGGAGAAACCCCGTCTCTACTAAAAATACAAAAATTAGCTGGGCTTGGTGGCACATGCCTGTAATTCCAGCTACTTGGGAAGCTGAGGCAGGAGAATCACTTGAACCCAGGAGGCGGAGGCTGCGGTGAGCCGAGATCATGCCATTGCACTGCAGCCTGGGCAACAAGAGCGAACCTCCGTCTTAAGAAAAAACAAACAAACAAACAAAAACTACACAAGGCATACCTAGAAAGCCTAAATAAAATCAGGAGTCTTATAATGTAATATGAAAATGCACAGGTTTCAATAGAAAATGTACTTATAGCAAGAACCAGGAAGATTTCACACAGAAAACAGACAGTGCAGAGATGCAACACTGAAATGACAGAGATGTAATAATTACGCAACAAAAATTTTAGAGTAGCCATGTAAAAAATGTTTCAATGGGCAATTATGAACATGCTTGAAACATTGCAAAGAAATAGAGTCTCAACAATGAATTACAAGATATAAAGAAGAACCAAATGCAAATTCTAGAACAGAAAAATACAATAACTGAAATCAAAAGCTTAGTGGTTGAGTTTTCTAAATTATGTTTAATAAGTGTTGTAGGGAGCTTCCTCTATATATTTGGATCTAATTTATGAAAAGTCGGGCTTTAAAATATAACTTTGATAAACAAATACATAATTACTATATTTGATAATTTAGTCCCTGATTTGGCTGTGTCCCCACCCAAACCTCATCTTGAATTGTAGTTCCCATAGTCCCCATGTGTCATGGGAGAGACTCAGTGGGAGGTAATTGAATCATGGGGTCAGTTACCCCCATGCTGCTATTCTCATGATTGTGGGTGGGTTCTCACGAGGTCTGATGGTTTTACAAGGGGCTTTTCCCCCTTAGCTTGGCGTTTCTCTCTCCTGCCACCATGTGAAAAAGGATGCTTCTGCTTCCCCTTACACCATTATTGTAAGTTTCCTGAGGCCTCCCCAGCCATGCGGAACTGTGAGTTAATTAAACCTCTTTCCTTTATAAGTTACCCAGCCTTGGGTAGTTCTTTATAGCAGTGTGAGAATGGACTAATCCCTAAGTAAATTAAATTAAATTAAAAATTCCTATTATAGGAATTATTTATTCCATACCATAGATGATTCAGGACTGATCCCATCCTTTCTTACCCTCTGAAGTGAAAATTATTTTCCTTGTGGGTTGGAGACAGCTCTAAGAATCACTGATAATAGAGGCACATTCTCATGAAGTCTCTTTAGCACTTGTTTATGTTGCTGTTTTTCTTCTTGAAAAGGATGCCTTCTTCAAACAGAGAAATTGCCAAAAGGTGTTCTTCTGGGCAAATCATTTTGAAAAAAAAAAAAAGGCTTCTTTTCCTCCAGACCGCCAGCAACACTGGGTGAGGCAAGCAGAGCTGAGACCAAATTTTAGTTCCCATTCATCTCCCTTGGGAGCCACCCTAGTGTTGGGGCACAGTCTGCACAATCCCATACAGCAGAACTAACTCTTACCTTTCACCTTTTCTTCTCCTGCTGCTGGCACAGGGAAGAGAGCACATTGATCCTCCTTGGGAAACAGGGCTCTTAGAATCTCTTTCCTGCAGCAGTGTTTTTCATTTGAGTATTGGAGTCCTCCGTTTTCTGGGTGTCTATGGTAGAGATTTAAAAAAGGGTGAGAGAGCAAAACTGGCATTTATTGAATACCTTCTATGTGCCTGTAACTTTTTACTTTAAGGCATTTTTAAGAGTAGTTTTAAGTTCACAGCAAAATTGAAAGGAAGGTATAGATATTTCCCATTACCCACCCCCCCAACATGTGCATAGCCTTCTTCCATTGTCAATATGCCCTACCAGAGGGTACACTTGTTACAACTGATAAGCCTACGTTGACCCATCATAATCATCCAAAATCCATATGCCTGTAAATTTTCATGATATTTTACATACATTACATGGCATATTACGATCTTTTCTTAGATGAGACCACTGAGGCTCTGAGAGGTGACATCCATTTGTTAAGACCTCTCAGTAAGGAGAAGTTAGAATGATGCCCAGGGCCACTTGTCTCCAAACAAAAAGAAGACTCTGTTGTGCTCTTAACAGTCCATCCTAGATTGTTAGCCAACCATGATGAGGGGACCTCAACAGTTTGCCCAGTTCATTAGGCTTTAGCTTAGCCCTGATCTTGATGGAGTGAAGAACAAGGAGTCTAAGAACTCAGTTATCTACTGGAAGGTTCTGCAGGACACAAGAAAGGGTAATATGATTCCTGACTTAATGTAGGTACAATATGACCTCAAGCTGAGGCCAATAGATTCTGATAACATGAAAAAGTGACCGTGAAAATCAAAGAAAAAACCATGGGTGTAGATGTGAAGAAACCCTGAGATTGAAAGGAATTAAAGAGAGCGTGAAAAATTTTGCTTTAGAGATTGAATAAATTCCATTATCTTCTAAATGCAAACATTTTTAAACAGAGTGCATGAATTCCCTTTTGATGTTAAAAAATACAAAATTACCTACCTAATATGGTGTTTGGATGGACAAGAGACTCATGTTGATAGTTGAGACACTTTCGTCAAAGAAATAAAACCTCTGAGTTTGAGGCAAAATCTGGCACAGGAAAGAAATGGCATCCTTCAGCCCCTAGGGTTCTTGGAAGTGGTCAAAGTTCCAAACAGAATCTCCCTCACACTTATCTACAGCCATACTCAACCATTGTCATCAATTTTATTTTTTAAAATTTTTGATTATCAGTATTTTATATTTACATTTAAGGATTTTTAGATTGTAGAGATGTTTAAATATGTATTGTATTTAAAAGACACATTTATTCTCCAGCATTAGTTTCTCTCATTCATGATTACTTACATTATGAGTTAAATGAGCTTTGGTGCACTGCCTGGGAATCCAGCCAGTATTTGTGAGATCATTTCTAAGATAACATGCATTTTCAGTTCCCGAAACCCTAGGAACAATAAAACTCCATAAACACAGTAAGTATTGTCAACTTGACTAGGGTCAATGAACAATAAGAGAAAATATTAATAATTCAGTCAATTCTTCAAGTCTTGATTCCCCTTTCCTGAATTACAATTTTTCCCTTTTCAATTTGATTTGCACTCCTTGGGTTGAATTTTGTGTTCTAGCTCATAGTAAAACTAGAAATATAAAAACAGGAATATAAAAACAGGAATATAAAAATCTTTGTTGAAAAGGTTAATGAAAATTTTTAGTTACAAATGTGCTTGTTATGTGAATGATGTTGGGAAGGTTTTCTGATATCCCTGGAGTAGTACATGAATGTGTGGAGTCATGCATTTAGTTTGTAGGATGAAATTCACATTATGGAGTGAATTTGGAATCATATCGAAGAAATCATTGCCAATTCCAATGTCATGAGGCTTTTGCCCAATATTTTCTTCTAAAAGTTTATCGTTTTTGGTCTTACCCTTACGTCTGTGGTCCATTTTGAGTTTATTTTTGTATGTGATGTTATGTAAGGTACCCAATTTTATTCTGAATATCCAATTTTCTTAGCACCATTTGTTGAAAAGACTGTCCTTTCCCCATTGAATGGCCTTGGCATCCTTGTCAAAAATTATTTGACCATAATTCAAGGGTTTATTTGTGGGTTCTCTTCTATTCCGTTAGTTCACGTCTGTCTTTATGCCAGTACCACACTGTTTTGATTACTGTAGCTTTGTGGTAAGTTTTGAAATGAGGAAGTGTAAGTTCTACAGTTTTATTCTTTTATTATTTTTTTCCGCAAGACTGTGGCTACTCGTGGTCCCCTGAGATTCTATGTGAATTTTATGATGGGTTTTCCCATTTCTGCAAAAAATCATTGAGATTTGGATAGGGATTGCACTGAATTTGTAGATCACTTTGGGTAGCACTGAAATTTTAACAATATTAAGTCTTCCAATCCATAAAGTTAAGATGTGTTTCTGTTCTAATATTTTTCGGTAATGTTTTATAGTGTTCATTGTACAAGCCTTTCATGTCCTTGGTTAACTTGTTTCCTAAGCATTTTATTCTTTTTGGTGCTATAGTAAATTGACTTGTTTTTGTCATTTCCTTTTCAGATTATTCATTATTAGAGTGTGAAAATGAAAGACATTTTGTATGTTGACTTCATATCTTTCTACACTGCTAAAATGACTTTTTAGTTCTAAGTTTATTTTTATGAACTCTTTACGATTTTCTACCTATAAGGTAATGTATCTGCAGACAGAGATAATTTTACTTCTTTCTTTACAACTCAGATTCCTTTTTTTTTTTTTTTTTGGCCTAATTGTTCTGGCTAGAACTTCTAGTACTATATTGAATAGAAGTGTGAAAGTGGGCACCCTTGTCTTGTTCCTGATTTTAGAGGAATAGTTTTCAGTCTTTTGCCATTGCATATAATGTTCACTGTATGTTTTTCATATATGGCTTTTACTATGTTGAGGCAATTTCCTTTTATTTCCAGTTTGTTGAGTTTTTTTTTATTATAAAAGAATGTTGAATTTTGTCAAATGATTTTTCTGCATCAATTGATATGACTGTGTGTTTGTTTTGTCTTCATTCTGTTAATATGGTATATTATACTGATTTTTATATTTTGAATCATCCTAGCATTCCAGGAATAAATTCTACTTGGTCATGATGTATAATCCTTTTAATATGTGCTGAATTAGCCAAATTCAGTTAAAATTTATTTAACATATTTTGCTTAACCTATCAAAATATATTATTTTCAGTGTGTAATTAATATAAACTGTAATTACTGAGATATTTTATATTCTTTTTTCACACTCAGTCTTGGAAACCAAGTGTCTATTTTATACTTACAGACATCTCTATTTGGATGATACCCATTTCAAGTGTTTAACAGCCATATGTTGCTAGCGGCCACCGTTTTGGATACCACAGCTCTGGTCACTGTGTTAAGAATTTATAGTAAGCTCACACATTGCCAGTGGGAATGTAAAATAGTGCAGCCACTTTAGAAAACAGTTTGATAGTTCCTTAAAAAGGTAAACATAAAGTTACCATATGATCCAGAAATTCCTCTCCTAGGTATATACCCCAAAGAATTGAAAACATATTTTTATGCAAAAATGTGTATGTGAATTATAGCTGCACTATTTGTAATAGCCAAGAGATGAAAACAACCTAAATGCCCATTAACTGCTGCTTAGATAAACAAAATGTGGTATGCCTAGGCAATAGAATAGTATTCAACCAGAAGAAGGAATAAAGTACTTATTTATGCTACAACATGAATGAACGTTGAAAATATGGTAAGTGTAAAAAAAAGACATAACTGGGAGGCCAAGGTGAGTGGATCACCTGAGGTCAGGAGTTCGAGACCAGCCTGGCCAACATGGTGAAACCCTGTCTCTACCAAAAATACAAAAATTAGCCAGACGTATTGGTGCGTGCCTGTGATCCCAGCTACTCGGGAGGCTGAGGCAGGAGAATCACTTGAACCTGGGGCACGGAGGTTGCAGTGAGCTGAGATCACGCCATTGCACTCCAGCCTGGGCAACAAGAACAAAACTCCGTCTCAAAAAAAAAAAAAAAAAAAAAAAAGACATAAAAGGCAGAGTAGTATGATTCCTTTCATCTAAAATATTCAGATTAGTGGCAGTTAGTATTTTTCCAGGGGCTGGTGGTGGGAGTGTGGAAAGTGACCGGGATGGGGTTTCTTTTTGGAGTCAAAAAAATGGGATTAGTGGCAATTTTTGCACAAGTTTGTGAATATGCTAAAAACTGCTGATTTTATATTTTAAAATGGTAAATTGTATGGTATGTGAATTATATTTTAATTTTAAAAGATATTGTACAGTATTGTACAGAAAAGGAACATGGATGAAGTTTAAAAAGTTAGGAGGCCATTGCAATAGTGTTAGGAGGAGACAAATACAGCTTGGGCAGTGTAGTAGCAGTACAGGTGTTGAGACAGACCAGATTCTGGGAATATTTTGAAAAGTAGAGCCAAATAATTTTTGGATGGATTTTGGTCTGAGTGTCTGGAAAGATGGGATTTCCTCATGGGGCATGATGTTGGAGAAATAATTGGGGTTACTTAAAAACAGAAATTTGCTTTTGGACATAAGCATGAAATGCCCATTAGACATCTCATGATATCCAGTAAGCAGCTGGATATACAAATGAAGAATCGGGGAGAGATAGGTGCTGGAAAGAGAGAGACTTAGGCATCAACATATATAAACGGTATTAAAAGTCATGAGACTAGATGAACCCAGGAGGTGAGTTTAAATATAGAGGGACACAGGCCTGAGTCCTGACTCACTCCAATATTTAGGGTTCTGGGACATGAGAAAGAAGCTGCAATAATGATAAAGGAGTGACCAATTAGGAAGAAGAAAACTTGAATGAATTATGGCCTGAAAGCCACAGGAAAAAAAACAAAAACAAAAACAAAAACAAAAACAAAAAAAAACGTGGTTTAAGAACTGAGTGATCCTTAGTATCAAATGCTGTTGATAGGTCAGGTAAGATGAGGGCTGAGAAATTGCCACTGGATTTAACAGCACAGAGGTCATTCATAACCTTGGTGTAATCAAGGTGAAAGGAAAATTGTATTGGATCAACAGAGAGTGAAAAGATTATTGTAAATGAACACAGAAAAAGGGGCCCAAAGACTAAAAAGAAGTGGAGTCACAATATTCTTTTAAGGTGGAAGTAATAAGTCTATTTGTGTGATAATGTGGACATTGCAGTAAAAAGAGAAAAGTCAAGATTCAGGAGAGGAAAAATGGCTCTGGAGTGTAGTTCGGCAATAGTTAAAATGAGGGTGTGAAAATACTTTAAACACAGAAAAATATTTTCAAAAGAAAGCAAATATATGATATGGCCTTTGAAAAGATTTATTGATTCTGTTTTAGGGGAGTTAGTATGGGCAGACTCACTTGGGTTGCTCATGTACTTTTTTTCCTCCAAACTTTATAACCTCATTGGTAGTGTGCTCAAAGTAAAGTAATGAGGCAGAATTCAACCCACTGAGAAAGCAAGTAGATGGCAGCATGTGAATGAGGTTGAGACAGGGAACCAAATGGATGTGGATGCACCAGACAGAAATTGAAGGCAACTCAGATTTCATTAGGTGATGTTGGTTGTTAGGAGACAGATAAAAATGTTTCCTGTCACTGAACTTCCCTGCAATCTCTGAGGTTGCAGGAGACATTTTTCTCAGGGCCTAAACATCAGCCTATTCCTGAAGTTGCTGGAAACTACTTATCAAACATTTTGCTAACGATTACAAAATCACAAGCTCTTCCCAAGACTCACAATCAATCAACAGCTTAGGCAGGAAGTAGTTGTAGTCTCTTGGGTCATCTCTTTTCATTTTTTGTCTCTTACTCTATCCGAGGAGCTGGATTGAGTCAGCCTTTGATTTCAACTGAAGGAACTGCTTGCTGAGCTCAAATAACAGCCAGCTAATTCCAGGAAAAGCCCTGGGAATGTATAAGGTACTTCGGAGACCCTTCAGGGAACCCAGCCCTTCTGCTGCTCTTTCCCAAAGAACTTCAAATCTGTAGGCTCAATTGCAAACTTCTCTAATGAAATAAATAGATGCTCTAGAAGGAGTGGCTTCCTGTAGAGGCTGAAACTGGCCCTTGTTGTCCTGCTTTTTTTCTCTAATGATCTGTCTTCTCCTAAGGGATGTAGCTTTGAAGGGGTGAGGTCATTGATCTTCCTTTACCAACCTGTCCTAGGTGTGGATACATCATTCTTCCTTAATATTCCTTAGCTGTGACCAGGTTGAATGTTCAAATGAAACTCCACTAAACAACAGAGTATAACCAAAAGGAAGTACGCTAAAATATGCCCAACGGAAGTAACCAAGATAATCTGGGTTAAAAGACAGAGTTTTTAAATTTTCAACTTGAGGTCTCTAAGGGCTTGAGGTCTGCTAAGTAATTGATGCCTTCCTACTTAACTCCCAGGTTACTCACAAGTTTTAAAAACAAACAAAAAGTATCTTTAATTTCTTTATTGCTTGAAATATACTTGAGGTGTTTTTTATTTTTTATTTTTTGAAGTACAGACTTACTGAGCAAGATTTGGGAAGCCGTAAGAGGTCACTTCCCAGCTGCCTAGAATCCACTTCTTAGGTCCCACCTATGCACCCCCCACCAGATCAGGTTATTTTACTTTTGTCTACCCCTAGTAAGAAAAGAATTTATAACGTTGGGCACGGTGGCTCACGCCTGTAATCCCAGCACTTTGGGAAGCAGAGAAGGACAGATCACAAGGTCAGCAGTTCCAGATCAGCCTGGCCAGCATGGTGAAACCCGGACTCTACTAAAAATACAAAAATTAGCCAGGCATGGTGGCATGTGCCTGTAATCCCAGCTACCCAGGGGGCTGAGGTAGAAGAATCGCTTGACCTCGGGAGGCGGAGGTTGCAGTGAGCCAAGATTGCACCACTGCACTCCAGTCTGGGCAACAGAGTGAGAATCCATCTCAAAAAAAAAAAAAAGAAAAAAATAATTTATAAAGAAGTAAGACTCCAGGTGCCTATTCCAAATTCTCTTGCCAGCACTGTAAAATCAGAACTTTCTTCTCCAATTATCACCCTGCCACACACACACACACACACACACACACACACACACACACCACAAATTAAAACAAGTGGGGCACTGAAAAGTCTCAGAGAATGACCACTGTCCAGGTGTCTCTCCACCCACCCTTGACTGGCTTGTGGGTTCCATTTTGTCTAGCAGCCATGCCTTGGTGGTTACTTTGACCTAGATATTCAGAAAAAGAGCAGGTCAGCCAGTATACTTTGTTGAGTGCTTTCTTTTCTTTTTTCTCTGGGGTGCTGGATGGGGATTTTGAGTGGTGGCCATAAATGGTAAGACAGAAACTTAGAATTGGACCTTCAAGTTTTGTCTGCAAACACTGCAAAAGAATAAAAACACTATTATACATTATTAAATGCATTTTTCTCTGACCCTTGCACAAGTTGTAACATCCCCCTCAGTATAGATAACCATGCCTTGAGGCCTCCAGGGTATCTGCAGATAGTTAAGGAAACTGGAGTAAGCAGTGACCTGGTGGTGGTCTTTGGATTCCAGTAGATATAGCCATACACAGCAGGACCCTGTAATGTCCCAAAGACTTGGTGGTATTGGGAGGAGACAGCTAGAGCAGAAGAAAGGCATGGTCCCTTCTGCGTGCAGCAGAACCAGAAGCCAACTAGACTTATTCCTGAGCTGTTGTAAAACATCCCTGAAACTCCCAGAACTGTCCAGGGAAAACATTAATAGTAAGCTAGATTTCTAAATAGCATGAAAAGACTAGAGCCAGAAAAACATAGATCATGGTCAGACATATTTCTTTGCTTACAATGGATGTGAGAAGGCAAACCAGTTAGGAGGTCAATGTAGTAAATCAACACGGGAGATTATGTCAGCCTCAATTAGGATGAATACAGCAGGAATAAGTTAATTGGATGTGTGTAAGTGATACTATTGAGTTACAATCGACAAAAGTTGGTGATTGACTTGATATGGGGTGTGGCCGATCAGATAGGCTGAGAGAGAAGACCACCTCCAGGGTGATTCCCAAGGTCCCAGCTGGGCTGTCACAGATGAGCCATCCTCTCCAGCACCCTTGCAAGCCACATACATTCTCCCTAGATTTTGAAATGGCCTTCTCTATATTCTTACAACTAACTCCCAGGGGTGGGTCTGCTCTGCTTTCACAAAAAGATGTGCTTTGCCCTAGGAATAGGATCAATTTTGTTTACTGTTGGGCAGAATTTAAGAAGCCCAGAGTGCTGACTTCACATCTGTTTCAACCTGAAACTCGTGTAACCACTTCATTATCATGACTTTCTCTTCAAACATCAGAAACTAGACCCCTGACTTTTAATAATCTAAATTCTAAAGTACCTTGAGAACTGAGGTCAAATAATCCCCCTTACCAATACTGGAGTTCAGCTCTAGTTACCTAAGTCCAACCTCTTTAACTCAACTGTCTGCATTCCTGGATGTTTACACACTTTCTGCCCATAAAGTTCCCACTTCGATTTTCCACTCTGTTTCTGGGAGGTCTCCTGTAGCCCATTGTGGACTATTTCTGTTGCTAATCAACTGTATATTGTTTAATTTTTGCCATGGTCTCCTGATGCCATGCCACCTTCCTCTGCTTTTCAGCCAGTGACCTGCTATTGATGTCTTTTCAAGTATCTTCCCACCAGAAGGTTTTCTGATGTCTAAATGAACTTTTTACTCTTGAATTTGATGTGATCAACTATCATTAATACCTTAGCAGGTCCTCAAGAGCTCTTTCAAAGAGTTGGCCATTTGAGCTTCTGCAATTTCTATTAGAAATGTGACATCCTAAATCCATATTTTGCAGAGGTTCCGCTTTTTTTCTTAAATAAGCTAAATGAAATAAATTAAAACTAAGATTTTGAAAGTATATTAAATACTGATTTGGGGGAGTTCAGCCATTTAATTTATAGAAAGATTTAGTAAACTATTTTTAAGTCATTTGGGAAAAAATGTTATTTAAATCTCAAGATGTTACAAACTTTTATAAGGTGTCAATTCTTTCCTCATTAAGGACTGAATTTAAGTACATTGGAATTAGACCAGAAATTTTAACTTTGGCTGCAAAGTGGATTCACCTGGGGAGCTTTAAAAAAGTATTAAGGATTGAGTCTTGCCTTCAGAGATTCTGGTTAATTACTCTGGGACACATCTGGGCAGTGGCATTTTTAAAAGCCCCTAATCATCCTAATGTGCAGCCAAATTTAAGAATCATTGAATTAGATTAATGACATTTAATCGTAGTTTTGAAAATATTAAATATTGTTTATATGGGTTTAAAAACACAGGAAAATTTTATATACCTTTTAGAGATCATCACTTTTAACTTTTTTGTTAATTACACACACATGCACACACACACAGGTACATATATGGTATTCAAAATTTCTAAAAACAACCAACAATGTTAAATTCCATAAAAATAATAAAGAGCAGACTCCACCGGTTGCTAGGAAAGGAGAGTATTAGGGAAGATTTTTAATGGAAATGAAAACCTACTGGGCAAAATGAATTTTGCATGCATTAGCTTGTTTATTTACACAACCCTTTGTGCTAAGTATTATTACCCCCATTTACAAAAGGGGTCCTGGCATTGAGAGAGGTTGAATCACTCATGCAAAGTCTAGTAAGTGGTGGAGCTGTCATTAAAACCAGATGGTAGACATTCTTTTCTCACTCCAGCTCACTCATCAGCTCTTTATAGGAGGGTAGTAGGTAGACAGGATCATCCTGGTGTTGAGTTTAAGAGTCTGCTTTTAAAGGTCTGAAAACTTGACTTTCGTTCTATTCAATGTTGACTAGATTCAGAGAAACTGATTTGTTCTTACTATATTCACAAAACACTAACGTATAAAATTTCCAATGTATTATTTTTAAACTGTTAAATAGACCAAAACATTGTGTTGGCCTTTTCTCCCTTGAAAATAGTTAAACAGGTTGAAAAATCATCAAGTTTGTTCAGTAAACTAGATTATTTAATGGATACTGCCTTTAAGCTACAGAGAGCTGGAGGCATACATCTCCACTGTAGGGAGATAACCATCATGAAATCATGATTGTCCATGTTAGGTGTTAAGACATTCTCTCTCCGAACGGTGTGAGGTCACAGATTCCTGTGATTTCATTTACCCTTCTGTATACTCCATGCAAAATTTCTGCCTTTTTCCTCTCACACTCTTCTTATTTCTCTTAACACCATTGTTTAGGCTACGGTTTCTGTCCCCTTCTGTCAAGTCTTGATTAGATTTCTGGAGCTGCTCTTCCTGCTTTGTCTAATGGGACATCCTGTTCCTTGGTTTACTGTTGCTCAAATTGTGTTGCTTGTAATATCAGTATCACAACCATTTGAGATGCTAATTTAAAAATGTAGACTCATGGGATCCCCACCAGAAATACTAAATCAGAATCTCTGATTTGGGGCCTGAGAACCTAGATTTTAAGAAAATAACTACATGATATGTATAAATACCATGAGATAACTTCTGCAGAAGGTTCATTTCATTTGTCATGTATCACCTGTCCTGGTTTAAACCTGAAGAAGTTATCTTATTTCCAAAACCCAGGGTGGTTTTTAAGATGGCACCTATATACTGAGTAGAGTAACAAGTTGGCTCAAGTTAAAAGTAAAAGGAATTATAAAATCTGGCCACTAGTAGTTCAAGTGATGGGCAAAATTAATCCACATTTTTAAGTGACAAAAAATATTATAATAGAAAACAAAATAGTATAATGCTTTAGTGAGTTTTGAAAATAAAGGCCTGAAGAAAAGAGAAATGTAAAAAAGGAGGCTTTGACTATGTAACACTAAAAATAGGGGAAAAAATCATCCAGGGCTTTTAGTGGGTTTAACATCTGGTTTTTGTTATAGCATGGTTGATTTGATTATCTCTGATATATAATATGGCTGCAAAAACATGAAGAATCGAAAAATGATCATCTTTGAGACTCCACAATGACAGGGGCAGAGCCAGCTTTATTTAAGGAAAGGGGCCTGCATTGGGACCGAGAAAGGGACCATCTCCATGGTTTGTTTAAGGCTAATTCAATGGCCTGCAACAAATAACAAAATAATTAAAAATTATTTTTTAAAGACGTAGTCTTTAATCGACTTGCTCCATAAAATCCTACTTTGGGATATGTTAGTGTTGTCAATGGAAGACGACCATCTTGAGAAGTCAGCAAATATCAAGAGGTATTTATTAGCTTGGGAAAGAAAAAGTTGAGCTTTTCATTAATCTTAGTTGGGAAGTACCTGAGTGATGTCTGCACACAGGCTAATGGGTAGCTCTTAACCATTTCCCTGGAGAACAGTAGAGGAAGAAGGCTTTGCATTGCAGCAGGGCCTTGTACCAGCTCAAAGGAAATGCTTCTAACCTGAAAGGGTAGTGAGAGGTTGTTAACAGGAAACATTTCTCTGTATCTTTCTAGAGATCTTCAGAAATGGATCTGAAACCCTCTAAGAATGGATCTGAAACCCTGCAAGAATAAACAAACCATTGTTTTGTGTCTTTCTTTCCCCTGCCTCATTCCCAGGTAACAGATTTGGGAAATATACTAGGTCACCCTCAGACTACAATTGCTTTTTTATTTTCTCCAACCTTCCAGATTGGTGTTAGCGTCCTCATTAAGCAGGTCAGAGTACTGTTAACACCTAGTATGGTCCTACTTACCAATCTTGCTGGATTGGTTATTATATAGTGAATTTGCAACAAAACAAAACCAAAAAACACTTATGCTTATTGAAAAGTAGGAAAAATTATATTTTTTACTCGTATTTCTCTTCTTTTATCTTAGTTTATTTTATTGAGACAGGATCTTGCTCTGTTTTACAGGCTGAAGTGCAGTCACCCAAACATAGCTCACTGCAGCCTTGATCACTTTGGTTCAAGTGATCCTCCTGTCTCAGCTTCCCGAGTAGCTGAGACCACAGACATAGGTCATGATACCAGGCTAAATCTCCTAATTTTAACTATAATAACTTTAAAACAAAACAGAAAATTTAGTTTAAGGCTGTGAATTGTAACATTTTAGGTATTCATGGAGACTTTATTGAGATACATTAAAGCATGGTAAGCTCTAATGAGAAATATATCTAGATAACATTTTCTTAAAAAGTGTAGCCAAATTATGGCTGATTGCCTGGGTTTTTCTCCTGTACATCAGTTTCTTAATCTTGCATTACAACCTAAATTATCTGGGCCTGGAAGTATCTTAGCAGGTTCTCAAGCGATTCTTAGAAAATACTTGTGCAGCAGTCTCTTCTAGACAAATTCAGACAGCAACGGTGTAAGTTTTTATGATGCGGTGGATTAATTAGGTTTAGAATAATTTCTTGCCTCCAAAGTAAGCAATAGCATCCTCAGTAGTTGCGAGGACTCCTTTTCCCACACGGACAAGTTCACCATGAAATCTGAAAGTTAGGTGCTGCTTGGCAGTGTGCTACACTTTATGTGTCGGTGACCAGGAGTCACAGATGGGATGAGCACACTGGGATTCTGGAAGGCAAAGAGAGAAAGCCCGAAGTTAAGCAAACAGTTTCTACACTGTCACAGCCACATGGTAGCCTCTTTCGAAGTAAAGAAAAAAAAAATTCACCTATTTAGACCATTTTAGAATTGAAGGTTGTCAATTTTATTATTTAAGAACGTTATGAAAATATTTCATGAGTCACTGTACCATACCCAGAATCAGATGCCTGGATACACAATTAGAGAAATTAATTGCACTCTTTCTAAATTAAAATTACTTTTACATATGCCAGGTGACACGGCTCCACCTCATTCAAATGTTCCTCCAACTTTCCTGGCTTACCTTAGTAGAAAAATACATTCCAAAATTTCAGGACATAGTTATAACTAAGAGATCTTACCAACATACAAACGGCAGTGTGCCCGGAATTGGTGGGTTCTTGGTCTCACTGACCTCAAAAATGAGGACGTGGACCCTCGCGGTGAGTGTTACAGTTCTTCAAGGTGATGTGTCCAGAGTTTGTTCCTTCTGATGTTCATACACGTTCAGAGTTTCTTACTTCTGGTGGGTTCGTAGCCTCGCTGGCTTCAGAAGAGAAACTGCAGACCTTCAAGGTGAGTGGTACAGCTCTTAAGGCAGGCGCGTCTGGAGTTGTTCATTCCTCCTGGTGGGTTCGTGGTTTCACTGGCCTCAGGGGTGAAGCTACAGACCTTCACGGTGAGTGTTACAACTCATAAAGGCAGGGCAGACTCAAAAACTCAGCAACAGCGAGATTTATTACAAAGAGCAAAACAACAAAGGCTCTACATTGTGGAAGGGAACCCCAACAGGTTGCTACTACTGGCTCGGGCAGCCTGCTTTTATTCCTTTATCTGGCCCCACCCACATCCTGCTGATTGGTCCATTTTACTTAGAGCTGATTGGTCTGTTTTACAGAGAGCTGATTGGTCTGTTTTGACAGGGTGCTGATTGGTGCATTTACAATCCCTGAGCTAGACACAAAAGTTCTCCAGGTCCCCACTAGATTAGCTAGACACAGAGCACTGATTGGTGCATTTATAAACCTTGAGCTAGACACAGGGTGCTGATTGGTGTATTTACAAACCTTGAGCTAGACACAGAGTACTGATTGGTGTATTTACAATCCCTTAGGTAGACATAAAGATTCTCCAAGTCCCCACTAGACTCAGGAGCCCAGCTGGCTTCACCTAGTGGATCCCACACCGGGGCACAGACGGAGCTGCCAGCCAGTCCCCCGCCATGTGCCCCCACTCCTCAGCCTTTGGGCGTCAGTGGGACCGGGTGCCACAGAGCAGGGGGCAGCGCTTGTCGGGGAGGCTCCGCTGGGCAGCAGCCCCCAGCGGTGGGGAGGCTCAGGCATGGCAGGCTGCAGGTCCCAAGCTCTGCCCTGCGGGGAGGCAGCTGAGGCCCAGCGAGAATTCGAGCACAGTGCCGGCGGGCCAGCACTGCTGGGGGACCTGGTGCACCCTCTGCAGCTGCTGGCCTGGCTGCCGCGGCCAGCCCGGCTGCCCCCAGTGCGGGGCCCACAGAGCCCACACCCACCCGGAACTTGTGTTGGCCCGCGAGCACCATGCGCAGCCTCCATTCCCGCCTGCGCCTCTCCCTCCACACCTGCCTGGAAGCCGAGGGAGCTGGCTCTGACCTTGGCCAGCCCAGAGAGGGGATCTCATAGTGCAACGGCGGGCTAAAGGGCTCCTCCAGCGTGGCCAGAGTGGGTGCCAGGCGGAGGAGGCACCAAGAGCGAGCAAGGGCTGCCAGCACGCTGTCACCTCTCAGTAGTACAGTCCTTATAGATGATATAAAGTAGAAAGCCCTTTAGTTGAGCTTTGGAAAGAAACACCAAGCCCCAGATAAGGTTGGCTTGAAGACAAACTATGACTTTGGCAATTTTGTTTTTCATTTTCATAACTTCTGTTTTATTGGATCAAGAAGCTCTTTTGTGGGTTCATTTCAATGATGTGCCTGTCAGTTTAATCCAAGCATAAGTAAATTTAGTCAAATAATCAGTTGGAATTGATTTAAATGGATTGACAGGTGGTTTTGAGGTCTTCAGATTATTACCTCTGAGGCTATTTACTCTACGTGTGTGTGTGTGTGTGTGTGTGTGTTCTAAAGCCAGGAATGTGGCCCAAGGGGAAGAACACAGAATGGTAACTATAAGAGAAAGAATATTACTTTGTGTAAATATAGGTGAGGCCAATGCAAACATGACAGGCCAAATGTAATCCTGTGTGATGGAAATTTATTTTTTAAGTTCCAAGTCGGTAAAATTATTTTCACACAAAAAGATTGAATCAGATCCTTTTGTAGTTTACGAGCATGATGATTGAGTGTTCACACACGGATGTGATATGTGCCACCCTCAAACCTTGTTACGACTTCAGCTTATTACCCAACTGACCTGAAGAAAGGGAAAGAAAAGGAAAGACTGACTCTTATTTAAATAACAGTATTGATACTTGACACTGTTAATTTCCTTATCATATTCTTAGGAGTATCTATTCATAACAATATGAAAGACATTGCTTTGACTTATATTCTCAAGCATTTCTTATGTTTGGTAGGTAAGAAAGTATATTCAATTATATCTCAAACTGAGATATAGTAGTATCCCTGCCTTCATCAGAAACTGTGTGAAAATAAGTAGTCAACATTTTGTACTGTTTAGGATATTGTGTGCTTATTTAGTGGTTTGACTTCAAATACATTTACAGGTAATGTAGAGTGGCTGCCTTCGCAAAGACGGGAGGGAAAGGCTGTCAGAGAGAGGTACAAGGAGAACAATAACCACAGAGATGGTTTATTCCTTGTTCAGAATATTAGGTATAGACTAGTTCATTATAGTACCTTAAATCACATCATATGTCTAAGATATTTAATGATAATCATTCAAGTACTTCACAGCCTGAAAAGTCTTCATGCACTTCCCTATAAAGATGGCTCCAAAATATATTTGAACACATTTTAAAAGTAAGTTGTTTATTGAATCTTCAGTTTTTACTACCTCTCCGCTCTATCTCAAAAGGTGACGTTCCCTAAAGCTTGCAGGTTGCCATAAATTACTGAGCTTTGGAGAAAAGTAATGAACTCATTTGTTTTGTTTTTGCTTTTCAACTTTACAGCAACCTTGAAAATAAATGAAAACTATCAGGATGTTTAGTTTAGGAAATTTTCATGGACTTTATATAAACTGCAGTAAGTCATTAAAAATAAGAGAAAAGCCAATGGGAAAAAAACTAATGTGATAGTGATAACTGAACCGTGATCTCCTAATTGCAGCTGTATATTATATCTACCTATAGCTACATGGCAACATAATATATTTATATCAATAAATTAGCAGCAAATTCCTAATGCTCTTCTTTATTGTTTCCCTCATACTACCTTCTTAAACCTCTTGGTCAAACTGCTAATTATTAGATTTTTTTCACCTTCTGCATGTATCTACAAAACATCTTCCTCTAATTGATTAATGGCAAGTCACTACATTTATCAGCTTACTCTTTCTGACGTCTGATAGGATTAAGCCTGAAGGGTGTCAAGGAAGCAGGAGGGAAAAGTATTCAGATCATACCTTCATTTGCATTCCTTTTAAGTACAGGAGAGTTTACAAAGCATTTATTCTATTACAGCTATCAATTTGCTATTTATATAGGTGTCCTGAGAGCCAGATGGTATCAGGTTAGAGGTTGGTCCTATCATTTCAGGAGCAACCTCCACTTCTGAAGTCACAGGCCCCAAGAACAATGACCAAGGTCGCCCTCCACAGCAGGGCTGTGCTTTTCTTTGAGGAGAGATAGCCCTTCAATGCTGAGAAACCCAGCTTCCAGGAACTGCAGGCCTCAGCCCAGGCACTGTCTTTCACGTAGTCCTGCAGAGAACAATTGTGTGAAGCACGGTGACCTCAGAAGCCCAAAGCCTGGCAGGCTATTTATGAATGCAGCGTGCTCAGAAAATGGGTTCAGGATGAGGAAACCCTATCAGAGCCCAATTTAGCTCCCACTCTGCCTGTGAGAGCATCCTATGAGAAAACAAGGGTAAATATAGCAATAACCAGGTTGCATGTTGTGCTTCTGAGAGCAGAAATGAGAGATCTTCAGAGAAATTTTAGCCAGACAAGTAGGATTCTCGGAGCATTTGTTGTGGAGCTAGATTATCGAGGTGTTTTTCTATTGGCCTTTTATCTTTTTTGAGGGAGTTGAAAATCTGGTCAATGAATTCCCACTTTTACGTAAGAAAACATTTTACAATGAATATGGGATAAATAACATTGCTCATCTTTGAAATATGATGGCCCCATTGTTATTTCCAGAGCAATCTAAATAGATAAAATAGTTTCTTTCCAAGCAGGTCGGCCACTTTGGGCTAATGCAGCTTATCATCTGTGAGAATTAGGCCTGGCCTGAAAATGCCCTCAGCAGGATTCAGTATAGTTTTCCTTATGTTATATAGTCATGTTAGTAATAACGACAGAGGACACCCCGTCCCAGGTGTCAATCACCTAGTGGAAGAAGAACAAGAGCTTCCTCAAAAGAATGCAGCAGCTAACGCAGAATGCTGTAAGACTCCAGCTTCACTGCTTTGAAACCTCCTGCAGATTCTTTTGTTCTTCACACACGATATATTTCACTCTTCAAATAGCTCCATGCTGTTTAATATCCAGAGTTCCTTTCATGAACTGTCACATGCTTAGGTTGACACAGACGCTAACTTAATTAAAGCCTCAGGGAGCACATGTATTATCCACTATAACTGGCCCTTCATTGGAAGGAAAATGGCATTTAGCAGCAGTTGTGGGCTGTGATAACCAACAAAGTGAAAGTAAGAAGAATACTGCAAGTGGAAAATGCTACAACCTTACAGAAAAGCAACACAACTGCGTGAAGCAGGGGCTGCCAAGGAAGTCATAATGTTGAGCCAATAATTCTTGTGGAGTTTTTCATAAGCAAATAGTAAAAACCCAAAGCTATAAGGACACAATTGCTCATTGCAATGACTGATATCCCAATCCCCAAAGAACAGAAAACAAAATCTCTTTAATTATAAATTTGCATATTGGGAATCTCAGTCTGGTCATTGACTCAAATATATTTTAATTTTAAAAAGCATGTATTTATACACATATACATTTGAAAACATGAGCTATGTTCTAGCAGTTCAAAGGCATTTGCCAAGACGTTTCCAATAATCTTGATGTAATTCCCTATTGTGCGCTTAAAAGATTATAAAACTTCCATTGAGCTTTTCTGTATTAAAACGAAACAACTCCATTCTACCTTCATCCCCTCTGGAAAGAATACAGGACCACATTTATGTATTTCTGGTATTAAAAATGCATATTTTACCCAGTGCTAAGTGGAGAGTCTGTTGCTTAATATTTGTAACCATGGGCTGGTAACAATTTCTCTCCAGAGTCACAGGTCCATGCAAAATGAGAGTACATGACCTCAGGCCTTGCCCTTCTCCTTCTCGGTCTTTACTAACATACAGGGGTACATACCCAGGACAATGGAACTGTTTATGAAACAATATAATTCATAATAACACAATGACTCCTTAAAAGTAAAGCTTCGCAAGTGGTATGGAGGAAATGACATCACTTTTAGACTGGACAAGAGACTTAGTGTTTCAGCAAGCATATGAATACAAGTTTTCTACCTGGATGAAATACATGCTATCATAAAGTAATATTCACAGCATGGTTAGGATGAGAATAAAGTCAGAGATGACAAAAATAACCTTTTTATGTTTTTTAATTCTGCACAATTATTCTGGTGCTTTTAAAAATGATTAATGACAATGGCTCACCGATTCTGAGACTTTTACCTGTCTGTGACTTTAAAAAATTAGAAATGCATGAGTTTTTAAAAAGTCAAAGTGAGAACTCAGAAGTGTTAAACTGAAAGTAATGAAAGCACTTTCACAAAATTATTTTTTACCTAAGGGAATCTATTTCAAGTCATATTCAGGATTCTGACTGATGAGTTGATGGATATGCCTGAATTCCATAAAGGAATATGAATTCAAGGGCAAAATGTATTTGGGGGAGGAAACAACTTTATTTAAAAGGCATTGAAATTGATTTTCAAAACTTGTGTGCTTCTGGGGAATAGGAAAGGACAAATTCTCTAATGAGAGCTGAGGATGAAAGTGAAGCGTGTAGGGAGAGAGATACAGACACATAGAGAGAGGCTTTGCAGATATACATGTAAGGACAGTCTCCATCCACAGCCTGAAGAAGTGCAAAAGGTCACTTTCTTGTCTCTGACATATAAGAATAGTATTCTATCATGCAGCAACCTCTATGAATTTGGATACCTCAGCTCATGTCTGAAAACAAAGAATAAAATGTCAAATTCGCCAGTATAAGTTCTGAAAAGTTTCATTATGAAGTCCCCAAATCCAGTAGCATAATTATTAGCTAGGTGTTGACAGCAAGTGTCAGGATGTATCAATATTGCCTGAACCCAGTCGTGATTCAGGAACTACAACACTGACCTTTACCCCAGACACAGTGAGTCTAAAGGCAGTTGTGACATAAAGCTCATTTCAAACAAATGAATAGGGTTGTAAACTTAAGTATAAACAGGATTGTACATAAATCTTTCATCCCTGTATATGTTCATCGTTTTTTTTCAGCTGCCCCAAACATACAAAAAAAGGGAGCTGTGTTTATTTCATTATTCGTATTATAGACTACTTTCAGATTGTGTTTAGAGAAGATGTCTCTTCCTATATGCATAGGTAGATATACATAGATCTTCCCAGTTGAAGAGAGTTATAGCATTGTTTATCTTTTGGTTCCTGTTGTTTCTCCTAACACAGTAATTTTCCTTCAATAAATATTTATTAAATAAATAAAATATAAATAGCTTTCCTCATACATTACAGCATAAGCATAATTAGAAATCATTTTTATTTTAACACCAAGGAGCTTGCTGCATATTTCTAGTTATAATTTGCATGCCACATAGTGTAGCATACTGCGCTCCGATTCAGGTGGAGCTGAGTCCTGCCCTTATCCTTTTTATTAGCTAGATGATCTCCATGGAGTTCATGACAATTTTAAAGGCTCTACTTCCTCAACTGGAGGACGGGAACGGAAAGGAGGAAAGGGAAGAAAAACTTAACTGGCTTATTTCCTAAGATTGCCCTGATGATTGATTGAGATATATGAATGCCGGGTGTAAAATATACGACCCACACCGGTATGCATTTTGAAAAAGTCTAGCAATCATGTCACTCCTTCCAACATGCTGTCTATAATGTGAATTTAGCCCTTATCATTTTTCTCACATTTGTATTTACAAGGCATTTTTCTTTTTCATTCAGGAACAAAAACTAGGATTTAGTTAGTACACAGACTGTTAAATGCGGCTTTCATAGAATGAATATTACAGCTTTTTAAAGCCATTTCTCATTATATTGAAAGCTTTAATTTTGAAAAGAAACTCATGTTTTGCTAACCAAGGTAACATGTAGTCTATTGTGTGCAAACAATATAAAATTATTGTTTGCAAATCTTTTTGTACCTAATTCTAGGATTGCCAAGGAAATGGAAAGATGAAAATGAAATATATGTAGCCATTCCAAGTTTTGCTTTACCTCAGCCTACCCACTTTGCAAGCACCAAAGTTTGAAGTTGGTTTCTAAATTCAGAACACAGTTTCCTAGAGGATCTATATTTGGAAGAAGGATATTTCCCTTGTCTAGAAATACACCCTTTCCTGTGTGCTCTGCAGATATCCAAATGGGAGTTTTCCCAAAACCAAGTAAACAATATCAACTCCTTTGCTTGTTATCTTAAATTTGAATTGAAATCAGTAACTTTGGAAAAATAGTTGGTAATTTGACACAAATGGTGAAGTCTTCCAGTGCTGTGTTCGGACCATGCCTCTGCTCTGCTTTTATGCCCTTTACATTCTTGCATTATTGTACGTACTGTAATATAATCCTATTCTATCTTCCTGATATAAACTCATTGAGGAGAAAGACCTTATTTTTCATTTTTAAGTCTCCTGTGCTTGGCATGGTTTTGGTATAAGGTAAGTGTCCGATAAGTATTTGTTGAAGGGATGAATAAATAAATTGCATATGACTATATAGACACACATACAGTAAAATGAATTTGTAAGGTCAAAACACAGCTGTTTACACAAATGATCAAATAACTTTAGTCCAGTCATAGAAATATAGTAACAGTGACTTAGAGGAACCGATTTGTGGTGAGATAAAACAGAGTTCAAAGCCAGCTCTGCCCCTTTGGCTGGCTCTATGACTTGGGCAAGTTACTACATCTCCTTGTAATAATTGCAATTATTACATCTCTCGGAGCCTCATTCTCCTCATCTGTAAGGTATGGAATGGGTAACAGGATTGAAGGAGGTAAAGCATGCAAAAACTTTTGTAAGGGTCTGGCCATGTAGCAAGTCCTTGATAAATGGTAGCCCTTAGCATTAAGTGGTAGTCACGGTAGAAAAATAAAAGATGTCCTAATAATTTGTAAGAGGTTTTACCACTAGAAACACTATATCTTTTTCTTTTAAGTAGTGTCTTTCTTTATACGACTTTTCATTCAATCTTCTTGAAGCCAGATTTCCTTCCGACAAATTATTCCATTTTCAGTTCTCCCTAATGGATGAATTCTTTTTCTCTTTATGATAAAATAAATAGAGGCAGCTGATACAGCCACAAATCACTCCAACTTCCTATGGAAATTACTTCATTGATTTCTGAAATGATAAAGGACCTGTAATGTACCTATAAATACAGTCATTAAGTCACAAATTGCTCATGGCAGCACAGGAAATCTCAATATACTGTCCAGGCATCATCCTCCCCCAAATACACATTTTCCCAAGGGCGCCCAGCCCGGATCCATTATCATAAGTACAGCTGGAGCTAGAGTCATGAATCAAGGGCAGCTTTCCTGTTCCTCATCCTTTCTGAGTTCATTAGAGTGGGCAAGTTTTCAGACTAACATGTTAGGTCAGAAGTAAGATCATTTGCATAAAACAAGATGAGTATTCACCAGTCAACTTCTCTGTGACATGGTCAGAGTCTGGATTCTAAAAGGAGCCTCTCCTGAAACCCAGAAGGCTCTGATGCAAAAGTAGGAAGGCGTCACAGACTTGGAAAGTGGACTGTATTCCCTAGCCCCAGACATTTCATTTGCAGGCATGCACCATGTCTCATGTCTGGGGCCTGCTCATATTGTCTTCACGGTCAAAGAAGAAAATGATAAGGATTTTGGGCACTGGAAGGTGCAAACAGTGGTTTTATTGCGTGTAAGTTCCGCCCCTGGATGCCTGCAAAAAAGCAGAGACCTTGGCATCTCTACCTGGAACAGAGATAATTCCAAGATCATTGTACGCCCTTTGTGGAATTATACTTAGCAGTGAAAATCTTTCAACCAACTTCTGAACTTGTTAGGGGTGGTTACTGGCAAAATTCTTTGTTTCCCTTTTATATTTATTGACTTTGCCTTCCTCTTACCCCATACTGGCTATATTTCCCTTTTGGGTTTTATTTAGTTTGCTGAGGCTTTCAATTTGTTTCTCCCCAAATCTTCTCAGATCTCTAGTCTCATAGGTTAGGTGTTTAAATAATATATTTAAATGGCTTGTGGAAGAACACAAACATAGAGGCATCACAGCAGGCACTAGGCTCCATGACCTGAAAAACAAACTTATTAATGCCTTTGTGTTCTTTTCAGCACATCCCACTAGTGGAGGGCTAGCTGGCAGCCGCAGCTCACTGCTTAAACCGAAATGAATTTCACAAGAAAACACAGTTCATATGCCAAAAGGAAGTAATTCAATCCAAGTACAGAATAATCTTTTTCTGGTACCTTATATTTATTTTTTATGTGCCGTATTTAAACTTTTAATCATCCAGCAGCAGCAGGAATTACTACTCATCATCATTCTTCCCATTGCATTTGGGAACAGCACCAATACTCAAGGATTACCTGGAGTGTGAGGGGATGCATATTAAATTCCTGTTTTCATTTTCCTAAATGTGTCCCATTATCTCTCTATTGTCCTTGGCTTTTGTGAAAGAAAAAGAGGCAAAAATAGGCCGAAACCTGTTCAGACAAGCAGCATCTAGTGAGCAAAAAGAAAATCTCCTGGGTAGGTCTTACTCAAATCTCTTTAATGGCACACTAATTATATATAACCCTACTGGCATCTTTGGTGTCACTTTCTTTAGAAAAATTATCAAGTGTTTATCCCTGGGGTTTATGTTGTTACTCTTGGAAAGAATCCACCAAGTGTCTGAAATGACTCTGAGGCTACTCTCCTTGAACCTGCCCTATGCTTAGCCAGAGTTTGTCATTAACTGCAGGTGGTTACTGAGCAATTATAGCTAATCAGAACCTTAAAGGGAGGGGTTTTTAATCCCCCTCATGGGACGCTTTCCCCTTGAAGTTCTGTTTACTTCTATTTGATGCTTTAGGCAATCCTCTAACATTTGGGAAGAAAGTTTTTCTATTTATCAATTACTATGAAATGTCTTCATGATGTGCTATTATTATATTATCTTTTAAAGGGAAATTTGAAAATTTCTTTGAAAATGAAATCTAGTTTTTTATACAGGATGAAAATTAATCCCTTCTAGGTTTGCCCTCAGCTGTCAGAAAACTCTCATAGCACTCAGTAGTTTTTAATATCTTTTCTGCTGCAGTCTGAGTCTGGCTAGGGTTTGTGACCAGACTGTTTAATAGCTTTGTATCTTTTGTGAGATCTTTATGATAAGGGACAACATATACTTTCATATTTCAAAGACAAATAATTTCAGAAGGTAACATTTTTCTTGAGAGTTGAATTAAAAAATCTTCTGAATTTTGGATAGGAAGTTTTCTAAAATATATTATGCACTTCATTTCCTTCTTAAACAAACTATTTGATGCATATTTCCAAATTTTTAAATAAATAAAATAATCATCATGGACGTCGACTATTTTCCTCTGCCTAAAACATAATGGTCTTGGGAATAATTAAGCTATTTGTGGCTATTTGCTCCATACCAAATGGTCCTGTACTGCCAGTCTTTTACAATCCTTTGTATGGCTTTTGTAAACCATAGATTTTGTCTATGGTCTTCATTGCTTTTACCTTTGTTTGCTTTCACTTCTTGCTGTGCCCTGGGCACTGCTGAGAGCCCTTAGCTAATAACTGACCCCTGGTGTATGAACATCAGGACATATTTTGACTGCTAGCTCCCTTGAGAACATTGGACTTAGCTGATTTCCCTGTTCCACATATAACTATGATGTACATTACTCTGACATTGAATGGAATCTTTCAAAATAGTTAGTCAAAATGGTGGAACACAAAGTACAGGTTGATCCTTTTACTTTAAATAAGTCGAATGTAAAATGCAGAAAGCCAAACAGATAGATACTACCTCTAATAGTAAAAGCAGATGGGCTAGAATCCAAATTTTGTCTATTCTTAAGCTTTATTTAGGAACTAAAGTGGTTTTATTATGTTAAAAATGTAGATTCCTGGACACACTTCAAACCTTCTGGATCAGAATTTCTGGAGGCAGAATTCTTGATTCTTAAGCATGCAACCAACATAATTTTGACAAAAAAAAATTGGGGCCACATTTTGCGAAGTGTTAAGCTATAGTTAAGCATTATAATAATAATAAGTATGCTGGTGAATCACAGTGATCCTTGTTAAAAGAGAATTCTTACTGATAAATAAAAGTATTTATAGTCTTTTCTATATTCATTATATATTTTATAATGAATCATCTATTTTTAGAAAAGTTCTGTGAAGTAGAAAATTTAACTCAGCATAAAAAAAAATGTAAGGTAATGTTTTTATTCTCAAGAGGCGGATTGGGCTGCAGAACATCTGTGAACTCCTTAAAAGTGCATGCGGCCGGGCGCGGTGGTTCACGCCTGTAATCCCAGCACTTTGGGAAGCCGAGGCGGGCGGATCACGAGGTCAGGAGATCTAGACCATCCTGGATAACCCGGTAAAACTCCGTCTCTACTAAAAATACAAAAAAATTAGCCGGGCGTGGTGGCAGGCGCCTGTAGTCCCAGTTACTCCGGAGGCTGAGGCAGGAGAATGGCGTGAACCCGGGAGGCGGAGCTTGCAGTGAGCCGAGATCTCGCCACTGCACTCCAGCCTGGGCCACAGAGCAAGACTCCGTCTCAAAAAAAAAAAAAAAAAAAAGTTTTTTTGGATATATGCTTTTTTCTGGGAAGAGAGTTGATAACTTTCAAGTGATTATGCTCATTTTAGAGATGAGAAAACTAAGGCTCAAAGAGATTAAGGAACTTGCCCTTAGCAGTTAAAAAATGAGTTATTCTTTCTCTGAATAGTTAAAGAATTTCTCAGCCGGATAGAACTGGGGTCCTAAAGATAGGTGTGTCCGATTCCAAATCCATGCTGTTTTCCATCCAAGCTTAGGGTCTCTCAAGTGGCTTCAAATATTTTCTTTCATTATTCTCGGAAGAGTTGCCCAATTTTGCCATGAGGTTGCCCTTCCCATGGCCCTGGCCATTCTTTACCACTTTTGTTCACCTACTAGTCCTACCAGGTGAATCTTGTCTTAATAGTCTAATCATAATGTAATGAAGTGCTTTTCTCTCTTGGAGAAACAATGGCCCTCATTCTCTGTCTTATCTGATCTCATTTTGTTTCCGGTGATAGCTAACTCAGTTTCTTCAGGAGAGTTTTCCCAAAATTGTCAGAGAACAACCACACCAGACCTATTCAGCAGGTTAGGGGGAGCCCAGTTCCCCATTGTCCCCTGTTCCATTTTTATTTTTTATTTTTCAGTTTCTCTTGAATAAGCACTTGAAGCAGCTGGGAAACTTACACCACCATCTAAGTAAAGCCAGCATGATCTCTGCCTAGCAACAGGAAGCAGGATCTATTGCCAGTGGCAATGTTTGTTTATCTCAACCAAATGCCTACTCATTCAAGAGACAAACCTGTCGTCTTGGTTGAGTCATTATTTTTTTTTCTAAATAATTATTTCTCTTTAATTATTTATTTAAGATGAGGCCCTTTTTAACAAGTGGGCTTCCACCACCTCCAATACTCCCCATATGGCTTTTTAATATTAGTAATCCTAAAGTGGGTGTTAGAACTCTCAAACTCCTCCACGGAGTCCAAGAACAGAAAAAAGAGGAAAAGAAATGAGAGTCTTCGCTAGAGGATCCTTCGGCTGCAAGGAAGAGCAGACATCCAGCAGCCTTGTGAGATCACTACTGATTCTGCTTTTTCACTGCAAGAAATATTTGTTCAGGCATTTGCAATGTACCATGTGTATGGCTAGGAGCTAGGGATACACATGATTAAGAAACAATATTTGACCTCATGAAGCTCCACATCAAATTAAAGAGACAGAGGCACATACCTAGGGAAGTGGCTGCAGTTTGTGTATGCATTGAGACACACTCAGTGATGAAGAGGAGAAGCAACTGTTATCAGGAAAGATAAAGGAAGCGACTGCTTCCTTGGGCTGGCCTTGTGTTTTCTCACTCATCACCACCCAGAGTTACATCAATCTGATGGTCTGCTCTAGGGAAAAAGAAGAAATGCACGTGGGTATGTTTAAATTTCCAGAAGGCTTGGGGCCTTTAACCAGCTAGAATTGTTTCTCTACAGAGGCTGAAAGTGCATCCATCTATCACTGAAATCTACTAGGAACGTATTGTCCAGCCTAGAGGAATTAGGAATTAATCTTTTCCAGAGAAAATCTTTTCCATGGTTGAAATCGAAACTGCCCCCAGAGAATAATATTCCTAGGAATATACATAATACAATAAAAACAAAGAGCACAGTTGAATAAATCTATGGTTAGACTGAAGAGTTTTGTTTCATTGAAGTATGTTGCTGGATTAGCTGAATCCTTGCTGTTTAGATTTTCTTTCTGAAATACATTGTAATGATTGCTTCAAATGTTTTATATTCAGACTTGGCCACAGTTATACTATTGAATTAGTTGGATGAATTTTAACCGATTTAAATGCAATTGGGCAAGTAAATAAAATCAATCTTATACCAGTTAGTTAACACTGTGCTAAAAATGTAATTATATGACACAATGTCTTCCACAATGGTTGAGCTAATTTACACTCCCACCAACAGTGTAAAAGCTTTCCTTTTCTTTGCAACAATAGAACTTTGAATGCTAAACTGAAAGAACTTTGATATGATCAGGTCTACCTACCTATCAAGTAAAAATAAAATAAGTTATAACTTTAAATAATTAAAAATAATTTTGGTACAACATGATGAACTAGTATGTCCCACTTCATCAGATTGGAGTACAAAATAAGGGGATATTTATTTTGAGGTTTCAACTATAATGATTATGATTTCCCAACTTTCTCAAAATTGGGGGTATGTTATGCCACTTCTCTTTTGAAGCAATGTCTGTCAATCCCTGAGGAATTCTCACTTGTAAATTCCACTAATATTTGTCCACTCACTAAATACCAGACCTTGTTCCAGGCATTAGGGATAAAAAGGATGCCCTGATTTCATAGAGCTTGCATTTTAGTTGGAAGAAGCAGTCAATAACCCAACAAATCAACAGGATGACCAATAGACAAACAGCAAAAAAATAAGGAGGAAAATGTTAAGTGTTATCTGAGAGCTAAATTTCAGTGATTTGATGAACAGTGAGGGGTAGTCAGGGCGGGACTTTCCGAGGGCAGGGCATTTGAGGTGAGGTCTGAAGGAGCGGAAAGCAATCCATTTGGCTGGAGCACAGGAGCGGAAGTGAAAGTGAGGGAAAAGCAGGGATGGTCCCGGAGAGTCTGGTGGAGATGTAGATTTTAATATTCCTGTGAAGGGAAATCACTGGAGCCTGGCAAGTAGGGGGAGTGGCATGGTGTGATTAGTAACTTCAAAAGATGTGTTTGTATGGAGAATAGATTGTAGCTGGCAAGATTCGAAACAGGGTGAGCAGTTAGAAGCTATGAGAATGGTTCAGGTGAGATTCAGAGGGGACTTGGAAAGTGTGAAGCCATGGGGACATGTTCTGTAGGTGTGTTGATTAGACCTGGATAAGGTGTGGGGGTGAGATTAAGGATGGCTTCTAGATTGCATCGCCAACACACTTTTAATGCTTTGTGATCCCAGAGATTTCCGGGTCCCCATATGCAGTCAGGCAATGGTGTTTCCTAAATGTTGCATCTCCTGGTACCAGCTTACTACAGGCACATTTAAAAATTCAATACCCACCTAAACCAAAGTATGCTATTGAACACTTTTTATTGCAAGTTTGGAATTTCAGCACTTGCTGATGTCTTATCAGGCTCAAAGTTCCC
Source organism: Homo sapiens (assembly GCF_000001405.40). Lineage (NCBI taxonomy): Eukaryota > Metazoa > Chordata > Mammalia > Primates > Hominidae > Homo > Homo sapiens. The sequence continues at coordinate 58,083,197 of NC_000005.10, forward strand.
ATCCAAAGACCAGGTGGTAGAGGTTGGCTTTTTCATTTTGGCCAAAAATAAATCTTAGTTCACTCATAATTTTGAGCCTAGAAACCTCACACTTCCAGTCATTTGCTCAGTATAGGTGACCTTTTCCTTTCCAGTTGTCCCTGCATAATTAACAGGGGTAAATCTGTTTCCTGTATTAGAATCTATAATATGTAATTAGAACAATGTGTAATTAAAACTTCTACAATATATAACTAGAACTTCTCCACCCAGAAAGAGCTATTACAATAGTGAACCCAATATTTTACATATTTGGGGAAAAATTTTAGCTAATAAAGTGCCCTCCAATTTGCATTATACACTAACTGGTTAATATTCTGCAGCATCCATATATAATCTTATGGTCACTTTATTATGTTCTCAAAGAGCAGGTGGGTATTTGCTTTATTTTACTCTTTTGACTAAAGCTGTTATTTAATAGGCTTCTCAATGAATGTCTGGCTCATTTTAGAACAAAGATAATCTTCTCTAAAAACAATTTATTCTTAACCTTCAGAAGCCAACTCTAACAAGATCCCCATTTTACAATTTCTCACAAATAAAAAAATAAAACAAGTTGAAATTACTCTTTTTTGATTGCTCCTCCATTTATAATTTTTGTACCATCATCAAAGGAAGAATTGAGAAGAGCAAGACAATAGCCTGTATAAATGTTTGAGTCTTTAGTGAAAAGTGGAGATTATGTGGTCCAGATACCATCCACAGCTGTGATTTTGTTGAAGATGGTTCAAATCACCTGAAGAGTTGTTTCAAGTATACATGTTTCTCTCGCCTCCATGAGAACCACTAATTTACAGTCGACTATATCATAGAAAAGGCGCAAGTGCATTAAATTTTGCAAAGCTATCTTTATAAATTCTAATTAATCATGAAAGAATGAGTCATAGAAGTAAGGTGCAAGGGACACTGTTATATAATTCACATGATAACTGATTTTGATAGTTTCTTTTATGTAGAACTTGTTTATATAAGAAACAGAATTTTATGACTCTTAGATATACAAGTGATCTTTGCACATTTAATGCCTTTTGGGTATAGTAGGCAACCAAAGAGTTCTTAGTAAGTTTAAATAATGTGTTTCTCTGTAGAATAAGGAAAATACACATAGCAAATTAAACATTTAAGATTCTAAGTTCTTTATGCAGCTTTCATTTTCCTTGGATGTTCATTGCTACATATCTTAAAACAAGCAGGACTCTCAAAATTGAGTAGAGAAAGAATCAGGAAATTTTCCATGGAGAAGAATGGTGTCACTGAGGTGTGGCAATGGCTCTCAAGTATGCTTTCTCTACGGGCTCACAGGAACATGTGTTGTCTTTGCCTCCCTTCTTTCTCTGTCAGAACAATAGAAATATTGGCAAATGTTCCCAGAAAATTCTAGCAAATTCTCTCTACTACAAAAATGGCCTTTAGAGAAAATAACTGTGAAAAGTAGGAAGTTATGAGAAGACAAATTTGAACAGTCCAATGTGCTTTTGTTTGTTATAATTAGCTGTGTGAACTGGACCTTTCACTTTATAAAATAAGAGCATTCAGTTGGGCAATATTCTTCACAGACACGTTCACTTTATGTTTCCATCAAAGTCTCAGAGCTATCACCACTTACTGTAACTCTTTTTCAAATTTCAGAGATTAAAGTCATTTGAAAACACAAATAAGGTAGCTTGGGAGATGTTCCTGGATTTCCATAACATCCATTCTTACTTCTTTAAGCTGTAGATTCTTAGGCACACATTCCCACTGCCTCATTATTCTACTGGCAGCTAAAGCAAAGTGCTACTTCCAATGCAAGAAGCCAGCCAGGAAGCCCACCTGCTCATTCTTTCTCACAGTAATATTTCTTCCATATTCTGGCTTTGAACCTTTTCGACTACTTGACTATCTGACCTTGCCTTTTTTTATTTATTTTTTTTTTTTTTGAGAAGGAGTCTCGCTCTGTAGCCCAGGCTGGAGTGCAATGGCACAATCTTGGCTCACTGCAATCTCTGCCTCCCGGGTTCAAGCAATTCTCCTGCCTCAGCCTCCCGAGTAGCTGGGACTACAGCCTTTTTCTTTTCAGGATAAGTGCTGCATATCTTCCTATCCTTCCTGAGGCCAACACCAGGTATTTATTACACGTCTGCTTTCTAGCAGAAAATAACATACTTGCTTCAAGGGTCAGACCTCAACTTGCATAAGACTTTGGAAGAATTGTCTCTCTTTCTACATGAGTTGATCTGCTTTTTCCTGAAGGCCTCTGCCACCCAGCAGTCCTTGTTTTGTATATGAATGACATATAGAGACACTCAAAGGAGGGACTTGACCCATATTTTCCAAGATATTTTCAATCTTCCTCCTCTTTCAGCACAGAATACTATGGGCAAGAGCAGCTCCATTTTGCCCCCTATTTAAAACAGAAAAAAAAAATGATTTTCCCCAAAACGAATTTGTTTTATTGAAACTCATTTCCTCTGTTAATTTTCAATGATACATGTTTACTTATAATTTAAAAATGAAAAAAGGATGTATAAAATTCTGGGAAAATAAAAATTTCACTATTTTGCTCCAAAATGCTTTTTATCTCTCTCTAGTGTTACTAATGCTTTTACCTTAGGTTTCTACATTGATGTTATGGATGCTATGCTTTTGTCTGAGAAAATTTTCCTCAGGGAAAATCCTTAACATCCAAATTCATGGGCCTCTCTAATAAAGTGCATGGCCAGGTGAAAGGTGAAATGAATCATAGCATGCCTGCGGCATTCAGTCAACAGCATGGGAAGCTGTGCCAACTGTGGGCCAGCTGGCTTCGCCTACACACTCTTCCCCTCATACAAACGGACAGATTTGATACTGTTCTAGCTGTGAGTCCAGGCAGTTCTATGATAAAGTGAATTCATGAAGACACTCTTATCTCAAAACCAACAACTCCATGTATTCACTCCAACATCTGAGAAAGAACTGAAATCTTGGAATATTTTTCACGGGGTAGGCAAGTTTTGGGGATGCTTCAGCTAATCATGGAGGCACCTTGAGGTCAAATACAAAGGGGTGATGCCCCAGACTTCTTTCTAATCTGTCAAACTTCTGAATCTGGAAAATCCAGCGATGCTAATCCATGGGCTCAGTAATCTGAAGGGATTTGGGGAACTTGAGAATCAGCAGCCATTATTTTTAAGTGTTTCATTGTCTTCCTTCTTTCAGGCAAAATAGAATAACTAATGGAAACACAAGTCTTTCCACCTCATCAAATCCAACTCATAAATAGAAAGTATCTGGTATTCTAGCCCTAAAGATTTGGGATTCTTGAGACATTTGGATAACCCTAATGTCTGGTTAATACAGCCTATGGCAACCTATAATCAGGTCAGTTGAAGCTATATTAAACTGCACTGATACTGTCATCCCTGAAATTTACAAGTTTTCCATAGACTTGTGTATAGACATAATCCTTTAAACTATTTGCGCATTACAAAAGATTATAACCATGATTTTATGACATAAAAAGAAATTTGAGTTTTGGTGTATGGTGTAGTAACCTCACCTTTATAACAGCTGATTATTAATTTGCATGTAGAAAAATCAGACTAACTGGAATCTTCCAGGTTCCATGAGAATAAGTATGGGCAAAGTATCTTTCTCAGCTATAAATTGGTTCTTCATTAGACTTTCTCTTCCTCTAACTCAAAGACAAATATCCTAATAAACAAATTCCTGTGTCGATATTTTTATAATTTTTAACACATTTAGCAGCAGAATAACTAAATGGATTTAAGACTTCGTTGAAAATTATTGTCAAAAATCTGTAAGAATAAATCATGTTTGCTTCATTTTCTAAAGCTCAGGTCCATAATACATGGTATTCTAATTAACCTATATGATCAAGGCAGCCCAAAGAAACTTGCCCCAGACTTGATGAGGAAATTGAATTCCAGTTAAGGTTCTCTTTTCCAGAGACCTCTTTGCATGGCAGAGAACTGAATAGTAGCAGGAGGAATAGTTTGGATATGGAGGGAGTGAGTTCAGTAAGTTTTACTTGGAGCCCAGGGAATTTGTTCTCTGAGTCTTTCATGTGTGTTGATGGAATGGGGCTGGGTCAAGGCTGCTAGGGCCTTTCACAGAAGGGGAATTCAGAGTGTTCACAGCTGGATGGTTATGATATATGAGTGAGGACAGTGGAGAACAGCTGGAATATTATTGCTATTTATCCAGACTCTCAAAAATATATCTGTGACAAAGAAGCCCACTTTTCTCCCAAATAAGAAGAATAGAGAAATGTTAGAGATGGAGATGATTCGTGTGCATGCTTTCCACTAAAATTTTTCAAAGTTTAACAAGTTTTTTGTGTGTAGCCTTGCAGAAAAAGACATTGTAGTTGACGTGGAAAGACAAACAAGGTTAATGGTGGTCGTATAAATACTCTGGGAGAACAAAAAACAACACAAAAAATTAAGCAAGTTTCAAACATGTCTCAATATTCTTATCATAGGAGGTGAATAATAAAGGATATATTTAAAAATCAGGAATTCAGATGCACTTCAAATCACTCTCAAAGGTTAAATGCCTCAATGGTGTTAGCTCCCTAACTTAACGATGCCGATTTTCCTGTAAAACTTCAAGAATTTTCTTTTTATCTTTAACATTAGGAGAAATAACATATTTATAGGCTTGCACTTTTAACTTATTTAGACCTGGTTTCAGAAGAGAAGACAAATCATCTCTCCCCCGATCCAGGGTTTTGATCAAGGCCCATAATTCAAAAACAACCTTGGTTCTACTTGTTTCTCAGGGCCTTTTAGTACCATGTCTGGCTAGTAACTGGATGACTTGAGCATGCATTATCCAGCCCCCTGTGTCCTTAAAGCCATCTTAGACTGGGTTAGGCATGTAGTTATACAGCTGCTGGTTTCCACTGCAGGAAGTGGGTACGTTTAGAGGGAGGACTAAAGTGAGATGCATGTCTAATTTCTTTACTAGGCTGTAAACAACTTTGAGATATTTCAGGACAAAAGATAGTATTTAAAGGTAAGATATTATAAAGAGTGGCAATAATAGTAATGATAGTAATTAGTGTTATAATAAAATACAAAGGAAATGAGAAAAATGTATCTTTAATAATCTGAAGTTAACTTGACAAACCAAACAAAATAAGTAAGTGAAATAAGCTTTTTGCTTGTTCTTTGGAATTGATAATGACTTGCCCACTGTTTATATTTAGGACTTTGCAGGAGCTCTGTGAAAGCTACCACGTGATACAAAGGAATAATATATATATATATATATATATATATATATATATGGTTCCTATATGTCTTCAGTACGTTGAATCTAGCTTCAGCATTTATTAAAAAGAAATACAACTTGTCAGGGTACAGTGTGTAAACCTACAGGCTGTCAATTGACAAGAAAAAAAGTACTTTTTCTCTTCTAGCCATTCTTCCTCTTTTTATGTGGGGACAAAAGAAGATGCTGTGTTGGCAAGAATTTGAAGGGCACATGGGTTATATCTGATCACCTTTCCTTGCAGGTACTTCTAATTAAAGTGAGATTTGGAAAATATAGATTCTCTTTGGTGATACACAGATAACGAACTAGCAAACAGAGCTTTTAAATCTAGAGGTGTGTCCAGAAGGTCATGTAGGTTCCCAGGTGTTCGTGGCCTCAAAGGCGGAAACTGCCCTATGGAAATATTCTCAAAGGATGGTGAAGATAAGTTAATAATAACAATGTGTGTTTACCATAGATGGAGGGGCCTTTCAAAGCCCCAAGTTCTCTTCCTCTGACACATATGCATTTGTGTATGGAGTGTGTGTTGTTCCTCTCATCCATGTGACCAGACGCTCCGGTAGATATTAACAGCAGGAAATGCAAGGTGTGAGTGTCCAGAGTGGGTGGTGCTGGCATTGGACAGAGCAAACCTTTGAGAAGCAGGAAACTCTTCCAGGAAGCAGGAGGCTGGGAAATGCCTGTGTCTTCGCTGTTTTGTTTGTAAAGGGCTGTCTTGAGTCATCTAACGGTTGGAGTTTTCTCCTGAAGGAGGAAGTAGGCTTTAGACAAAGCGAGGATTGATTTGTGTTATGCTCTTGCTTCAGAAAGGAATTAGAAATTATTTTCTTCTCAGGGAGGAATGATTTGGCTCACAGTGAAATGTACACCACAGATAAGGTGATGAAGTTGGATCTGCTGTTTTTATTGTATTGGGAGTTTCCTCTCAGCTTTAGATAGGGGTTTCTGTGGGTTATAGAGCTTGAAGAGAATTACCAAGAGACTAGAGATCAGTATACCTATTATATTTACTAATTTATTCATTTATTCACAGAACAAACATGTATTTAATACTTAATATAAAATGGTCAGCATGTTACTTCAAAATTATATGGAAGTATGAATAATTCTGAACCATTTTCTATTTGAAATTTGTTAAGATTATGACACTGTGACATACGAAGTAATTAGATTTTAGAAATAAAGAACATTTGTCACTAATATTTTTCAGTAACTTTTGTATTCCCATTAATATATTATGTACCTTTATATACAATCATGTGCTACATAATGGCACTTTGGTCAATGATGGGCTGCATCTATAACTGTGGTCCCACAAAATTAAAATGGAGTTTAAAAATTCGAGGGAAGCCATAGCCGTTGTAATGTCATAGCACAACACATTACTCACTTGGCTGCAGTGATGTTGGTGTAAACAAAGCTACTGCACTGTCAGTCACATAAATGTAGAGCACATACAATTATGTGCAGTACATAATACTAGATAATGATGATAAACAACTACGTTGCTGATTTACATATTTACTATGTCATATTGTTATTGTTATTTTATAACAATATTCCCCGTATACTCCTTCTACTTACAGAAAAATAGAAGTTAACTGTAAAACAGCCTCAGGCGGGTTCTTCAGGAGGTATCTAGAAGAGGGCATTGTTCTCACAGGAGATGACAGCTCCATGTGTGTGATTGCCCCGAGGACCTTCCAGTGGGACAAGATGTAGAGGTGGAAGACAGGGATACTGAAGATTCTGACCTTGTGTAGGCCTAGGCTAATGTGTGTTTGTGTCTTAGTTTTTAACACAAAGTTTAACAAGTAAAAAAAAAAAATTTTAAATCTAAAAAGCTTATAAAATAAATATACAAAGGAAGAACGTATTTTTGTGTTTGTGTTTTAAGCTAAGTGATATTACAAAAATGTCAAAAAGTTAAATAGTTGAAAAGTTTAGAAAGTAAAAAGTTACAGTTAGCTAAGATTAATTTATTATTGAAGAAAGAAAAAATATTTTTTTAATAAATTTAGTGTGGCCTAAGTGTTTATAAGGTCTATAGTAGTATACAGTAATGTCCTAGGCCTTTACATTCACTCACCACTCACTCACTCACTCAGCCAGAGCAACTTCCAGTCCTGCAAGCTCCATTCATGGTCAATGTTCTATGTAGGTATACCACTTTTGATCTTTTTTTTTAAGCCATATTTTTACTGTACCTTTTCTATGTTTAAATATGTTTAGATATACTAATACTTACCATTGTGCTATAATTGCCTACAGTATTCAGTACATAACATTCTGTACAGGGTTGTAACCCAGGAGTAATAGGCTATACCATACAGCCTACGTGTGTAGTAGGCTGTGCCATCTAGGTTTGTGTAAGTACACTCTACGATGTTTGCATAATGATGAAATCACCTAATGGTGCATTTCTCAGAACATTTCTCCATCGTCAAGTGACACATGACTGTCTATGATCTCCTTTAATCTTCCTTTAATCCTCATCCAGTAGCGGTAACTACTACTATCCTTATTTTAGAGATGAAGAAAAGAGGCTTACAGAGGTTGTTTCACTTTGTTAGAGCTGCCACAATAAAATACCATTAACTGGGTGGCTTAAAATACAGAAATTTATTTTCTCAAAGTTCTGGAGGCTGGAAGCCCCATCAAGATATTGGCACAGTTGGCTTCTTCTGAGGCCTCTCTCTTTGACTTGTGTATCTGTGTCAAAGTTTTCCCTGTGTATCTGTGTCCAAGTTTCCTCTTTCTACTAGGACACCAGTCATAATGGAGTAGATCTACCCTAGTTACCTCATTTAACTTTAATCACCTCTTTAAAGGCCCTCTCTCCAAATACAGTCATATTCTAGGGTTTTAGGGATTAGGACTTCAACACATGATTTTTTTTTTTTTTTTTTTTTTTGGTTGCGGGTTGTGGCACAGTTCAGTTCATAACAGGTTAAAATGTTTCAAGATCACATAGAGAGTAAGACAAGGGTAAGCCAGGACATGCAATTCCCTCCTTTCCTCTTCATAAGCCTTAGAGTGACCTTAAATAATAGTGCTTTCCCTGTTTCCCTGGCTAGTCTTTATTGCACACCTGTTATGTGCCAGGCACTGCTACAAATGCTGAGGGTAGAGAGCTCCTTCCCTTATGGAGATTGCTATGTTGTGGACGAGCCAGCCAAGAAGTAAGTTAGCAAACACTCATGTGAGGCAACTCCATAAATACAGTAAGTACCACACAGGAAATAAATAGGGCAATGTAACAAAACATGACTAGGTGGGGTGAGGAGATGGGAGGCCACTTTGGAGAAGGAGAGTCCCAAAAGTCTTCTCTAGAAAGGTAATCTTGAGCTGGAAACCTAGGAGAGGGGAAGGTGCCAGCCCTGGGTCAAGGGTGGGGAAAAGTTTTACTGCAGAGGGGAGGGAAAAATGCAAAGGCCCTGCATAGTGACAGAGCAGGCCTGGTTGTGTGAGAAGACCTGTGCTATGTAGGTGACTTTCCATGCTGCCCAGCAGAGGCATTATTGATAGCAAACTTAGAAAGCAGAGTTGACCATTGTAGTTTAAGAAGCTGTGAAGCCCTGGGTTCTAATCTCAGCTTCAGCCCCTACTAGCTGTGAAACCTGAAAGGGCACTATCTGTGTCTGAGCCTTAGCTTCCTCAAGATAGAGGAGGAGAATATGGGTAGAGCAACACACAGTATCCACCTGCCTTGGCCTCGAGCTTGTCATGATGCACGTATGAGATAATATGCATGACAGTGCTTTTCAGACTGAAAATGAAGTGTCACAGAGAAGACCTGGAGTCATTGTTTCAACATGTCTGTCTATCTATCTATCTATCTATCTATCTATCTATCTATCTATCTATCCATCCATGTGTCTGTCTGTCCATCCATCCATCCATCAATCCATCCATCCTTCCATCCATCCAATCTATCTAGCTACCTAGCTACCTGTTTTTCCCCCAACTTTTACCTAAATGTAATCAAAACTCAAGTAGAACTCAAAGCATTCTACTTTATGAAGTGACTAAAATCATTTGTCATGGCAAAATTATACGAAGTTAAGTAGGTCATTTCCTTTCACTCATTAAACAACTCAAAGTGAAATTAGTTATTTTTGTTTATAGAGAGGCTCATGGAGTGTGTTGCATATTCTCTTTGAGAACTCAAGCATGAGCAGGCATGCCCTGACTGGCCAGCAAGTAGGGGTGAGGGTGGGGGTGGAGGTGGCTGTTTAGGGCGTCATTTACAGGAAGGTCCACAGAGTCCTAAGAGAGTAGCGTTAAAGGATAACTTTAGGTTGACATCCACACCTCCATATTTTATAGCTAAGACCCCCAAGATACAGGGAAACAGTTCTCACTCTTGATGATCTGGGCACTCCTTTATCATAACAAGGAATAAACCACTCAGAGGAGAGAAAGCAGCAGGTGCACAATCATTAAATCCTTCCTGTCTCCATGCCTTTGCACACGCCGTTTCCTCTCTTTAGAATGCTCTCTCCAGAGTCATTCACGTGCTGGTTCCTTCTCATCAGTCCTTCCCTAGCTCAAATGGAATTCATCAGGGAAGCCTTTCTTCACCACCCAGTTCATCCTTTCTCCTCACCAAAATCACTTTCTATCCTTTCCTCTTTTTCTGTTTGCCTTCACAGCATTTATCACTCCAAATGTGTCTCAAATATTTATTTAACTTTTTTTTTTACTGTCTTACCCAAACCAGACAACAAATTCTATGGGAGCAGGGAAACTACCAAGTTAATCACTGCATCCCATTGTCTGAATCAAAGATGTTGGTCATTACATCGCCTGTGAATCAATGAAGGGATGACTACTTTTAGGTAAAGCTGGGTACTGGGGAAGGGGTTAATTCTGTGAACAGTACATTTTTACTTAAATTCTATTCTAGCCTTGGGTTCCGGGGACTTGGTTTCCAGGAGAAAAGAGATACAGAGTTGCTGTAGGAAAGCTAATTAATTGTAGACGAAAGCCTACAATTGTAGAAGAAATCTCAACCTCTCCATGTCTCAGTCTCAGCAAAAAAAGACTGGAAATAATAATAGTAACTTGCAGGATTGTTGGAAAGATTAGTGAAGTAATGTTTTCAAAGCACATGGCATGAAGATCAATAAACGGCATCAGTTATTGTTAACTGAGTCATTAAAAGGGCAAGGCACTCTGTCTTTTGACCTAATAGAAGTTTTACGTAAGTGTGAAAAGCCAAGAGCCATGCTAAAACCTTAATGCAAAGAGCTAGTGGGTCTCATCCATCTGGAAAATCTGGACCAGGCTTCCATAGCGCTGGCAATGGAGGTCCTTCCTGACTCTATTGGCCTCCCTTAGAACACAATGAATCCTGCACCTGAGGACCACAAGGACTCTTTTCTCAGCAGATGCATCTTCATACTGATGCAAGTTTCTCAATTTTCATAAAAGTTATTGAAATCCTTTAATATGTAATTACTTAATATTAATTTCATGGGACGAGGCTTTGAAAGAGCCCACAGGCTTATTTCAGCAGCATCAGTCACCTTGCATGCCAAGCCACTGTGACATTTCTCAGCTGTAACTTAAGGGAAGGCAAAGATAGCCTCTTGAGTTGGCTTATGCTGATTTCAGCAGGCTCACGAGCGGCAGCGCCCACAGGAAGGATGTGTACAGGATGTGTGCAGGTGTTCCTCACGCTCTATTCTTATGACATGTTTTGCTGAGTGATGACAAGTCATCATTTTCCCATGAGCGGCCACCTTCTCTTTCCTCAAACTTCTGAGTCATAAAAGGCTCAGGGCTATTTTCTCAGCTTGAGCAATGGCCAAGGAAAGACAGAGTGCCATGAGCATCCTTTCTCATGTCCTCTTTTTTTCCTGAACAATCCCAAGGAGAGAAACCCTGGGAGCCAAGTTTACAAGAGTAAATACAAGGAGGACAAAGATATTCTTTACAACTAAGTGCACACCAGGAGAATGTTTAATGCAGTTCTTGCATGTCAGTTCTGTAACATCTCAGTCTGTCTTGATTGCCCACTCTCCCTTGGAGGCCATGGGCTCTTCTGGAGGGCTGTGGGCTCCTCCACTTCAGGAGCTTTCCAGACAGCCTCTTCCTTACCTGCTACCATCCTGTAGGAGGTCCTGTGGAGGATGACAAATGATGCTTTTCTTTACCTTAGAGCACTTAAATAAGAACAGAAAAACTAAGTTGATTTTCCAAATTTCCCTCTGAAAGTAAAGAGATTGGAGCCAAAAATATCTGGGTCCCCTGTCCAACATCCCAAATCTTCATTGTTCTGCTCCTGAATTTCTTCCAACCAAAGGCACTCCTGGCCTTCCTTCCTGCATCCAGTCTTGGAAGCAAATGTTACATTGCCACTTCCTTTTCTTAAACATTTCACTCACTATGTATCATCCCTCAAATTAAGGTCAAATATAATAATTTGGCTAACAGCTTCCTCATAATCTAGGCCCTCCCTCTCTTTTATAGTCTACTTTTGCTCCTTACATCCCAACCATAGAATTGGTCACATTTTCTGTTTCTAACCCTTGCACGCGCTACCAGTAACACCTAAGGCAGTGATTCTCAACCGCAGAGAATCATTTGAGATACCTGTGTCCCTGACAAACTGCTTGGGAATCTCTGGGGTAGACTGAAAGTTTCCCAGGTTTAAAACCCAGCCTGTATCAAGAGTCACCAGCTCAGGTTCTCACCCTTGGCTGCACATTAAATTCACCTGGAAACATTTAAAATCCCAATGCTCGCCTACATTCAAAGCCATTACATCGGAATCTCTAAGCATGGGACTCAAGCATCAGTACTTTTTTTAAAGTTCTCTAGGTGCTTCCAATTTTATAAAGCACTGTCCTCAAGGGTTCTCTCCTACAGTCTCTGGATACCTTTTATTTATTCTTTAGACCTCACCTAGATGGAACTTTCTGAGAAGACTTTACTGACCCAGGTGCTCACTTGAGTGTGCTTATACAATGTCTTTAGGCCATGACAACTTGACATAATTCCCTGTTTATTTATCTGTGTCCCCATCAGCTCTTGAGGGCAGAGACTGTGTGGTGCCCTTTAGATCCTTTAGAGCCCAAGGCAGGGACTATCAGGCAGTAAATGAGCATCCTTGAGCAGCGTCTCCTCTGTACCAGGCACTGTGCCTGAAGCGCCAAATGGTTTCTGTCCTCATGAGTTTCCAGTGCTCTCCTAAAATCCCCTATTCTTCCAACCTTTCAAAAGAGAACATATAGCAGCAATTTACCAACCAATTTCTTTGCCCCAGAGACGTGGTATGATGCCCAGGAGATAGAGCATAGCCCCACCCAGCTCCTAGTTTTACAAGGAAATCATCCAACAGGAGAGAGAGAAACTCCCAGAGAATATTTCTGACCCTAAGAACACTGTTCTCATCTTGTTAGGTCCCAAATAAAAAACTGAAAAAGTAAAGACACCAGTAAGGATGACAAATGCATGAAGGGTAATTTTCAGAACAGATTCTGGATACATCTGTTTCTATTTCAATTATTATTACGAACATAAGCAGGCTTCTGCTGGAGGGTTCTAAATGCAACCTGTGAAATTTGACTTAGGAAGCAACTAACAACATTGTCTGTAAAAAAGGAAAGGCACCATGCCAACGAGATATTAAGTAAATGAGTATAATAAGAATTGCATATATGTCCTTACTTTTAATCTTTGCAACAAAATGCTATTTCCTAGGCATTGTAGGATCATGACAGATCTGGATTCTGGTGCTGACTTTGCCACTAGCTATATAAACTCAGGCAAATTACTTCCCTTCTCTGAACCTCAGTCTTCTGGTCTGTGAAATGTGGACAGTCCAGTTATCCACCTCAGAGCGTTGTAAGAATTATATGAGATTGTTCAAGTAAATTTCTTAGCATAGTGTCTATCCTACAGTAATTTAATAGTAAATGCTTGCTCTTCTCATTATATTTTCTAGGCAAGGGTGGGAAACCCAGAGAGGAATTGCTTTTGATGGTAAGTGGGCTAAGACAGGGGTAAGAATTCACTGGAGAAGATGTTTTCCCCTTTGTGATGATGGATATTCAGGCTGCAGTCAACCACAGGTTGCACAAGTTTTATTTCCATTATTCACTGAAATTTGGCTCTAAGTTTTTATCATGACCCCCTTAAATGACTTGCCATGAATACTTAACCATAGTTTTCATTTCTTGCATGCTTTATTCTTTCCCTTTTCTTCCCTTTTACATATGAACATGTATGAAGATCAAAACTCTGGAGCTATCACGCCTCACTTAGACAGTAGATCCAAGTACAGGACTCTCAGGTTTCTTTAGCTTCTTATTGCTATTCATGGATCATTGTCCTGGTACAACAACTATCACTGGATTTCTCACTGATTCACATTTATGGGACTGTTTTTAAATAATGGGAAGTGGATAATCAATTAGGGAATTATTATGGGATAAATGAAATTCCTCTGAGTAGTGAAATATTAAAGTCTGTTTGCTATGATTTTTAAAAGTAACTTCAGTTTCATAGATAGAAATAATTTTTAGATCCATGCAAATGGTGCTACTGCAGCTATTTCAGTTGACGTATTTGCTGATTGTTATTTTGAAGGAAAAATTGGGTGGAGCATGTACTGGGAGAAGAGGGGGCAATGTAAGTTTGGAGAGGGAGGAGGTGTATATTTGTATGGGAGTTGGGCAGTTGCTGACTTTGTATGGATAAGAAAATCCATACAAGAATATACCATACTAAGGAAAATTGTCATCTCGTGAATTTCCTAAGGCCCACATCCATGGGTGGTAACATTAATTCATGTCCAACAAATCCATAGTTTTCCCAAAGGATCAGGAAACTAGACATCTAAAACATCTTTTCTCTAATTTTTTTCTTAAGTGTTCCTGATGCTGTGTTGATGAGAAATTTGTACTGCAATTTGTTTTCTCTCCTCTAAACACGATCTCCCTAAATATTCCCTACTAATCTTATATTCATGCTTATGGGAGATAGATAGATAGATAGATAGATAGATAGATAGATAGATGATTGATAGAGGCAAGAAGTCTAAGATAGAGTGTTTCATTTCCTCAGACCCTCAGATTTCCATGTTATAGTCAGATAATATAACCCCATCATCATTGTTGCTATCACCCCAAGTATTTTGACTGTGCCTTCATAGTGGCCAGTGAAGCCAGGCATGGTGTGTCACAGCAATCTCATGCTTGAGCATGCCATCCACATGAATTTTAATTGCTATAGCCAGATTGTGTCCTCTTTTACTTTATCTCTTAGACTTAATGGTGCCCATAATATTGACCCAATTCAAATAGTTCAACCTTATTCCTGAACTCTTTGGTCACAAGAGATCTCTGCTGGGAAAGTCTATCATGAGCAGCTCTGTTTGGTAGAGAGCTTAGAAAAATGTGTCCCTGACATGGAAAATGTAGGCCCAGTGGGTTTCGTGCTATAATTACATGTTTCTGGATTTATAAACCAATTCCATGATAAACCAAGCATAGTGCCCAGTTGGCAAATTGATGCCCCACTGACTCCAGGTTGGATACCAATACTGGAATTCCAGATTGAAACCTTGCTGCAATGCAGTCAGCCATATGCATAGTCATTTTTCTCACTGATTTTATTGAGGTCTAAGCTCTCCTACATCTTAAACCTGACTAGATATACACTAGGCAGGAGTTTGTTCATTAATAAGTAGATGAGGGGTTGGAGGAAGTTTTTTTTGAGGCAGATCTGAGTTTCTGAGAACATGTCTACCCTAGTGTTAGGAACTGAATCGTGTCCCTGCAAAATTCCTATGTTGAAATTCTTACACCTGGTACACCACATAACGTGATTCTATTTGGAGATAAGATCTTTAAAGAGATAATTAGGGTTAAATGAGGTTATATGGATGGGGCCTGATTTAATATGGCTGTGTTCTTATAAGAAGAGCGACACCAGGGATGTGTGTACAGAGAAGAAGGCCACGTGGGGACACAGCGAGAAGGTGCCTGTCTGCAAGCTTAAAAGAGAAGCCTCAGAAAAAACTGAACCCGCCAAGAATTTGATCTTAGACTTCCAGCCTCCAGAACTGTGATAAAGTAAATTTATGTTGTTTAAGCCACCTAGTTTGTGGGATTCTGTTATGGCAGCCCTAGCAAACTAATACACCTGGAGAAAAATTACGGCAAAGTTAAACCATCTTACTGAACGTGAAGAAGAAGGTGTCTTGTCATTTTTATATTACATTGCTTAGGTTTTTCTTATTTCTAGTCATTGAAATTACTGTAACCCTTAAATCTCAAAATATGTTATATTGGTGTTTTTTGTTTTAAGTTTCCTTTAAGGAGGTTTCCATTTGTTTAAGCCTCTTCTTTTGCATGGGTCCATTCAGTGGGCATTTTCTTCTTCACATGTTTCAGGGCATAAGGAAGTGAGTAAGAGAATGAGCTCCATGTCAGACCAACCAAGACTGTCGTGTCCAACACTAACTAGGATTATGACCATAGAATCTTACTATGTTCTCACAAGTTTTATGACCTTGACCCCTGTGACCTCTATGACTTTTCATAGGCCTTTATCAGCTTCACATAAATGCCTATAAAGGGAAATTTAGTACGAAATCTTTAATTTTTTCTCATCCCTCTCCCTATTCTTCCAGTGACAATACTTTGTCAAGATTCAATTTCCACTTCAGGAGTGCTATCAAAATATTATTTATAACCATATATAATTGCACATGAAAATTAAAGCAGTAGAAAGTTATTTTATGAGGCAGAACATGTGGAGCTAACTACATATGTTTAATTCTGTATACTCCAGAAGATGGTGGTTTGATAAAATGTTAAATATAAATTGGGGACTAGGATTTTGCTTAGAGAAAGGAATCATCTGTAATACTCAGTAAAAACCATCTGCCAAGGCGTCAGAACTCACACATGGAGGAATAAAATCCTCAAATAAACCACTGCAGAAAGGAACGGCTTCAGGGACCCTTCCACTCCAGGATGCCATCTGGCACACTCCTTCTTTCAGCTTATATGACTTCAAGAGCCTTGGAGCTGGTTAGCACTGTCAGAGAAACTTCAAGCATCAACCACAAACATCAAAAGTAAAGGTCTCATGCCCTCTTCTTCTTCATCCTTCAATACTACTTTTTTAGTTGTAGTTTGTTGCATAAATGGGTAAAGCGCGGAAGATAGCAGGAATATACAGTCATGTCATTTAAAATATGTTTGTCTTCTCTTTCTTTTTTTATTTTTGCTTTGTTATTTTAAGTGGGCATTTGTCAACTACAAAGACAACAGTAGGAACTTTAATTTGGATTATAACTCAACTCGCATTATAACTCAACAGAGGTCTTGACTTTTCTAAGATTCAGTTTTGCGATCTATAAAATGGGGATAGCAACACTTTGATATTGTAAAGATTCACTGTGGTAGAACACATTTGAGCTCCTAGCCCAGGCCCTGCTCAGTGCTCACAGATATTAGCTATGACCCTGGTTAGCCTCAGATCTCAAGAGCTACCTGCACAAAGACATTGCACATTGTCTTCCTCTTTGAGGTGTGGCAGTGCTACCTTCGTAGCTCCATCATCAGGTTTCTGAGATTGTTTTTTACATTTATCCATCTATTCTTTTATTTTTTTACATACTTCAAGTTCTGGGGTATATGTACAGAACGTGCAGGTTTGTTACAAAGGTATGCATGTGCCATGGTGGCTTGCTGCACCCATCAACCCACCATCTACATTAGGTATTTGTCCTAATGCTATCCCTCACCTAGCCCCCAACCCCCTGACAGGCCCCAGTGTGTGTGTGATTTCCCCTCCCTGTGTCCATGTGTTCTCATTGTTCAACTCCCACTTAGGAGTGAGAATATGTGGTGTTTGGTTTTCTGTTCTTGTGATAGTTTGCTGAGAATGATGGTTTCCAGCTTCATCCATGTCCCTGCAAAGGACATGAACTCATCCTTTTTTATGGCTGTATGGTATTCTATGGTGTATATGTGCCACATTTTCTTTATCCAGTCTATCACTGATGGGCATTTGGGTTGGTTCCAGGTCTTTACTATTGCAAACAGTGTTGCAATAAACATATGTGTGTATATGTCTTTATAATAGAATGATTTATAATCCTTTGGGTATATACCTAGTAATGGGATTGCTGGGTCAAATGGTATTTCTGGTTCTAGATCCTTGAGGAATCACCACGCTGTCTTCCACAATAGTTAAACTAATTTACGGTCTCACCAACAGTGTAAAAACATTCCTATTTCTCCATATCCTCTCCAGGATCTGTAGT
Source organism: Homo sapiens (assembly GCF_000001405.40). Taxonomy (NCBI): domain Eukaryota; kingdom Metazoa; phylum Chordata; class Mammalia; order Primates; family Hominidae; genus Homo; species Homo sapiens. The sequence continues at coordinate 58,100,787 of NC_000005.10, forward strand.
TTCCTGACTTTTTAAAGATCACCTTTCTAACTGGTGTGAGATGGTATCTCACTGTGGTTTTGATTTGCATTTCTCTAATGACCAGTGAGATGAGCTTTTTATTCATGTTTGTTGGCTGCATAAGTGTCTTCTTTTGGGAAGTGTATGTTCATATCCTTTGCCTACTTTTCGATGGGATTGTTTGTTTTTTTCTTGTAAATTTCTTTAAGTTCCTTGTAGATTCAGGATATTAGCCCTTTGTCAGATGGATAGATTGCAAAAGTTTTCTCCCATTCTGTAGGTTGCCTGTTCACTCTGATGAGAGTTTCTTTTGCTGTGTAGAAACTCTTTAGTTTAATTAGATCCCATTTGTCAATTATGGCTTTTGTTGGCATTGCTTTTGGTGTGTTAGTCATGAAGTCTTTGCCCATGCCTATGTCCTGAATGGCATTGCCTAGGTTTTCTTCTAGGGTTTTTATGGTTTTAGGTCTTACGTTTACGTCTTTAATACATCTGGAGTTAATTTTTGTGTAGGGTATAAGGAAGGGATCCAGTTTCAGGTTTCTGCATATGGCCAGCCAGTTTGCCCAACACCATTTATTAAATAGGGAATCCTTTCCCCATTGCTTGTTTTTCTCAGGTTTGTCAAAGATCAGATGGTTGTAGATGTGTGGTATTATTTCTGAGGGCTCTGTTCTGCTCCATTGGTCTGCATATCTGTTTTGGTACCAGTACCATGCCCTTTTGATTACTGTAGCCTTGTAGTACATTTTGAAGTCAGGTAGCGTGATGTCTCCAGCTTTGTTCCTTTTGCTTAGGATTGTCTTGGTGATGCGGGCTCTTTTTTGGTTCCATATGAAGTTTAAAGTAGTTTTTTCCAATTCTGTGAAGAAAGTCAATGTGAGCTTGATGGGGATAGCATTGAATCTATAAATTACTTTGGGAAGTATGGCTATTTTCACGATATTCATTTTTCCTATCAATGAGCATGGAATGTTTTTCCATTTGTTTATGTCCTCTCTTATTTCTTTCAGCAGCGGTTTTTAGTTCTCCTTGAAGAGGTCCTTCATATCCCTTGTAAGTTGTATTCCTAGGTATTTTATTCTCTTTGTAGCAATTGTGAATGGGAGTTCATTCATGATTCGGCTGTTTGTCTGTTATTGGTGTATAGGAATGCTTGTGATTTTTGTACATTGGTTTTGTATCCTGAGAATTTGCTAATGTTGCTTATCAGCTTAAGGAGATTTTGGGTTGAGACGATGGGGTTTTCTAAATATACAATCAAGTCATCTGCAAACAGAAACAATTTTACTTCCTCTCTTCCAATTTGAATACCCTTAATTTCTTTCTCTTGCCTGACTGCCCTGGCCAGAACTTCCAATACTATGTGGAATAGGAGTGGTGAGAGAGGGCATCCCTGTCTTGTGCCAGTTTTCAAAGGGAATGCTTCCAGTTTTTGCCTACTCAGGATGATATTGGCTGTGGGTTTGTCATAAATAGCTCTTATTATTTTGAGATACATTCCATTGATACCTAGTTTATTGAGAGTTTTTAGCATGAAGGTATGTTGAATTTTGTCAAAGGCCTTTTCTTCATCTATTGAGATAATCATGTGGTTTTTGTCATTGGTTCTGTTTTTGTGATGGATTACGTTTATTGATTTACATATGTTGAACCAGCCTTGCATCCCAGGGATGAAACTAACTTCTTTGTGGTAGATAAGATTTTTGATGTGCTGCTGGATTCAGTTTGCTAGTATTTTATAGAGGATTTTCACATCGATGTTCATCAGGGTTACTGGCCTGAAATTTTCTTTCCTTTTCTTTTCTTTTCTTTTTTTTGGTTATGTCTCTGCTCAGTTTTGGTGTCAGGATGATGCTGGCCTCATAAAATGAGTTAGGAAGGATTCCCTGTTTTTCGATTGCTTGGAATAATTTCAGAAGGAATGGTACCAGCTCCCCTTTGTACCTCTGGTAGAATTCAGCTGTGAATCTGTCTGATCCTGGAATTTTTTTGGTTGGTAGGCTATTAATTACTGCCTCAATTTCAGAACTTGTTATTGGTCTATTCAGGGATTCGACTTCTTCCTGGTTTAGTCTTGGGAGGGTGCATGTGTCCAGGAACTTATCCATTTCTTCTAGATTTTCTAGTTTATTTGCATGAGGTGTTTATAGTATTCTCTGATGGTAGTTTGTATTTCTGAGGGATCGGTGGTGATATTCTCTTTTTTATCATTTTTTATTATGTCTATTTGATTCTTCTCTCTTTCTTCTTTGTTAGTCTTGCTAGTGGTCTATCTATTTTGTTGATCTTTTCAAAAAACCAGCTCCTGGATTCATTGATTTTTTTGAAGGGTTCTTTGTGTCTCTATCTCCTTCAGTTCTGCTCTGATCTTAGTTATTTCTTGTCTTCTGCTGGCTTTTGAATGTGTTTGCTCTTGCTTCTCTAGTTCTTTTAATTGTGATGTTAGGGTGTCGATTTTGTATCTTTCTTGCTTTCTCTTGTGGGCATTTAGTGCTATGAACTTCCCTCTACACACTGCTTTAAATGTGTCCCAGAGATTCTGGTATGTTGTGTCTTTGTTCTCATTGGTTTCAAAGAACATCTTTATTTCTGCCTTCATTTCCTTATATACTCAGTAGTCATTCAGGAGCAGTTTGTTCAGTTTCCATGTAGTTGTGCTGTTTGTAGTGAATTTCTTAATCCTGAGTTCTAATTTGATTGCACTGTGGTCTGAGAGACTGTTTGTTATTATTTCCATCCTTTTGCATTGCTGAGGAGTGTTTTACTTCCAATTATGTGGTCAATTTTAGAAAAGGTGTGATGTGGTGCTGAAAAGAATGTATATTTTGTTAATTTGGGGTGGAGGGTTCTGTAGATGTCTATTAGGGCTGCTGGGTCCAGAGCTGAGTTTAAGTCCTGAATATCCTTCTTAATTTTCTGTTTCGTTGATCTGTCTAATATTGACACTGGGGTGTTAAAGTCTCCCATTATTATTGTGTGGGAGTCTAAGTCTCTTTGTAGGTCTCTAAGGACTTCCTTTCTAAATCTGGATGCTCCTGTATTAGATGCACATATATTTAGGATAGTTAACTCTTCTTGTTTCATTGATCCCTTTACCATTATGTAATGCCCTTCTTTGTCTCTTTCGATCTTTATTGGCTTAAAGTCTGCTTTATCAGAGACTAGAATTGCAACCCCTGCTATTTTTTTGCTTTCCATTTGCTTGGTAAATATTCCTCCATCCCTTTATTTTGAGCCTGTGTGTGTCTTTGCACATGAGATGGGTCTCCTGAATACAGAACATCAATGGTTCTTGACTCCTTATTAAATTTGCCAGTCTGTGTCTTTTAATTGGGGCATTTAGCCCATTTACATTTAAGGTTAATATTTTTATGTGTGAATTTGATCCTGTCATTATGATGATAGCTGGTTATTTTGCTCGTTAGTTGATGCAGTTTCTTCATAACATCGATGGTCTTTTCAATTTGGCATGTTTTTGCAGTGGCTGGTACCAGTTGTTGCTTTCCATGTTTAGTGCTTCCTTCAGGAGCTCTTGTAAGGCAGGCCTGGTGGTGACAAAATCTTTCAGGTTTTGCTTGTCTGTAAAGGATTTTATTTCTCCTTCACTTATGAAGCTTAGTTTGGCTGGATATGAAATTCTGGGTTGAAAATTCTTTTCTTTAAGAATGTTGAATATTGGCCCCCACTCTCTTCTGGCTTATAGGTTTTCTGCAGAGTGATCCACTGTTATTCTGATGGGCTCCCCTTTGTGGGTAACCCGACCTTTCTCTCTGGCTGCCCTTAACATTTTTTCCTTCATTTCAACCTTGGTGAATGTGACAATTATGTGTCTTCGGGTTGCTCTTCTTGAAGAGTATCTTTGTGGTGTTCTCTGTATTTCCTGAATTTGAATGTTGGCCTGCCTTACTAGGTTGGGGAAGTTCTCCCAGATAATATCCTGAAGAGTGTTATCCAACTTGGTTCCCTTCTCCCATCACTTTCAGATACACCAATCAAATATAGATTTGGTCTTTTCACATAGTCCCATATTTCTTGGAGGCTTTGTTCATTTCTTTTCACTCTTTTTTCTGTAATCTTGTCTTTTTGCTTTATTTCATTGATCTTCAATCTCTGATATCCTTTCTTCCACTTGATCGTTTTGGCTGTTGATACTTGTGTATGCTTCATGAAGTTCTCGTGCTTTGTTTTACAGCTCCATCAGGTCATTTACATTCTTCTCTAAGCTGGTTATTCTAGTTAGCAATTCATCTAACCTGTTTTCAAGTTCTTAACTTCCTTGCATTGGGTTAGAACATGCTCCTTTAGCTTGGAGGAGTTTGTTATTACTCACCTTCTGAAGCCTACTTCTGTCAATTTGTCAAATTCATTCTCCATCCAGTTTTGTTCCCTTGCTGGTGAGGAGTTGTGATCATTTGGAGGAGAAGAGGCATTCAGGTTTTTGGAATTTTCAGCCTTTTTGCACTGGTTTCTCCCCATCTTCGTGGATTTAACTACCTTTTGTCTTTGAAGTCGGTGACCTTCAGATGGGGTCTCTGAGTGGACGTCTTTTTGTTGATGTTGATACTATTCCTTTCTGTTTGTTAGTTTTCCTTCTAACTGTCAGGCCCCTCTGCTACAGGTCTGCTGGAGTTTGCTGGAGGTCCACTCCAGGCCCTGTTGTCATGGGTGTCACTGGCGGAGGCTGCAGAACAGCAAAGATTGCTGCCTGTTCCTTCTTCTTGATGCTTCATCCCAGAGGGGCACCTGCCAGATGCCAGTCAGAGCTCTCCTGTATGAGATGTCTGTCGGCCCCTACTGGGAGGTGTCTTCCAGTCAGGATACACAGGAGTCAGGGACCCACTTGAGGAGGCAATCTGTCCCTCATCAGAGCTTGAACTCTATGCTGGGAGATCCGCACTCTCCCCATCTATTCTTATGTATATATTCACTGCATGTTACATACTAGGTGGATTAAGCATAAGGAATTCTCCTTCTTGTTCTCTTGGGACTTTGATTTAAAAGACTTATAGCAAAACTTCACTTTGGGTCCCAATGTTCTTTCAATGTTTATTTATCCATGCATTGTATGATGCATTTGGGAAGGTCTACTTGCTGGGAGTGCATCTGTTTTACTTTTACATAGTTCTCGATGTCACCACATTACCACCACTCTAGGTAAGCAGCTCTCCATGTTAGTCACCATGTAATAGGTTTTCTGGGACCACAATACCACTCCTAGAGCAAATTTCAAGTGTGGCTGCAATCCTTTCATCCTTGCCCCAGGCCATAGACATCACAGTTTATGGTTAACTCACCTTTCTAATCTTAAGCACTCCTTTCTACTGCCATCACCTCAGGTATTTTTTAAAAAGAGAAGGGCTTCCCTCAGCAGAAGCCCTATCTTCCTATTCTAATTTCTCTCCTCAATCTTTGCCCACTTTCTTGACTTACGGAATTACTTTTTTTTTGGCCACATAATCCACCGTAGTCAAGCAAGGTCAGACAATAGAACTTTTTGTGATGACAGAAATACACATACATACACAAAGATATGCATATATATGCACAGCATATATGTAAATATATGTGTGTGTGTGTGTGTGTGTGTGTGTGTGTGTGTATGCTGCCTACCAGCCATGTGGCTGTTGATTATTTGAAATGTAGCTATTGAAACAAAGCATATTTTAACTTTTAGTTTAAATTTAAATAACCACACATATTACTCTGTTGAACAACCTGCTCTAATACATATGATATTATTGCAGGAAACAACTAGATTCTAGTCAGGGACTCTCATAGGTACATGTGACCCAGATGCCTTCAGTCAGACTTAGCACCAACATATCACCTTTTCCCTTGGAGGGGAGAGCTGAAGTAGAAAGTGGACAACTTTACTCTTAGTTGTCCCTCCCTTTATTTCCTCTTTAGACTAACTAATAACTGTTACTCATTGCATTTTGCTAGGGACAAATATGCATATATTAACTAAAATATTCACAACAGTGCAGAAATACAGTAATTATCCATATTTTACAGATGAGTCTCAGAAGAATGAAGTAAGTTGCTTGACACTGCAAAGTTAATAAGCCACAGACTTGAGATTTAAACCAAGGTCTGCCTTAGAGACATCTCATCTTCTCACTGTCACTGCTCTCCAGCGTGTGACACACATCCATCTTTGGGATTATTTGTCATCATTGCACATTCAAAACACTGCCTGCTACTCAAATATCTTGGCTTCTTAGACTGATTTTTCTCTTTCTTTTCACAGCCTTTTCTCTGCTTCATATTTTTCTTTCCTAGATTTGTTTTTCCTCTTATATTTTTCTCCTAAAAGGCTACCATCCCCTCAGTTTTCCTGGTTTTACTGCCCTGCTCCCGTATCCAGCTTGCACTCTAGGGGTTAAGCTGATCTGATCACATTGCATTTCCTTACCGTGTTTCCTATGTGACTAAGCAATGCACAGCTGAGTTTTCAATGCAGTTCCATAGATTCCTGACTTATTTTTCCAAGTCCATATTTATACTTGAACAAGGATAACTTCAGCTGTCATTATAGCCTCTTGTAAACTCACTAGTACACATTTGAGGAGATGGGATGCTCTTTCAAAGGGCCAGGTCTTTTTTTGCCATCAATTTGTAGGGGCCTTATAAAAATAATCCAATGGCTATATTTCCTCAGTTCATCCTCCCAATCCCTAGGTGTGTTACTATTTCTCATTTTGCTAGTGAAGAAACAGAAGCTTACAATGATTTTGCAATTTGCAGCAACCATATGAGAAAATCAGAAGGGACTCAGAAAATAGAAGCTGTGCAACCTAAGGGTAAGGCACAATTCCCAAAGGTAGTAAAGAGTAACCTCTTCCTAACAAACTCAGTGGCATTTATTTGCAAGCAGTTCTCAAAAATAAAAATAGGCAAAAACTGGAAATGCTATTTCAGACCACACATCCAGACTGCTTCTCAAAATGACCTAATTGGAAATTTCTCAAGGCCGAAGTAGTCCATCTCCCTAGGCATACAATTTGCTGAGGGCAAGGAGTTAAAGGTAGCTACAGCAGCAGAGTAGGACTCTTTGTAATTGTGGGTGGATTTATGACAATACTCTGATAGCAACATAAAACCAGTATTTCCAAGCATGAGTCAACTTAGTGTTCTAGTAACTTGAGTAGTACACGATGGCCAGTAAATGCTCTGTAAATGGAACTGCAAAACATTTGATTTAAGCCAATTCACTTATCTTATGGAATTGCTGAGAGGTCTCCATGGGCATTTATTGCAGACAGCCCTTCCTTTGAAGGGCTGGAGCTATCTTCCTGAGTCAGAGTACTTTTGAGCATGGGAAGTCAACATTATCTTCCAAGGCTTCTTTACTGTTTGTGTAAAGCAAACTTCCATTTTACCAGATTTTTTAAATGAAACTCGTTTTATGTCTTCATTGGATTTTTTATTCACCTTCTTGCAAGATCATCAGTAGATATTCCATATGGGAGACATTGTCCATTTTTGAAAGGCGGCAAGAACAATGTTGTATAACTGTAGGTTCAAGAATTTTTCTCAGCATAACTTATCACTACTCATGAAGAAAATTTAGAAGGACATAGAAGGACGTTGCTATATCCAGCATTAATACCCAGGTCAGCTAGTCTAAAAAAAAAAACGGAAAGAGACCAAGTGGATCAGTGATGGGAACAACATGTGAAGGTTTTTAAAAACAATATTAGTAAAAACATAAACAGAGAGCAGTAAATCACTGTATTAGTTTCTAAGGTCTGTCATTACAAATTACTACAAACTGAGTTGCTCAAAACAGAAGTTTATTCTCTCACAGTTCTGGAGACTAGAATTCCAAAATCAGTCAGCAAGGTTCGTTCCTTCTGAAGTTTCCAGGGAAAAATCTGTCCTGTGCCTGTGTTCTGGCTTCTGGTGGTTTCCAGTGAGCCTTGACATTCCTGGCACTATTCCAATCTCTTCCTCACCATGATCCCTAAACATGATGCCAGTTCACAGTGACAGTCATCAAATGGCCTTCTTCCCATGTGTCTCCACATGACCATCTTCAAAGGACACCAGACATTGGACTTAGGACCTACCCTAATCCAGTATCACCTCATTTTAATTTAACTGATTATGTCTGCAAAGACCGTTTTTCCAAATAAGGTAACATTTTGCAATTCCAAGTAGAATAAATTTTGAAGATGCTATTCAATCAGTACAATCACTTCAGGAATTATCAGTGTCCCCTTATCTCAGAGCTCTGTAGAGAGCTGACATCATGATCAAGAGTAGTGGGACTGGGAACCTGGAGGCCAGTTTATGCTGCAAGCTGCTCTGACTTTGGATTTGACTTAGTCATTCACACACACCGAGGGGACTGGGGGAGTTCTGGAGCCCTTAGCATAGATCTGTGAATGAGCTCTAAGGCCTCCATTAATGTTCTGAAATTGTATGCACATTGTTGTGTCAGGCAGTCTTATGTTTTCTTCAAAATGGAATTTCCTTGCCTTTTCTGAGGTCCTCCAATGTGTCTTTGACCCAAGAAGGCTAGTAACAAGTGCACCAAATCATCTATAAAGTCCAGCAAAGGATTCTGATTTCTGTACGTATAGTTGACCTGTGTTGTGTTATTTTATGATACATTCAGGGCTTCTGGATAGCATGTTAAAAGTCTAGCCCTTAAGATTATTTTATTTTGAAATGTTTCTGGCTCATTGATTTCCAATTTGCCTCTTTCTACATAACGCACAGGTGGATCAGTTTTTACTTGGCTCATGTTTTATGCAATAGGAAATGTAAATGAAACTCAGAACCGGGGTAAACAAGCTAATATCAGCATAAGGGGAAGAGAGAAACACAGGTGAACAGGTTTATGGCTTTATGTGCAGGGTTTGATATCAAAGGACTTGAAAGGGAACTGGTGAAAGGAGAGAAGTAGGGGAGAGGAGGAAACGCTGGAGGTTATGCTGTGGGATTTGCAGCTTTATAGCAGGATTCACTTTCTGTCTGTCTGGAATGATACTGACCTGACATTTTAGTGTCTCCCAGAAAATAACAACTTCTTACTTATTAAAAATAATTCCATTTGAGAACCACTCTTATCAGATTACACATCCTCTACTGTGTTTTTAAAGGAACACATTCCCTCTGCCCTTCGTAGCACCTTTAGTGGATATCCACATATTAGCACAGCCGGCTCTTCAGAAACGATGAGTAGAGTTAGTTCATTCCACGGACCATCTGGCCTCCTTTTACTTCTCCTACCTCTTTTTTTCATCTGCCCGATCTTTGTTTTTTTCATCTCTTTGGAGCCTCCCCACAAAAGGATGAGTGAGAGGAAGGAAAGTGAATTATAGTCTACTGATCCAGATTGTTGCTTTTCTATCATGTGCAAAAGGTGTGATCAAGAGCACTGATTTTAGCTATAAACATCTTCTCTTGGCCTATTACCACAGAAAATCAAGTTAAACTTTTTCATGTTATAGTATAGAATTAAAAATTCACCTTTATTTAGTGAAGGCTGAGTTTAAAATAACATGTCTAAGGAAAATGAAAAAAAAAAACCTCTTTATTCATGGTATTTTGTGTTTGTTTTTCCTCATTATTTTAAGCCTAATTTCTACTTCTGTAAATGGAATATGTGAAAAATACACCAAATAATAAAACAATTTTTATTAGATTTTTCTACTCTAGTCTGGAGATGTTCCAGTCTCATATGTACTTGACCAGAGTCTATTTCTCTTGCCTATTCTTGAATCTACACTACTGACTGTTCCCCTCAGATAATAACAAAAAACCCCAGAAAAAGTCCTTCAGAAGTGAGTGCTAAATCTTTTGCCAAGAGTAGACTTTCTGCACATCTTTATTAAAAAAAGAGTAAACCATGGTGTAGCCTGAGTCTCCCAGTGAATGTTGAGTTTATGATTATTTTTTAAAGGTCAATGAAAAGAATGAAAAGCACTGAGCAGGGTTGGAAATGGCATCCTCAATTATATTGGCCAGGAGATGAATCCCAGGCAGGCAGAACTTGAAATCTACCATGAAAACAGCCTTGATCTTTCAAGCTTGAAATACAATGGCGATGGGTAGGATTGGAAAACTGGAAGAAAAAACTACAACCCTAAATAATTCCTCATTACCCAGATATCATAGCTAGAGACCACTAAGGGTCAACATAGTCACTGTCAGTCTTGTCCCTCTGTTTAAAAAGTTAGGACTAGTAGATGTCAGTTGAAAGCTCAATAACTATATGAATTTAGCCATTTTGAATTTGTCATTTTAGCTTTCTCATGATCAATTTGTCACTTTCCAAATAGCTGAAAATTAGCCAGTTAACTAATTTACTTTAAAATAGGATAGCATTTTAATATAAAAAGATATGCATAAATTTTAATATATATGTATGATATATGTATATGTGTGTATATATATGTGTATATATTTGTAGAGAGAGAGAATTTTTTTTCTAAGTAGGGTCATAGAGAACACATTACCTCGATGATAGCTTTCTAAGACAAAATCTTAACCAAGTAAAGCAAAAGCATTGTGAATAATTTCAAGTTCATAGTTTTCAATAGATTTTAATTTTTTTAATACTATATTCAAGTAGAGACAGCTCAATTGAAGTCATTCATAATTAAGCTGTATCCTCTATTATAGTTTTTCTTGTCTCTAAAAAATTGCAATTTAGGGGAAACTGCAATACAAACAGAACTGAGGCTAGGGCTTTACATTTTACCTGGCTAATTTCATGAATCTTTACCAATTCAATGATCTCTCTGACAGTAACAACTTCTAATTTTCTTACCATGCCCTTCCTCTCTTGGATCTAAAAGCTTCAATAAGAGATGAAGCCCATTATGTGAAATATATACTAATATCCTCCAAAGGCATGGAGAGGCTGGGTAGGGTTTTTCCTACCAATTTGAATGTTCAAGTCCAAATATTAAAATGTAAAAGTTGTTACTATGCCACAAGGAAGGAGTAGTGGCCAAGGTAAATTTCAACCAAGTTCATATCAAAAAGTATTTCCTAAAGTGGAAAGTTTCCCCAAAGGCAGAAGAAAAATCTATTAACAGAACACTTTGAAGGAGATGGGCCAAAATATAAAGGAAGTCTTTCTTACCCTTAGCAAATTGGCAATCCAGAAGATACTTTCAATACCCTAGCTTATGTGTGTGACAAAAAAAGAAAAACAGAAGCTGATTAAATATTTATCTAGTTACTCTAAATGACCTTGTATGGTGCTTAAAATATAATTAATTTTAAAAAATAAATAATTTCTCCTGTTTTTGCTACAGTATCACACCACAGACCTCCCTTCCTTCCACACATATTAATGCTCTGATACCATTTACTTGGGTCTAAGAAATCTTAGACAAAGAAACTGCTTTAGTTGTGCCTAGCAAAACTTCTTTTTGTTCTGGAAGTTTTACTATTCTGAGAATGAACTTGGCCATTAACTATCAAAGTCCCTCAAGATAAAGTGGCATTAGGTAAATGATGGCTTAAATAATTCTCAACATTCGGTGTCACAAGGCCATAATAAAACTCTTCCTAGTATATGTAACTATGAATGTTAATCAGAGTCTGTCTAGATACCCAAATAATTTGGTGAAATTCTGAGGCTTGCTAAGACTTGAAACAGCAAGTTAGAATGTGTGGAAATACTTGACCCTATAGGAATTTTGAATTTGAGGATTCTTTGCTGTGCAACACTAGAAGAGGTTTAGTAGCATCCCTGGCCTATATAGAATAGATGTCATGTACACCTCCTTCCCCAAGCTGAGACAACTAAAAATGTCTCCAGACATGGCCAAATGTCCCCTCAGGGACAAAATCACCCCCACTTGAAGAAAAACTGCTTTAAATTATGGCAGACGGGCTAAACAATTCATCTTAAATCCCATTTATTCTTTTCTGCTTCAAGATTTTTCCTAAACACTTTATTCTTTTCCTTTAATACCTGAAAATATGGCAAATCTCTGACAACTTTGTGTTTTTACTGTCTTTAGGTTTTATACTATTGGGGAATGAATCCTATAAAAATGCCCACCTCATCCTGGCCAACATGGTGAAACTCCGTCTCTACTAAAAATACAAAAAGGAGCTGGGCATGGTGGCGCATGCCTGCAGTCCCAGCTAGTTGGGAGGCTGAGGCAGAAGAATAGCTTGAACCTGGGACGCAGAGGTTGCAGTGAGCTGAGATTGTGCCACTGCACTCCAGCCTGGGCGACAGGGCCGAGACTCTGTCTTAAAAAAAAACACACACACAAAAAAAACCCACCTTTCCATCTGGTCCAATGTCCAAGCTGCTCAGCCCTAATCTCTCTACTCTAAAGGGAGGAAAAAAATAAAAATAAAAACAAACAAACAAACAAAAAACAACCCTGCTTCAAAACTGGAGCTCCTTCATTCTTCCGTCTTATCGCCAAGCTGCTTTCTGGGCTGGAGGTCTCCCTAGTAGTGTGGACCCAACCTACAGCTAGGATTTTTGAGTTCTGCGGTTCCTCTGCTGGAAGGGCTTCAGTGGTTGCTTCGAGGGTATGTTCCAGCATTTCTGAAACTAAGCGTAGCGGGAATAGGAAGGAGCTAGGAAGAGATTTAGAGACCCCACCCCCAAACTTGGGGCCACCTGAACTCCAACAAAACAATAGGACTTATTGTTTACTAACTATACAGGAAACGTTTCGATAGTGTTCTGCACACAAACTCTGGCAGGGCCCTGGTTCTAAACATTCCTTAAGCTAAACAAGTCAATTCTCATAAAAATGATCTCATGAACGAATTTTACAGCTTTTTTTCTGAAAAGATTTTTTAATCCCCCAGCTTATTAGAAGGCTGCTCTGTCTATTGTTTCCATTGTCTTTGAATAGATAATGGACAAAGGAAAGTAAACTAGGTCTCTTTCCTCTTGCTGATCTTGCCATTTCTCCCCTGCATTTACATCAAAAGCTTCTAGGTACCAAGACGAAATCATTATTTGCGTTATTAAAAATGAGTAAAGTGCACATAGTCTTCTCCATCAAGTTTTGATTCCTGCTTTGACTCTGAATACCACATTTAATGTTAACATAGAACACAGATTGCAACAAAGCAATGCGAAGCGATAATAGACTAATAATGATAATGCCATAGATATCAATAATTGTAGATTTACTCTGTGCCAAAGATTATGCTAGTTATTATTTTTTATTTTTTTTTACATTTAATCACATACAGTCCTCATTGCAGCCCTATGAAGTAGGTCTCATCACTCTATTTTGAGAGAAGGAAACTGAGGCTTAGAGAGATTAAGATCACATATTTTAAGTAGAATTCAAGCTCATTTGTGACTAACGTCAAAGCCTGTATTGATAGATATATGATACATAGATAGGCAGGTACATAGATGATAGATGATAGATAGATAGATAGATAGATAGATAGATAGATAGATAGATAGATGATATGTATAGATAGATAGATAGATAGATAGATAGATAGATAGATAGATAGACAGACAGATAGATAGAAGTTGGGTAATCATGATACTACATGATGCTAGGACCCCTCCCCCTGCCAGGAATTCCCTAAACAGAACACCATGATGTGAAAGTTGGCTCCCAAAGGCCAACTTGGCTACAAAGAGAGACTCTCTTTCTCTACTCAAGGAGGTGTTTCTCATAGTCTGATCCAATGAATACCTGCTTAGTAACTGTCACTGTTGAAGAAGTAGATTCATGAGTCTTATCCCAGGCCTAATGAATCAGAATATCTGGAATGTGTGGGAAGCTGACTCAAGCATATGCATCTTTTAAAAACTCAGATTGTTCTTCTGCCCCGAAATCTTGAGAACCACTGACTTATGTGGTCAGAAGTGATCGACTCCCTGGGCTGGGAAGCTCCAATTTTCTCCTCCAGATTTCCTGTGTCGCCCTCTCCTCCCTGTCCTCTGCCCCATTAGGGAGGATGCATGGATTCCTTCAGCAAGCTCTTTGTCCTTCGGTTTCCAGGTGAGTTTAGGCAATGAGAGGGGTGGGGAGAGGCATTAATGAGAGATCAAAGAAGGGAGAGAAGTGAGGACACGGTCTGTATATCTCAGGCTGTTTCCTATGCAGTCATTGCAGATTGGCTGCCTCACGCTCCCAAAGGTCACAACACCTGACAAAGCGGCCCTCTCGGTATCAGAAAATCTCCATATTCCAGGATCCATACCCTCTTTAAGTGCCATTTAGGTTCTGGGTGAAAAATGCTCCTTTCTGTTACTAGTTTTGGAGTACTGCGGTATTCTCTATTGTTTTTTTATGTCTGCCCACATCTCTGTGAATAGTCTCCTTGTTAAATTCTCTACACACTTCCCCATTTGAAGGTGTCATCTGTTTTCTGGCAGAACTCTGATTGATACCCTTATAAATGTGACTCAAGCATCTATAATTTGTCTACTTCTTTTGGGTTATTCTTGCTACATTGCACCTATTAGGGACTTGATGCCTGTAAGTTGCTTAATCTGTTCTATTTTTCCAGCTGTGGTGATAATCAAATGAGATGAATATATAACATGCTTTTCATGTGCTTATTGTTGACTGTCAGTTAATGTTAGTTCCTGGCCCTCTATTTACAGCACACTCTTCATCTCATCATTCATCATTTAATGTAATTTGATTGGTCTTTAAGGAGTTGCTTACCCTCTCCAGGCCCTCTTTGTTTCTGCCCCTCCTCTCCTCCAGTTGTCCACTAGCTCTTCCCATCAGAGGACCCTTTTGTTCACTGGGTCTTTCCTAGTTGGTTCAATCTTATTGGTATTTACTGTGTTCACTCTAAGAGCTAGTCTATCAGCTCACATGCTCTCCAAGAAAGCCATGTCCTTTCTCTCTGTCTGTGCACCAGACTTTCCCAGGAACTCCAGACTTACCCTTTTCTTCTACGCTGCTCTGATTTGAAGGCATCTCCAGACTTAGAATAAAGAACTTTCCTGAACTAACCTTCAATTCATGGGAGAGTCTATACTCCTTCAGCACCTAGAGATTGCCTCTACAATTTGAAAACTTTTTTTTATCCCCCAGTTACACTTATAAACACAATAATCTCTCACCATCTGGAGCTTCAAAACTCTTATTCTGGAATATCACTCTGCAGCTAGCTGTCTTCAAGTTGTCGCCACTGTCCAAATATTTATGTGCAGGTGATGGGCCCTCCTCAGCCTGGCTGCAGTATAAAATGAGTTCTGTAACCTAAGAACAAAGTTATCCAGGGAGATTAAGTGAATCTGTTCACTTGAGCACCAAACAGGTGCTAGGCATTCTGTTCAGCTCTAAGTTTCTTTCTGTCCATACCACATGCAAGAATACAGGCAAGGAGTAAGTCAGGGTCTCTTCACTCAATCAACTTTCATAACTCTTTAAGAATTAACCTGTGAATTTTTGAAGAAGGCAATTAAACTTGTGGAGAATGACAGCCCAGACCCTGTAATTGAATCCCTCTAATGTTATTCTGTATGTTATAGTAAACGAAATATAGAAGATTTACAGTAGGTTATGATTCTAATAAGGCACTGTTTATGTCTGCTAATCCATCGTGATCCAGCCTGAATTCCACATTTTAGCTGGAATATGTTATGTACACTAAGGTACCTGCTTCCTGCCTCAGGATTCTGATTCCTAGGTCTCATAACTTGATTACGATTTCCTTGTTTAAAAGTAGTTTTAAAGTACCTACATGTTGATCAGTTGGTAGTGCCACAGTCTTCCTACAGGGTTTTCTGTAAATGTTGACTCCTGTTGCTGGACTTCTCTGCTGCGTGCTCTGGGGCTTTCATTCTGTGATCTATGGCAGTTATGTTTTCTTTGGGAACACAGTGTTATTCCACAGTTCCTGTTTCATTTGCTCTTTGTTCTGTGCCTAGTGTCTGGAAAGAAGGTTTAAAATCTTTTGTGGGGAAGACATGCTTATGCTTAGGGTATAAACTGAGGCTTCATTTGTGCAGATCTCGAGTATACTAGGCACCAATAGCATAAGATGCAACTGTTTGATTCCTTTGATTCCTTCAACCCACATACACTGAGGGTTACCCACACATGCTATTTATGCGCAGAAAATAATGCTGTTATCTAAAATGTCTAAGATTGCACTTGTCTTGAAAATTATTAGAGCTCTTGGTTTTATACATGAATTTTCATAGTAAGGAACTCAATTTTGAAAGCTAAAAAGATTTCTCTAATGTGGTTATTCCGAAATAACCCACTTTTCACATTTTTTCTTTGGAATGGATTAGGTAGAGCTTTGGAAGGGTAGAGTGGGATGGATATTTATCTTTTTCTTGTCCTTATTTATCTTTTTACTTGTCCTTATTTAGCCTTTTTTTTCCGAAATATATCCCACAGGTGTGGATGAAGGGGCTGGATGGGTGCAACCCAAAATTTGTCTGAGAGAATGAGGGAAATAAACCTAGGATTTAAAAAATATTAAACAGTCCCCAAGCTAAATAATCCATGTGTGGGAAACTCACACACTACTGAAAATCTTAATCAGGATCAGAGGGTAAAAGAAATAATGCACTCAGTTAAGATAAATTCATTTTGATCCTAGGAACCTAAGCCTGCAGAGGTTCAAGCAAACACAACTCTAGCCAAACTTTTGATATCAGCATAAACTCTTGACCGTGTAGACAATAAAAAACTGCAGTAAAAACCAGTAGTTTATAAAGTAAGTTTCTTAAATTTATTTCCCAGTTGCTATTCCAAGCTACAGATTTTTAAAAATGCTTTTAGGAAGGTAGAGTACCTCTTCACTCTCAGAGAAAAGCAAAGGAGGAAGATGGATTGCTTTTTTTGAAACATAATACTGAAACTTCCTGGAAGCCATCTATTTCCAGATTTCTAAAAGATGTTATCTTTCACCTTCAGTGGAGAACTAAACATTATCACCAAGGCTACTGCATCTTCAAATATTTGAAGACAATCGGTGTCTGTCTGTTCTGATTGCATCTGACGCCAAGCTCAGGTTAAATTACAACCATTAAGAGCTGAATAATGTGCCTCAAACAAAATATATTATCTGTACTCCCCAGTGGAAAGCTACTGAGTTGTCTTCCCAGATCACAACAATGTCCCTTCCTCTGAGGCCCCCATTGCTGTGCTGCAGAAGTAGAATTCTGATAAGCCTTTCTCCCACCATATGACCCTGCTTCCTGGCCACAACTAATTGTTACATGGGTGGACACTGGATCCAAACTGGGCCAATCAGAGAATCAAAGTCTCTTCTAAAGTATTGGAATTCACACTGGGAAATATTTCCCTGTATGTATCTGTAATACACCAATTTGGTGATCATGCTTTCTGCCACCAGTACTGGAGAATCAATATGTGTATACAATTGTGGTAATATCCTAAATGATCTTCCAGAAACTATGGTCTCATCCATCATACTGCTCACCTACTACTTAAATGTGGTAACTTTTATAAAAACAAATATGATCATATCACCCCATTGCTGAAAATCTCAAACAGCTATCATATATGAAATCAAATCCAAACCCACAATATGGCTTACTCACGTCTTCATAGCTTAATTTCCACAAATCTTTTAAGCCCCGTATCCCACCAGTCCTGTTGTTTCTCCCATCAGATCTTCTAAATGACCCACAGACACAAATGTACAGTCTAGTCATGTTGAACATCTACTCTTTAAACACATTGAATGCATCCTAACTGCTTGACTTTGCATACCTGCTCTTTCCTCCTCTGAAAGATTCAGTTGTGACTAACCTGAAAAAGAAGGAAGAGCAGGTTTTGGCAAATTGTTGTTCATCCTTCAAGTCCTAGCTCAAATACCATCTCTCCCAGAAGCCCTCCATGTCTCTTGTGTGCTTTCTTACAGTGCTTCACCTCTTTTAGGAAACCCTCTGCCAAGTCCTAGAGGAAAAGCTAGCAGCTCCTCTTTCTTTCTCTCACTGTGCTTTGTTTATGTCTGTCCTTCATAGCATTATTAGCATTTACTGTAATTTTTAAAGTCATGTCTGTCTTCCCTTCGAGACTAAGAGTTACTGGAAAACAATGAACACATCTTACATCCCAATGCCAGTGTAGAGACTGGTCTTTTCACTGTTAAGTAGCTTGACAGTATAGAAGTCGGGATGCTGTTCTCACCAGCAAGTTTTTGCCTTATATGTCTATCACCTAGTTCTTCCAACTGGCTAATTTATTTAAAAATCATAATAATAGGAATTAAAGAGTTACTTACTATTAGAGAAGTAATTTTTCAGCAGGCTTCTACACAGCCCTCAATAAAATAAATGCTCAAATTGAAATTACTCTTTCTCATATATTTTCAATTTTTAAAAAGTGTATGAGAAGAGGACCAGCTATTGACTTTAGCAGTACAGTACTTTTAAAAATAAGCAACAGCAAAGCAGAAGGTATGGGAGAAAAAACTGACTTGACTTTAGACTTCAAAAAGGTCAACCTTAAATATGGGTAGTCGCACAACCAGATAGTCCTCTTGTGGTTTGTTTCGTTCAGTTAAGAAATTCTTTCTGGGAAAATGGGATTAAAATAAAATAAAGTCCACTCTGAAGAGTTTAAAAATAACCTAATATGCTGAGGAAGTGTTTACTTTTATTCCATCTCAGTTCATCTTATCTTTATTTGGAATTTGTGCAGCATCTTTGAAATAAACCACTGAAGATGACCTCATGAAAAAAATGTAAAGTTTTCTTTTCTTTTTCTTTCCTTTTTTTTTCAAATATGAATAAAACCCTAACAAGTGTATCTATGTACTTCCTGTTCACACTGCTTATGTTTATCAGTGCAATTAGTATTGTCTTAGTATGCTTTACTTAGTGGTTCACTTAATTAAGACTCACTTGGGATTTTTCTTCCAATATATTAGGCTTGGGGTCATTAGGGCCACTGCTGTGCCACTTCAGTGATTTCAAGCTAAAATATGCATACCTTAACAGGTAGTTTTTCCATGGATTACTATGTGAGAACTTGCTATCAGCCTTGCACTCTTTGAAAGTAAAATATAAATGGACCAAATAATCTACTCTTCTAAGGTGTGAAACTCAAGATAAAATATAGGTCATATATATTTTATTATTTAAAAAATATTTTGTCTACCTCTTAAATAGGTATTACTATAAAAGAAAAAAATCTATTTAAAGCTTTAAGTAAAACAAAGCACATCAAGGATATATCCACTTAAATATGATTGAAAAGCATAAAAGGAATTTCTGCCTTAAAAGAAATATATATCATCTCTTTCTTGCATCACTGACCATCATAATGACCTCTGTAATAGCCCTTAAGTTTGGTGTCTGAGCTTCCAAGATTGATGCTACCAGTTAATTAACCTCGCATGCTTCTGGGAATCCAGTCAAGTCGACCTTCATGTTATATACATAAGCACATCTTCCCAGAGATGTCCCAGATCACAACTGATCTAGAAAACTGCTTTAAATACCTACACACACAACACAGAAATTCCTTGACAGTGATGAGCCTCTAATACCCAGTAAATTGGTTATTAATAGTGAATATAAATAACAACTCCCCTCTTGACAGCATTCTAAGCTGTTTGTCAGTCCTTGGGAATATTAAAGTGTTCGTCTGCATGTTCTCTGTATTCTGTAATTAAAACGTAATGCTATTGTACCCAAATCTTAGACTTTTGGAAAACTATGAATTATGCTGTATTAGTTATCTATTGCTGTGTAATAAATTACTCAAAAACTTAATGCTTAAAACAATAAGCATTTTTTATCTCAGTTTCTGTCGATCAGGAATTAGAGAGCAGCTTAGGTGGGTAATTCTAGCCGACGACTGGTGAGTTTGTTGTCAGGATGTCTGTGAGAACTTCAGTTATCTGGAGGCTGGCCTTGGGCTGCAGAATCAACTTCAAAGATGGCTCACTGACATGGCTGTTCGTTGGAGGACTCAGATCCTAGCCCCATGAATCTCTCCATAGGGTATAGGGCACAGGGTAGCTGAGCCCTTTGATAGCAACCTTCTCCCAAAATAAGAATTTCAAAAGGGAGAGCAAGGAGAAAACCACGATGCTTTTTATGCTTTTTATGACTTAGTCTGGAAAGCAATGTACTATCACTTTCACGATATTTTATTTGTGGGAAGCAAGTCATTAAGTATAAGCCATAATCAAAAGGAGGTGAATTAGGCTCCACATTTTGAAGGAAGGAGTATCAAATAGTTTGGGACATATTTTAAAGGCACCACACTTGCAAATTTGTCTTCTACAAATAAATATTAGATGTATATGATGCCCATCAACAGATGTATTAATAGAAACGGAAAATTAAATGGATAAATTGTATGGTGTGTGAATTATTTCTCAATAAGACTGTTAATATTTTTAATAGAAAGAAATGGAGAGTGCACTTTATTAAGAGAGACAATTAAGATCTTTGGAGCCTGTTACGTACCCAGTATTTTACCTAGCATAGTTTATTTAAACTTCAAAACAAACATAAAATAGTGGTGTGCTGGAGCTGGTTCACACTGGCTTGTGAGAGACAACTGTTAGCATCTCTATAAAGTTCCATGCTTAATAACATCATATTGGAGGTTTAAAGTCAACCATGGTGGGAGTATCATATACTAAGGGGGATCACTGATTTGTAGAATTTACCAATTTCCGTTGTATAATTGGCCCTAATTTACAGAGAAGGAAAATTGGAGAATGAGAGGTTTTTAAATTTGTTCTAAAAATTGTCTTGATATTTTTTCTTCCTCCAAGCGGTAGTAAATGGAAAGACCAGAGTTTGAACCCAGTGTTGAATGCATGTAGAGCTAGCTTTGTTTATAATATGCATGCTGCCTCTCTAAGAGGATTAATTACTACACATTGCAAATCATCTTCCTTGGCTCCATCATGATATTGCTGTGTTTATGATAACAATGAGGACTAACTACAGCTAATTGGCTGACCATTTAAGGTTGGGAAATAATTCTATTTAAGTCCAGAGACTGGAAAAAAGACTAGTAAATATCAAAAATTAGAAGAGCTAACTTCAGTTTAATATTAAGTAGAAAAATGAAGAGAGAGAAGGTAACATAGGGGAGAACTACAGTCTGTTAAATAGGAAATTGTTAGAAATTAGATATATGAAACATCTCTGCATTATCCAGCAGTGTGAGAATATTTTTTGCAGCACAGAAAACACTGAATCTCCTTTTTCTAGTTTGACATTTATCTCTCAAATATGATATTCACTACCTCTAACCTCAGATAAACACTCTTGAAAAATCATTTTTTATTTATACAATTTGGCCCTATTTTGCATATTTAAAACATCTATATTCCACACATACATACAGAGTTATGCAGACTTATTCCCATGCAGGTATCCATACAAACCCTAATGCACACATCCCCCAAAATGGAAGCTAGCAACATGTAGAAGATGAAGAGAGAAGATGAAATTGGCTTCTCTGGAACAATAGTTTTTCAGCAATAACCCTAATAGCTCAAAAATGATCACATTTAGAGATACTAAATTAAAACACCGTGCCAGAGACTATGGACCTGTGCATTAAGGCACACACATATGAAATCTCACCACCATGCTAGAGATGAAAACATGACAGTTAGGTTACCATGGAGACAGAAGCAGAGACACTAGCTACTAACTCTGAATACCAATTAACATCTAGCACTTCTTTATGTTACTAAAATTGGTTGCCAGGGCAACTCAAAGGATTGGCTCAGGTTATCAAATTAATTACAAACCAAATCTAAAAAAGTCAGATTCTTTAGAATTTTATGAGCGTTAACTTAAATAAATTATTTATGGGGATTCATGCTGGTCTCAGGATGGCAGCTGTTATCTGCCTGTGATTCTTTTTATCATTCCCCAGTCCCTCTTTTCTTTCTCTTAAAATATTTCTCAGGCAGAAACTGGTATATATTCCTTAATATTCTCAGTTATGCTTCCAGCAAAAGAAAGCTGAAATGAAACTTCTATATAATAAGTTATTTTAATATATATTTATTAAAACTTAGGTTATAGCTACACAAAGTAGTTGATCGCTAGGTACCTACATTTTATTAAGGAACCCTCTCTGTCTAGGTGACAGATGCTACATATATCTTATTCAGTAGTTAAAAAATCTGGCCATGTAGATATTAACCATATTTTTCTGAGAACCAAGTGTCAAACTAAATGGTTAGCTATGAGCAGGAGCTCTCCCGAAGCCTTGCTGTTTTCTGAAGTTTGTAGTGTAAGCAACGACAGAGACTAGTAGATAAGATCCAGCTTGTCTCATCTAAACACAGAGTCTGCCATTCAATAGCTAGGTAACCTTGAACAGGGCATTTAATTTCTCTAATTCAGTGTCCTCATTTACTGAGGGATTTACTGAACATCTGACTCCTTCTCACCAACTCTACTGCAGCTGCCCTGCTTCAAAACACCAGCCTTTTTGCCCTGGATTATTGCAATAGCTTCCCAACTTGTCACCGCAGCCAGAGTGATTCTAATAAAACATAAGTCAGTTCATGTTATTTATCCTGTGACTCCAACTTCTTAGAATTGTAGTAAGGTCAAATGAGATATCCCCTATAAGGGACTCAGCACAGTCCCAAACATCCAGTACACATCCATTCACTGGACAACTATCTACTGAGTGCCTACTATGTGCCTGGTGCTGGGGAGAGAGCAGTGAAAAATACCAAGAAATATCCCTGACCCTGAAGAGGTTCCCGGAAAACACAAAATGTGTTAGATTGTGTTAAGTGCTAAGAGAAACACTGAAGCATGGAAGACTTGCATGGAAGGGGGACACAGGACCACAGAAGACCTCATTGAGAAGATGACATTGAGTAAATACCTGGCAAGTGAGAGAGTGAGCCATGTAAATATGTGGTGAAGGAGCAGCCCAGGGAGAGAGGTCGGTAAGGGGCAAGTCCTTCCATGGAAGCAGGGCCATGTTTCTATGAGAAGAGTGTCTGATGAGTGGCAGGTCAGAGACATTGTAAAGGGAGATATGTATCACTTAGGGCCTTGACGGACACAGCAAGGGCCTTGGTTTTTACTATCAGTGAAATGAAAAGTCAACGGAAATTACCATGAGTTGATTGTGTTTTATTAAGACTCTTTTGGCTGCTGGTGACAAGTTAGGAAGCTATTATAATAACACGTGGCAGACAGGCTGGTGTGCCATTATATCTGCCCATGTATGTACTCAGTATATAACTGTAATGTTATTTTATTATTATTTTCTTTCTTTTCATTATTTCTTAAACAATATAGTGTAATGTTATTATGGAGGGCATTTTTGTTTCTCAAAGCTTTCCCTCCAATACACTGCTACATTTCTTCACGAGAGTAAATAAGAAGACTGTTCTCTGTTCCTTAATGAGAAGAATTAAATATTTGTCAACATGAAAGCTTTGAGCATTCAACTGGAAGTTTTTCTTATTTCTTGAACCTTACATAATTCTTCCTGGAGTCTAAGAACTAGTTGTATTCCATACACATACCTGGTTTTAAGTATTTTGTACACATACTGTACAAAATGTAACATGAATGAAAGTCATGGTTCAAGCTTTCCAAGTTGAGGTTTTCCTTTGTCTCAGCCACAAGGACCAAGTAAAAATCAAGACTTTTGTTCTAATAATCATAATAGCAGTTAATGGTGGCATAGCACTTACTTTTTACCAGGCACTGTTCTCAGTGCTATAAACCTGTAAACTCGTATATAACATGAAATTTAGAATAGAAAAAGGAAGTCCAAGAACAACGTAGGATTATATTTCAAAATATTGCCCTTTTGACAGGCAATGGAGTGGGGTGGTTAAGAGGATAGGCTCTGAAGTCAGGCTGCCTGGTTTGACTTTCAACTCTATACTTATTAACTGAGTTACCTTGAGTATATGACTGAATCTCTTTGTGCCTCAGTTTCCTCAGTTTTAAAGTGAGGATGATGTCAATAGCCTGGCTTACAATAATTCCTATAGAAAAGGGCAATATTTTGAAATATAATCTTACGTTGTTCTTCTTGGATTTCCTTTATTCCATTTCTAAATTTTCTCTCACTGTTATCATAAGCAGTTCAGGCTGGGAACTAAACTTTTGCATTCCAAAAGCCCAGGCCTTTATGGAAATGTGTAAAGTTTTACAAAGAAGGTTACAATAATTTTTTTAAAAAAAGAGGATTGCAAAATGGAATGGGGAGGGGTAGAAATGGCTTGGTCATAAGAAATGAGAATAGCACTACTGCTCCTGAATTAAAAGTGATTCTTCCCTCTGTGGTCATGGGGAGAAGCACAAAGGTTGAGGTGAGGGGCTGCTGGCTCTCCCTCAGCTCCTGGGAACAGAGAAGACCCCTAGTCTGAAATGGTTATCTGATGTGCCCAGGTTGATGGGAGGGAAGGAATGAAGATGAGGTTATTTTTCAAAAGACTTTGGTTTAAAAATTCTGCCAGTCCAGTAGGATTGTGGCTTAAAATAGAAATTAAGTTGGGTTGTTGAAAACAAAAGAATTCATATTTCTTATAAATCTGAGTTTGTGAGCATGTGAATGAGACAAGGTAGATTAGATATCTACTTTAACCTCAGAAAATTCCAATCACGTTTCCAACTACTGGTAATTAAGAAATCTAAAATTTGTCTTGCCCAAAGCTTATATAGCATTTCATTGCTGTTCCTGGAGCATGTGACTCTACTAGCAGCATAACAGAGATGACAAATCACACCAGTGTTATGCTGGTGTTGTAGGGCTAACACATATCCCATTTTGTGTTTAAATAGACTTGATTCTGAGGTGCTTTGTAAGTACATTTTATTGTTGAAATAGGCTATAGATAGAAATAACCAAATAACATGAGAGCTTTTTAATTAAAAAATAGTTGTATTTCCATATCATAAAAACTGACTGGATGGATATTTTTAGGCATATACTTTGTTCTAAATTTGGTAGAGAAGGAAATAAAGGACAAGCATGATAGACAAAAATCCTTAAAGTACTTCCAAATCATAAATTGGCATGTTAGAGGTTACAGTCATGAATTGCTAGAAAGCAAAAACAAAAAGTCCTCTTAATAGGCTATATTAGAAATGAGTATAAAAGGTATTTTTGCTTTTATGAGAAGTCACCAGAAATATAGCAATGATTAAACTACACAGTTTTGAAAATAAACATGCAGTGTTACTGAGACTGGCAAGATTTCCCATAAGCAGAGTCATTAACTCTGATCTCCTTATGAGGTTAAAAGTCATCATCTGAAAGCTATCTTCCCAAATACTGTAAGAACAATTTTTGATCTGGCCTGCTGAAAGGAGTAAGCAGAAGTCCTAGTTAATGACATATTTTAATAAGTTAATTCTATTGTGCTCTCTATTGATTACCTTCTCAACTCTAAATATCACAGAAGTATTATGCAATCTATTATTGATTCAAATGGAATTCAGGATCTTGGTGTGGGTTCACCATAATGAACACCTATCAAAATGCTGCTGAAGCACCAATAAATAAGAAGCAAGTTTAAGAGAGTGCAGGAGAAGAGAGAATTTATGGGGTATTTCTTAGCATGTGAATACCTTAGACCTCTTGACTGGCAGGATAGGACAATGGCCAAATACACAAACTCTGTGCTCAGACACTCTGGGTTTCTGTCTCAGCTGTGCCACCTACTAGCTATATGAGCCTTGACAAATGACTGAACACTGTGCCTCAGTGCCTCCAGCAGACAGAATAGGCATACTTAATAATATTGATCTCATACAGTTGCCTGAGAATGAAATAAATTATTATATGGTAAGTGTTAAGAACAGAGATTAGCACATAAAAATGCTATGCAAGCATTAAGTATTATTATTGGCCATGAGAAAAATAGAAAATGTAGTCTATACTCTCCTTTTTAAAAACCATGCTATAAATAATCATTCTTGCAAATACTTGAAAAAATAAATAGATAGATAGATAATTGAGTCTGCACCATGTGCCAAGCTATTATAAGCAACACACATATTTTAAATCATTTTATACGGGAATAGGATTTTTAATAAAATAGTTTATTATTAGAGCTCAGAAGGATATAAAGGATATTTCTCCATTGAATTTTTTTGTGTAAAAAATGACTTACTTTTGGCAGTTATTGAGATAATCAGCTCCTGGGAGATGTATAAAGTTCCCACTCATCAACATTGGGATGAAAAGTAACTTCTATGAAGCAACTGAGATGATCTATTCAATTGCCTATGCAGTGTACAACTTGACATTCTTAGTGTCCAAGACTAAAGCTGGCACAGTGTCTTTAGATACCATGAAGGATATTTTAAATACAGGTTAACCAAAGACCAGACTGGATTCTAGCTAATTTAGGGTCAAATCAAGCTAATATAAACATATACCCCAAATCCAAAAGGCATGTCTACTACCCCTTTCTCCCTCCATACAAGAATATCTCTATCTGTTCTTGTATCAGCATAAGTAGCAACTTATGTCACCCTGACTCTGAGATAAATACTAATTAAAGAACATTTTTATGCTAGTAAACACTTGCCTCTCAAATCAGCTCTTTGAAATGTGTTATCACCTGGTTCTATAAAAAGCAAGCTGGGTGAGGTAGCTCCCAGACCTGCTGGGATAAATATTTGCCACTACACTAGTGGATGCTTCTTTTGCATACAAACCCCTTTGTAAATATAGCTCACAATTGTCAATATGAAGCCCAGGGAAATGAGTTTCTGTGGAGAAAACAGAACTGTTTGCTTATTCCCACAGATCCGGCCATTCTGTGCCCTCCGTTTGCTGGCAGGCAGCGACAGCTGGCCATTCCAGGGTGGACAAAAACATTTCCCCCTGGCATGTTCTCTTCACTGGCCTATGTTGAACGGAGTCCAAGTTCATTTATAGCTATTTCAAGGACAGAATTTAAGATTATTTCAAGGGCTCTAACAACATTTGCTTTTCTAAGGCGGCATGGCAAGATACCCAATCTTGGTTGGTTCAAAGATTTAAGCCTATTACCTCTCGACAAGCTGGGCAAATGTTCCTAGTTATCAAACACACACTTTTGCTATCTAGGAGCTTTAACAAAACAACTCAAAAACAAGGTACACTTTCTCCATTTCCTTCACTATAAACTTCCTCAGAGGGCTCTCAGGTTTCTTGATAGCAGAAGGAGGTTAAATAAATGTTGAAAACAAACCATTAGACTTGCTGGGCTGGATTTTTGAATGGCCTCCAAATTCCAGCACAGCCTCTTCTTTCTGATGTTCCATTTTTAATCCTAGAATATTAAAGCAGTCGGTAAACATTAACTCACATATCCCCTGAAAAATCTTTCTGGGTGGTAGATGACTTAGTTCCTAAGCGGGAAAGTATGTTTACAGGCTTTCCCTCTGGATGTCACGGCAGGTACCTGGCCATATCCTGTTCAGATGGGATGGGTGCATTTCCGCTTTTCACAGTCTAGCGTTATAACTCAAGTGCCTGGTTTAGGGCTTCCTTCATTGCTGATGCTCACTGTGTCTTTATTGCATGGCTGAAACTCTGTCCATGATTAAAATAATCTTTTCTCTTGTTACTTCAATGGTGTCACCTAAAGTCTAAATTAGGAATAGAAGGGTTTAAATTAATTAAGTAAAAAAGAAAACAACTGCTCTCTTTTTTAAATTCTTCTGAAAATGAAGATTCATTCCACCACTGAACTCCTGTACAAAGAGAAATGATCAGTCGGTCACACAATGTGAGTCTAGATATATTTTATTGCTCTGTAAATATGTACATCCTAATTTCTCCTTTCTGGAACTGTATTTTAATTCTTATTCTGCATTGGAATAAGAGTTCTAACCTTATTTCTTCAAAACCAGTTGAGTAATTTCTAACCAGTTTCTTCTTTATTCCCTAAATGTTTTCTTTTTAGAATTTCCTTAACACTTTCTTAGAAATAATGGACACCAGATGTTTAAAGCTGAGAGCTCAAAATGTGTTTTTTAAAGCTAGTATGAAGTACTTTTAAATCCATCAGTATTATAAATTATCATAAAAGAGATAAATTGTGAAACCATGCTGGTCATTACATTCTTAACATTATTCCTTTCATTAACATGGTGTTTGGTTGGTGGCCAGGCGTGGCGGCTCACACCTGTAATCCCAGCACTTTGCGGGGGCCGAGACCCGCAGATCACAAGGTCAGGAGACTGAGACCATCCTGCCTAACACGGTGAAACCCCGTCTCCACTAAAAATACAAAAAAAAGAAAAAAACAAAAAACAAAAAAGCTGGGCACGGTGGCGGTCACCTGCAGTCCCAGCTACGCGGGAGGCTGAGGCAGGAGAATGAATCACTTGAACCCGGGAGGCGGAGCTTGCAGTGAGCCGAGATCGTGCCACTGCACTCCAGCCTGGGCAACAGAGCGAGACTCCGTCTCAAAAGATAAAAATAAAAATAAATTAAAAAAATAAAATGCTGTTTGGTTGTTTTTGTTTGTTTGTTTGTTTGAACCCCCTGGGTTTCAGAGCGCACGATAATTTCCTGCTGTACTATTTTCAGCTTAGGTGAAGGGGGATAAGAAAGAATGTGGAAAACTTAATGGAAAAGAAATCTTTTTATACTTCAGTTTCTGGAGCATTGCTTTATATTAGGCATCAGCAAATGTTTTCTGAAAAGGGCCAAATAGGTCATACCATATGACCATACATATGACCAAATGTAGGTCATACAGTCTCTGTCAAATCCTCACAACTCTGCCATTGTAGCATAAAAGTCATGATAACCTATATATACACCGTGGAATACTACTCAGCCACTGAAACGAATGAAATAATGTCTTTTGCAGCAACTTGGATCCAGTTGGGGGCCATTATTCTAAGTGAAATAACACAGGAGTGGAAAACCAACAGTTGTATATTCTCACTTATAAGTGGGAGCTAAGCTGTGAGTATGTAGAGGCACACAGAGTGATATAATGGACTTTAGAGACTTAGAGGGGGAAGGTGGGAGGGGGTCTAGGGATAAAAAACTACACATTAGGTACAATGTATACTACTCAGGTGATGGGTGCACCAGAATCTCAAAATTCACTGCTATATAACTCATCCAGATAACAACAAAAAACCACTGTACTCCAAAAGCTATTGAAACAAAAATAAATAAATAATAAAAATAAAAAATACAATGTAAGCTTCATGAGGGCAAAAAAAAGTCACCAGAAGCAACACTGCATAAATGGGTGTAGCTATGTTCCAATAAAACTTTATTATAAAAGTAGGCCACAGCAAGGATTTGGCTCCCTTAGCCATAGTTTACTAACCATTTTTAAAAATACTCTGCTTCTTGGATTTTGTGATGTTAAAAGAATACAGTTCATCAGAAAATTAAATTTAAAAAGCTTAGTCTAATAATATGCAGACCCTCTAGTACTGAGGGATATGAACCATACAATGTGAGTCTAGATATGGTATTTTATTGTTAAATAAAGGCAAATCAATTTAAAATAATATGTAATTAGTTTCTATTTTACTCTTCCAACTTTTCCCTTTCCTTCCTTTCCCTTCCCTTCTCTCCCCTCCCCTCCCCTCCCCTCCCCTTCCCTTTCGAGACAGAGTCTTGCTCTGTCACCCAGGGCAGAGTTCAGTGGCATGATCTCCACTCACTGCAACATCCGCCTCCAGGGGTTCAAGTGATTCTCCTGCCTCAGCCTCCCGAGCAGCTGGGATTACAGGCATGCGCCACCATGCTCTGCTAATTCTTTATTTTTAGTAGAGATGAGGTCTCACCATGTTGGCCAGGCTGGTCTCAAACTCCTGACCTCAAGTGATCTGCCTGCCTCGGCTTCCCAAAGTGCTGGGATTACAGGCATGAGCCACTGTGCTTGGCCCTGGAACTATGTTTTCAAAAGTCTATAAACTACATAGATTTACTTTTTAAAAATGGGCAGAAGGTAGGCACAGAGTAAAAATACTTCCCATCCAAAAACATCTTCATTCAAATAGGAACATCGGAGGCGACGTGGTGATTGACATTCAGTCCAGCTCCTGATGAAAGTTATTAAGGCTCAGCTTCTCACTCCTGCAACCCTGCTCCTTCATCCCCACCAGCTCTGAAATCAAAGGTGTTGCTAAAAAGGAAGAATGCAAGGAAGGATCACAGGCAAGAGGGCACTGTGCCCAACACCTGGCCTTGCTACATGTTCTGGTCCCAGGTAAATTCCTGAGCAGGTGCTTCAGGAAGGGAAATAGGTTCCTGTGAATCTACTGCTCATCCCTACTCCCTGCAGTGGAAGCCATCAATTGAAAATAATATGTGAATGGTTTCTATTTTACTCTTCAAACATTTGCCTTGCTTTAAGGATTGAATAGATTTCTACACTTGAGAATGTTTAACCTGATTTTGAGATTATCTTATTGTTGCCAACACCAAAACATACCTATGTGATTTTACCAAAGATAAGCGATAACATAGTTCACATTATCACCCAAATAAATGCTATTAGAAAGTACAGTTTGTAATATTATCTTCCTAGTCTATTGTTCAACTATAATTTAATATTGCAAAAATTTCTGCAAACTTAACTTTGGTAAAATCTTTTGTCTTAGTGTTAGGGCAAATATTCTCAAATCATTAACATAACCCCCCTTTTTTTTTTTTAAATGTATGAGGTCTTGGGCGAGAAAATCCTTGCCCAATATAGAAAATAATATCATCTCAGAGTTTAACTAGCAAAGCACATACAGTTTGTATGATTGACCAACTGTCACAAACAACTAAGAACTTGTCTCTAAACCTATGTCTCTGCATTCAAGACTTCTGTCAGAATGCTATGGGAATATCTCAGGCTAAAATGAAATTGCATTTTAGTAAGCAGAAACTTAATAAAATGTAATTTACTATATTTGAGGGAAGACTACCCAGTTTATTGATCATCTATAATCTGTAAAAATTTTATTTCATTTTCATTTGTTGGCACTAGGTGAATGATCCTTTTCCCGACCAAATTCTAACACCAGCAGCTGCATGCCTTCTGAGAGCAGGGTGTGTACATCACCCAGAGAAGGCTACCGATAAACATTCATTCAGGGTGGCATTTGCTTGTTTGGATGCCTTAAAGTCCACGGTCCAGCCTTCAAACTTGAAGCATGAATTGTTGGCACACACACATTGTCTGGAAGCTGGGGATTCACAATAACCACCACTCACAGAGAGCACTGTATTAAACCTTAATGAAAGGGCTGAAGTGTCTAGATTAGCAGGTCAATATATTATTTCCCAGTAGATGAGCTACTTGGGCAGACGTGTTTTCATAGGTGTGATGAACTAGAACCAGAAGAGAAATTCATTATAAAGTAAGAATGTTAAATCGTCTCAGGGTTTCATAATTTTCCATCTTCATAATGGTCACATCTATTGGAAGGGTAGTCCTCTTGCTGGCTTGACAGGGTATTACTCACCTAAATAGTGTGCCGGAATAGGCATAGCTTCTCTTTTCCACCACAAATTCCTTACTCTCTCATCCCTTCTCTAACCCAAGATCAACGGAATTAGAATGGAAGTAACCCAGAAATCTTCTTGTTTAGGGGATTCTCATACAGACAGACCCCGTTTTTGGTGACCCCTGTTCTTTGATGTCAGACAGCCACAGATCAAAATTTTGGGTCTATCACTTATAAAAATTAACTTAGGAGAGTTACATAATCATTCAGATCCTCCATTTCTCATCTATCAAATAGGTCTGATAATAATTTCCTATCAGGGATGTTGGAAGAAGTAAGAGCAATGATATTTGTAAACCCAATGCTGACTAAACACTCAATAAACTAGGTAGCTGTTTACTGTCTTTCCCTAAATAGGGTGTGATGCAATTGTTTAAGTCATTGTATGTTAAACCAAATTTCTATTTTAGCCTGGATCTTGGAGAAAATTTCTTTCTTTCTTTCTTTTTTTTTTTTTTGTTTGAGACAAAGTCTCACTTTGTTGTCTAGCCTGGAGCACAGTGGTGCAATCTCGGCTCACTGCAACCTCCGCCTCCGGGTTCAAGTGATTCTCCTGCTTCAACCTCCTGAGTAGTTGGGATTACAGGCACACACCACCACGCCCAGCTAATTTTTGTATTTTCAGTAGAGACGGGGTTTCACCATGTTGGTCAGACTGGTCTCGAACTCCTGACCTTGTGATCCACCCGACTCAGCCTCCCAAAGTGCTGGGATTACAGGTGTGAGCCACCACACCCAGCCAAATTTTCTAATTAGTCTAATTACTCATTTGTAGTCATGTGATGATATACCTATGACTCCAGTCAAATTAATTGGGGGTGGATGTCTCATCAATTCCCCAAAATAGAGACAAAGAGGCTTTTAAAAATAATTTTAATTACAAAAAACTCAAGGCACATATCAGTGGGTTGAGAATATTTCAACAGAAAGCAAGGCTCACCAGAGTCACATTTTGAGAAAACAGCCACTGGCTATCTGTGCCACATATTGTGGCTGCTTCTGATACTGTCAAGCCATGTTGGTGGCAAACCAGGCTTCGAATTCTGAAGTTCTCAAGGAGCTAAATCCAATGGGTGTTCCGCCAACAAAGAGGATCTCTCATCCTCCGATGGTGTTAAACT
Source organism: Homo sapiens (assembly GCF_000001405.40). NCBI lineage: Eukaryota > Metazoa > Chordata > Mammalia > Primates > Hominidae > Homo > Homo sapiens. The sequence goes on from NC_000005.10 coordinate 58,133,319, forward strand.
TCAAAACATGTGTGTAAAAAAGCTGACAAAGATTACCATTTTTTTTTTCCGTTTTTAAAAATAGCCAGCAAGGCAATTTACCCACCAAGGACTATTCTGTTCATGTTGTTCCTTCCACTTTTACTGCATATGCCCATATGCACGTTAACCATTTATTTTAAGTTGACACAGCTAGCAGCTAGTGATCATCCTAAAAAGCACATATGTGACCTGTTAGCTATTCTCGACAGATATATCAGCCTCTGGTTTTCCGGTCCTGTTTTGGTAAAAGAAGAATCCATGAAATGAGAGGTTGAAAATAAGTCCTTCATGCCTTGCTGTGAGATCTTAAGAGAAGCCACTGACCAAGGCAGGCAGACAGATGACAGCTGCCTTATATTCAAACAATCCTGATCTGCTTCCAAAGATTCAGAAAACTCCAAGCATGAGCCGTGTTTTACTTAGCATCTGGTATCATCACAAGTATGTTTTCAATCACTCACCAGTTTTCAAAGGGTAATTACTTTTTTATATTGCCTGAATACATCATGTATGTGTCTTTTCTCAGGCTTTTGTGGATTTTATTTTTTGCAACAATGCTCATAAGCTTGTTACCAGGGAGTGGATATCTTAAACATTGCCACATGTCTAAATATGACAGATTGAATTAGAGGAAATGTAAAGAGTTGCATGACTCAGTGTTAACAATAAAGGACTTTTAAATTGCATTGTAAAGAAACATACTGTAGGAATTGTCATAAAGCACTAGGGTGAAAATATTTCAACATCGTTACTTCAGATAATTGCCCTTTTGAAAATTTCAAAGGAAGTTTAATTTAACTGAACTCAAGTTACCCAACCTTCTTTTATTTCTCAGAGCATGTGTTCTGCAGACGTGAGTGACAAATCTAAATCCTGGGAGCTAAGCCAATGTTACATTTGCAATTCGTAAAATTTAAACCATCTCTGTGAAGATGCTTTTAAGTCAGTGTCCGGAGCATGTTTAAGCTCTACTTTCTATATAACTTTAGACTTGTGGATTAATGATTATTTTTACAATAGCCTTTGCTATTTGTGCAACATGGCCACATTGTTTTGCAGTTTAGGAAAAATAGTCTTAAAAGTAGATTATTATTTGTTTTTGACAAGGTCTCACTCTGTTTCCCTGGCTGAAGCGCAGTGGTGTTATCATGGCTCACTGCAGCCTTGACCTCTGGGTTCTAGCAATTCTCCTACCTCAACCTCTGGAGTAGCTGGGACTACAGGTGCGTGCCACCATGCCTGGCTAATTTCTGTTTTTGTTTTGTTTTGTTGTAGAGAAAAGGTTTTGCCATGTTGCCAGGGCTGATCTTGAACTCCTGGGCTCAAGCCATTGGCCCCCTCAGCCTCTCAAAGGGCTGGAATTACAGGCTTGAGACACTGCACCTGGTCTAAAAGTAGATTTTTTTTTTTTACGGTAAAATATTGTGTTCTAGAGTGAATTTGGGAGCTGGAAGTTGTTTAGCCAGGACTTTGAGTCTTGCCAGGTGTAACTCTGTTTCACATTCTGAAGATAATAGGAATGGCTGTTACAAATGTGTGATCAGTGATGCATCTAGAATCTTCAGCTGTTAAAGGCAGCCTGGTGGAGAAATGGGTGCTGGAAGTTCTGGGCCAAAGTCAGCATAGAATAGAAAATATTTTAATATTTCTCTTTCCATTGAGATACGTATTACATGTTGTTGACAATATTATATTGAGATATATGCATCAAAATACAATGATCTTATAATAGAGATTAGGGTTTGTTATTTTCATATACATTCTATAATTTGATCCATGTAGAACAAATAATATTAATTTTATTTGTTCAATGACAAAATTCAATAAAGCCCAGAGAACATTGCTAGAAAATGATGCTACTTACAGCAAGTGACAAGTCAAAGAAGTTACACATTCCTGCTCTTCAAAGTAATGCCTGTCTGTCACTTGTCAATTATCAGAGGTTTGAGGGAGAAAGTAAAGGGATCCAACATCCTTTTTATAAGGGGAACAGTCTCCTCTGTTTTCCTCCCCAAGACACGATCTTTCTAGAAATGCAATCTTACAGAGTAAACATTTGAGAGAAATTATCTTTCATATCATTCCACCTGAAATATAAGAAATTAGATTAGCCTGCTTTTCTGATATCATGAATGCTACTGATCTTATGTTATACAAACAGAAATATCTCCTATTGAATGGTCTCATTAAAATTTGCTGACTATAAGCACATCAATCTTTTTTTTTCCCCATGACCCTTGGGTGGGGGCTGAGGAAGACTTGTGAGTCTGGCCCTTCAACTGTTCTTCCAGGGACTTCCCTGTGTCTGCTGAATAGGCACAAGTCCTGGGAAAGTGATGCACCATCACAGAAAGGACAGAGTTTTTCCAAAGCCAGAGGAATGGCTGCCAATAAGAGCAGCAACTTAGGGGAGATCCCAGGGCAAACAGATGCACAGTGACTCAAGGGCTGACTGAGACCCAAGGGGTTTCTCCCCAGCTGAACATGTTCTCAGGAATTCAAGAGGTCAAATCATCATGTCTTAATTTGACACAACACCATGTCTTTAATGAGAAGTAGAGAGTTAAACAAAAACTCACCCATACCATTTGGCCTTCTACCTCTAACCCAGGAGAAGGTCCCATTTAACCTTTCTAAAGGCACAATTGTTATTCACGAAGCATCGTTTTCATCTAAATTCTTGATGGTGACTAAAGCAAAGATGAGTAATGCATGCAAATCCATTTCTGTAAAGTGCTATACAAAGTTTATTATTTTTCTTGATTTAACTACTTTAAAAATAAAACAGAAAACATAACCAATGCTTTCCTAAGTACACAAGCACATGAGGTCATGCTTCCACTCCTTATTGTGGTTAGACGTGCGGAAGGGGGAGATGAGGACACAAAGGAGAAGAGGAAAGAGTCAACAATAAGCAAATAATAAGAGAGTAAAAATTTTTATATGCATGCAAAATGAGGTCACGTCTTGCCTTTCCTTTAGGCTTCAAATTTTATTAAGTCTTCAAACGATTTGTTAATCTAACTCTTATATTTTAAGATATTCTTCTTATTATATAATGAGAAAAGTCTAGCAGAGTGAATATTATTCTCTGAGATGGAAGAGCTTACAGAAGAGCTGTACACCTCTCAGGGGCCATGTGACGTTAAAGGGTTAACTTCATGGTCTCACGACTCATAGCCACACAGGACCCCATGCTTGGGAGGGCCCACACTTGGTTTGATGTTCTGTTGTCTCAGTCTTTCCATTCTTAATAATTCATGAACCAGGTGTCCTGCATTTTCACTTGGACTGGGCACCGCAGATTATGCAGCTGGTCCTGGACATCAAGCTAAGCCCTAGGCTACAGCCTCGATAGCCTCATTTAACAAAAACTGTGTGAATGTGTATGTGTGTGTGCTCTGCAATCTTCGAAAACAGTATTAGAATCATTTCTAAAAAGGATATTTATATTTAGAAATTATAACCTTCTCAATGTACCTGATTCTTCTTGGAAGTATTTCATATCATTCTTAATCAAAATATTTTCTCTTCATCTAATTTTTACTGGGTAAAATGAAAATACATGAGAAAAATATGTAAATGAAAAACCAATTATTTTTTATTATCAGTAATTCTGAATGGCAGATAGAAATAAGTGAATAGGGATACATCTAGAATTTTCAGCTCTTAGGGCACCTGGAGGAGGAATATCTGAATATTCCCTCAGGAATATTCACAGGTCCTGGTCTGAAGTAAGAAGAGCATCAGTAATTTAAAGATTTCCTTACATTTATCACCTAAATCAACTAACATTTTACCTCAACGTCTGTCCCCAAACCAGTTTTCTTGCTCCCAATTCCCATGTTTATTTCTTGGTCTTCCATGTTTTAATTTCTCACTATGAGAATTGTTCATCATGGAAATGTTTGCATTCCCTTACTCACTTGGCCTTTGCTGGTAGTCTGGACTTAAGCAACTGTGTACTCATCTTCTCAGAGATTAATTTTGATATTCCAAGCATTTTTTAGTTTCAAATCAATTGGGATGAGTTGAATTGTGTCCTGCCCTTCAAAAATTAGATATGTTGGGCTAGACACGTGCTGTAGTTCCAGCTACTCAGGAGGCTGAGCCCAGAAGTTCAAGGCTGCAGTGTGCTATGATGGGATCTGTGAATAGCCACTGTGCTCCATCCTGGGCGACTAGCAAGACCCTGTCTCTGGCAAAAATGAAAAAATAGATATGTTGGAATCCTAAATCTCAGTACCTCAGAATGTAGCCTTATTTGCAGATATGGTCTTTACAGAGGTAATCAATTTAAAATGAGGTCTTTAGAATGGGCTGTACTCCAATATGACTGCTGTATTTATAAAAGGGGGATGTTTGAACACAGAGACAGACACGCAGAGGGACAATGAAGAAACACAAAGAGAAGATGGCTGTCTATAAGTCAAAGTGAGAGTTCTGGACCGGATTCTTCCCTCAGAGCCCTCGAAAGTAACCAATCCCACCAGCAACTTGATTTTGGACTTCTCATCTCCAGAACTGTGAGACAATTAATTTCTGTTCTTTAAGTCACCCAGTTTGTGATACTTTGTTACAACAGACCCAGCAAGCTAATGTATCAAACATATTAAAAATCTTTAAGGCATACTCTTGTGGTATCCTAAGGTGATGGTTCTTAATTATGACATCTCAACACACTGGTGTGTGAGAGCAGTGTGGGAGGTTTATTATACATCATTGTTCTCACTATTAATAGTTACAGTAAGAATATACCTTTTAAGACTTTTTTGTCTTATGTACAGGAATTGGTTAAGATTCTCTCCATAATAAAATGCATGACTCTCATTCATTTAAATTTTGATATGTTTCCTTGAAATTCATAAAATAGAAAGATAGCTAACGTGCTTGGGACAAACCACCCTGGTTAGGCCTAGTAAAATGTTTTTAGCACATGTGATTGCCATCTGTCCTGTGGGGCTGGGAAAAATATTTGCAACTGCTCTCCATAAGACCAACTATTAAACTCTAACCGCTCTCACAATAGACCCATTTTGAAAGAAGCTGCCTCACCTGCAATTCTATTTTCTAAATGATTTGTATGTTAGTCAGGACATTATTTCCCTCTTCCGTACTATCATTATGGAATTTGCACCAACACAGCTATATCTACTTGATTTTTACTAGGATGCAATAGTCAAAAAAGGAGACACTTATCCCAACCATTACTACATAACCATATTAGATTTATTTTTACTAAATTAACAAACTCAGAATCATAAAACTGGTGGTCAGACACCACCCTTTATTGTTATGTTTCCAAATGCAATAGATATCATTTTTGTCAAAATAATTAATGAACATAAAATTTTATATTTTCTCCAGGTTGATGTTGAATCACTGATAATTACTGAGATTAATCATAGCTAAATATTTAGGAACTTATCTGATTTTCAAAGGTACTTACTAGTGACATTTATGTAAATGGTAGAAAACTAAGCAAAAGTATTTCAAAGGGGGCTCTCTCCAAACGACAGTCTCTAATATAGCTTCATTACTCTTGTCTGGTGCGGAAGGTATTCCTTAGAGTTATTTTAAACAATCATTTTGCAACATCTTTTGACTTAAGACTCACATTCATAGTAACATGCAATGTTCTGAATACTCAGCACTTTTTAGTCTTTTCATCATTTTTGCAGAATACTGAATAAAAAATTGTTTCATAAAAATCTTTTACTTCAAGTATAAAACTAAAAATTATTTTAATTTTTGAATTAAAAAATATTATTTGAAGTAAAAATTGAATTTTACTTCAATGTACTTTTCAGTAACATTCATATTATATAAAAAAAATTGCAACTTTCCACATTGATCCTATAAAGGCACATAACTTAATTTTTTTGAAATTATTTCATAAAAGGTAAATTTCAGACAAACTTTTAATGACCATGTATGTTGGTTTAGTGACAGTTTATATAAAAATGTTAAACGTTAACATGTTTTAGCAATCAAAATTATACTAAACTGCTTTTGTAACAATATAAACTCTGATGTTTTTTAATTTTAGAAGCTTATATTGATGTCTTATATTTTCTAAAATGCTATGTGAGAGAGAAGGTTTTAAACTGTGAATGCAAACATTTCTTTACCAGTATCCCACTTTGATGTATCTACTCTTTATTGCCAATAAATGAAAACCCAGATTAGATATAATAATGTATTTTGCCTTTAAAAATCGTTATTTTTCGGAAGTTGTAAAACCATCTTATTATTATGCAAAATATTTTTTATTAAAGGAATACAACCTATAGATCAGGCAAAGATCACTGAGGCAAATGTGTAGAATTGTTATTGTTTATATGTTTGTCCTTAACATTCATATTCCAAGGTCAATGTTCCTGGTGCTTCCTGTCGTTCAGCGATGGTCAATTATAAGTTTAAATTAAACAATTGGTGACTATAAGGCAAGAGCATTTAGAGCTGTATGATTGGAGATGGAAGAAAAGGTGTTCAGATGAGTCATGGTTATACTCACCAGAGCTCTCCTGCCATCTTACCCTATTAAGTAGGTTACTGAAGGCTCTCATGTTGTTCTGTGTTAAAGAAAATAAATATTAAAATAATCTTAGTTACTGTAAGATTGGATTAAGACGGCTATCTTGGTGTACATGTATGTGTACCCCCCTCCTCCTCGGATGCCCTTGAAATGAGAAAAGTTATCTATATTTTTAAAAGGAAACGAACTGTTGAAAAAGGAATCTTCCTAGCAAACTGGAAGCCTTAAGAAGTTCCTGAAGTATAGAAGTCAAATAGAATTGGAATGACAGAGACACAAGACTAGAGGGCATCATCGCCCAAAACGCATACAGGAGATGACTGGCAAGCTGCTTTGGGGGGTGATCAGAATTGAAAATCAACCAGTATAAAGAGCAGGAGGGTTTTTCAGGGGCACTAGAAAAGGGTTAGCATCTGTGTGAGTCCTTGCAGAAGCAGTAGAATGTTTCCCTGTATTGAAATGGTGACCATGAGCACAGAAAATAGATCAGTGCTATAGGTAGCCAGTGATCCCAGGAAGAAATGATGCTGCCATAGCCTGAAGATGGGTCCTCAGAATATCCCAACAAGATCAGCAAGGCCACCTACCATCACCAGAGGCAAGGTCTGTAATCTGCTAGCCCTCACTGATGGACGAACAGAGCTTCTTAGATACCAACATGAAATAGCTGATGGGATTGTATCATCTTTAAAGCAGGAGATAATGGATAGTATCCAAAACTGATAAAGCAAAACCAGAGCCAAAAGCATATTATTGAAACTTGTGGTAATGAGAGCTAGGATAACTAAGTAGTCAATGACAGCAGGTGAGTCAGGAGATGGTTGCTTTTTATTCTATGAAGTTTGATCTTTGTTTTTGTTTCTCTTCTTGTTTTACAACATACATTATAGAAAACTAGTAAATTATTAGTAAGATAATTCTTTGATCTTGATGCCTATATTAAAAAATTCAATAAAAGTATTTTCACTGCAATAGCTGCACAATTTCCAAATATCTTAAAGAGGATTTTACAAAAAGTAGATGGACATATAACAACAACCACAGTACTTAGCAAGAAAGCAGATTTGAATACATTAGGAAACAATCCACATTACTACATGGGAATAAGCAATAACACAAATGTTAGTTTTTCCAAGATTAATCTTAAAAATTCACAAAAATTCCATGAAGATTTAAAAAACTGAAACCTGAGAAGGTTGTTCTTGAGTTTATCTGATAGATAGGTGGAAGAATAGCTAACTGTTTTTCCCCCAAAGGAACACAGAAAAGAACTTTCCCTACAGTGGACAAAATATAGATAAACTTGTAGAAATTATGAGAGTGATAATGACACAAAAATAGATAATAAGATCAATGGAATGGATTCCCATGACAGGCCTAAGTATGGTTATGACTTATATGATCAAAGAAGCATTTCTTCCCAATAGAGAAAAGAACCATTCTATAAATCATGCTGGGGCAATGGGCGCTCTATTGTTTAAAAAAAAATAAAAAATAAAAAACAAATTTCACTTCATGCCATACATAAATGTTTTATATTACATAGGAAACAAAAACTACTTTTACAAATAAAACTATAAAATATTAGAATACAACACGAGAATTCTTCTTTATTACTGGTTTTTGGGGGATAGGGACATAAATCACAAATATCAAAAAGAAAAACATGAAGCTGTGAACATATGCTTATGTTAAGGAAAAGGAATAAGATTAGGGTGGGAGATTACACACGCATATTCCATACATACATATTTTTGTAGTATTTGAATCTTTTACAACCATAATAAGTTTATTTATTAACTATGTTTTTATTAAATATAGAACCAGCAAAAACTCACAACTAGGAACACCTCACACTTGTCTGTATGAATACCTGGACCACACTTGAGAATCCTGATTGACAATCATTGTGTTAAGCCAGCTAAATTCCCTGCAGCAATGGGATGAGCCCTGCTCCCTGGGTAAGGCCGGTGTGGATGAAGAAGTGGTCAGAGGCTGCATAGGCTATAGTTTAACCTTGAATCACTTTATTACACATATAATGCAGAAAAGTCATCAGAAATTTGCTTGACCTAAGTAGCAAGATAGTTTTGCGAGGAAATTTTTTGTTTACTGGCATTACAGTCACATGGAATTTGAAAGTTGGTAAATTTATCTTTGGCTCTTTTCAGCTTCTTCTATTTTTTTTATTTCTCTTTCTCTCTTTTTTTTTTTTTTTTTTTTTGGAAACTTTCTTCATCCAGAATGTTCTTTCTTTACAATTTCTGAATCTTCGTTGCCCCTGTAATATTGTGACTCCTCACAACCCACAGATGACTTCAACCCAATTCTGCTTTACCTGAAGATTTCAACTTTTCCAGTCAACATTCCCTTTTTACTAGTTCTGTCTGTTCTTACTATTTTATTAAAATCTTATCTAATTGAAATATTGATAAGATGTGAAAATGGTCGCATCACCCAGTGACATTTGCATTAAAAAAGGCGTGTGTTACCCCCAGTACAATCTATAATTAATGGGCTGTGTGGCCAACTCTTGTCAAACAATGTTTCTTATTTTTCCCCCTTTTTGTCATAACAACCACAGAAAAAAATTGTCAGCACTGTTCCAACGGGCTTCTGAAAGGCCCACAACCAAGCATGCTAACTATACAGGAAGCACTTGACTGAGAGCTTAAATATTACCGTGATGACTTCACAGGGAAAAAGTGAGATTAAATTGAGTTCCATGTCATTGCTTTTTGGTCCTTTGTGACCACCCAGATGTTTGAAAACTGATCATCACTGATCAATTTTCATAGATCAAATGTTTCAACATTTGGTCTAGCAATTCTTTAGAAATCCAAGGTATGCTGACAAAATCTAGTTTGCTGAATTGGTTTTCCTCTCATCTGAAATGCCTTAACATGATCTTTTATATTGAGAAAAAGTGCTGTAGTTTGTTGAAACTCCAAATAAAACTGCGCCTTTTTTTGATATTCCTGTTCCATTCTAGGTTCCTGGTGGGAAGAGTCACATCTCATCTCAGTAGCTTTCCTTTTGTAGGGTGCTGCATCCTTCTCAAAATGGGTACATTTTCCTTGTTTGACTAGATACTGATTGTGTCCATCTTACTGACCAATTGCTGAATATTCACTTTCCCCAGAACATGGAACCTCAGCACAGCTTTTTCTCCGTCCTGCCTTTAGTTCTGGGGAGGGCTAACAATAATACATGTAAAATTCTTAGCTCACTGTCTGAAACATAACAGATGCTAAAAGATGAGTGACAGTTATTGATTCTTACTGTTCATTTTCATGCCATAATCACCACTGAAACAGCCCTTATAACGACAGTAAACATATACAGCATGTTTATAAAATGACACAACACTGCTAAGCATGTTCAAGGGGCTTAGCTTGTGACATAGATAGTACCTTAGGTTTCTCATTTCACATGTCAGAAAACTGAAGCTTTGAGAAGTTAAATAACTTATTCAAGTTCACACTGGAAGAGCTGGGATGGAAGCCAATGGTCTGCCTCCAAGCATGGACTCCACAGCATGGAATAAAATGAAGACTCCTATTATTAGCATGATGTCATTATGGTGAGGAAGGATAGAAAGCATCAGTAAAGGAGCTTAGTGTGGAACTAATTTCTCTATAAAGCATGACATTCTCTATTTGCCTTTTTCTATTTATTGTTATCAGCACTTGCCATAAAGCTGTATTTTATCTTCAATGTATCTCCTTTTCTGTTGTCTATGATTAGGAATTTTCTTAGTTTTTAAGAGTCAGAACTCAGTTTTGGGAGAGATTGGGAATTAAATAAATGAGAAATGATTTACTAGGGTCACTTGCAATGGATCACCTTTCCATAGTCTTCAAAATCACTGGTCATGTCTACTAAGAATCAAATGCAGCCTATAGACTTTCATTGCGGCCTAGATTTAGCTCCTTCTCCCCTGCTGAACTCCTTTCAATTTCCCCACTTGAAGTCATTGGTCTCATCTCTTCAACCTGATTTTTTTTTTCTGCTCAATCAGGTGCTGAATAGCTGTCTAGAAAGCCATTATCAGAGGCTTTCTCCCTCCTGCCAAGAAAAGCCTTCAATAGCAAAAAGTTCACATTGCTTCAGATTGCATGCATGCGTGACATCCATAAATCATATAGAAATAATTTGGAAACATGGCTGAGAGATGGTGCAGTGGTGGTACAACACCTTTATGAAGACTATAACATGACCACCCAAGAAAGTTATTTATTCTTGTTACTACAACTACAAGATAATATTTTTTCTGGCTTTTACAAAGTGTATCAGATGACAGGAGGAAGCCTAAGTAAAATGCTGATAACAACTGCTACACTTTTTCTCTAGCATTTATTTACTAAATCATAGATGTTCAAAATAAAAAGGATCTTGAAGGCTCGATTTGCGCATCTCCTTGTCTTAAGCATTTGTCTCCCTTAAAATAATTCCACGACCTCTTTCATTTATCTATGTCAGTATTTATTACAGGGATTACTATCACTTTTCATTAAGAAATGTCAGTCACTATTCTAAATATACTTTAAACAGTAAACACTGCATTTCCTTTCTACTCCAACCTATAAAAAAACCAGAATCTCAGTTTGTTTGGTTTTGTTACTGTGGACTTATCAGAAGATGATAGCATCTGTTATTGTCCTGGAGCAAAAATTTAATACTACACTGTCTGCAGGGCTTGACACCAATCGGAAAATTACTTTGGAGAAAATGTGAAGTAGGAGGAACATTTAGTTTTTTCTTCTTTATTTAGTTGTTTTCTTCTTTTCTTCTTTATTTAGTTTATTCAGTTAGTTATTTTCTTCTTTATGTAGTTTTTTTCTTCATGCATTGATCAGAACATTCTGTTCATTATTATTATTATTATTTGTTTATTTATTTATTTTGAGATGGAGTCTCACTCTGTTGCTCAGGCTGGAGTGCAGTGGTGTGATCTCAGCTCGCTGCAACCTCCGCCTCCCAGGTTCAAGCAATTCTCCTGCCTCAGCCTCCCAAGTAGCTGGGATTACAGGCATGCGCCACTATGGCCAGCTAATTTTTGTGTTTTTAGTTAGAGATGAGGCTTTGCCATGTTGGCCAGGCAAAGACTCAAGCAATCCACCCACCTCAGTCTCCCAAAGTTCTGGGATTACAGGTGTGAGCCACTGCCCCTGGACCCTTATTATTATTTTTAATTGGGGTAGTTGTAGCTGTTCTAGCCTGTTCTGGGTTCCTCCAATATTAAGGCTTTTGATGCCCATTACTGGCAGATGGTACTGTTTCTATCAAAATAATGAGCATCAGCTACTTGGGGATGCCTCTTTAAATTACTCCTTTGTACTTATTTCATGGAAGGTAGATCTAAAAGGGGCTTTTTTTTTTAAGCACACGACCAGGTTTTATGTCTTACTAAATTGAGTATATTATCTGACAACAAATGTAAAATTAATTAAGCTGTGCTTAACATGATCCTATTCCCTTCATCTGTACAGTGAAAAGGCTGGCATAGAAGCTGTCTGAATCTATGAAATCAAAAAAGGATCAAAGTAGAGACACAAATTCCTCTGAACTTGAAATTGAAATGAGTGTGTTGCCAGCATCTATTCATCCGCCTAAAACCAAGTAAATCATTTCAGAAGAAGTTTTCAGCAGTCTATCAAAGTGACAAGAGTGGTGAGGTAGTAAAGTAGAAACGCATTGACAACTTTATTCCTATTGACTGGATAAATAATCTTCATGACTCAAAGTGATGAAACGCATCAGAAATAGAAGCAAAATGTTCACGTTTCAGTCCGTGAGTAGGGCTTGAATCCCACAGGAGGAATTAAGAAAAAGAAGCGAACACTCGGAGGATAACATCGCAATATTACTTAGCCATTATTCTTTACAGTGTTAGGCCCCTTCCAGAGATGTTTGACTGATTTGTTGCTTGTCCACGTAGATGCGTGAATACACTAAATAGTCATCAAATATGGGTCAAGTAGTGTGCTGGTTGTTTTACGTATGTTCTCCTTTAATTTACCCAACAATATTGTGACATATCATCATTATTTTAAGAATGAGAAAGCTTAAAGTTAATAGAGATTAAAAAATAATTTTCCAACTCTCTATAATGAGCAGGTAGTAAGATCAGAATTCATATCTTCATCTGTCAAAACCAAAGCCCATATTCTAAATCACTTACAGTGAGTAAAAGGGGCTTCTTAAAACTTTATATGTAAGAATGTAATCTTAAATGAGAAAACAAACTAGCTTTTAAACTATGTGCTGTGACTTTTCTGACACAATGTGTTTATAATTTTTTTCCACTTGACAAAAAAAGAACCACATATTAGACTAATTGTGCTTAGGGTACAGAATATGAGCATGTTTTGACTTAAAATGTAAAATAAATAATGAACTAATAGTAGACACCCCAACCTGATCATAGAAAACTTTTGTTTTTAATTTCTCTTGGTAGTCAGTCTTTGTGAATGTGGATTTAAGCCACCAAATCCTTTACTATGTATTACTAAAACATAAGGCAAGGAGAAAGCATTCCCATTTCTGATGTAGCAGCCTCGGATAAAAGAGGCTAGTGAGAGGCCTTAATGTGAGTGTTCCATAATCTTTTGTGCCATGAATCCCTCTGTAGTCTGAAGAAGCTTTGGAACTCTTCTCAGAATGATGTTTTTAAATGAATAAAATAATATACATAGAATTCCCAAGGAAACCAATTGTATTGAAATGTAGTCATCAAGAGTTTATTTTAATGTAATACAGTAATATATGACCTTCTCTATTAATGTGTTAAGTAACAACATCTGTGGTAGGTATAATAACTGTTTGCATTTGAAGTAGGGGTGAATGCAAAATGTATTGCAAGATCTGCAATAAGTGTAATGAGATATGAAAAAAATATGTGATTTCTCTTGGTGAGAAAGTTGCATGTACTGCTAGTAACCATGTGACATGGTACCTACCTTCATATTTGGAGGTAATGAGAATTTTGTTCTTAGAGTTCAATAAAAATGAATATGTACTTTTTTCCTGCCCAAGTTCACCCAGGGGTTTAAAGGATTTTGTATTAGAACGTCTTTTCTAAAGAATAAGAGCTGGAGGTAACAGGGAGAAGGACCGTAGAAATTTGAGACCTGGTCAGAGACTGGGGCTACTGTGACACATATTTTGCTTGTGCAATTGCTTTTGAAAGTTACTGTATTTTGGGGGAAAAGAATAAAAGGTGTTTAGAAGAAAATGCTTGGCTACTTTGATATTTTAATATTTTCCCTATAACAACAAAAAAATTAGGCCATTCTCCCTTTAAGTGCTTGATATGCACAATACCAAAACTGGTATTGTAAAACTGGCAGAGATTTACAAGAAATTTTCTATCCCACTGGCCAAAAAATAATCCTAGCAATATGGTGTAACCGGTATAAAAGAAGAATAGATGAGTCAAAAATAAAAATAAATAAGTGAGTAAATAAGTGGGAGAGAGGGAAAAACTCTGCATTACATAAAATGCCAACTAATAACGTAGGAAGAAAGAATGATACAGTTAAAAAACCACCACTTTGCAATCAACGTATTAATAATTGATTCATGCAAGAATCATCAGTGGATGAATAGAAAAGAAAATCTTTACTGTCTCATAAATTACTTATCAATTACAAAGAGTTAAAGATAGTAACTTTATCATATTAAAATTTGAAGGATGCCACCATAGCCAACATCACCAATAATGGAACAAACTGATATTGTACACCTCGTAATGTGATACAATTAGGACTAATTGTAAAACATCATAAAGATCCAAATTGAGGGGCATTTATACAAACAACTGGTCTTTACTTTTGTTTTTCTTCTTTCCCTCTTCCTTCCCTCTTTTTTCCACCCTCAATGTTGAATCCTAAGATGAGAGTTACTTTCTTCAAAGCAAATTAAAAGTAGTATGCCATTTCCATCTGACTCTTATTTTATACACTAAACAAGACTAGTATGATTTGAAACAAAGAAACTTCTTTGTATGAGAAACAGCGCTTGGAAATTTAAAAATGAAAGCTGAGATTTAAACATATAATAAACATCTGGACTATCTGTGTCAAAAAGCTTCTGCTGCTGTATGAGTTTTCCATCACTAAAACAAATTACCAAAATTTGGTGGCTTAAAACAACCCAGACATATTATTTTACAGTTCCGAAGGTCAGCTGTCCAACAGGGGTCTCACTGGGCTAAAATCAAGATGTTGTCAGTCATTTCTGGAGGCTGTGAGGGAGAATCAGTTTCCTTGCCTTATCAAGCTTCTAGAGACCATCCTATGGCTCATGACCCCTTTCTTCCACCTTCAAAGTCAGCCAGAGTCTCTTCTCAGGTTGTCATTGCTCTTGTTCTCCCTATTCTGTCTCCCTCTTCCACACTGAAGAACACTTGGGATGCTATTGGGCCCACCTAAGTAATCCAGTATAATCCCTCTATTTTAAGGTCAGTGGATTAGCAAATTCAATTCCATCCATAATCTTCCATTTTAAAGCATACTACTGGCAATATTGGAGGGTGTTGCCTCTAGAAGTATAATAGAATCCAAACAATTAGGAGTGGTCACTAGGAGACTAAGCCTGGATGCCTCTTCAGTGGATGCCTCTCCTGTGGAGCTCCTTGGATTTCATTAATCACACAATGAAGTAAGACATTGAAATGAGATCCATTGAATGGAATATCACAACAGGTCTTGCTGCCAACTTTGAATGTTTTCACCAACTGTAGTTATTTTGCCCAATTGGAATGTCAACTCTTTTAACCTCCCCCATTGGAATTCTATGTATCCTTCCAGGCTCAACACTGGTCCCTTTTTATCATAAAACCTTTTTTAGTATTTTAACCCCAAGAGGTTCTCCCTTTTCCAAACTCCTATCAGATGTATGGTACATATTTTATAATTTTGTTTCCAATTAGATACTGCATTCTATTGCTTACTATTGTCTCATCATCATTGTCATCATCATTGCTCTCATTTACTGAGCCCTCACGATGGGTCAGTTTCTGCACTCAGTGTCTGATGAGGATTATCTGACTTAATTCTCATAAATGCCTCTCAGGGTAGTTATCGTTATCTTTAACTTGCAGAAGATGAAATGTAGACTCAGAAGATAAAATCTGGGGCCCAAGTTCAAACAGCCAGAAAGTGGAGAAATACATATTATTTGAACCCAAATTCGTCTGACATGAGTTTAGTGCTTCAGATGATAGCTGCTTTATTCTTAGATTATAAGCTCCTCCACGATGGGACTCCCTTATAATTTTTCTGAAACTCCCACAGCACCTGGGACAGACTTAGGTATACTGCAGGAGCCCCATAATAGCACTGAATTTGACACAAATGTGAACTTGAAGCAGAAGGGTGCTATATGCAATGTAAGTTGCCCCAGCTTTGGTTCATTGTATGAGTGAAGCATTTGCACAGCAAGTTGAGGAATCTGTTTCAAAAAGTTTTATTCTGTGCCTGTAAGGATGCCCAGTAGGTTAGGAAAATTTTGGGAATTCCCTTCACTGGTTTTGGAAAGATGACTATGGTAACTTGGGTCAGCGAGTCATCTAGCTGAGACAGTGTAGCCAGGAGAATACCAATGCCTCCAACCATAGCATTTACATTGTTTCAACACCCAACCAGTTGCCACTAAAATAATTCCAAATAATTCCACTCAAAGGAGTGGTCGTGGTTATGTCCAAATCTCTGTGGGCCTGCTCCCTGCTCTCAGCCAGCCCTTTGGGGAAACTGAAGTGCCACTTCACAGAGCCCCGCCCTGGTATGAAATTCCAGAGCACTTACACTTGTGTTTAATGATAATAATTAAGGTTTATAAGAGCTCTTCAGTGCAGACAGATGATGTATTTTATTACTGATGCAGTAGCATATCATTTCTTAGACCAGAACATCTCCTAGTGTAAAGTATTCCAAATCTGTGCCTTGCGCAGAAGTGCACGGATGTACCCAAACATAATATTTTTCATACACTCAGGTGCTTTGTGTTCAGCAGTTTCTGGCGGACAGATTAAAAAGACCTCCTGGAATCTGTGTGAACTGCAGAGGAGGAGCTGACTCATGGGGCTGTCCCCTAGGTACTACTGCTTTAGGTGAATCGGACCAGCTAAGGCTTGGAAAAGCAGATAATGTGATGTGATATGGGGAAGAGGGAAGTAGCCCTTGACCAAAAGCAGGCCCTTGGGCCAAGATAAGTCTTGCAGAAAACCCCATACAACAAGGGGAGGCACCTGGGAATATTTCCTGGCCCTGCATATACATCCTGCTTTGTTTCTAAACACGGTTCCTGGCACAGAATAGGTGTTTGCAGGTTGGATAAAGATGCGTTTCAGCTCACTGGCATTGAATTCTCATTTAGAATGAGCCTTAGCTGGGGCCAGAATTAAGCAGGATTATAAACTTCACAAAACCTTTGGAATAGTTCTTATTAAACCCTAGACTTTGCCCCGACTACTTTGTTCTCATCCAGCTCCTCATCCAACTCTCTAGGACTTGATGCAGTTCTCTCACGTGGCAGAATCCACCACTTTGGCCTCCAGACTGCTGTCTCCCAGAGCCCTCCCTGGGTGATACTTGTTGCGTTTTCCCATGTCCCATGTCCTCTGCATCCTGCTCTAGCTAGACCACCAGGCTGACATCAGAGCTTCCCAACCCACATGCCTCTGCACAGCATTACAAACATGAAGGGTGATCTGAAATGGTCATCTCTCGGCTTTAGGGACAGGCAGGGCCCAGAATATGAAAGCCATTCTTTCCTATATCCCCATCCCATTCAGCTTCTAGCCACACACAGCTTGGTCGATTGGGCCCAGTAAGTCATATAACTAATATCATTTTCTGAGTGCTATGAGTGAAAAGATTTCAAAGACCCTGGTAATTGCTGTCAATATCATCAAGGAATGCAAATGGCTATCCACAGTGGTTTTTAATCACTGGTGTGTATCAAATTTACTGAATGATTTTTTTTTTAAATGTGATGATGACTTTTCCCTTGCACCTGAAATTCTGATTTAGCTAATGTGGGAACTGAGAAATGGATTTGAACGAACTCTCCAAGCAATGTTTATGCACACTGTATTTGTCAAGATAGACTAGGCATTTGTAGCAAATAATATTCAAATCTGGAGGTTTTATATCTTGCTCATGGTGCATGTGTTTCCAACAATATTCTGTATCTGTACTGGATGAGGGGTGGAGGGAATCACTCAAAGTATGCAGATGGCCTGGGGCTCCATCATCTTACAACACTTTCCTCCAGCAAGTGCCTGCAGACCTGGCAAAGGCAAGGGGAGAAAGAACTGGAGATTTGTAGTTGGAGTTTTAATTGACTAGAACTGGTCACATGGCCCTGCTCAGGGGCCAGGGCTGAGATGTGTGGGAGCAGATGGAGATTCAGTGCGCAATGCCTCCAGAAACACCACTGGCAGGGCATTTACTTTCCCCAGCAAGAGAATCTCGTTCTGATAGGGGATCCTGGAGACAATTCCATAACTCCAAATGCCAACTTCTTGATCAAGAGGAGTAATGGAGGGCTAAGGGGGGATACAAAATGGAGAGTGCCTTTCTGGGTCATTCAAACTGTATCACTTGGTATCTTCCACTGCTCAAGGCTGAATATGCCCACCTGCAGAAATGATATGTAAACATTAAAACATTTGTAGTGTTTTAGTTGGTAGTTATTTAAAAGAATAATTTTATATTATTAATAAAACATATTAAATTTATTTAAAAATTTATTTAAGATGTATACAATTTATTTAAAATAAAATTAAAATACAATCAGAAACTTACTATTTAACGAACCAATTGGACCATCTAGTCCAGGGGTTGGCAAAGTTTTTCTCTAAAGGTCCAGATTATAAGTATTTTGGTCATTAACAAAAAACAACCATGGATGATATATAAATAATTAAGTATGGTTGTGTCTTCATAACATTTTATTAAGGGACACTGAAATTTGAATTTTATACAGTTTTCCTATGTCATGAAATATTAATTTTTTGATTTTTTTCAACCATTTAAAATGTGAAAGTCATTCTTACCTTGCAGGGATACTAAAACAGGCACCAGGCTGACTTTGACCCTTTAGTCTGCTGAGCCCTCATCTTGTCAAATCCCCTCCTAATACAGATGAAGAAACTGAGGTTCATGGAAGTGAACTGACTTTTTCAAAACCACAGAGAAAGTAAGAAGGGTAGAGTCCTTCTAGGATTTTCCCCACTATTCCTCACTGTATTTCTTCTCCAAGCATGAATATGAGCTAAGAGAAAGAGATGTTTCCTCTATGGAACCTAGACATATTAGGAAATGAGGTGTGGGGAGTAAGAGGAGAGTCCGGGCTGAGATGGAGGTTACAGTATAGGCAGCCCGCATACCACCCTCCTCGCTTAAATCAGGAAGAATTAGATAACCTGGATAGACCAATAACAAGCAGTGAGATTGAAATGGTAATTTTAAAATTACCAAAAAAAAAAAAAAAAGTCCAGGACTAGACGGATTCACAGCAGAATTCTACCAGACATTCAAAGAAGAATTTGTACCAACCTTTTAACACTATTTCCACAAGATAGAGGAAGAGGGAATCCTCCCTAATTCATTCTATGAAGCCAGCATCATCCTAACACCAAAACCAGGAAAGGACATAAAAAAAAAAAAAGAAAACTACAGACTGATATCCCTAATGAACATAGATGCTAAAATCCTTAACAGAATACTAGCTAACTGAATCCAACAACATATCAAAAAGATAATCCACCATGATCACGTGGGTTTTATACCAGGGATGCAGGGATGGTTTAACATACGCAAGTCAATAAATGTGATACACCACATAAATAGAATTAAAAACAAAAATTACGGCCGGGTGCGGTGGCTCACGCCTATAATCCCAGCACTTTGGGAGGCCGATACAGGCGGATCACGAGGTCAGGAGATCGAGACCATCTTGGGTAACACGGTGAAACCCCGTCTCTACTAAAAATACAAAAAATTAGCCAGGCATGGCGGCAGGCACCTGTAGTCCCAGCTACTCGGGAGACTGAGGCAGGAGAATGGCGTGAACCCGGGAGGCGGAGCTTGCAGTGAGCCGAGATCGTGCCACTGCACTCCAGCCTGGGCGACAGAACAAGACTCCATCTCAAATAAATAAATAAATAAAAGTAAATAAATAAATTACCCTGATCATCTCAATAGATGAAGAAAAAGCATTCAACAAAATCCAGCATCCCCTTATGATTAAAACTCTCAGCAAAATTGGCATTCAAGGGACATACCTCGATGTAATAAAAGCCATCTATGACAAACCCAGAGTCAACATAATACTGAATGGCGAAAAGTTGAAAGCATTCCCTCTGAGAACTGGAACAAGACAAGGGTGCCCACTCTCACCACTCTTCTTCAACGTAGTACTGGAAGTCCCAGCCAGAGCAATAGAACAAGAGAAAGAAATAAAGAGCATCCAGATTGGTAAACAGGAAGTGAAACTGTCACTGTTTGCTGATGATATGAACGTTTACCTCGAAAACCCTAAAGACTCCTCCAGAAAGCTCCTAGAACTGATAAGAGAATTCAGCAAAGTTTCCGGATACAAGATTAATGTACACAAATCAGTAGCTCTTTTATATGTCAACAGTGACTAAGCGATGAATCAAATCAAGAACTCAGCCCCTTTTACGTTAGCTGCAAAAAAAAAAAAAAAAAGGAATATACTTACCCAAGGAGGCGAAAGACCTCTACAAGAAAACTACAAAACACTGCTGAAAGAAATCATAGACACAAACAAATGGAAACACATCCCATGCTCATGGATGAGTAGAATCAATATTGTGAAAATGACCATACTGCCAAAAGCAGTCTGCAAATTCAATGCAATCCCATCAAAATACCACCATCATTCTTCACAGAATTAGAAAAAAAATTCTAAAATTTATATGGAACCAAAAAAGAGCCTGCATAGCCAAAGCAAGACTAAGCAAAAAGAACAAATCTGGAGGCATCATACTACCTGACTTCAAACTATACTATAAGGCCATAGTCACCAAAACAGCATGGTACTTGTATAAAGATAGGCACATAGACCAGTGAAACAGAATAGAAAACCCAGAAATAAGCCCAAATACTTACAGCCAACTGATCTTTGACAAAGCAAACAAAAACATAAAGTGGGAAAAGGACACCCTTTTCAACAAATGGTGCTGGGATAATTGGCTAGCCACATGTAGGAGAATAAAACTGGATCCACACCTCTCACCTTATACAAAAATCAACTCAAGATGGATTAAGCACTTAAATCTAAGACCTAAAACTATAAAAATCTAGAAGATAACATTAGGATAACCCTTCTAGACATTGGCTTAGGAAAGGATTTCATGACCAAAAACCCAAAAGCAAATGCAATAAAAAACACATAAATGGCTGGGACTTAGTTAAACTAAAGAGCTTTTGCATGGCAAAAGGAACTGTCAGCAGAGTAAACAGACAACCCACAGAGTGGGAGAAAATCTTCACAATCTATACATCTGACAGAGGACTAATATTCAGAATCTACAATGAACTTAAACAAGTCAGTAAGAAAAAGGCAAATAATCCCATCAAAAAGTGGGCTAATAATATGAATAGACAATTCTCAAAAGAAGATATACAAATGGCCAACAAACATATGAAAAAATGCTCAATATCACTAATGATCAGGGAAATGCAAATCAAAACCACAATGTGGTACCACCTTACTCCTACAAGAATGGCCATAATCAAAAAATAAAAAACTAGATGTTGGCATGGATGCGGTGATCAGGGAACACTTCTATACTGCTGGTGGGAATGTAAACTAGTACAGCCACTATGGAAAATGGTGCAGAAATTCTTTGAAAAACTAAAAGTGGAACTACCATTTGATCCAGCAATCCCGCTACTGGGTATCTACCCAGAGGAAAAGAAGTCATATGAAAAGGATACTTGCACACGCATGTTTATAGCAGCACAATTTGTAATTGCAAAATTGTGGAACCAATCCAAATACCCATATGGAACCAAAAAAGATTATCCACCATCAATCAATGAGTGGATAAAGAAACTGTGAGATATATATTTATGATGGAATACTACTCAGCAATAAAAATGAATGAATTAATAGCATTTGCAGCGACCTAGATGAGATTGGAGGCTATTATTCTAAGTGAAGTAACTCAGGAATGGAAAACCAAACAATATATATTCTCACTGATACGTAGGAGCTAAGATATGAGGGTGCAAAGGCATAAAAATGATACAATGGACTTTGGGGACTTGGGGGGAAGTGTGGGAGGAGGGCGAGGGATAAAAGACTACAAATATAGTGCAGTGTATACTGCTCAGGTGATGAGTGTACCAAAATCTCACAAATCACCGCTAAAGAGCTTACTTATATAACCAAACACCACCTGCACCCCAATAACCTATGGAAAAATAGAAAAATTAAAAAAAATTTAAAGTGTCACGTGGCTATTCTATTACCTGCACTAGTGAATTAAAGGTTTTTTTTTTTTTTAATTTGGGAATTAAGAACCCTAACATACTGGAAAACTATAACTTTCAAATTTGGAAGAGATATTAGAAGTTATCAAACCTAATTTCCAGATGAGAAGAACTAGTTCCTAAATGGATTTTAATCAAGACAGAGCTACAGCTAAAACCCAACCCAATTAAGGTCAGTGGTCTTTCTGCTACATTTCCTCCCATTATCCTTGAGACTTTCCTGGCATGGTTTATAAGGTCTCAATAAAGGACATTCATTATCTTTCACTTTTGAGAAAACAGTACTTTTCTGCATAGCAAAGTCATCTACTCAGCTCGTGTAGTTCTCCACATCCTTATGGAGCTGCTTCTAACGCACTTAGAGGGCCTGATAATGCAGCAAGAGATGCTTGGTATCCATTGCCCAGCAGTAGCTAACATAATTCCTGGCAGTAGTAGGTCCTCAATAAGTGGCTGACAATAGATAAAATATGTAAATTTATGTGAGCTCCATGAACTATTTTCATGCATATTCATTAGGATAAGTTTGTCTGAACTAGCAAACTGAACTAAAGTTTCCATGGTAATCTTTTTTGCACTTTCCAGCTATAACATATTGGGGGATTTTGTTTTTAATCCTTCAACAACTCTCCAAAGTTTAATATGCTATAATCTCTTTTGGGATCCAGGCTGTTTTATTTGTCTCTTCAGATCTAGAACAGAACCTGGTACTTAATATATCCAAATTGAATGAATGAACTGTCCTTCATCTTCCCCTCTCCATCTTCCACATCCTTGCCTTTCCTTTCTTCTCCACACACTTCCAGGGGCCCTCATTTGCTCCTTGTAGAGCTTGTACATGTCACAAAGCTGAGGACTCCCACAGTGTTTGTACATATATACAGGGCCCTGCATGCCACATGATAATTCAGACAGAGGACACGGAATCTGTGTCAGTGCAGCTAGCGCTAGTGCTGCGTTCAAAATGAGTCCTTGTAATTCTGCCCATAGCAAAAAGTGATGCAGCTGATATCAGCTGTGGCTCTGAGATCCTATGTTGGCCGCCCCTCTGTTCTCCCTCCTCCTCATCAGCCTCCTCTTCATTTTATTCCTATGTCACTGCTGGTGCATGCATGCGTCATTGGCAACCTCTCGCTGTGGCTGGAACATCGCTTCATCTATGAATAGATTTTAACAGCCTCCTTCAAGCTTCCTCTCAGGGCTGAGTTGACTCAGCCACGCTGGGAGTAGGGAATGCTTTGACTGACAGCTAGCTTTACCATCCTAAGGTGCCATGGTGTGGATATAAAAAGAGAGGTGCAAGAGGACCTAAGGATGTGGCTTAAAGGAAGCCCTCCTGAAAAAATAAATCCATCATGGCAAACTAAGAGAAGTAAAAAAGGAAGACAGGCAGTAGCTGGAGAGCTATAGTAGGTTGTTATGGATGAAGTGATAGTTTGGGATATGAAATTAGTGATTTAAAAAAAAGACATCTCTCAGATTTGGCTTTGATCTGAAGATTAAAAAGAAATTGCTTCTCTTGAGAAAGGATATTTAAGGAGCCAATTTGCAAGTAGCCAAGCTGGAGGAAAGAGGATTTCCAGAAGCAAATCCAGGTCATCTGTTTAGAATTGATGGGTGCTTATTGTCTCTCACACTGAATTCACAGCTACTGCCTTTAATTAGTAACAGGAACACAGTCATAGCAGCCGCCAGCTGCAAAACCTGCCTCTGTGGGCTTTCAGAGACAAGAGGGACCATTTCTGGCTCAGGCAGACACAGCTGCTTCACGCACCCGGAATGTGTGGGAAAAACCCGGCTTGAGCCTTATGTAGGATAAAACAAGCCAAAGAGGTTTTTCCAGATAGAGGTAACCTCATGGCTGCTTATTAATAGGACAATGGATTCACCCTATAGAAATGTTTGGTGGTGTCTGCTTAATTGTTCTCAGGCAGTTATTACTGCAATTAGGGACCTGTGACATTGCAAAACCTCGTCTAGACTAGTACGTATTAAAAAGAACCTGTTTTTGATTGCTTTTTGTTGGAGAGAGCAGATAAACAGTTTGCCTTGGAGTCTCACGCATGTGTGTACTCAGTCTCTCTCTCTCTCTCTGAACTACAGCTTTTGTGGCTTTTCATGCAAGTGAAGTATTTTGAGGGGCACAACCAGCATGCAAATACATGCTTCCTTCAACTCACTCACCCTTAACTCCAACATGCAACATCTGTCTTAGCTGATATTCCTGTAAGCAATGACTATTAAGATTTCGGTTTTTTTTTTTAATCTGGAGGCTTTGACATTACCTGGAAACAAGCTACAATGAGAGGAGCAGCTTCAGAAAGAGAAGGGAAGACACTCATTCCCAAAATACCACGACCTCCAGGAAACTTTATAATTAGAGCTTCAATCCTCTTGAAATCCTCTCTGCCTCAGATTCTATGAATCCGCACTGCCGGAGTATTCTTCTATCACTCACAGCAAGCCTTCTTTTTCTCTTCATCATCATCTACAACCAGGTGTATCCTTAATGCCTCCATCTTTCCAAAGTCAGTGTTAGGTGGAGAATTACAATTCACCTCCTTTACCCCATGCTGAATTTTTTCTTCTTTGAGAGAATACAGCATTTTACCTCTCTGCCATTCATTTGTGTCCTTAACTAAGTGAATCCTTGGGTTGTTACTTAACAGTGTGATCGGTGTACATTATCTTCTCAATGACATGCTAAGTCCTTGGGCACAGTGTCATAATCAGGAGTGTCTGGCAGCAACAACAGATTCTGATACAGGAGGCCTTTAAGAAATATTGGTAGTTTGAGAATGCTTTTTAATTTTTTATTTAGCAGTTTTTGATTTATGAAAAATTGAGCAGAAAGTACAGAGTTCCCATATACTCCACCCCAACTCACCAGTCCGCTCCTCCCAGCTTCCCCTATTACTGACATCTTGCATTAGTGAGGTATGTTTGTTGCATTTGATAAGCCTATATTGATGCATTATTATTAAGTCCATATTTTATGTTGTTTTCACCTTTGCTGGGGTACATTCTATGGGTTTTGAAAACATGTAATATCATGTATCCACCATCACAGTATCATACAGAATAGTTTCATTGCTCCAGATCCCCAGAGCTCCACCTGTTTATGTCCCCCAACACACACACATATACACCAAACCACTGGCAACTACTTATAGTTTTACTGTATCTATAGTTTTGTTTTTCCCAGAATGTCATGTGGTTAGAATCACATAGTATGTAGACTTTTCAGGTTGGCTTCTTTCACTTAGCAATGTTCATTTAAGCTTCTCCCATGTCTTTGTGGCTTGACAACTCATCTCTTTTTATTGCTGAATAATATTCCATTGTCTGAATTACTACAGTTTATCTATTCACCTATTAGAGGACATTTTGGTTGCTTCCTTATTTTGGCAATTATGAATAAAGCTACTATAAACATCCATATGCAAGTTTTTGTGTGGACATAAGTTTTCAACTCATTTGGATAGATACCAAAAAGTGCAACTGCTGGATCATATGGTATGTTCAGTTTTTTAAGAAGCTATCAAACTGTCTTCCAAAGTGGCTATACCATTTTGCATTCCCAACAGCAGTGAGTGAGAATTCCAGTTGCTTTGATGATTTCTTGAGCCTGGGTTTTGGGAAGTGGAAAATATAAAGAAGATACATTTGTGGGGTGGGATTAATTCAGAGCCATACACCCCTACCCTTGGACTGTCCTGCAGTAAACAGTGAAGGGTGGTGGACAGTGAGTGGATATAGAAAAAGCAAACCTTGGTGATATCTCCACCCTGCTACTTCTCAGCTATGTGGTCAAAATAAGTTACTTAGTCAATCTGAGCTTGGTTTTCTCTTATTTAAAAATGGAGACAATAGTACTAACTTCCTCAGACTCTAGTAACTACTACATAAGATAATGCACTAGCATAATCTTGAACACATAATGGATACTCAATAAGAGTGTTTCCATTTGAACAATAGGAACTAAGCTAATTTTCACCAGAATTTTTGTGATAATATGATAACCTGCATCCACTCCCTCTACTCCAGGTTCCTTTATTATTATTGTAAAGTCCTGTGACTAAAACAAGAAAATGACCTCAGAATTCTTAATGAGAGCAGAATTTCCTAGTTGCTATTTCCACCTGGTGAAAAATTAAGAAACTAGAAATGTCACCCAGACTGCTTGACTTATGAGAATCTCAGACTCTTGAACACAGGGCTGCAGACTTCCAAGGGCTCTCCCTAGCCGGCCACATCTTGGCAGATAAGACCACCCATGGGAGTGGACCAGTGCAAGTTGTCCCCTTTGATTCTTTTCCACTAGAGTCTCGCTGACCCTGTACCTTTCCTTTGAGAAAAATTATTAGCAGCATTTTGCAACCATGGCTGAACTGCAGCCTTGAGAGGTCAAAAACTGCAATCAACCCTGTGACATTTTCACCCATATTCCTATAATTACCATGGGAGATGTCACTGTCCAGTGAGACTCTTATGCAATGCTCATGTGGTAGACCATATTTTTTATACTTTCCATTGCTTTTGCTGTTTACATGAGGGCAGGTATGTGTGTGTGTTGCCCGCAGCCTAATTGATTTTAAACCATTTTAAAAATTTGGTGGCTCATGCCTGTAATTCCAGCATTTTGGGAGGCTGAGGTGGGCAGACTACGAGGTCAAGAGATTGAGAGCTTCCTGGCCAACATGGTGAAACCCCGTATCTACTAAAAATACAAAAATTAGCTGCGCATGGTGGCATGCGCCTGTAGTCCCAGCTACTTGGGAGGCTGAGGCAGGAGAATCGATTGAACCTGGGAGGTGGGGATTCCAGTGAGCTGAGATCATGCCACTGCACTCCAGCCTGGTGACAGAGTGAGACTGTCTCAAAAAAAAATTTTTTTTTAAATATATTTCAGATCCTGCTTCTCTGGCCCTGAGCTACTAGTCACCATTGGTCTACCAGTTGAATGTAAAGGGTAAAAGATTCAAAGCACACAAACAGTCTTTGGCTCTCAGCCCCAGCGGCTAGCCTCATAAGATTATCTTGACCTGTTGATTTTCACTTAAGGACCAGATGAAGAAAAGTAAATCTAATAATTGTGTTTCATTGTGTAAGTAAGCTGGGTTTCTATACTGGTCATTAAAATGTATAGGAACAGTCTTTCCATTATTGTTTAGCTACTACCATATGCATAGCATTGTACTTAGTGGGAAATGCTGAGGAAAGACCAGGAGGAATTAAGACTCAAGATTAAAAAGTCATGATTTCTCCACTTTCAAGGGTTTATTCCCATGAATAATTATGGTTCAGTGACTAAAGGGGAAACATGTTGATGGGCCCCTGTTAGCAAATAATTATTGACGTATTCCAGCCCAGCCCTTCCTTAGTCTGTACAAAGATGTAGTGTTATGATTGACAGAGAACCCTACAACAGGTGAGCTACAGAGGTGAAGTTACTTCAGAAATACTTTCAGTAGCAGGAGAATGTAAGCTTTGACATTTTAAAAATTCTGTATTGCATCTACAAAGGCCAGTAAGTAGAAATTATACTTCAGGCTATAGAGTGTGAAAGGAAGACTGGTCACATTTCAGCAGGAATCTGCAAGGATCCTGTTACTAAATTAGTTACTGGGAGAATTATATTTTGGAAGCAAAACTCCAACATTGCTACAAGATGAAAGAAGCTTCTTTGATATGAGAGGAGATGGTTTTGTGTTGTTTAAAGGAAACACAGGGCTCTGGAATCTCTGTGAGCCCTAGTCAGTGCCACATCCCCACCCCACCGCCAAGGCCATGTATAAGCTGGTGTTGACCTGGCAGGATGAGAGTGTCTGGAACCCACCTTCTGTGGCTGGTAGCATGCCAACCTTGAGCCCGGCAAGCCATGAGCAGGCATAGCATGGCGGGAAGCTGCTGTGAGATGTTGGCTACGAGTTCGATATCTTCTTCACCTCAGTGCAAAAGAAAGTGACCTGGACCCTCTGGGCAGTGCTAGATGCCATTGGCCAGAGGTGGCTGCTTGTAGTGAGGACTTGGCACCTCAGTGAGCTGCACTATGGTGGTCTGACCAACCCAATAAACACAAACTACTGCCAAGCATGCTGAGGCTCAGGTAAAGATCTGGAGGTGCTCCTATGCTGTCCTACCACCTCTGAAGGAGCCTGACCATCCCTTCTACAGCAGTGTCAGTAAGGACTGCAGGTATGCAGATCCCACTGAAGATCAGCTACCCACCTGTGAGTCTGAAGGACACTACTGCCAGAGCTCTGCCCTTTTGGAATGAAGAAATAGTTCCCCAGATCAAGGAGGGGAAACAAGTACTGACTGCAGCCCATGGCAGCAGCCCTGGGGAACTTTCATTTGGGGAGGTATCTCCCAGTCAGAAGTCATGGGGATCAGAACCCACTTGAGGTAGTCTGTCCCTTAGCAAAGCTAAAGTGCTGTGCTGGGAGATCCTCTGCTCTCTTCAGAGCTGGCAAGCAGGAATGTTTAAGTCCACTGAAGCTGCACCCACAGCCACCCCTTCCCCTAGGTGCTCCGTCCCAGGGAGATGGGAGTTTTATCTATAAGCCCCTGACTGGGGCTGCTGCCTTTTTTTCAGAGATGCCCAGAGAGGAGGAATCTAGAGAGGCAGTCTGACTACAGTGGCTTTGCTGGCTGCGGTGGGCTCCACCCAGTTTGAACTACCCAGTGGTGGCTTTGTTTACACTGTGAGGGGAAAACCGCCTACTCAAGCCTCAGTAATGGTGGACACCCCTCCCCCTGCACCAAGCTGAAGCATCCCAGGTCGACTTCAGACTGCTGTGCTGGCAGAGAGAATTTCGAGCCAGTGGATCTTAGCTTGCTGGGCTCCGTGGGGTGGGATCTGCTGAGCTAGACCACTTGGCTCCCTGGCTTCAGCCCCTTTTCCAGGGGAGTGAATGGTTCTGTCTCGCTGGTGTTCCAGGTGCCACCTTGGTATGAAAAAAACTCCTGCATCTAGTTCCATGTCTGCCCAAATGGCTGCCTAGTTTTGTGCTTGAAACCCAGGGCCCTGGTGGTGTAGGCATCCAAGGGAATCTCCTGGTCTGCGGGCTGTGAAGACCGTGGGAAAAGCATAGTATCTGGGCCGGAGTGCACCGTTCCTCACAGCGCAGTCCCTCATGGCTTCCCTTGGCTAGAGGAGGGAGTTCCCCAACCCCTTAAGCTTCCTGGGTGAGACAATGCCCCACCCTGCTTGGCTTGCCCTCCATGGGCTGCACCCACTGTCTAACCAGTCCCAATGAGATGAGCTGGGTACCTCAGTTGGAAATGCAGAAATCACCCACCTTCTGCGTTGATCTCTCTGGGAGCTGCAGACCAGAGCTGTTCCTATTCAGCCATCTTGCCAGCCACCCCTTTTCTGTGTTTTAAAACATAAAATTGTAATGTTATTTCCAGGGCTTGTGTTTGGCCTGTGCCTACTCATATAGCTGCATGTCAAAATATTGAAATAGTTTCACAGAGATTGGATCACTGTTGCTGCCTCCAGTTCCCCTAATGCCCTCTCAGAACCTTAGCTGGCCCAGATATCTTCTGTATCCTCCCCTCACCAACCTCCCCATTACAGTTTGCAAAAATGATCACATCACTTCCTTCTCTATCTCCACATCCCTTTGCAATATGACTTGTGTTTTTTTTTCTATCAAGAGGCAGAGTGTCTTTGTTCAGCCCCTGAATATGGTCTGACCTTGAGACATAACTTGGTGAATAGAATGCATATAAAATTAGTTATTCAAATAATAAGCCTAATCCTAAACAAGCCTTGTGCTCTCTCTAGAAAACACACTCCACAATCGTAAGAACAAGCCCATGATACCCTGCTGGGGAATGAGAAACCAAGTGGAACAGAGATGAACCATCCCAACTGAGGCTGCCTCAGACCAGACTGAACTGGCAGCTGACCAAAGATATAGGAGTAAGCCCAGCTAAGATCAGGAGAACCAGCTGAACCTAGCATAAATTTCTGATTCTCAGATTTATGAGCTAACTAGATGGTTATTGTTTTAAGCCTCTGGGTTTAGGGATAGTTTCTTATGTAGACATATTTATTATACATTTGTAATATTGCACATACTTTATAATATTATGTACACAGAAATAAATAATATCCCAACAATCCGGCATTTAAAAGGGTATCAACTGGCGTAACTGAGGTCCTCCAGAAACCTGCTCCCATGCTAAATCTCCATTTTGATTGGTAGATCCCATGATGCAACAATAATTGTATTAGGACGAGAGCATGAGCTTTTTATTTATTTATGTTTTTTTTTTTTTGAGACAGAGTCTCACTCTCACCCAGGCAGGAGTACAGTGGCACAAACACAGCTCACTGGAGCCTCAGTCTCCTGGGCTCCAGGGATCCTCTTGCCTTAGCCTCCCAAGTAGCTGGGATTACAGGCATGCACAACCACATCTGGCTAATTTAATTTTTTTTAATTTTGTTTTTTTTTTTTTGCTAAAGATGTGTTCTTCCTATATTTTCCAAGCTGGTCTGAAACTCCTGGGCTCAACCAATCCTCCTGCCTCGGCCTCCCAATGCCAGCTTACAGCCGTGAGCCATGGTGCCCAGTGGAGAGTGCGAACTTTTACATTTTTAAAATTCTATATTGAGTTTGAGTTTGTGAGTCCGGTAAGTAGAAATTACACTTTAGGCTGTACAGTATAGAAAGATTTGTCACATTTCACCAGATGTCTGAAAGGATCCTGGTACTGAAACAATCCTAGGTATGTAAGTAAAGTATATTATTATTAATACTTGTATGCCTAGCTGTCATAATTAATTTGTTAATTGTAATTAGAAATAATTTGATGATATTTTAGAAAAATTTCTTAAAAGTTTAATTTACTAACTAAAATTTATTTTTAGTAATCACTGTTCTCTCACCAAAGTTAAACAGAAAGAAAAGCTTTCTACTCAAGTTAAATTTCTTTCTAGGCAAAACTGAGTAAAAAAAGAAGACAAATAACGTGAATTCAAAAATGGATAAAAACCAATGAGCTAAAAATTTCAGTTCATAAAAAAACCTCCACATGGATGTTTATAGCAACTTTATTCTTAATTGCCAAAAGATGGAACCAAATAAGGTGTTTTTCAATCGTGAATAAAAAAATACACTGTGGTATATCCAGATAGTGGCATGTTGTTCAGCACTAAAAAGAAATGAGCTATCAAGCCATGAAAGACATGGAGGAAACTTAAATGCTTATTACTAAGTGAAATAAGCCAGTCTGTAATGGCTATATACTATATAATTCCAACTATATAACATCGTGGAAGAGGCAAAACTATGGAGACAATAAAAAGATCAATGATTTCCAGGAATTTAGGGGAATGGGAGATCAATAAGTGGAGCATTAGAGATTTTATGGCAGTGAGACTATTCTATATAATACTATAATGATAAATACATGTTGTTATACATTTGGCAAAACCCACAGAACAAGAGTGAACCCTAATGTAAACTATAGATTTTGACTGACAATAATATAATAAGATTGGTTCATCAGTTGTAACAAACAAACCACACTAGTGTGAGATGTTGTTGGCAGCGGGGGCTGTCTGTGGGGTGGGGGCAGGTGAGTGGTATATGGGAAATTTGTACTTTATATTTAATTTGCCATGAGCCTAAAACTCCTCCAAAACATAAAGTACCTGTCTTTAAAAATTTGATAAAAGACTTGAACATATTCTTTATAATGACTGATCAATGAGAACATGAAAAAAACTTCAACTTTATTAACTCTTCGGAAATGCAAACCCAAAATACAATGAAATACCACCATGCAGCCTCTAAAATGGCCAACATTAAAAAGACCGTCAATACTCAGTGTTGGCAAGGATGTGGAGCATCTAGACCCTTCACACATTACTAGTGTAAAATGACACAGCCACTGTTTCTTGTAAAGTTAAAACATGTGCATACTCAGCAATTCCACTCTTTAGTACTTACCCACGAGAATTGAAAACATATGTTAATAAAAAGATGTGTGTACCAGTGTTCACACCAGAACCCCCAAACTGGAAACAGTCCAAAAGTAGGTACACCAACTGGCAAGTGCATAAACACATTTTAGTATGTTCTTACCATAAATTCTGTTAAGCAATAAAGTAAAATGAACTACTGATATAGGCTGTGACATGGATGAATCTCACAGTCATTATGCTGAGCAAAAGAAGCCATACACACAGTAAAGATGGTGTGATTGCATTTAGATGAAATTCTATAACAGGCAAAACTAACCGATAGTCATGAAAACATGTCAGTGATCATTTGCAGGTGGATGGGAAGGAGAGGAGAGAGATTGAATGCACAGAGGCAGTGGGGAGCTTTCTGGGAAAATGCCAATGTTCTGTATTTGGAATAGGCTAGTGATTATACAGAAGTACATTTGTCAAATATAAGACACCTACCTGTACCATTAAAATGTGCGATATAGTGTATGTAAATTCTGCCTTGATAAATAAGCAGATTTTTAAAAATATTCTTCTGAAGTCAGATTTTAATTCTAGAGACAGAAAAACGTATCCCATGTGCATGGTAGACATTGCTCATCAATTATGATGTACCTTTCAGCTTTCCAGGCATGCAAACACAGTGCTCCAGGCAGCCACCGTGGGCCATTAGGATTAGCCCAGTCCTTGAAACCTCTTTGCCATTCTAGGCTAAGGCCATCCTAGGCTATACCTACCAGATATGCCTATGCCCCAGAACAGGAAGCGTGGCTGGCTTCATAAATGTACAACATATGTGGTCACACAAAGCCCTCACGCTTGCTATGGCCTCATGTCTGGTTTAATGTTCTACTATCATGGTCTTGAAATTCTTAATAGATTTCTAATAAAGGTCCCCTCATTTTCATGTTTCACTGGGTCTTGCAAATTACATAGCCTGGCAGCAAGCCTCTGAATCATAAAGCCCCTGAAACTGGTTCAACTTTAGTTTTTAGTCTTTAATTACGATCTTTGTATCTGTATATACAAAAATAAAATTAATTCCTTAATGCTTTTCTTTCTCAATATCTGGTACTCTTTCTCAGGTCAAAGCAAAATACACTGAAGTATCTTTATTAATTAGGATAGATATTATGTTCTCTTTTGAGTCAAAAAGCAGTAACTGCTAATTTAAATGGGTTTGATTTCCAAAAATCCTTGATTTTTTGTTTTTCCACGGGGCATCTTATAAAAAGGCCAGGCTCTTTAACTACCTAGGAGTTGGAAACACAGGATGGGACATTTGGATGGTGGATGACTCAGTTTGTATTCTTTCTATTTGAATCCTATTCTTTTCATATCTTTAACACCTGTAGCAGGATAAAGTAAAATAATTTTTGTACTGTTATCATGTGTTGAGTTGTGTTTCCCCAAAAGACATTGAAGTCCTAACTCCTAGTACCTGCGAAGGTGACTTTATTTGGAAATAATGTCTTTGCAGATGATCACGTTAAAATGAGATCACTGGATAGTCCTAATCCAATATGGCTGGTATACTTACATAAAGGATAAATTTGGACATACAGAGAGATTGATGCAGAGGGAAGAAAGTGTGAGAGCACAGGGAGAACGCCATCTACAAGCCAAGGAAAACCTGAGACTACCAGAAATTAGAAGAGATCCATGGAACAGATTCTTCCTCAGAGCTTGCACGAAGAACCAAAGATGCCAACACCTTGACCTCAGACTTTCATCCTCCAGAACCGCAAGACAATCAATTTCTGTTGTTGAAGCCACTCAGTTTGTGGTACTTTGTATGGCAGCTCAGCAAACTAATATAGCCATTGAAATTGAAGGGCGGAAATGTATTATAACAAATTCTAAGATAAATTATGGGGCTTTTGTTTTCTTCTCCATTGCTCACCCTTCTACACATAATGTCTTTGTTTCCTCATTACGCCCTTAGTGAATTTTCCTTGGGTTACCATGAAGGTCCAGGAGGTAATTTGATGTGATAACTGTCAGAATGTGGTCCACTTACTGCCTTCATTAAAGTCACGAAGAATGATTGTTTAAAATGCAGGTTTCTGAGTCTGAGAGCACAAGTACAAAATTAGATTATTTGGGAAAGGATAGCCCAGGAATCTGCATCTTTTAAAAGTTCTCCAGGTGATTCTGAAGTAATTAAAGTTTGGAAATCACTGAAGGAATCTTTGGCTGGTTGGCTAGTGCCACAATAGGAAATAATTCACAGATAGTGACAACCTGTGCCTTCTCCTGGGTGTATTTCTATGCTGGAATTAAACGGGAAAGATACCCCTTTCCCATGAAAAAGCTACTTGGTACATTCTTCGTTATCAGAAACAACAGAGGAATTCCTAAAACGAGAACCTTCCTATAAGCCTATTCCTAACCCCTGATATTTCCCAGAAGAAAGAAAAGTGATCAAATAGTTGAACTGTTAATTACGGTAATTTTTTTTTTTTTTTTTTTTTTTTTTTTGAGACGGAGTCTCGCTCAGTCTCACAGGCTGGAGTGCAGTGGCAAGATCTCGGCTCACTGCAAGTTCAACCTCTTGGGTTCACACCATTCTCCTGCCTCAGCTTCCCGAGTAGCTGGGACCACAGGCACCCGCCACCACGCCCGGCTAATTTTTTTGTATTTTTAGTAGAGACGGGGTTTCACTGTGTTAGCCAGGATGGTCTTGATCTCCTGACCTCGTGATCCGCCCGCCTCATGCTCCCAAAGTGCTGGAATTAACAGGCATGAGCCACCGCGCCTGGCCTAATTATGGTAATTTTTAACTTACCCTTTACTACAGAAAACCAGGTTAACACAAAGAGGTTGTTAGCTAGACTTGCCTTCTTAAAATTACTTTAGGGCAGAAAACTACTATGCATCATCAAAAGTTGACTTCTTGCTGCTCCAAAGCTCAGTAGGACCCGCCTTGGATAGGCTAGAAAATTCAAGGCTTCCAAGCATTCTTTCTGTTTACCTCTTGGTAGAGTGCTCTTATGTAGTGCATTAAGTTCATAATGTATAGGAAAAATTACTGTACCTTAAAAGGTGGGGAACCAAATCCAAGACAGAATGAGGCATGTGTAGAAAGGATCAGGCTGCGAAGTCACAAAAGCTTTGTTTGGGCTAAATTCGGAAGTCCCTAGGCAAACCTGGAATTCCCCTAAGTTTCTACTGGGAAGTGGCTTAAACTCCGACATGACTTTGATCTTATTTATAAGACAAATGGTGATGCTGGAATTCCACTCTAGGTCTATCTCCTCAGTTAAAAGTGCAGAAAATAGCATTTCTTTCTTTTTCTTTATTTCTTCTAAAACAAAAACAAAAACAAAAATGGGATACATGTGCAGAACGTAAAGGTTTGTTCCATAGGTATACGTGTACCATGGTGGTTTGCTGCACCTATTGACCTGTCCTCTAATTTCCTTCCCCTCAGTTCCCATCTCCCTCAGACCCTGGTGTGTGTTTTTCCCCTCTCTGTGTCCATGTGTTCTCATTGTTCAACTCCCACTTATGAGTGAGAACATGCAGTATTTGGTTTTCTGTTCCTGTGTTTGTTTGCTAAGGATGATGGCTTCCAGTTTCATCCATTTCCCTGCAAAGGACACGATCTCATTCCTTTTTATGGCTGCACAGTATTCCATGGTGTATATGTGCCATGTTTTCTTTATCCAGTCTATCATTGATGGGCATTTGGGTTTGTTCCATGTCTTTGCTATTGTAAATAGTGTTGCAATAAACATATGTGTGCATGTGTCTTTACAGTAGAATGATTTATATTCCTTTGGGCATATATCCAGTAATGGGATTGCTGGGTCAAATGGTATTTCTGGTTCTAGATCCTTAAGGAATCCCCATTCTGTCTTCCACAATGGTTGAACTAATTTACATTCTCACCAATAGCGTAAAAGCATTCCTGTTTCTCCACAGCCTCACCAGTATCTGTCGTTTCCTGACTTTTTAATAATCACCATTTTGACTGGCTTGAGATCTACCCAAAGAAAATAGCATTTCT
This sequence comes from Homo sapiens, assembly GCF_000001405.40. Classification (NCBI taxonomy): domain Eukaryota; kingdom Metazoa; phylum Chordata; class Mammalia; order Primates; family Hominidae; genus Homo; species Homo sapiens. The sequence goes on from NC_000005.10 coordinate 58,169,393, forward strand.
AGGAACTTATTTGTCTTGCTGAGATCAGCTACCACCATCTTTGGAGTCTGGTGCATTGGTGTACTTGTTTTCAGGTTTAAACCTCGGGTTACTTGCCTGAGGAAAGGGAGTTTTAGGGTCTCTGGCTGAGAGATATTTATTAACATGTGACATAAAATTTTAGTTGGGCATTCCAAGGAAAATGGATCTTTTGTTGAGAACACAGCTTCTTTTTTTAATCCCATTTTCTAATTCAGAGATAATATCTTCTCCTTTCTACCTTTTTAGGTAAAAAGTCAAATGTAAGATACAAATGAATCTAAATCAAATTCATTTTTCACATAATCACAGCACTGATTTTCATGGCTTGAGCAAATTAGACCATTGGGGTACTCTCAACCACTACTCCTAGACATGAAATTTTAATATGCTGTTTGTTTAGACCTTTTTCCTTTGGTTCAAATTCCTCAGTACTTTACTGTATTATATTTTAATTAGTATAGTGAATTTCTAATTGTCTTTTCAATGCTCAAGTTCAACAGGTAAATGTTTGAAAAATGTTCCCTGGCACTTTCCCTCTCCCATCTCAACCCTAAGGTCTCATGCAGTTGTGGTGGTATGGTGTGGGCCTGTGCTTGTGTGTATGTACACGCGTGTAACATGTGCCTGTGCATGTATGCATGTGTGCATGTGCCTGTGTTTGTGTGTAGGGGGCAGTGTTTGAGATTTGGAGGGAGTGAAGGGGTTACTGTTTGTTTCCCTGAGGAGTATCTATTCAAATTTATGCTAAACGTATTTTTCTTTCTCAATTCTGTTTTAATTTAATTATTTGGACTTGTAAAATAATTTTAGTTTTTACCCAAAACATATGACTTTGTATCATTAGCCCTTTTCATACAACTGAAAAATAGAGACATTTGTCCAGGAAAGGAAGAGAACAGAAACTATTCGGTTTTTAAATTCAAGTTTCAAGAAAAATTTCAGATTAACAGGTAGAAATAACTCCAGGTACTTTCTTCCCAAACAAGTCAACATTGTCAACCATAACAATTTTATATGGGCTCTTACTTAGTGAAATACATAAATATTATTTATTAGAATAATGGTTTTATAAGATTAGGTTTTGGTCCTAAGTGCCATGATTTCTTGTTTTAAAGGAAAGTTTTCCAACAGTGCCAACTATTCCATAAACTGACTTATAGTTTTTATTTTTTTATTCCAATTTACTTAGATTTAATGAATAAACATCACATAACCATGGTGAACTGTCTTTTATTACCACCAAATATAAGTGATTAGTATTTTACAATAGAGAAATTTATAGCATTTAACAGTATATTTCGTAATATATATATACTATATAACCATAGTATCATTGGACTGACCAAGATATAGGATGGGTCTTTGTATACAGACTATTTTTTATAAGACGACTGAGAAATAAAGGGAGAAAAATAAATGCTAGGAATAAAGTTTAGGTACATAAAACAATTTTAATATCAAAATTCATCAACCATAATACCATTTGAAAGAATATGATGAAAAGTGCTGCCTATGTGGACTAGAATTACTATTGTTTGTCTTAGGAAAATCAACAATTCAGTATCTTGTCTTAATGTTGAAGCAAAAATAGGAGGCTTGGTCATTATTCATAAGGTACCAGGAAAAGACTACTGGTTCATTTAAAAATAAACTAGGTTTCGGGAGGCTGAGGCAGGAGAATGGCGTGAACCCTGAAGGCGGAGCTTGCAGTGAGCCAAGATTGTGCCACTGCACTCCAGCCTGGGCGACAGAGCGAGACTCCATCTCAAAAAATAAAATAAAATAAAATAAACTAGGTTAAATGTAAAATGATAGGCCATAAATGACTACTAAATTCTCCTCCCCCAAAAGAAATGGCCGTATGTTGTGTTATTCCAGATAATTCTGTTATTCCAGGGAAAAGACCGTCCAATCTTACCAAAAATAACAAGCAAACAAATATACAAAATCAAACAATAACAACAACAACAAAATTTAAAAAGCAACAACCAAATTTAAAAAGCAGCAACAAAATTATGTGACAATTAGTTTAGTTAGTACCGAAACTACAGTGAGAAACGCTATAAAATTGCTTGTGTACAACAACACAACAGTGCACTGCAGTGCAAGTTTCTTTTTGGCATCCCTCTACAAAAAATTGAAGTATATGCATACTGTTGCTTGTTCACTAAAGTCATAAGTAAGGATGTCCAATGCCATTACTCAGGTCTTTTGGCTGAATATCACTCTTGGGAAAGACATAGACTCTGGACTTCCTTTTATTTTTTGAGACGGAGTCCAGCTCTGTCGCCCAGGCTGGAGTGCAATGGCGCGATCTCGGCTTACTGCAAGCTCCACCTCCCGGGTTCACGCCATTCTCCTGCCTCAGCCTCCCGAGTAGCTGGGACTAATGGCGCCCTCCACCACGCCCGGCTAATTTTTTTTGTATTTTTTAGTAGAGACGGGGTTTCACCATGTTAGCCAAGATGGTCTTGATCTCCTGACCTCGTGATCCGCCCGCCTCGGCTTCCTAAAGTGCTGGGATTACAGGCGTGAGCCACCGCGCCCGGCCGACTTCCTTCTTAATAAGCAGTTTCCCATTAACAAGTTCTGTTTTATAGTGAACGTGAACTAGAAAGAAAATTTGCCTCACTGGTTCTTGGTGGAACAAAAAAATAGTTTCAGTCACCTCCCTCTTGAGCAATCCAGGCCATGTTTTATGTTACCTAAACCTATTTAATTAATGAGGTATAGATTTAAAACACAGTACATTCTTACCGTATTTAGAAAATATTTCTATGTTCTAGAATCACATCCCAATTTTAATATTTTATATGTAAATCAATTTTACATAGGGTGGATTTCTTTCAAAGCACCGTGTTCCACAAAAACACATGCTTTGTATATAAAAGTCATAAGGCATTTCATTTGAAATTGTATTCTATATTTTTCTAGAGATATTCTGTATTTAATTTAAGGTTGTATTTTATGTTTTTCTAAAAACATTCTGGATTTGTTGAACAGTAATTGCACGGGAAGAATTGGGCTTGGACTTATATCATTTTTTATTTTGGCTTTTTCTTGTGTTTGCTAGTCATGAGATCTGCACCAACTGTCTCTCTCTTCTCTAAAGATGGAATTCTATAAATTTGTATGGTCTATAGACCGTCTGTCTTTGAATTGTGGTATGCTTATCTAGAATTTCCTTGTGAAAACAAAGTTCTTCTATATCAAGGAGTGAACTCAGGATGTAATTCATTTGCTGTAGAGAAAAGTATCTTTTTTTTTTTTTTTTTTTTTTGAGATGTAGTCTCACTCTGTCACCAGGCTGGAGTGGAGTGGCACGATCTGGGCTCACTGCAACCTCTGCCCCCAGGTTCAAATGATTCTCCTGCCTCAGCCTCCGGAGTAGCTGGGACTACAGGCGCATGCCACCACACCCAGCTAATTTTCTTTCTTTCTTTTTTTTTTTTTTTTTTGTATTTTTAGTAGAGATAGGGCTTCACCATGTTGGCCAGGATGGTCTTGATCTCTTGACCTCGTGATCCACCCGCCTCTGCCTCCCAAAGGAGAAAAAGTATCTGTTTCCAGACAAGATTAGGTGGTAGGACACCCAAAAACAGTCTTGCTAGAGGAAAGAACATAGGCACCAAGACACAACACTGTTTTCCTCTACAATCTTCCTTCTCTTTCACAGATAAAGACAGCTCCTGTCATAGATCAACTCTGTAAATTTACCAATGAGTCACATCCAATAAACTCCTTCAATCTTGTACAGAAGTGCCAAAAATGTAACCAACTACAGAACTGTATTACTGTCTGCTTCCATTTGAATATGTGAAAATGAAAAATTATAAAGAAATTCTGCTTTCTTATTCACGACAAATCTTGATTGAACCTTAATAATGGACAAACAGCTATTTTCAAGGCTACTCTTGAAAAACACTGATCTGAGAATATATTTTCAGTTCTATTTCATGTAGAACCTCATATTCAAAAAGTCTGAACCTAAACTCATGTTCTTCTCCCTACCTGGCTTTTCTTCTTGTAACTGCTACCTACCAACCCAAGTTAGAAACTTGGGTGTATCCCTGACTCCTTACTCTTTCTTGATCTTCAAATTTAACACATCTATGCATCATCATTTCTTACTGATTTTACTTTTTAATTAGTTCTCCAGTCCATTTAATTCTCTCCATATGAACAGCCATCAACCTAATTGGAACTCTTATCATCTCTCTATTGGACTACTCTGCTCATATCTGAATTGGTTTCCCCTCTCCAGACTTAGTACCCTCAAGTTCATCTTCAATGCAGCCAACAGAATGAGATATTGGATAACTGATAATGTCACTTCTGAATTGAGAATACAACTGTGTTCCCTTACTATGCATTATATAATAAAAACAAAGCTCTTTAATATTCCTTTAAAAACCTTATGGAATAGTACTTACCTTCATTTCCAGTTTACAAAACTTTGTGCATTTTATTAATTATACTGGTTACTCAATCCTCTTGTCTCCTCCTCCACTAGTCCCAGCCCTGATCCACGATCCTAATTTCCAAGCAGACCCTTTAAGCTTCAACTCAGATGTAACCTTTGCTAGGAAGTTTTGTGTCATTCTCACTCACACTCTGAGCTAATGTAAATGTCTTCCTCTGGGTTTCCAAAATATTCCTTAAATATCTCTAATATTGTATTTTCTACATGGAATTATAATTTCTGTTTTGTTTCCCTCATTAGAAGGCTGAAGCTAAAACATTCATCCTTATGTTTTACAGAATACCTGGCACAAGATAAATGCCCACTCAATGTTGCTTCAATTTAGTTTTTAACAAGTCATGGAGCTTAGCTGGAAGAATACAAAACCTCAGGATATATTACTTACAGAGACTGAAAAAGTTACCTTTTCATCAGTAAACCAAGTGATAATAATTTCTAAAGTTCAGAGCTGCTATGAAGATTAAAATTTTAAAATAGAAGATAAAGTACAACCTTTATCCTAAATAAGTCTATCCCTCCTTCAGGGCTTCCTGTCTCAGTAAGTGGGCCCTCCACTCATTCTACTTCTTCTACCAGGATTTTGATATCAGACTTTATATGTTCTTTTTCCTCCCTCCTCACATTAAAAATCATGTTGATTCTAGCTCAAAAATATATCTGGAATCCTTCTATTTCTTTGTGTTATCTCTACCACTATCCTTGTCTAGGACATCATCTTTGGACACCTGAAGACTCTGGACACCTTGAGAGTACTGTAACTTGCTGTTTCTACTCTCATTCTTGTCCTTTTTCAATCTTTCCTTATTTCACCAGCCAGAATAATCTCTCTCTCTCTCTCTCTCTCTCTCTCTCTTTGAGTCAGGGTCTCGCCCTGTCACTCAGGCTGGAGTGTAGTGACATGATCTCAGCTCACTGAAACCTCCACCTCTGGGGCTCAAGTGATTCTTCCACCTCAGCTTTCCAAGTAACTGGGACTACAGGCAAGTGCCATCTAACCAGCTAATTTTTTTGTATTTTTTGTAGCGACAGGATTTTGCCATGTTGCCCAGGCTGGTCTCAAACTCCTGGGCTCAAGCAATTCACCCATCTTGGCATTCCAAAGGGCTGGGACTACAGGTGTGAGCCACCATGCCCACCACAGAGTAATCTCTTAAAGATAAAAATTTTATCATATCCTTTTATTGCTTTAAACCTTATAAAGACTTTGCATTTTCTGGAATAAAACCCTTCACTTGGCTGACTCCTACTGAACCTTCTCGAGTTAAATGTCACAGCCTCAAGAAGGTCTTGCCTGACTCCCAAGTCTTAATTAGCTTCCTGTTCTATCATAGCACACTAAATATTTTCTTCTTAATATTTAGCATAATTATGATAACATATTTATTTTTATCTGCATATTTATGATTTGACTCTGTCACTAAACTATATGTCCCACGAAAACAGAGATGCTATTTGTCTTGTCACTACTTTATTCTCAAGGGCTCAGTACAATACCTAACATATACCGGATTCTAAATATGTATCTGTTAAATAAACGGCTTAACATGCATAGAACATAGAAAGCACATGATTTATATATAAAAGTGATCTTTTTTTCTCTCTCTTTCTATAAAACACATTAAAGATAAACAGAATTTTCAGGGAAAGGATTTCAATGAATTCATGGTTAAATATAGGGTAAAGGAGAAATTCTATGTCTTTTGGGCCTCAAGGACCCCATGATTTATCAAAAGTTAAATAATGTTATAAAACTATAAATTCTTTCACTAAATGAGCTGTTATTAAAAAATAGCTTTTTTCTGTCAACCATTCAATTAAGAGGCTTAAAGTGAATATGTATTAGTTTGCTAGGGCTGCCATGACAAAATCACAAACTGAGTGGCTTAAACAACAAAAAGTTACTGTCTCTCAGTTCTGGAGACTGGAAGTCAGAAATCAAGGTATTAGCAGGGTTAGCTCCTTCTGAGGGCCGTGAGGAAGAATAGGTTTCAGGCTTCTCCCCTAGATTTTGGTGATTTTTTAGTAATCTTCGGCATTCCTTGGCTTATAGAAGCATCACCATGATCTCTGCCTTGATGTTCATATGACATTCTCCCTGTGTGTATCTCTTGCTTTCTTCTTTTTTGAGGGTACTAGTCATACTGGGTTAGTCCACCCTAATGACCTCATTTTAATTTGATTACCTCTGTAAAAACCCTTTCTCCAGATAAGGCCACATTCTGAGTACTTCAGCATGCAAATTTCGAGGGTGACACAATTCAGCCCATTACATACATAATAAATATAATATAATAAAGTAATATAATAGCAAAAATGTGTGCTTATTTATTATTAATTAATTTAAAAGTATTTATTGAGTACCCACTGTATCCAAAAATCTACACTAAGATACAGTGGCAAACTGGAGAGTCATGGTCCCCATTCTAAGCAAGCTTTCTTTCTAATAGGGGAGTGAGATAATAAACAAATAATTATAAAATTAATAGCTTAATGTATTTATAAAAAGTGCAGTGCCTTGTATATCAAGAAGTAGCAATCTAGTCTGGAAAGGCCAGAAAGTTTCTTTATTATAGATAATATTACTGGCCAGGCGCAGTGGCTCATGCCTGTAATCCCAGCACTTTTGGAGGCTGAGGCGGGTGGATCACCTTAGGTTCGGAGTTCGAGCCCAGCCTGGCCAGTGTGGTGAAACCCCATCTCTACTAAAAATACAAAAACTTAGCCAGGCATGGTGGCGGGCACCTGTAATCCAAGCTACTCAGGAGGCTGAGGCAGGAGAATCATTTGAACCCAGGAGGCAGAGGTTACAGTGAGCCAAGGTGGCGCCATTACACTCTAGCCTGGGCAACAAGAGTAAAACTCCATCTTGAAAAAAAAAATATATATATATGTATATAATATATAATATATATATATATACACACACACACACAGACACACACACACACACATATATATATATATATACACACATATATATAATTAATATTGGGTCTCATATCTAATCTTCATTGATTAAACTATAAACCATTGAAGGGTAAAGCCTGTGTTTTAAATTTCTATGCTGCCTCCAGAGCCAGCTAATGTAGACTTTAAATAGTGTCCTGAAATACTTTTTTTCATGAATCACTCAAAAGCAATTAGCATTTATTAAATCCTTTTGGATTTTCACAATGTTGTGTGTTTATTATTTTTATATCTGCTCCATGCAGTTTGTCTATGTGATACTTTATTAGGCCTATATTAGAATTTACAATGTATAGTCCCCTTCCCTAGTTGTTTAATTTACATGGGCTTCATTTTATGGTCCTGGGAAACAAGAAATAGGTCTGTAATAGTTTAGATAGACTTTTCTTTCCCCAGCATATAGTGTAGTATTGTGCTTAAAACATTTTTACTCAAAAACTACTTACTTGATGGGCTGGCTAATTAATGAAGTTGGCCAGAAAACTGTCACCCATTTCAATGATGGAGGAAAACTAACATGCTAAGAGGGTAAGTGACATTTAAATATCTTGTAAGGGATGGTAAAATAAGATTCTTTGTGTCCTGGCAGATAAAGATTTCTGCTTCTTTTTGAGTTTCTGGTTGCAGATATTTCTTTTCCTATTACGCACTTATGGGAATAATGAAGATGTCTTGAAACATGGCTACTTTTTGCACATATGAGACAACTGGGATAAGATTCACTCCAAAACTCCCGATGATTTTCCTCCCCTTCAAATCAGCAAGCAGTGCAGGCTTCTCAAGGGGAAGTATGGGAAACAGAGATAGCGGGTACCCTCTCAAAGAGCAAGCGTCTCAGAAAAGATGATGTGTCAAAACAGAGAAATCAGGAATTGAATTGTACCACTACCCAAAATGCCCATATTATGACCAGTTTTGCAATGAGTAGGTCTCTGATATATATGCTTAGAAAACTCTCTTACATTTATACATATTGATGGAAAGAGTTACCATAAAGTAACGCTCATATGTCGTATGTGCAAAACACAGCTAATTTGAAAATCAATTTTTCTCATATTACTTGCAAATTAACTCTTTTTTTTTTTTAGATAGTCTTGCTCTGTTGCCCAGGCTGGAGTGCAGTGGTGCAATCTCAGCTGACTGCAACCTCCGCCTCCTGGGTTCAAGCGATTCTTGTGCCTCAGCCTCCCGAGTAGCTGGGACTACGGGCGGACGCCACCATGCCCAGCTAATTTTTGTAGTTTTAGTAGAAACGGGGTTTCAGTATGTTGGCCAGGCTGATCTCGAACTCCTGACCTCAAGTAATCCACCCACCTCAGCCTCCCAAGGTGCTGGGATTACAGGTATGAACTACTGCACCCGGCCAGATGAACTCTCTTAATAATAATACTATATCATTATTACTTTGCTAGCTGTAGTTGGAACTACAAGTTGTAGCAGTGATTATTAAAATTTCTTGTTAATGGGACAAAAAGAGCTAAGGTTTTATCACCAAGGACTGACAAAATAGTTCTAGGATCCATTGACAAGAGAAAACCCATACCCCTACCTAGGATAGGAGGCTGGAAAAGATTTGGTCAGTAGGCTAGAAGAAGTTTGTTATTGAAATAAGTAGTAAAGATGACGCCTAGATGGATTCATTGGTTCAAGAGTTTAAGAGAAATAGAGTACAAGAGTATAACTACATGGCCTTCTGAAGAGACACTAGACAATGATTAGAAGTAGGTAATACAAGGGTCTAAGGCAAGGATGTAATGGGTGGTAAAGGATGAGGAACAGGCTAAACTAGAGCAGCTGAACAGAAAGATATGGGATTTCCAGAACTCCAATTATGTTAGATTTGGACGTGAGGGTAGATGGGGTTGGCAGTAACATAATCCACCTCTAATTTTCTCTCCCTAATTCTGATCTAATACAGAAGAAAGAGATAGGGTCACACAGATAGAAATAAAAACTATCACTTTTATGAGGGATTGAGTTCATTGAAAAGTACACACAAAGTATGGATCCATGTTTAAATGGGTTTACAAATTCTTTTTCCAAAACAGCTGTCCAATGTATGTACAGGAGACAAATAAGTGCATTTTAGGCATGAGCCACTTTTTAAAAGATCCCCGATTGGGCTAGGGCATATATGCTAGGTTTCTTCTTCCACCTTGTTAGTTAGATAGGCCATTTGTCCCACAGGAGAAGTAGAGAGAGAAGGGATTAAAGCTTGCATGACCTCCTCCAAAGAGAAAGCTCCTTTCCTATGGGCTCAGTTAGAAAAGGAGGAGGAGAGAATGCTCATAGAATATATTTCTTATGTTGAACTTTTATATAATTGAAATATAACTGTTATTTGCCTATCAATATTCAGTTAGACCTTCAAAGGTCAGTAACAGCAATAGAATAGGCATTATTTCACTCAGGAAGGAAACTATTCAAGTTGCTTGCTTTTTCATCATGATTATCCTAATTTTAATAAATTACTTTAATATCAATATTAAATTGCCCCAGGAATGTTTTTACTAAAAGCCATAATAAGCTCAGAGTTACCATGTTCCAGTGTACTCCTGTTTATCAAGTTTTGATAATTGTATGAATATTTTATAATAACTGTTTGCACTGTATTAACTTTGATTTCTGCTGATAAAAAATAAACTATAGGTGGTGCATATTTAATAAAGTTCTCTTAGTCTAGATATAATATGCCAAAAACATATATTCACTATTACATATTATGTCCTTAAATATGGTATAGTTTATAGCTTTACAGAACAGTTTTTCAATATATGTTTTATATTAACTTAAAATCCAAGAACTGGCCCTTCCTATCATCTCCTCCTTCTTCGTAAGGTCTAATTGGTATTGTTCTAGTGTTTTGAACTTCAGCTGTGTCTATGTGATGCCAACCAATGAAGACAGCAAAAACTAATTGGTATCTTTTGGAACAAGCAGTGGATTTATAGAGACTAGAGTCTCTGTTAACTGTTCCTAATCGTGTCATATGGCTTTATTCAGCTGTTTCTCTTAGTTTATAATGTTCACTATAAAAAAAAACATAAGTGGTGTAGAACAAGCAGTTCATTTTTAAAGAATACTAAGCAAAGGCAGAAGGCAGTCTGCCTTTACCAGAAGCTTCCTTACACAAAGTTTGGTGACTAAGATTAGTCAATAAAACTTTTGGAGATGTGGGTCCCCACAAATTAATTTTCTTGAGTTATAAAAAATGAAATCAGTGGTTGCTAAGCCATATGTGACTTGGTAGATGAAGACTTTCAAGTTGAGCTGAATTTGGGACAAGATACTCAGTTTCGGAGATTCACTAGAAGTTCTCTGTTTACCTTCCATTCTTAAGGTCAGAAAAAAAATCAATGTAAATGTCAAAGAGAAAGTTCTTATATAAACGGGCTCCATAATTAATCATTTCATATTTGATTTTTCTTTTGTTACAATGATTCTATTTTAGTGTCCATATATAATCAATTAACTCAAATATATAAGTTTGATTGAATCAAGGCGATAGTCGAATAGTCACTGATTAGCTTCATTTATATACAGGGATCATCTTAAGGATTTGACTCACAGTTGATGGCCCAGTATATTTGGTATTTAAGTTGTCTGACGTTGTTAGCTTTCGAACAATTCAGAGTCTTCAGTTTCTCCTTAAACAAGCGAATAGCTTCTTTTTATAGTTGTTTTTTTTCATAAAGTATAACAAAAATAAAGAATGTCTCAAGACAACATGGCCCGAATGTCTCAAAGACTATAAACTGATATTTTGAGGGGAATTAAGAACATGTACTCTCAGTGTTTCACTCTCCAATCCTGCAATGGCTTCAGAGAGAAAATATAGTAGCTTATTTCATATAACTAAAAGTGTAACACTATATGACATATAAACTGGGGTTTTGGAAGAAGAGAGTTCATAAAACTCTTTTGGGTGGTTATGAAAAATGCAATCCTATTACTGGGTATATACCCACAGGAATATAAACTGTTCTATGATAAAGACACATGCACATGTATGTTCACTGCAGCAACTACTCACATTAGCAAAGACATGGAATCAACCCAAATGCCCATCAATAATGGACTGGATAAAGAAAATGTGGTACATATACACTGTGGAATAGTATTCACCCATAAAAAAATCATGCCCTTTGCAGGAACATGGTTGGACCTGGAGGACATTATCCTTAGCAAACTAACACAGGAACAGGAAACCAGATACCACATGCTTTCACTTATAAGTGGGAGCTAAATGATGAAAACACATGGACAAATAGAGGGGAACAACACACACTGGGGCTTATTGGGGACAGGGAGGGTGGGAGGAGGGAGAGGATTAGGAAAAATAACTAATGGGTACTAAATTTAATACTGGGTGATGAAATAATCTGTACAACAAACCCCCATAACACAAATTTACCTATGTAACAAACCTGCAAATGTACCCTTGAACTTAAAAGTTAAAAAGAAAAAAGAAAACTGCAGCTCCCTGGCCCCAGAGATTCTGATTCAGCAGTAGGTACTTTAAAAAACTTTCCCAAGAGGTTCTGAGTTTGGCCAACACTATTGCAAACAATTAATACAAATATGGTTGGTGTTCTTACATATGTGCCTGTTATGAGCCATAGGTTTATTTGGCCTCCAGCATTGAGATTTAAATATTCCAAATACTGATTGGTGGATGCCTTGTCCTTTGTCTCAGGGCATGGCTCTCCTCTTCCACTTTGCTGGGTCCAGTGAAAGAACAAGCTGGCTCTGGAGCTCATGTCGCAATTTTATTTTGCTTTGTACTTGAAACCGTAGAAGACCTTTCTATCCTTTTTAACTTTAGAAAATTGTTCATTTTCACCTTGCTTTTCCTCAGGGAGCCAGTATCTGGGGAGGTGGAATCACAGCTCAGGGCAAGGAAGCACTGGCTGTCTCCCCTTTAAGGAGGGGCTGACCCATCCAGGAAAAGGGCTTTCCCACAAGTTGACCAGAAAAGTTCACAAAACCAAAACCTCTTTTTAAAGGACGAATATCTTCTGGCTCCACAAATACGGATAGTCTAAAAGATGTAACTTGTCACTAAACATGCAACAGAGAAAGGAAAACTAATAAGCAACCCAAAGAGGTTTCCTCCCGGCCTTCCCAGGACAGATGTTGTTTCTGACTAAATGATAATGAACAGTCAGCAAGCAACTCACCTATAAAATGCTGAAACCATTATCCAAGGAAGTACAAATTTCCGTGCTAAAGAAATGTGACTGTTTGCATTTCTTTATCTACAATCTCTAAGAAAACTTCCTTGGGAGCCAAATCTCTTAGTTAGCTTATACCAAACAGAAAGGTTTTACTTGTGGCAGTTAGAGAGAAAAGAGGGTTGGGGCAGCAGACAAGTAAACCAGAAACTGGATTTGCCCCAGTAGGAAAAGCCATTTGTTTTGAGAAGCAGAGATCCACAGGATATTTGCAGATATAAAATTGAAAATTTGGATTGACCTTTCTTCACATTTTCTAGAAAATCATTAGCTTAATCTCTGATATATGCAATGCTTTTTCTAATCCTTTGAGACATAGAAGAGAAAGAGCAATGCAAAACTGGCCTTGCATTGTTCAAGATGGGGAGAAACACAAGTGCTCTGTACAGAAGTAAGAGGGAATAAATCATGCAGTTCACGTCATTCTTCATCTGGAAAACACTCACATGTCTCTTTAAGGACAAAGCTGCCTCTGGTCCAAATATCTGGTCTTTAAGGCCACAGATTCCTAGAAGAGCAGAATGTGCAGCCTGTTCAGGAGCACACTCAGATGCTGCATAATAGCTAACAGTGGGCAGAGCCCTCGTGTCTATTCAACCACTAACTTCCATCATCACAGAACCCTGTGTTCTCAGGAGCTCCATTATGTGACTGCTTATAACACAAAGGATTGAATAGTTACTGCTTCCTCTTTGGTGTCTAAACTCTGAGTTGTAGTTTTTCTGTATATTTGTGGCCGTGATGTCCTGACTGTCAGAAAGTGACTTTAGACAGGCACCATCTGTACCATGTCTAGTCTCGAGTGCTGTTGGTCCAGTCAGTGTCTCATGAGTGGGGAGGTGGGAGCAGCAAATGGCACTATTCAATTAACTCCTTAGGCCAGGTATTCACCTCAAAGTCAGGCTGTGGCCATGGAAACACTGACACTATTAAGCTAAAAGTTAAAATTAAAACTCCCAATCTGAGTCACTGAAAAACCCTAATGCAATTAAATGGGCAACTTTAAGTGCCTAAAAACTAGATCACTATTTTTATTAGTATGATCTTTAAAAAAGAATGCAATATTTTCTTTAATGTAAAGGGCTATTTAGTAATGCACACTATTTATGGGTCCTGCCCACACATGATGCATGTGTACTTCCTGATATAAAACAATACAGCCAAGAAACCAAGCTGATCTGAACACTATTTAAGATACAGGGTAAGGATGTAGCAAAGAAACTGCCCTGGGCTGGTGATAAGTACTATGATGACTTGGCTTCCTCCACATTAAAACCACCTGGAATTGTGGATGAATAAATATTGGCTATTTTAGGCTTTGAAAGTTAAGGATTCCAGAGATGGAATATGTTACGTTTTGCTAGGGTATTTTTCAGATGTGCAGTTGTGCAATTTAGCTCAGCACTTTGAACATGTGTTAATTTGTCATCGATCGAACACCTGCTATGTGTCAGGTCTGTTATAGGCATTGAAATTAGAAAGCCAAAGAGGAAAACTCTTCATGCCCTTGGGGAGCTCACAGTTTAATGGGAGGTTTAGAGATGAATACTGATAATTTTATTACAGGATTTACAAGTCGCCCGAGAGGTAAGAGCTGGTAACACAGGAGCCCTTAGCTTGAGAAGACCAGCAGGGAAGGTCTCTGGTTTAGGTAGCTAACCATACAGTAAGAATTCGCCAAATAATATGTGGAGAAAGGGGAGGATATTCTTGGCTAAGGGAGGAGCACTGAGAGAGCTTGGAACAGGTCAAGAGTTGCAAATACTGTAGTTTAGTTAGACTGAGCAAGAGAATAATATGAAATGAGGCCAGGAAAACAGGCAGGGACCAGATCATGATAAGGAGTTTGAATTTTATCCTAAGGCAATGGGCAGTCACTGAAGGATTCTAATGAAAAGTGACATGATCTGATGAACAGTTTAGAAAATTCATTCCGGCAACCTTAGGGAGGATAAATTGGAGGGCGATAATCTTGGAGGCAGGACAAGATAGTTAGGAGGTGGTAATAGTTAGAAGAAGAAACATAAAAAGGAACTAGGTAAGTTTGAGTTAGCTCAGCAACAATAGCACATACATGATTGTGTGGGTAATGATGGAGCATGAACAACATGTGCAAGGTGCAACAAGAACTTGCACGAATTATGTTAATGCACTTTTTAAAGAGATATATTTGTGCTAATAGACATGTTAGTCATTTTCCTGCATCTCCCATGACCCCAGTTGTTGCTGTAGAGACTTGATAATGAATTATTATTGCTATTTCATAAATTTCCATATAAATCACTCTGCCACAAAGACACACGCCCAAGAATGTTTATTGCAGCACTGCTAACAATAGCAAAGACATAGAATCAACCTAAATACCCATTAATGACAGATTGGATAAAGAAAGTGTGGTACATATACACCATGGAATACCATGCAGCCATAAGAAAGAACAAGATCATGTCTTCTGTGGGAACATGGATGGAGCTGGAGGCTGTTATCCTCAGCAAACTCATACAGGAACAGAAAACCAAATACTGCATATTGTTACTTATAAGTGGGAGCTAAATGATGAGAACTTATGACCATAAAGAAGGAAACAACAGACACTGGAAGGTGGGAGGAGGGAGAGGGGCAGAGAAGGTAACTACTGGGTTCAAAGAAAACCCAACAGTTATATCTGGGTTACAACTGGGTTATCG
Source organism: Homo sapiens (assembly GCF_000001405.40). Classification (NCBI taxonomy): domain Eukaryota; kingdom Metazoa; phylum Chordata; class Mammalia; order Primates; family Hominidae; genus Homo; species Homo sapiens. Next base: position 58,184,785 of record NC_000005.10, read on the forward strand.
GCTTAATTCCTTGGTGATGGAATAATCTGTTCAAAAACCCCTGTGACATGAGTTTATCTATGTAACAAACCTGCACATATACCCCCGAATCAAAAATAAAATTTAAAAAACTGAGTTTGGGAGACAGGAACTAGCAACGGTCTTCCTTTACTGACTTGCCTACTCCTAACCTGGTTTATGAGGTAGATGGGTAAACGGAGAAGAGTAAACCTCAAATCAATGTGTGCTCTTCCATTCAGACTTTATTTTTACCATCTTTGCTTAGAACTATGCCAGCCAAGTGATTAAATGCTACAAAAATGTCAGTGGCTACACAGACAGGTCATGAGTCATATTGGGATTAACTGGATTTATCCACAATTTAAAAAATATTGATGTGACTCTAAAAGTATTTTAGGTTTGGCAGGACTTTGGGGGATTCTCTTATTTATTAATTTGTTGATAAGGCTAGTAAAATCAGTGATGAAAAGCAATAAGATATCAATGCAAATATTGACTAAAATATTTAGATCACCAGATTCCAGAGTAACAAATATATTTCTGTATAAAAAAATCCAGTCTAGGAAACCAGTCTACTATGTCACACAATTAATAATGAACAAATAAACAAAATAGTTTGAGCACTTTATCTGTATCAAGCCCTATGCAGTGTGTGTGTGTGTGTATGTGTTTGTGTGTGTGTATTTGATGCATATTTTCTCATTTAAGACATTTACCTTAAGGTAAGCAGCCTATAAAAGTTGTGACCATGGTTCAGCCAAGATGTTCTGACATCAAACGCTAGGCCCTGTCCTCTAACCTGTTCATTTTACCTTGCCTGCTGTTTCTAATAGGCACCTAATTCTTTTCTTTCAGACCATTGACTACCAAGTTGCTAGGCCAGGATTCAAACTCGGGTCTGCCTGCCTCCTGAACCCAAGATTTTGAGCATCACATTGGAGTACACAAAAACATGCTAGAACAGTGCTACTCAAAGTAGCCAGTCCATAACATGTCACTAATCCCCAAGGAAATGAAAGAACTTGGTCCAGAGTATAAATGAACACATTGGTTGCTTTACCGGGAAATGTATGCTATTTAAAAAGGAGTGTCAGCTTACTGGTATAGTTGGCTTAGATTCTGGTCAAGCTTCTTGATTATCTTGTTGCAATGTGTTAGCAAAGGGTTCACAGACAGGTGGCACAGGTTCATGGACAGCATTTGACTAGCAACACACCGGATCACTGTGTGGGTGCCAAATTCATCTGACTAGACTATCCCAAGGAAACTGCAAGCAAAATGTTTCATAAGTCCATACATGCATCATGGCTAACAAATGTTTCACTAAGGAATAAAGACGCTTTCATAGGCATATTTGAAATTTTTGAATGAGCTATATAAATCTTTTAGAATTTTTCATCAAAAGTTGTGTTTCAAAGTGAAGTTAACTTTCTATTTAGAGCACTGAAGTTGATAAGAGTTCTACAATTATACCTTGATTTTGATACTACACTTATAGAAGTTATGATGACTACATTGTTCAACAATTTGGGCCTATGATTTATATAGTTCATGTTAACCATTTTTTTACATATAACCTTGGAAAGCCTGAATAAAGTGCACCCTAGAAGTTCTATAGAAATATATATATATATATATATATATAGCATTAAAATAATAGAAAAGAGGTGGAGACTCAAATGAACAACTACCCATTTCTTCATAACTAACATCTTTAGTAAGATTTTCATAAATTTTTACAAAACTATTTTGAAAAGCATGAGTTTTGCAATGCAATTTGGAGGTCAACAATGTCTTTATCAATGTGTTTTTTTGGTACAATGATATTTACCAACAGTATATGGGGGAAATTTTATTTCCAACATTCTTACAGGTTTTATTTTACTTCCTTTCTGTCCTTTTTTCTTTTCCTCTCTCTTTCTTTAAAAAAAAGTGGTCTACCCAAAGCAAAGTCCAGTGCATTTATAAATTCTAAGAGGCAAAAAAACCATTATTATTTAATTTAATATTCATTGTTTAGCTGGAAGCAATTTCAAGCCCAGTTGAGGTAATAGTTTTTAATACTTCACAGCACATTGAGACTTACATAATTTTAAAAACTGCTGCATGCTGATGTCCACTGATGTCTTAGACTATAATTTTATAACTTTGAATGATATAAAGGTTTACAGTTGCTATTTTTTTGCATATTGCCTATCAGAGGCTTGATTAGGAATGTGATATGAATCTGTCTAATGGAGCAGGAACTATCTGTATGGGGTTAAGCTTTTAACCCAAAAATGTTTACTGAGCACCAATTATGCACAAGTAATTTGAAGTATTGGCCTTGTCTCTGAAAGGTGCTAACAGATAAACAACATCATTCTTCCATTTAGGCCGTAATTCTGTTCAGAAATTAAAGAGCAAAGGTTGTGAATGTCAGTTTTTCTTTCTTTCCTAAAAATCAATAGGTAATTACACTGACCCAAAAGGCAAAATGAATTCACTCTGTGAGTTTACCATTCATAGGACAGGACTTCACATTTACATGCCCATTTAAACATGCCCTGCTACAGTCACTTCTGAACATGTAAGAAGAGCTTCTTTGACATTCTGAAAAAATATTAACTCTAAAAGTTAGAGAGTAAACAATTTTAAGTGTTCAAATAGTACCTTCAAAAAATGATAAATAATTTCAATTTCTCTTTCAGGTAATAACATTGAGATATTGAGGTTCACTGGGAAAAATATTTTTGTTGGCACTTGGCACTTGGAATGCTTATAACATCACATCTTTAGTGGTATTACTTCAGCTATACCCTGTCTCATTGTTTATACAGATAGTGATGCATTTTGGTTAAGAATCTTAATAACAATAATCCTTTATATTTGTACAGTCTTTTTCAGTTCCAGGGCAGTTTAGATTTACCATCATATTAAATTCTTGCAAGGACTCTGTGAGATGACTGTAAGATTATTATTCTCATTGTGCCGTTGGGAAAACTGAAGCTCACAGAGTCCAAAGGCTATGAAGCATGGACTGGAAGCTGCCTGTCTGGGTTCAAATTCTGGCTCCATAGCTTGCCAAATATGTATAATTTGGAGCAAGTTACTTAACTTCTTTTGTATCAGTGTCCTCATCAGAAAATGAGGGTAATAACAGCACCTACCTTACTGGATTGTTATGACAGCTTAGGTTAATGTATGTTAAATACTTAACAGCAGTACCTGGCATATGGTAAATGCTACATGCATTTCAGAAATTGAGCCCAGATTTCTGACTGCATGTCTAGTGTTCCTTTCATTACAATAGTGTTTCAATTATGTCTTGTTACACCACTTCATGTGGTGGTTGACAGGGTACTGAACTAGAGGCAAAAGTACTACTACAGAAGCATATTCTGATGTTGTAGCTTCTACATTTTCCTGAATTAAAAACAATTAGGTAGTAATAATGTTCATGTAAACTATTTAGTAATCCTTCATGTGTACCAGGCTGGGTATCAAGCAAATAACGCATCTTTTACATGTATTATTCTATTCAATCCTCACAGCAGACCTGTTCATCTCCACTTGCAAACAAGGAACTGGAGTCACCAAGAGGTTAAGTTGTGCAGCGAGTCAGAGCATAGTGATAGGCATCAAAAGGGAGTTTCACGTCTGACTTAATATTGGTATCTGTGGAATGAAACAGGAATGTGCTTAATCATATCAAGCGATCTGATACTCAAACCTTTGTCTTCACCAGGGGTCACTGTCCTGGCAGTTACAGCATATTGCAAAACTGAAATCAAAGCTAAAGGCCTTAGAAATTTTTAATCTAAGCAAGAGCTGATTGTGTTTTAGTGGTGGATATCCAGTATAGTTTCCAACAATTGCAAATTGAAAGTAAAGGGAAAGTAAGCTAACAGACTCCTTAAAGTATCCACAGTCTTGGATAAAGCTTTTTTCTTCCAAATCTGCAATTATTCTTTTAAGGATTCAATTTAATTTATTATTTAAATTATTTTTAACATATATTATTTTAAAACTAAATTACATACAAATTTTCTTTTCCCTAATCTAAAGTTAAAATAAATCACTTTGTAATAATAACTGTGTAGAATTATATGAAAACATCATGTCTGTATTTTCAGTGCCTTAAGACACTTGGAATCTTTGGAGAATCTCACGTTCTAATTTTATTGGATTAGATATGCATGGCTTGGTGGCCTCAGAGGACAAGACTTAGGAGTAGCCCCAAAACATAGTCATCAGAAAAAAGAAAGAAAGTGGGGATTATTCTTTTAAGCAATTTAACCCAAAATCCAGGTTCCATGTTGTTCCGGCTTCAGAGTGAAATTTTTGTTCTCATCTAATTTTAAAGTTATACAACAACAGGAATGCTGTTAAGAAAACTCTGAGCATGAACCAAACCCGAGTGACAATACAGAACCCTGTTTTTATAGATGTTTGCCCCTAAAATAATAAAGTATAAAATATAAACTGACAAAATGGAATGCCCAGTCAAATAATATGATGTGACTTTGCATACATTTTATATCTCCTTACATGTCCAAAGGAGACATATTTTGTCAACATACAAATTCTGAGTGGCCTAGGAGGCAAGCCTATTCACAGTAATCCTCCTGGGAAAATAAGAAAGGAAGAGTAAGTACTAACTTTAGTATTAATTAGTTTTTGTGACACCATGGAACTTCCAACTTACAGGCTGGTAGGGATAGGGCACTCTGTCTCTATAGCATTGCAAAAACTGCTTTTCCTTCCATTTCTGCTTCAGATCACATGTTCTGGCTCAGCAGGGGCTAACGAGATGGAGGGAGCAGAATCTCTGTCTCTCCCTCTCAGATATTCTGATAAAGCCCTACTCCTGTCAGTTGGAGATCAGGTGTGGAGTTTCTGTTGGGTAATAATTTCCAATTTTAGTTATCTAGAGTTTAATAGCTATTGTTTTAAGTTATTGTTTTAAAGAAATAAAAATCACTGGTATATTTTAAAGCATCTTAATTAGTAGCCATGTATTATTTTCAATAGCTGATAAACAATTAGGCTTTAAACATTAAACATCAAATCATTAAGAAATTCAGTTGAAGTAATCAGAACTAATATTGATGAAGAGGAGTATGACTGACTAGGAGGGCATTCATTTTTCCCCCAAAATCACACTGGGTAAATATGGTAACAGATGAATAAGGCCACACACAAACATCAACTTAGTCACTGTATAAGCATGCCATTTAAAGTGATTTTTAAGCTGACCATCACCTAATTTGGGTAACTACATTTCTAGGTTCTACCTGGACTCCTCTGATGTGTGTGCCAAGACAGACAACACTTTCATAAGCACATTATAGACTCAAACAAACAGAAGTGACAAAATGTGCAGAAGGACATTGTAAATTATTCTACAGGGGACAGCTTCATGTCTAGATAATTGTTTTCCTCCTTCTTAGTATTTGTTGCTAATCATGAGAATAATTGTCCAATTCACCTACTGTGTCTTCTCACAATTACTATTCAATGCATTTTTCAGATATTTTAAGACGTTCTCAAAACTGTGGAGCAAATCATACAAATGGGGTAATACACATGAAAACAGGTACTTCCCTTGCCCCGCTCATACATTTGATCTCTTCTTTCCTGGCTGCTTGCAGATTGAGTTCACAGAAACATATGGGGATAAAGGAAGAAGGCTGATTTTTAAAGAAGCAGATTAGAACCCTTCCCACGCTTGGATGTCATCCTCCTCAAAGTAGATTAATGTTCTCTACTCCATTTCTGTTTTCTTCTCTCTGGTTTTACTGTATTTTTTTTTCTTTTATTGCATTGGCAAAATCTGCAAAATTAAAAACTTGTCCTTTAAGGGTAAACATACACAGAGAGTCTTTTTCATCTGCTTAAGTTCTAAGTCAGCAGAATTTAATTTCCCTGAGCAAAATAGTTCCCTGACTGTGTCTTGTTAATTACTAAAGTGTTCCTTCCCTAAATTTGTTTTCATTCTTGTATCTCCTTTGAGTTTCTCTCAGGAAGAAGTACCCAATCAATCTCAGGGTCAGTGGCTGGGGGTGCCATGGCCTTGCACCTAATGCTGTTTCCATATCTATTGAACCCTCGTTTTGACAGGACGTTGGCTACCGAGTTCTCCTTTTGCATCTCTTTCCTCTCTTCTCCTGGGTCCACATCCTCCAATCACAATGACCCCCATCAGTTTCAAAGGTTCCATGATCCTTTGCCTTTCTGACATTATGATTTCCTCTGTTAAGTAATTTTTTTCTTTTGTAGCATTTTTTACAATTTGAAATTGTGTATTTACTTTGTGATTATTTGCTTAATGTTCATTTCCCTCACCAGACTAAGCTCCATGAGGTGGGGGCTTGATCTATATCATACATGTTTGTAATACCATGCTTTGCATAGCCAGGCACAGAATAGGCTCTCAGTATCCTGGGAATGAATACAAGCATGTCCAGAATTCTTTACCAATCATAACAAAGTGCCAGTGTCACACAATTTGCATTTACATAAAACAATCAGATCGTTTTCAGCTTCTATCGGTTATATTTCAGAATGGGAGTCTCTGATTACATTTCAGGAGATTTTCCTAGGTTTATCGGTGAGCTCTGCCAAAATTGTCTCAAAAACTACGTTTGTAATTTATAATTCTCATGGGAAGCACACAGACAAGGAAAAGAGCCTGAAATAGAGAATATAGTTAGTTTATGTTGAATCTATGCATTCTATTTCAGAAAGTAATGTTTTCCCTGCCTTAGAATCTGAAGGTTCATTCATTTATCCAATAAATAATTATTGAGTGACTTTTATATGCCCAACATTGCCCAAGGCCCTGAAGATTAGGCAGTGAACCAGGCATGGCCAAAAGTCTTCTATTGCACAACTAACTACAAATCATTCCCCAAGCTACCCTCTCCACCCTCACCCACCAGCACAGACAATCAGTCCATTTATCTCATCGTTCACTCTGGATCTTTCAATGAAGTGGAAGAGAAGAAAGACTGCTTATGAAGAAAGTAAAGAATTTTGAATTTTTTGAGATATATGGAATATAGAAAAATATAGATTTCACCAGCAATTGGGGTTGGAAATAATAGGCTAGTAGATTTAAAAAAAAAAATCCTTAAATATTAAAATGACAACAAACATATCCTGGAACAGTGGTTCTTAACTGGGGGTTACTGTTTGGGATATATCATAATCACCCGGACTGTTCTCTTCCCCCTGCCCCAAATGCAGCCCCATTTGGTCACATACAGACTCCACTTCAGAGTGTATTGCCCTACACAATGATGTATTTTGGGTGATAAGTTCTGCACTTATTAAACAAATGATCAGAACTTCTATTCTCCACTATTATGCTGAGAATAAATCATGAAGCTGTTGATTCTTAATCACATATCTACTTTGCTTTATCACTTTTTGCAATTCTAGATTGTGTGGCCATTATCCTGTGGGGAGAGATGAAAATATGTTTCATACATGATGCAGTCAGTCAAAGAATCTTTTTTATAAACCTCTTTGTCATATTTATAGAGGCGAATGCTCAAGAAGTAAATGTTTTTCCAGTTACATGAACAAAACAGTTAATTCATTTCACTTTCTTTTCAAGGTGAAATTAGTGAATCATCATCTCTTTTCCACCAGGAATTTACCTTGGTTATTGTTTTCACCTTTATTTGTGGCTTCTTAATAGGGTCATCTGTTACTATAAATTTGAATATATCAAAAAGTTGGTTAAAATAAAAGAAGAAAATATTCAGACTAATTTGACTGATCTTTCATTAAACTCTAGTGAGGGAAGAATTGCTCATTACTTTTTGGTTGGTGTTGTTATTTACTGAATACATTGGCCCTCTAAGTTGGCAGCACTAATTAGATATAATAAAACAGGTGTTTTCTATTAACTAAACAACAAGTAATTAAAATTTTTGTATGGTAGATTAAAAGTGTGACATCATGTTAAGAAGATTAAAAAACTCAAATAAAATTGAAATAAACCAGTGGAACTGTGGCTCATTTTTTATAGAAATTTTATAGTTTGCTCTATTTTACCTATTGGTCATCTGCAAAATTAATAAGATTAGTCTCTATATTAACTAAAATAATAGGTCTTATTCTCTGTAAGATGCATTTTAATATGCATAAAATCTCAAAATTTTTAGTGATATTTGACAATTTAAAATATATTAACTACCAAGTTTAAAAGAAATTCAAGCTATTGAGATACTGAATATGCTTATCAAAATACCCATGCTGATTAGCTCTGCCTTCCACATATTCTGCTATTCTTCTAGGGAGTGGCCCAATCACTTTCATATCACCACCAATTCTCTGCATAAGTCCTATTAGGAATCTAAAATTTTGGGAGCGGTGGCTCACGCCTGTAAACCCAGCACTTTGGGAGGCGGAGGTGAGCAGATCACTTGAGGTCAGAAGTTTGAGACCAGCCTGGCCAACATGGTGAAACCCCGTCTCAGAAATAATGCCACATATCTACAACTATCTGATCTTTGACAAACCTGAGAAAAACAAGAAATGGGGAAAGGATTCCCTATTTAATAAATGGTGATGGGAAAACTGACTAGCCATATGTAGAAAGCTGAAACTGGATCCCTTCCTTACACCTTATACAAAAATTAATTCAAGATGGATTAAAGACTTAAATGTTAGACCTAAAACCACAAAAACCCTAGAAGAAAACCTAGGCAATACCATTCAGGACATAGGCATGGGCAAGGACTTCACGTCTAAAACACCAAAAGCAATGGCAACAAAAGCCAAAATTGACAAATGGGATCTAATTAAACTAAAGAGCTTCTGCACAGCAAAAGAAACTACCATCAGAGTGAACAGGCAACCTACAGAATGGGAGAAAATTTTTGCAATCTACTCATCTGACAAAGGGCTAATATCCAGAATCTACAATGAACTCAAACAAATTTACAAGAAAAAACAAACAACCCCATCAACAAGTGGGCAAATGATATGAACAGACACTTCTCAAAAGAAGACATTTATGCAGCCAAAAGACACATGAAAAAATGCTCATCATCACTGGCCATCAGAGAAATGCAAATCAAAATCACAATGAGATACCATCTCACACCAGTTAGAATGGCGATCATTAAAAAGTCAGGAAACAACAGGTGCTGGAGAGGATGTGGAGAAATAGGAACACTTTTACACTGTTGGTGGGACTGTAAACTAGTTCTACCATTGTGGAAGACAGTGTGGTGACTCCTCAGGGATCTAGAACTAGAAATACCATTTGACCCCAGCCATCCCATTACTGGGTATATACCCAAAGGATTGTAAATCATGCTGCTATAAAGACACATGCACATGTATGTTTATTGCGGCACTATTCACAATAGCAAAGACTTGGAACCAAGCCAAATGTCCAACAATGATAGACTGGATTAAGAAAATGTGGCACATATACACCATGGAATACTATGCAGCCATAAAAAAGGATGAGTTCATGTCCTTTGTAGTGACATGGATGAAGCTGGAAACCATCATTCTCAGCAAACTATCACACGGACAAAAAACCAAACACAGCATGTTCTCACTCATAGGTGGGAATTGAACAATGAGAACACATGGACACAGAAAGGGGAACATCAGACACTGGGGCCTGTTGTAGGGTAGGGGGAGGGGGAGGGGGGAGGGATAGCATTAGGAGATACACCTAATGGTAAACAAATAGTTAATGGGTGCAGCACACCAACATGGCACGTGTATATATATGTAACAAACCTGCACATTGTGCACATGTACCCTAAAACTTAAAGTATAGTAAAAAAAAAAAAAACCTAAAATTATTATTTTTAAAATCACAACTTTCTTTTCCACTTCCTCCAGTTCCTTGAGGAATTTGTTCATCGTCTACTGGGCCTGTTATGTCATTTTCAGTTTTGCCTCTGCTCTCTGCCTGGAATGTTCCATAATTGCTTTTCAGGTAAGATACTTCTGGGTGGGAGAGCACTGAGCCATTTTCTTTGTGACTCTAAAATTCATAAAACTTCATCAGTCTTTAAAAGAGTAATGGATTCTGCCTGAGAGTGCTCCTTAACTCAGTAACTTCAACTGAAGGCTACATTTATTTTCTTCTATATAGGTTTTGTTTGTCAAAGTATATTTGTTCAGACAATTGAACATCTTTTTATTTACTCTAATTAAGTATATTGTTATTTATTCAATTTCCAAGAATTTAAAAAATATTTTAGTGATTAAGGATTCCTATTGAAAATAGTTAAATAATATTTTAGATAAATGTGGACACAGGCACAATTTATTTTCTAAGATCTTTAGGAAGCAAGGACTAATAGCTGGATACTAGCAAATATGATTCCTGTCACTGATGCTTTCAGAGCAAAAGTCACACCTACTTTTGCTTTATAACATACTGTACTTAGATTCGATCTTGCTATTAGAATAGGCAGGTCAATGGTCCTGCTGCAACAGCCAGAAAAAGCTGGATACATTATAAATATAACATTTTGAAAGTAATTGAATGATGTGGCAGCAGCAAAGACTAAATGAATTAAAATTCCAGAGAGAGGAGAACCTTTTTGAGGAAAGCTGATTATCAAGTGTTTCCCAGAAGGTTTTGCCTATTGTGTCGTTAGGCTGATGATCAAATATGGCCCAGCCAGAGAACCTCTGCTGTGGGGATAGAAAAACCAGCAAAGCTTTTAGTGCTGGGCTAGGGTGAAGCAATGGAAGCTCTAGGGCACTTCCAGTTTTCTCCATGGGACATTTGCTGAATCCTGAGGTTGCAAGAAAAGATGGGAGGCCAGGACACAAACTTCTGAAAAGCGGAATGCAACTCCCAAAGTCAGTCGTGCTTAGAAAATATACGGTCAGTCTTCCCTTCAAGACATTTAACAAATATTTAAAGCCATGTGGGGCAGGAGCTAAGCAAAATAATCTCTGAAGGGCATGAACAAAGCTTCTATAGCCTTTCAGGACTGAGAAGACAAAGACCTGTCAGACTTTCATGCAGAAGTTCAGGAGGGCCATGCCCTAAGAACAGGGTGGATTGGAAGTTGGCTGAGTCTTAATCAAACTACAGCCCAGCTGGGATCACACTCAGTCTCTGATAGAATTGAGGAGTTAATCCTTTCTCCTCCTCACCTTAAATGACTCTCAGAAGAAAGAGAGGATCTTTTCAGGTGGAAGATAAGATTATCTAGGGCCTCCGATATTTGTTTAAACACAACATGCAGAGAGAAACTAAAACTACCGGATATTCCTAGAAGTAAAACCATATGGCCATTAATAAAGAGGAAGCAAAAGACAGTAAAAGCAGACAGACAGATGATCTAGCTATTGGAGTTAGCAAACTGGGACTTTTTAAAACTGCTTAATATGTTCAAGGAAAAAGAAGAAAAGATAGATATAAGAAGGTAAAAGTTAGACAACTTCTCCAGAGTTCATCTCTGTTGGCTTGAGTCTTTAAATCTTCTGTTTTCTGGTATAGCCCTATTGGGTTTTGATACTATGCTAGGATTCACCTTCCATTTTAATCTCTTTCCATGGGCTTGGGCATGTGTGAGTTCAAGCCTTTGTTAAACTAGAAATGTGATTCCTGATTGTGTCACATTTTGTGACATGAGTATGCGATTAATCCTGTGTACAATTGTGTGACAGATTTTTTTCCTCTTAAAACAAAAGATTTTAAGCACTAAGGTTACTGAGGTTGATAGTTAAGTCAGTGACATGTGGAGGAGGTGATGGGGGGGCTCCGGCCCAGAGGAGCATTTCATCACTGACATTTTTTCGATTTGTCAGTGTGCCATGAAAATAAAAACTTGACAGCATTTCAGTGGGTTTACCATTGTTTTTACATGCTCTTCAGGCAATGCACACCTTTACTGCCCACACCCATGTTGGATATGGCCATCACCTCCTCCTGCCCCTTGATCAGCCTCCACATAGTCTCTTGAAATTGTTCATTTAATCTTATAATTAGAAAAGTCTCCCAAGTCTCCAATTGTTTCCACAAATAACTGGATTCCTTTAAAAAGATGCAACTTACAAGATTAGAAAACCTCTACAAAGCAATCAATAAAATCTTCAATGTGTCAAGTTGTTAGGCAGGCTGGGGAAAGAAAGGGAGCCACCACTGATCTCTTTTTTCGTGTGGAGAAAGTTGAAGGGGAAAGTTCATTCATAGGAGGTGACATATTGTCAACTGAAGTTAGATCCTAAGTAGTTATAGTGCCCAGTTGATATACGTTTAAAGGACATCTTTTAACAAAGATGATATGTCTCCAGGACATTCTTGAGCAAAGCACAATTATCAAAAAACCAATTATCCAGCAACCTCTCATATTTAGAAAATAACCCAAAATATTAAAAATCTATGAGTAACTGAAATTAGAATCAGAAAATCTGTATATAAAGCTGTGTCGGTCTTTAAGACTATTCACAAATCTTCTAGCCCTCTTACTTCCTAGAATGTGGTAGAACTGCAACACCCACCCTCTTTGAATTTGAGCGCAATCACGTGACTTGCTTTAGCCAGTGAATTGTGAGAGTTCTATGAAAATATCAAGAAAAGATATGTGAAGATCGGGCTTTCATAAGTCTTGAGACTTCAATGGCTACCATAAATGGAGTACTTCTGCTCCTGTTCATTGGACATATAGCACGAGTAAGAAATACCTTTGTGGTCTTAAGTCTTTGAAGATTGAGAGATATTAATTACTGCAGCATAACCTATCTTACACTGACTGCCTAAATAGTCTTCACAAAAGTGGGCATAAATGGTCACAGCCAGAGAAGAAATGTGAACTATAACTTCTTCCCATCAAAGAGAAGACTTTTAGGTTGCATTCATCCAGAAAGCTGTTCTCCCACCAAAAACCAAAACTTTCAAGGTGCTCATGGAAACAGAGAATATCCAGTGCCACACAAGTTGAATGGTACCATTCCCGGGATAATGTCATTTTGCAGTTCGAAGAAAGTACATTATAAGGTAGCAGACCTTAAATTTTGGCATGCAGCAAATCTGGACATTTTCTAGATCTTGGAAATGCAGATAACAAAGACTACAAAATTATAATAATTCTTACCTTCAAACAATTGCAGGTTCAGCATTCCTGGTGGAAGCAATCTGGGCCTGGTTAAAGGAAGTGGCTGTTCCAAAAGTAGAAGGGCAGACAAAGCCAAATCTGGGTGAGAGATGAAGAAGGAACTCCAGAGCAAGCCACAAATGACTTTAGCTTCAAATAGAATCAAAAGCCAATTAAAGAATCATGCTACATTTATAAAGTATATAGGTTCCATGATTCAGTTGATTGTGTATTTTTCTCATTCCATAGTGTAGATTCAGACATTTACAATTCTTTTACTGTGTTTATAAAATCTCAGAAGTTTTTTTCTAATCCCAAGTAATATTATTGTTTAGTGTTGCTACCTTCAACAGTTCTCTTAGGTAGATCTAGACAATTTGCTGCAGCTTCTATATCAACACTTGCTGCTTCACCTTGCACTTTTATGTTATAGAGATGGGTTCTTTCCTTTAACCTCATGAACAAAACTCTGCTACCTTCAAACTTTTCTTTTGCAGCTTCCTGATTGAAGCCTTCACAAATTAAAGAGAGTTAGAGCTTTGCTCTAGATTAGGCTTGGGCTTAAGGAAATACCGGGGTTGGTTTAATCCTCTATGTACTAAAACTTTCTCCATATCAGCAATGAGTCTGTCTTGCTTTTTTCTGAGTCACGTGTCCACTGGAGTAGCATTTTTAATCTCCTTCAAACATTTTTCCTTTGCTTTCACAACTTGGCTGTTTGGCACAAAAGATCTAGCTTTCAACCTAACTTGGCTTCAACATGACTTTCTCACTAAACTTAATCATTTCTAGTTGTTGATTTGTGACCCTTCCTTTCATTTGAACACTGAGAGGCCATTGTAACATTATTATTTAGCTTAATATCAATACTGTTGTGTATCAGGGAATAGGGAGGCTGGAGAAGAGGGAGAGAGACAGGGGAATGGCTGATCAGTGGAGCTGTCAGAACACATACAACATATATCAATTAAATTCTCCATCATATATGGGCACAGTTTGTGGCACCCCAAAACATGATAGTAACATCCAAGATCATTGATCACAGACCACCATAAAACATATTATAATAATGAAAACATTTGAAATATTGATAGGATTACAGAAATGTGACACAAAGACACAACATGAGCACATGCTATTGGAAAAATAAGGCTGATAGACTTGCTTGATTCAGGGTTGCCACAAACCCTCAATTTGTAAAAATACAGTATCTGTGAAGCACAGTAAAGTGAAGCACAATAAAATGAATATGCCTGTATTTAAGGAACAAGAAAACTGAGCTAACCTTGAAACCAACCTGCCTCGTTTTCCGGTCTTAGGTCACCTACCTCTTATGTCCTTCCTCTCATAACAAAACACAATTTGACTCTGATGATAAAGAACCAAATTATGCCATGCTGAAAAAGACCATGTGGCTATAATCACATTGCAATAACTCAATTGGGAAGAGGAGGGAAAAGCATATAATAGAGGGTATCATAGCTAACAAGCAAATTGCAAATGTGTTTGAAGATGATAAGCTGAGTCCATGATTTTCAAACAAGAACACCAAACATGAGCTGTTCAATGTGTTGCTATCATTGAAACATAGAAAAAAATGAAGAAAATTCCTGAACTTTTACTTTTACCTATATTATTAACCACAGTAAACTATTCAGCTCACCAAACTTGAATTCAGGCATCCCAATTGTCCCAAGGGTTTGGTTTAGAATAAAATGTGTTGCTAAAAGTATAGAAACACTCCAGACTGTTGGTATTTTCCCCTTTAAGCATCACAACTATTATTGTTATTACTATTTTGGGGTAAACTGTTTCCAAAATGTGCAATCCAAAGAGGATATAAAATAGAATCTCATGTTTTCTTGATGAAATTCTGCCATAGTTGTGAACATATATGACTCTTCAGTGCTGGCAGACAGTAACATCGTGATGAGCTATTGAGGTATAGAAGGCCACTTACCCCTATCTGAAATGTGCCAGACTAGAGTGTTTTAAAGTTTTTAGGTCTGCTTTTTAGATTTCTTCTTCTTCTCCCATGCTATCATGCCATGCCATATTCTTCTTGCTATTGTCAGTATCTGCATCTAGTGACCCAAATCTCTACCTCACCCCCAAGCTACTTACCACTACTTCTTGAAAAGCTTTGGTTCATAAATAACAGCCAACATGGCCAGATAAGAATAACATTTAAAAGACAACATCCTAAGAATGCAGTTCCTAACCTTTGGAAATTATAGAAACATGGAAGAATCTAAAATAAAGTTGTAAACACTCTTCCCATATTCATGTCTGCATATAATTTGGTGGCAGGGTTTGTGAAATTCATTTGTAGATGTTGGAGCACACAAATAATGATCTAGAAGTATGAGAATTATTCTAAGTGCTTTTCTGACCAAAGGAGTACTCCTACTTACTGCATCCTTTGGGCACCAAAATATTTCCTCTCTCTAATGATTGGTTTGAACATTCTAATGCAGCTGCTTGTAATGGGAGCAATCAATAAATATTTGTTAAATATTCATCAATAATATTGATGGATTTTCAATGTAGAGAAAACAGCCTTATATTGGAAGAAATTATCTTCAACTTTCCTAGCTGGGGAAAAGTCAATGCCTAGCTTCAAAGCTGCAAAGGAGAGGCTGACTTTCTTGCCGGGAACTACAATGCCTACCTTCAAAGCTGCAAAGGAGAGACTGGCTCTCTTACCAGGAACTAACACAGCTGGTGACTTTCAGTCAATGCTTATTTACCATTCCCAAAATCCTAGGGCCCTTCAGAATTATGCAAGATCTTCTCTGCCTGTGGTCTATAAATGGAAACACAAAGTCTGGATGAAAGCACATCTGTTTGCAGTATGGCTTACAGAATATTTTTAGCACACTGTTGAGACCTGCTTCTTAGAAAAAAGATTACTTTCAAAATATTACTGCTTATTGACAATGCACCTGGTCACCCATGAGCTCTGATGGAGATGTACAAGGAGATTAATGTTGTTTTCATGCCTGCTAACACAACGTCCATTCTGCAGCCCATGGATCAAGGAGTAATTTTGAATTTCAAGTCTTATTATTTAAGAAGTACATTTTATAAGCATATAGCTGCCATAGATAGTGACTCCTTTGATGGATCTGAGCAAAGTAAGTTGAAAACCTTCTGGAAAAGAGTCATCATTCTAGATGCTATTAAGAACATTCATAATTCATGGAAAGAGGTCAAAATATCAACATTAACAGGAGCTTTTAAGAAATTGATTTGAACGCTCATGAATGACTTTGAGGGATTGAAGACTTCAGTGAAGGAATAACTGTAGATGTGGCAGAAATAGCAAAAGAACTAGAATTAGAAGTGGAATCTGGAGAAGCGACTGAATTGCTGCTATCTCATAATTAAACTTTAACAGATGTGGAGTTGCTTCTTATGGATGAGCAAAGAAAGTGATTTATTGAGATAGAATTTATTCCTGGTGAAGATGCCATGAACATTGTTGAAATGATAATGAATGATTTAGAATATTACATAAACTTAGTTGATAAAGCAGCAGCAGGGTTTGAGAGGATAGACTTCAATTTGAAAGACATTCTACTATGGGTCAAATGCAATCAAATAGCATCACATGCTACAGAAAAGTATTTAATGAAAGGAAGAGCCAGATGATATGGCAAACTTCATTGTTGTCTTATTTTAAGAAATTGCCACAGCCACCCCAACCTTCAACAACCCCCACCCTGATTTGTCAACAGCTATTGCTGTCGAGACAAGACCCTCCACCAGCAAAAACATTATGACTCACTGAAGGCTCAGATGATCATTAACATTTTTTAGCAATAAAGTATTTTTAAATTAAGGTACGTACATTGTTTTTCAGAAATAATGTTATTGCACATTATTAGACTGTAGTATAGTGTAAACATAACTTTTATATGCACTGGAAAACAAAAAAAATGTGTGGCTGGCTTCATTGCAATATTTACTTTATTGTGATGGTCTAGAACCAAACAGCAATGTCTCTGAGGTAGTTGCTATCTCCAGTCTCCACTAAGAAGATATCTAATACACAGAAATAATAAACAGAATGTGTAGATTCTATTCCTGAAATGTACTGTCTAGGGCAAGTCACAGCTTCTACATTGTGATTGAATCTTTTATAAAGTAGAATTATATAATTGCAATTCCCCTCCTGTCACCAGGGATGTGGTAAAGATAAATGAGGTGATTCATGCAGAATGTGCTGAGGCCCTTAAAAGGTGCTTTGTCAATTGGAAGTGATTTTTTTCTTGTTGTTGTTGGCATCTTCCATGCCCTCGCCCATTAGCAGTCATTACTGTGCTCTGATGGACTGACACAGCAGCAAAGCCGAGACAGCCAGTGAGGTTTAGAAAAGAAGCCAAGAAGCGGCAGGATTAGATGGACCTATGCAGCATGTAGAAATCAGAAACTGGGAGCTTCTTCCTCGGGACCTCAGCCAATTGTGAGCCAGCCTTAAAAGGCAATGTTAAAGCCATAATTTAGCATTGCCTTCCCTTCACCTGTCCCTTCACCACTCCCATCCGTAGTGTCTCGGGAAGTGTCTTTACCTTTCTCATTCTTTACCTTTCAGGACAAGGGACAGCAATGAGAAGCCATGGGTGAATTCAGAGAGAAGGAGATTTAAAGAGTTTAAGGCCACATCCACATGTAGAGTGGGCACAGTGTTAGCTAGCATTCATTAGCCCACCCCTGGGGGTCAGCAGTGTCCTGTGCTAGGATGTGAAGTGAGGAGACATGGATTATATGGATGATGATCATGAACCACTTCCCCTGCCATTCTGCGAGAGCAGTCATTTTGTATCTGATGGACTCATGCATTAGGATGTGGGAATAGGAACAACAGGATGGAATGAGAAGTCTGGAAAGTCAGTCAATGCAGAGGGCAATGCAGAAGACTTCCAGCAGACTCATCAAATCAGGGAGAGGGCTGGGCCCTTAGAGGACCTGCGTGAGAACCCCAGGGAAACCAGAGCTCGAGGAACTCTAGTGCAGGCAATTCTCTTCAGATGGTGCTATTGTGTTTACTCCCAGAGAAGAAGCAGTGCTTTCCAGTAATCCCTCAATGCCTTTGAGGTTAGGAGAGGTTAAAAATATAATTGATTAGTTAAAACACCCGGGTTTTGGTACAGTAAACTCATGAAGATGGATTTGTACATTTGGGGGCTTGGAGAAGAAAAATGAAGTCTCTGATTCTTGCATACCTAGAGAAAGCAGAAGTGGGAGACTTTACCAGAAAACCATAGTAACAGACTTGTACTTCAAAACAAATTTGCAAACAATTTCTGATAAATCTCTGCCAAAGTAGCATTGAGCATTTCTGTTCAAACAATGGGAATGTGTCAGTGACTGGGTACTGCATCATTCATTGCAATTGTGCATAGCAGAATTTTGCATATATGTGACCTACAGGGTGGAGATTTCAGTCATCACACAGTGGGCACCTACTACACATATGGTATCTTGTTATCTCTCATTCCAACTCTATGAAGTATTGATTACTATCCATTAACGGATGAGGAAATCAAAGCTCAAACAATTTAAATGACATACTTAACATCCTATGTGAAAATGTAGAAGAGCCAGTCTAGAAACCAAGATCTCCCATCTTGAAGTTGGCATGCTACACAGGAGCCACTTCCATTCAGTACTCTTTAAAAGATGCAATATACTGTCATGTTTGACAGACATAGAGGGAATAACAAAAAGCAGTATTAAAAATTCATGCATGTCAGAATTTCAAATTTTGGATTTACGGTATTCAGGGCATTTCCTCCTACCATGGGAAAAAAAAAAGAAAAGAAGAGAGATAAAGGACAAGCTAGTATTGGGATCCTACCTCCCCATCTACTTAACAGATCATTAAGTAAATTCAACTGAAAATGTGAAAGATTTTCAATTTTAGTTGTTCTTGGAAACAACCTAAGTTGCTTCACATTTGGGCCCTCCTACTCTCCCCCATGTGTTGACTGTAGTGCCACAATTATCTTTCCAGAGGTCCTCTTAGTTCACATGAGGTATATATGTAGCAAGGGAGTGGGGAAGAAAATACAGCTGCATCTATGAAATACTCCATTGTCAGTAAGGGGGGTCACTGGGATTAAATATGAGAAGGCTATAAAAGTTAGAATGATGATCTAGCACTACTATTTATTATTTTGTAGTCGTATTTCTCATAAAACTAAATGAAAAATGTAAAGCTTTTTCCTTTTTTAGGTGAGAAAATAGAATTTCAAAACTGACAACCTTGGCTAAGCAAGGCAGCTCATGGCTGTGATCCCAGCACTTTGAGAGGCCAAAGTGGGAGGATTGCTTGAGCCCAGGAGTTGGAGACCAGCCTGGGCAACATGGTGAAACCCCATCTCTACCAACAACAACAACAACAAAAATGCAAAAATTAGTGAGGCATGGTGGTCCGTGCCTATAGTCCCAGCTACTCAGTAGGCTGAGGCTATCACTTGAGCCCAAGAGGCAGAGTTCCAATGAGCTGAGATGGCACCACTGCACTCCAGCCTGGGCAACAGAGTGAGACCCTGTCTCAAAAATAAAACAAAACAAAAAAACCTGATAATCCTGACTTGCAAATTCATATAGAAACTAAGTTTCCAGTTAAAAGCTCCTTCCAAAATGGCAGCAAGTTTTCAGCAAAGGGAGAGAAAGTGTAATTTCAAGCATGAAATCAACATACATTTATTGAGGACTAAACTTATGTTAGATGCTGTAGTGGATTGAATGGTGATCCCCAAAAGATACGTCCATGTTTTAACCCCTGAAACCTGTGAATGTGATTTTATTTGCAAAATGGAATTTTACAGATATAATTCATTATTTTGAGGTGAGATCATCCTGGATTACAAAAGTAGGCCCTAAACATAATAACTAGTTACCTTACAAGAGACAGACAGGAAAAGGCAGAGGTATAAAGGAGAAGGCCATGAGAAGACACAGAGATTGGAGTTACAGAGCTACAAGCCAAGGAAGCTAGAATGGTAAAGAAAAATTCTTTCCTAAAGCCTTCTGATGGAGCACAGCCCGGCCAGCACCTTGATTTCAGACTTCTAGGCTCCAGGACTGTTGTTTTAAGTCACCCAGTTTGTGGTAGTTTATTATAGCAGCCCTGGGAAACTAACATACGTGCTAGGAAAAGAGAGATCCACAAATTCTGATTTTTAGCCTTGATGCCGAGGATCACAGTCTAGTTGGAGAGCTTGTGAACAAGTATATGGAAAGTGCTTATTCCTGTTTCTGGAAGTCACTGTAGGTTAGCAGAGCTAGCAGGAAGCCAATGTAAATATGAAGTGGGAAAGAGTGAAGACTAATAGGACCTACAAAAGCAAACTGAAATCTATACTCAGTTCTCGCTGACCTGAGTTTCAACAATGAGTGTGGTGGATCCACAGAAGTTGACACCTTTGGGAATTGCCAGACAAGCACACCTAATTTAATTTCAATTTAAGATAAACAACAACTAATTTTAGTATAATTATGTCCCAAATATTGCCTAGACACACACTAAAAAATTATTTGTTTATCTTAAATTCTATTTTCTTGGGCATCCTGTGCTTTTATTTGAAAAATGTGTCTTCTTTACCTTTTCCACATAGTGGCTTGGGACTCAGAGATGCTATAGAAGATCAGTCAGCAGAGACTGCCCCTACCCCAAGACAATCAGTGGTCAGCAAATCAGCAGCAGCACCTGGTGCCCTACATAGACCTTCCGGTTCCAATGACAGCTGCTTCACTTCTGCCTTCCTCCTTCCAAATCTCCCACTAATTTATCTTGTGGCTGACCCTTACCCAGAACCACAGAGAAGGGGAAATTATAAAAAAGCTTAGCTAAGTTGATGCAATAAAATAGCTATAATATTATTAAATAAATATTCAAACCCTACCAACAAAAATGTGTACCTTTCTCTCTGTCTTCAAGAAAGTAACTTAGAATGGATAATAAATTCTGCTCCAATAACATCATTTTTTGCCACTTTTGTCTTTCTACCATTCTTTATAGAATATTAACAGATTTAAACTGTGGGAGTCATGAACTCCAGCCAATGTATTTTTTCAATGGGAAGCAGGGGCCCAGATAGGTTATGTGAGTTACCAGAGAGCAGACTTATTAATGTATTAGAGTTAAGCTAAAACTTCTGGTCTCCTTTTTCCTAGATGTCTTTCCTCCCTGCCAATCTACTTTATTACTTCCGTCAAACCTGGGTTCAGTTCTGTTTAAGTAAGTCTTCCCTAATTAATTCTGGTCCCTGACCACTTTTTTGTCCAATATTGCTTTAAATATTTAGACCTTATGGTTATGTTATAAATTCTACACAAACAGATGTTAAACAAATCAGTTTTACTAAATAGCTCTGCTTTTTAAAAGCATAAATGCTGTTTCTCCCAAAGAGCAAATCTTTTTTACCTCAAGTAATTTGTAATAATAGTTCCATTTTATTTGGCAAAAGGGCATGCTGACAGAATTCTATACAATAAGTGGAAAAACAGAAATTTGCTAATGAAAATTTTTCCAGGTTTAGAATGTAAATAATAATGCATTTTCGCCTATGAATTAGGGTGACTGATAACCCTGTTGATACCAGGAATTTGTTACATTTCACTGCCGTATTCATGGATCGCATGTTAGCTTGTGTCTGCAGGTGTTTCTATTGGAATAAATAATAGTTTGCACTTTAACTGAAACATTATTTCATGATAAACTAAAGGAATTCAAAGCACTAATCACATCAACAAATTATGCAGAAATAACAGCCTCCATGTGAAATATAAGGGTCATTCAAAATATGAGATAATTTCATGAAAATAAACAGTTTTTCTATTTATTTGCTACAGTGGAAGATGGCAGATGGGTTAACTAAATCCAGATTGTCTTTTGCTACAGGTATAATAGACATGAATTGAGCTGAGGATGCTAAAGAGTATTTAATGTGTTACACAGGAAGTACCATGATGTCGCTTGATGCATTCTGTCTACCAAAGACAGAATCTAACTGCAAATAGTGAGAAATAATGCATTAGGCAAAGAAAACACGGTATTTATGCTCCTGTGAGGATCAAGTTTAAGAAAAGATTAAAATGCTATCATCTAGATAAGCAAGTAGAACAAGATGCAGTATTTTGCAGAATATGTTGAAGGAAAGCAAAATATCTGCAAGACTATTTACAAAAAGTACTTTGAGTGTGTGCTGAAAGAAAGACAAAAAGCTATCTGCAAATAATGGTGAGAACTTTAAAATGAGCCAGATGCATTCTGCCACAGAACTGCCTCAGACAGGAAACCTCCATGGCTCACCCAGAAGAAGGCCAATAGAACTGTACAGGACACCAGATTCAATTAGGGAGAATTACCAGATTCTTGCTGCAAGTTTATCTTGTGATCTTTAATATTTAAATATATAAATATGTAAGTTAATGAATTGAAAAAATTCCCTGCCAGAGCTTGACAAACTAGCACCGATAAGACAGGGATATAAATATATGATATCATCTATTCTCCCACCTCCTCTGTGCAGTAAGTTTTAGAATAATGACATGCATGTCCTGTCTATAATAAGATAGAGAAAACTTTATTTTCTTAACCAATAACCAGGCTCTCCAATTTTAAGTCCTAAAGTTTACCTCTGAAAGAAGGAGGTCACAGCTAGATTTGTTTTTTTAACTCCTAGATTAAAATGTGTATTAATTTCTTAAAGCTGCCCTAACAAAACCCCACACACTGGGTGGCTTATAACAACAGCAATGTATTCTTTTACAATTCTGGAGGCTAGACATTTGATCAAGTTTTGGCAGTGTCTTCCTGTCTCTGAAGCCTCTAGGGGAGGGTCCTTTCTTCTCTCTTCTTTCTCCTGGTAGTTGCTGGCAATTCTTGGGTTGCCTCCTAGTAGTCCTGAGCCTGATTGGCTGATCGTTCCAGATCGGTTCCTTCTAGTTCTGAGTTGAGATCACCAGTGCATTTTTTATGCACAACTTTGGTTTTACCTCTGCCCTGTGTTTTATCTTGAGGTTAATTGCTTTTGAGAATAAAACCATAAGCCATCAAGACAGAGCACAGCTGGGTTAGAATGAATTCCTTCCAGCAGTAATTTACCTACCTGATGCTTGACAGGGATATTTGCCCAATTGAAACATTTCTGTTATTCCCCACTCTCTTTCTTCTCTGCTTTCTGATTTGCATTGTAACCCTAGAAGCATCACAATTGGCCCTCCTTTCCAAGTCACAAACTGAAAAATCTTTCAATGAGAGTCTTGAATTTCAGAGACATCAACAGTTTGCACTTGGTTCTCAGAGCTGATGAATAACGGAACCTTTGGAAGTAGAGTCCATCAGTTTCTCTCAGCTGCTAGCCTGAAATTCTAGGGTTACTGAGAGAAGAACAGTGGTTCAAATATTGTGCATAAGTATGTCTCAGCATGCTCCATTCTGGTACCACAGTTCCAAATTTCTAATTCTGTGAATTGATCTGGAGATTTTAAGGAAAATCTGCTTCCCATCCTGCCCATCCTATATCCCCTGTTTCTTTCTACTCCCACCTGGAAAACTTTCTTCCTCCAGTAACACCAGCGACATTTGGTTTCTGCCTACTGACTGCCAAGCACAAGTGTGCCTTGTGCTTTGTGTAGAGGTAGGTATTATTTCTATTTTACATGAGGAAACTGCAGTTATTAACTCAATCTGGCTGTCTCCAAAACCCCATGCTTCTACTTCATCATGCTGTATGAGTCTCCTGTTTATTTTGTTTGTTTGTTTGTTTACTTGATCCCTTAAAAATGTTTTTTGTTAGATATTTATTTCAAGTTTCAAAAATAATACATACTCACACGGAGAAGCTGACCAAAATAAAGTCCCAAATCTCCCTGGCACCTGCTCTTCTACTCAGCTTCATATTATCTTCCATTTGAACCCTGAATTTACTTTACGTGGCTATCCCTCCAGGTAAATATTTACAGAAGGAATTTGTTCCTTTAAGGGTTACGTAATTGTCTGCATAGAATGAATAAACTAGAAATTATTCATTCATGTAATCATTGATGATCATTTACATTTTTCCTAGGTGTTTTTGGTTTGTTTGTTTGCCCACGGGAATTATAAATAATGCTGAGGCCGGGCACAGTGGCTCACTCCAGTAATCCCAGCACTTTGGGACTCCTAGGTGGGTGGATCACGAGGTCAGGAGTTCGAGACCAGCCTGGCAAACATAGTGAAACCCCATCTCTACTAAAAATACAAAAAATTAGCCGGGCATAGTGGCAGGCACCTGTAATCCCAGCTACTCGGGAGGCTGAGGCAGGAGAATCGCTTGAACCGAGGAGGCGGAGGTTGCATTGAGCCAATATCACGCCATTGCACTCCAGCCTGGGTGACAGTGTGAGACTCCATCTCAAATAATAATAATAATAATAATAATAATAATGCTGAAATTAACATGTTTGTATATATGGATGCTACATACTGATGCTTTCCTCTGTGTAGAATAGAATATATCCCCAAAGCAAAAACATGGAAATATATTTATTTTAATATGAATTTCCAGTTAACCTTCCAAAAATTTTGTAGTGATTCATTTCCTCATCCATAATGCATCAGTGTGCCCATTATCCAAAACTATGACCATCATTAGATATTATCAAGTTATCAT
This sequence comes from Homo sapiens, assembly GCF_000001405.40. Classification (NCBI taxonomy): domain Eukaryota; kingdom Metazoa; phylum Chordata; class Mammalia; order Primates; family Hominidae; genus Homo; species Homo sapiens. The sequence continues at coordinate 58,209,530 of NC_000005.10, forward strand.
TTTTTTTTTGAAAAACTGAGAGTAAAAATGACTTCCATTCATTTTTGCAAAACAATTTTGTTTTAGCACAAGAGTAACCTCCACTGCAAATTCATATTTTATAGTCATGGAAAAAAGTGTATATGTATGTGTGTGAATTTGCATGCTTTTCAAAAGACAAAAAAAGTTATAATGTTGGAAGATGAAGGAGACAGATAGCTGCTTAAACCCAGAGAAAGCAGTATGTGTGATGTAGAGCTTTAATTTCTAGACACCTCTGTCTCATTGAACATCCAGAGGTTGAGGCTGAGTCCTTGTCTGTGAAATCAGGAAAATAACATCTGACCCTTAACTACTAAAAGGTGAGTAGGAAGATTAATGAGTTCATATCATTAGCACATTTGAAACTCCTGGGGAAAAGGTGCTTTGGAAATGTAATATGTCTTATATTTGTTCCATAGGTTACATAATGCAATTTCAAAGTACACAGTGCCTATTTTGTAAGAGACTCCAAAAATTTTACTTTGTGCATAAAATGAATCTCATTTTAAAAAATCCATTGTACCTGTTATATAAGATGCATATCATAACTAGATGCTTTTCAGCTTTATTCTCACAGCAAGGGATGCTAACAATCTCAATTTAATACATTCCTAATTCCAGGGATGTTCTTTAGGAGAGATTGCATTCTGGAGTCCTTGAGAGGAAAAAAGAATTTTGACTAATGGTTAAAAAGATCAAAGATATTTAAATGGTGGGTTTTCTATGGGGATGTGGAGCTCTCCAGTTTGCAATAAAAATTCTGCTCAAGCAAGGATGGTCAACCAGTATATTTTTAATTATGTTGGGAAATGTGTGTCATTTGAACACTTCTGAACAAGAAAGCTGAGATGTTACTAGTTTCTAGTTAAAGTCATTGCAATCGGTTTCTATGAAAAGCATAAACCCTTATTCATTGGGGGCAATCATGAAATACATCACTTCAAATAAATGGCCTGGGCTGAGATGGTCACAAGAAGATTGGTCTGAGATGGTCACAAGAAGATTGGCCTTAAAGCAGATAATTTAGGCTAGTCTCCACAATGCCAAAACAGCTGGTCAGGCTTTCCAGTGGGTTCAGTGAAGCTGACTTTCAGGCCAGTTGTTTGGTTTCCTAGACACCTGCTTAAGTCATGCTTACAATTTACCATTTAATGAGTGTTCTGGGGGAAAAAATATCAAATAGGTAAAACCACAGATGCAATGTGATTGCAGATGATGCCTCTTAAGCTCCATTTTTTTAATCTGTCTCAATGTATTTATGAATATTCTGATAGAGCAAAGAAAATGTACATTTACATCTGTAGATGTGAGCATAGATTGTAGCTAGGCAATTATCTTATCAAACTCCATCTAGTTGATGGTTATAAAAGAAAGGAATCATCTCTAGCAAGATGAAAATGGAGGTGATTTTTCTCCAATTTATAAAATGCTATAGCCAGGATCAAGAAGAGGGTGGATTTTGAAGGCAGATAGATTTGAATGAGCACCTAAGGTCACTGGCTATGAAAGTTGAAAATGCAATTTAATTTTTATGAAAGCCTCTATTTCCTCACTGATTTCTTTTTTTGTTCCTCTGACATGCTTTAGGATCAAAGGTCTCTAAATTCTGTATTCCCTATGCTTGGATTCCTCTTTCTGTAATTATCCACATAGTTAATTCCTTCATCTTATTGAAGTCTTTGCCCAAATGTCATCTTCTCGATGAAGCCTATCATGTCCACCTTATTTAAATTTTAACCCAACCCCTACCTTGAACTACTACTTTCCTATTCTTTTCACTTTGTGCACATTATGTATTGCCTTCAAGATTTTTATCATATATTTATTTTATTTTCATATTTATTGTCTATTTTCTCCCCCTAGAATATAAAATCTATGATGGTAGGAAATTATAGTATGTTCATTCACTGATATATTCCAGTACCTAGAACTGTGCCTGGAAAAGAGTGCATGTTCAAAAAAAATATGGTGAGTGAATAAATAAAAGAAGCTGCTAGAGTCCCTTGCATATAATAAGCTCTCAAACATATTACTTCCCTTTCCTCCCCTTTAAGCAGCTAAATCTAAATACAGATTATTGCTCAAGCTTTCACCCTATTATACTGCCAAGTGGATAAATTCAATGACTAATGCAATTGAGTCCTGAATGCTTCTGCTATTTTCTTTAAGAGGTACGGTCATCTGCAAGATTTTTAAAAAATATATTATTTGTAATAAAACTTTTGAAGATGACCACTGCCTCAATGGAATAAGTAATCCATTCTTTAAAATGTGCTTAAAGAAAGAAATTCCAGGCCAGTCGTGGTGGCTCATGCCTGTAATCCCAGCAGTTTGGGAGGCTGAGGCATGTGGATCACCTGAAGCCAGGAGTTTGAGACCAGCCTGGCCAACACGGTAAAACCCCGTGTCTATTAAAAATACAAAAATTATCTGGGCGTGGTGGCTGGCGCCTATAATCCTAGCTACTTGGGAGGCTGAGGCACGAGAATTGCTTGAACCCGGGAGGCAGCTGTTGTAGTGAGCCGAGATGGTGCCACTGCACTCCAGCCTGGGCGACAAAGTGAGACTTTGTCTCAAAAACCAAAAAAAGAAAAGAAAAGAAAAGAAAAGAAAAGAAAAGAAAAGAAAAGAAAAGAAAAGAAAAGAAAAGAAAGAAAGAAAGAGAGAGAGAGAAAGAAAGAAGAAAGAAAGAGAAAGAAAGAAGGGAGGGAGAGAGAGAGAAAGAAGAAGAAAGAAAGAAAAAGAAAGAAAGAAAGGAAGGGAAGGGAAGGGAAAGGAAAGGAAAGGAAAGCAAAGGAAAGGAAAGGAAAGGAGGAAGGGAGAGAAAGAAAGAAAGAAAAGAAAGAAAAAGAAAGAAAGAAAGAGAAAGAAAGAAAGAAAGAAAGAAAGAAAGAAAGAAAGAAAATTCCATCAACCCCCTCAAGTATTTATTCAATGTCTAACAAACCTCCAGTGTAGATCCACCATTTATTCCATAAGTTCAATGTATTTTCCATACTGTTTTCATTGATTGTGTTTTTGTCTGGCTGACTTCCAATGATACAGAGGCGCCTTTGTGTTATCTATTCCTACTATAGAAAGGAAAATTTCAGTCCAACTTGCCTGTTGACCTATGTAAGGTAGATCTTTCTTTAAGCCCAGAGACTGACATTTTCCAAACCTTCCTTTAGAATTGGTATTTGTTGCATGTTGAGCTCTCCAGGAAGCAGATGCCAATCAAGATGGAGTTAAGGTGGCAAAAGGTTTACTAGGTAGTAACCCTGAGAAAGGGCATGAAGCTGGACTAGGTAGAGATCTGTCAGGCTGAGATGTACCTAAGAAATTCTTTGCCATAGGGAGCCATGGAGTAAAGATTGCCTATTGGAATCTTTCTTTGAGCAGAAATAGACAAGCCCTTATACCCCTGCCTTGCTCAATCATTGGCTGGGGGATGCCCCAAGGATAGCAGCACCTCAGCTCCAAACCTGAGGAGGATTCTGAAGCACTAACAGTTGGAGGCTGTTAGCTAACCATCCTTTAGCTGAGCAGCTATCTGGTCTCTAAGGGGCATCTGAGCAGTGCCTCCCCATGTCAGCCACTGTATTGTAGCATATGCTGTCAGGACTCCACCATGTCTCCTCTGTACTCACTCTCTCCATGTGTGTCAATGGCTTTCTTGTGCAGGCACCTGTGACACATCACTGCATGATATCTCTGACATGCTTGGCCAGTATGCATGGCAGGCCAGAGGGTGAGGGAGTTGCTGTTCCAACAGTAGCCTTCAGCCAATGACTGTGAAGGGAACTGGAGAAAAAATGACCAACTTCCTCCCTCCTCTGATGGGACAGTTCATGTTCTATACAGTCTCTCAGAAGTCCCCAGATAGATTGAGCCCCAGTTATCTGCAGTGTTAATTTCCTCATGAATGCAACTCTATACTGACTTCTTGATCTTGCCTGTCTCATTTCTCTACTTCCCTATCAGCACTTCTTGGGAATTACCTCCCAAATGAACCACTAAGACTCGAGTTCTTGTCTCACAGTCTGCTTTCTTGGGGAACCCAGCCTAAGATAACTAGCTAGCTCTGTATGTGGTTTATAGAAAGAACTCTGCCCACTAACTAAAGGTAAGATGGAGTGAGCAAATCTGGAGAACATCAGGTAACTGGTTCTAATAATCCCAGGGAGGTCAAATATCTTGACAAAGTTTACTCCTGAACTAATGGAAGAGTTAGAAGTGAAACCCAAGGGTCCATTTATTGCATTTTGAGTTGGATGAATTCTAATCATATAAAAGGAGGCGGATGAGCATCTAAAATAGACATGGGATATCATTCTTCACATACAGGTCCTGTGTGTTTCTTCTAGCTAAATAGGACACATTACTTTTTACTGAGGTACTCTAATAACATAACTTCACATTCTCATGCCTTTGAATTTTAAAATTACTTACATTTATTTTATTCCATTTTTCACAGTGACCTAATTATACAGCTAGGGATTTGAGGCTCCACTTTACCATAAGTAAACTGAGGTTTAGAGAATTTAAGTGCCTTCATTTGACCGTTGTTAAATTTTTAGCAACTAGAAGAGATAGGGGGCATACCCAGATTTTCTGGTTCTAAATACAACCATCTTGCCACTTTATCTTGTTAGTTTTTCTTAAATCCACACATGAACACAAGCAAGTATTTTTCTCCCCCAGTTTTTCTATTAGCACTATCAAAATGTTGTTCCATATGTGTACATTTAATGCCGTATTTGCATTCTAGTGATCTCTAGATGGGATTAACACATTAATAAATACAAAGAAGACAACTTCTAAGTAATATAGATAACTAAATTTAGTTATTAGCATTGTTATTTTCCATCAAAACTTTCTGCAAGCTGGGTGCAGTGGCACCTGTGATCCCAGCATTTTGGGAGGCCAAGGTGGGTGGATCACTTGAGGTCAGAAGTTTGAGATCAGCCCGGCCATTATGGTGAAACCCCGTATTTACTAAAATTACAAAAATTAGCTTGAAGTGGTGGTGCGCTCCTATAGTCTGAGGTACTTGGGAAGCTGAGGCACAAGAATCACTTGAACATGGGAGGCAGAGGTTGCAGTGGGACAAGATCATGCCACTTGCACTCCAGCCTGGACAACAGAGTGAGACTAACTAAAAACAACAACAACAATAACAACAACAACAACAACAAACTTTACTTTGCTATTTGATTATCTTTACTTTCTTACTAAGCTAGAGTTCAAGAAAAAGAGAAATGAAATTAATCTGATAAAAGAAGTGAACAAAAAAAGTCCCTTGAATCATCTACACACTGGAAAAGAAATCCTTCAAGAGTCCTCCTACTTCAGACCTGGAGAAAAGCCATAATTATTCAGTGTGTACAACTATAAACCCTGATATGAATTTTGAAGTGTTCTCTACAAGCAATCTTTTCACATCTCCCACTCCAATTATTTAATCATATAATTCAGTGCCAGCCATGTATGAGAATTTGGAGGGTAAAAATAAAGAACATTAAATTATATTTTGAAAGAGAAAATATTTAATTTCAAGTTGTAGCAGTGGAAATTAAGGCTGGGTGTTTTATTCAGAACAAACTGAAACATGAGCAGAAATGAGTGGTGCAAATATGAATATATAATGAGGAACACTAATGAAAGAAGTCAATCACTTGCGTCCTAACTAGTGAGATGATTGTATCTGACTGTGGAAGTTGTCCATGAGGATCCTCATGGTTCAGCCTTGAGCCTCAGCTGTGTGGTTTGTGCCTGGGCCTGGGGATTGAGACCACAGCTGGGAAAAGGTCTCCTTTGATTACCTCCCTGCTCTTGGAGTTGACAACCAAAGAATTCAAAGTCTAAAATTCTTTCAGAGAAGTAGAGACTTTCCCTCAAGGAGAAATAAAAAAACCTTCAGGAACAAGAATGCTTCATTCCCCTTTAGGAAAGCCAGGTCTAAATGAGCTGATCCCAATCATTAAGACCAGCAGTCATGCTGAGGGAAATGATCTAAAAAGCATGTCTGAGCCAATCAAGTTGAAAACAACCAGTGTTCCTTCAGAGTATTCCTGTCTCCTGGCTGGCCCTGCTGCAGCTGCCTGAGTCTACATCCCTGCCTAAATTCCACATTCCTGATTTAAGATCAGCAATATCCCTATCACCCTGCCTCCATCTTTCAGAAATCCCAACTAGAGCAGACCCAAGGACAACTCTAGCCCCTCTTACCTGGTATCTACCTACCATTACCTTACCTAGGACAGCCTAGGATGTCCTTCCATGCTCCTGTGGGGATTTCAGGACAACTCATAACAGGAAACCATGCTGGAAAACCCAAACAAAGGATCAGTCACCTCACTAGAATAAAAAAGGTTCAGGAGGTTGGAGCCAAGATGGCCGAATAGGAACAGCTCCAGTCTACAGCTCCCAGCATGAGCAACTCAGAAGACGGGTGATTTCTGCATTTCCAACTGAGGTACCAGGTTCATCTCACTGGGGAGTGCTGGACAGTGGGTGCAGGACAGTGGATGCAGCGCACAGTGCGTGAGCCGAAGAAGGGTGAGGCATTGCCTCACCTGGGAAGTGCAAGGGGTCAGGGAACTCCCTTTCCTGGTCAAAGAAAGGGGTGACAGACAGCACCTGGAAAATCGGGTCACTCCCACCCTAATACTGTGCTTTTCCAATGGGCTTAACAAACGGCACACAAGGAGATTATATCCCGCACCTGGCTGGGAGGGTCCCATGCCCACGGAGCCTCGCTCATTGCTGGCACAGCAGTTTGAGATCAAACTGCAAGGAGGCAGTGGGCTGGGGGAGGGGCGCCCGCCATTGCCAAGGCTTGAGTAGGTAAACAAAGCGGCCTGGAAGCTCCAACTGGGTGGAGCCCACGGCAGCTCAAGGAGACCTGTCTGCCTCTGTAGGCTCCACCAATGGGGGCAGGGCACAGACAAACAAAGGCAGCAGTAACATCTGCAGACTTAAACGTCCCTGTCTGACACCTTTGAAGAGAGTAGTGGTTCTCCCAGCACGCAGCTTGAGATCTGAGAACGGGCAGACAGCCTCCTCAAGTGGGTCCATGACCCTCGAGTAGCCTACTTGGGAGGCACCCCCCAGTAGGGGTGGTCTGACACCTCACACATCTGGGTACTCCTCTGAGACAAAACTTGCAGAGGAACGATCAGGCAGCAGCATTTGCGGTTCACCAATATCCACTGTTCTGCAGCCACCACTGCTGATACCCAGGCAAACAGGGTCTGGAGTGGACCTCCAGCAAACTTTAACAGACCTGCAGCTGAGGGTCCTGAATGTTAGAAGGAAAACTAACAAACAGAAAGGACATCCACACCAAAAACCCATCTGTACGTCACCATCATCAAAGACCAAAGGTAGATAAAACCACAAAGATGGGGAAAAAACAGAGTAGAAAAACTGGAAACTCTAAAAATCAGAGCACCTCTCCTCCTCCAAAGGAATGCAGCTCCTCACCAGCAATGGAAGAAATCTAGATGGAGAATGACTTTGACGAGTTGAGAGAAGAAGGCTTCAGAAGATCAAACTACTCCGAGCTAAAGGAGGAAGTATGAACCAATGGCAAAGAAGTTAAAAACCTTTAAAAAAAGTTAGACAAATGGATAACTAGAAGAACCAATGCAGAGAAGTCCTTAAAGGAGCTGATGGAGCTGAAAACCATGGCACAAGAACTATGTGACAAATGCATAAGCCTTAGTCGCCGATGAGATCAACTGTAAGAAAGGTTATCAATGATGGAAGATGAAATGAAGTGAGAAGAGAAGTTGAGAGAAAAAAGAATAAAAAGAAATGAACAAAGCCTCCAAGAAATATGGGACTATGTGAAAAGACCAAATCTACATCTGATTGGTGTACCTGAAAGTGACAGGGAGAATGGAACCAAGTTGCAAAACACTCTGTGGGATATTATCCAGGAGAACTTCCCCAATCTAGCAAGGCAGGCCAACATTCAAATTCAGGAAATACAGAGAACGCCACAAAGATACTCCTTGAGAAGAGCAACTCCAGGACACATAATTGTCAGATTCACCAATGTTGAAATGAAGAAAAAAATGTTAAGGGCAGCCAGAGAGAAAGGTCAGGTTACCCACAAAGGGAAGCCCATCAGACTAACAGCTGATCTCTCGGCAGAAACTCTACAAGCCAGAAGAGAGTGGGGGCCAATATTTAACATTCTTAAAGAAAATAATTTTCAACCCTGAATTTCATATCCAGCCAAACTAAGCTTCATAAGTGAAGGAGAAATAAAATACATTACAGACAAGCAAATGCTGAGAGATTTTGTCACCACCAGGCCTGCCCTAAAAGAGCTCCTGAAGGAAGCACTAAACATGGAAAGGAACAACCAGCACCAGCCACTGCAAAAACGTGCCAAATTGTAAACACCATCAAGGCTAGGAAGAAACTGCATCAACTAATGAGCAAAATAACCAGCTAACATCATAATGACAGGATCAAATTCACACATAACAATATTATCCTTAAATGTAAATAGGCTAAATGCTCCAATTAAAAGACACAGACTGGCAAACTGGATAAAGAGTCAAGACCCATCAGTGTGCTGTATTCAGGAGACCCATCTCATGTGCAGAGACACACATAGGCTCAAAATAAAGGGATGGAGGAAGATCTACAAAGCAAATGGAAAACAAAAAAAAGGCAGGGGTTGGTTGCAATCCTAGTCTCTGATAAAACAGACTTTAAACCAACAAAGATCAAAAGAGACAAAGAAGGCCATTACATAATGGCAAAGGGATCAATTCAACAAGAAGAGCTAACTATCCTAAATATATATGCACCCAATACAGGAGCACCCAGATTCATAAAGCAAGTCCTTAGTGACCTACAAAGAGACTTAGACTCCCACACAATAATAATGGGAGACTTTAAGAACCCACTGTCAACATTAGACAGATCAATGAAACAGAAAGTTAACAAGGATATCCAGGAATTGAACTCAGCTCTGCACCAAGTGGACCTAACAGACATCTATGGAACTCTCTACCACAAATCAACAGAATATACATTCTTTGCAGCACCACACCACACCTATTCCAAAACTGACCACATAGTTGGAAGTAAAGCACTCCTCAGCAAATGTAAAAGAACAGAAATTATAACAAACTGTTTCTCAGACCACAGTGCAATCAAACTAGAACTCAGGATTAAGAAACTCACTCAAACCGCTCAACTACATGGAAAATGAACAACCTGCTCCTGAATGACTACTGAGTACATAACGAAATGAAGGCAGAAATAAAGATGTTCCTTGAAACCAATGAGAACAAAGACAAAACTTACCAGAATCTCTGGGACACATTCAAAGCAGTGTGTAGAGGGAAATTTATAGCACTAAATGCCCACAAGAGAAAGCAGGAAAGATCCAAAATTGACACCCTAACATCACAATTAAAAGAACTAGAGAAGCAAGAGCAAACACATTCAAAAGCTAGCAGAAGGCAAGAAATAACTAAGATCAGAGCAGAAGTGAAGGAAATAGAGACACAAAAAACCCTTCAAAAAATCAATGAATCCAGGAGCTGTATTTTTGAAAAGATCAACAAAATCGATAGACCACTAGCAAGACTAATAAAGAAGAAAAGAGAGAAGAATCAAATAGATGCAATAAAAAATGATAAAGGGGATATCACCACTGATCCCACAGAAATACAAACTACCATCAGAGAATACTATAAACACCTCTACACAAATAAACTAGAAAATCTAGAAGAAATGGATAAATTCCTCGACACAAACACCCTCCCAAGACTAAACCAGGAAGAAGTTGAATCTCTGAATAGACCAATAACAGGCTCTGAAATTGAGGCAACAATTAATAACTTACCAACCAAGATAAGTCCAGGACCAGATGGATTCACAGCCGAATTCTACCACAGGTACAAGGAGGAGATGGTACCACTCCTTCTGAAACTATTCCAATCAATAGAAAAAGAGGGACTCCTCCCTAACTCATTTTATGAGGCCAGCATCATCCTGATACCAAAGCCTGGCAGAGACACAACAAAAAAAGAGAATTTTAGACCAATATCCTTGATGAACATCGATGCAAAAATCCTCAATAAAATACTGGCAAACAGAATCCAGCAGCACATCAAAATCTTATCCACCATGATCAAGTGGGCTTCATCCCTGGGATGCAAGGCTGGTTCAACATATGTACATCAATAAATGTAATCCAGCATATAAACAGAACCAACAACAAAAACCACATGATTATCTCAATAGATGCAGAAAAGGCCTTTGACAAAATTCAACAACCCTTCATGCTAAAAACTCTCAATAAATTAGGCATTGATGGGACATATCTCAAAATAATAAGAGCTATCTATGACAAACCCACAGCCAACATCACACTGAATGGACAAAAACTGGAAGAATTCCCTTTGAAAACTGGCACAAGACAGGGATGTCCTCTCTCAACACTCCTATTCAACATAGTGTTGGAAGTTCTGGCCAGGGCAATCAGGCAGAAGAAGGAAATAAAGGGCATTCAATTACAAAAACAGGAAGTCAAATTGTCCCTGTTTGCAGATGACATGACTGTATATCTAGAAAACCCCATGGTCTCAGCCCAAAATCTCCTTAAGCTGATAAGCAACTTCAGCAAAGTCTCAGGATACAAAAATCAATGTACAAAAATCACAAGCATTCTTATACACCAATAACAGACAGAGAGCCAAATCATGAGTGAACTCCCATTCACAATTGCTTCAAAGAGAATAAAATACCTAGGAAACCAACTTACAAGGGATGTGAAGGACCTCTTTAAGGAGAACTACAAACCACTGTTCAATGAAATAAAAGAGGATACAAACAAATGGAAGAACATTCCATGCTCATAGGTAGGAAGAATCAATATCGTGAAAATCGCCATACTGCCCAAGTAATTTATAGATTGAGTGCCATCCCCATCAAACTACCAATGACTTTCTTCACAGAATTGGAAAAAACTACTTTAAACTTCATATGGAACCAAAAAATAACCTGCATTGCCAAGTCAATCCTAAGCCTAAGCTGGAGGCATCATGCTACCTGACTTCAAACTATACTATAAAGCTACAGTAACCAAAACAGCATGGTACTGGTACCAAAACAGAGATATAGATCAATGGAACAGAACAGAGCCCTCAGAAATAATGCTGCATATCTACAACTATCTGATCTTTGACAAACCTGATAAAAACAAGAAATGGGGAAAGGATTCCCTATTTAATAAATGGTGCTGGGAAAACTGGCTAGCCATATGTAGAAAGCTGAAACTGGATCCCTTCCTTACACCTTATACAAAAATTAATTCAAGATGGATTAAAGACTTAAATGTTAGACCTAAAACCATAAAAATGCTAGAAGAAAACCTAGGCAATACCATTCAGGACATAGGCATGGGCAAAGACTTCATGTCTAAAACACCAAAAGCAATGGCAACAAAAGCCAAAATTGACAAATGGGATCTAATTAAACTAAAGAGCTTCTGCACAGCAAAAGAAACTACCATCAGAGTGAACAGGCAACCTACAGAATGGGAGAAAATTTTTGCAACCTACTCATCTGACAAAGGGCTAATATCCAGAATCTACTATGAACTCAAACAAATTTACAAGAAAAAACAAACAACCCCATCAACAAGTGGGCAAAGGACATGAACAGACACTTCTCAAAAGAAGACATTTATGCAGCCAAAAAACACATGAAAAAATGCTCACCATCACTGGCCATCAGAGAAATGCAAATCAAAACCACAATGAGATACCATCTCACACCAGTTAGAATGGTGATCACTAAAAAGTCAGGAAACAACAGGTGCTGGAGAGGATGTGGAGAAATAGGAACACTTTTACACTGTTGGTGGGACTGTAAACCAGTTCAACCATTGTGGAAGTTGGTGTGGCAATTCCTCAGGGATCTAGAACTAGAAATACCATTTGACCCCAGCCATCCCATTACTGGGTATATACCCAAAGGATTATAAAACATGCTGCTATAAACATACACACGTATGTTTATTGCAGTACTATTCACAATAGCAAAGACTTGGAAACAACCCAAATGTCCAACAATGATAGAGTGGATTAAGAAAATGTGGCACATATACACCATGGAATACTATGCAACCATAAAAAACGATGAGTTCATGTCCTTTGTAGGGACATGGATGAAGCTGGAAACCATCATTCTCAGCAAACTATCGCTAGGACAAAAAACCAAACACCGCATATTCTCACTCATAGGTGGGAATTGAACAATGAGAACACATGGACACAGGAAGGGGAACATCACACACCGGGGACTGTTGTGGGGTGGCGGGAGCGGGGAGGGATAACATTAGGAGATATATCTAATGCTAAATGACAAGGTAATGGGTGCAGCACACCAACATGGCACATGTATACATATGTAACAAACATGCACATCATGCACATGTACCCTAAAACTTAAAGTATAATAATAATAAAATTTTTTTAAAAAGGTTCATATTCTCTTCATCTCAAATGTACCATTCAATTATGAAGCCATAGACACTGCTCCTTGAGTTGGTCCAGCCAGAGAAAGATGGGAAAATTTTCCAGTGTAAGAAACACCAGGGCAAATCCTTCTCTGTGAGCAAGCCCCTCTTTGGCAAGCAACAGTTTGTGGAGGATAGACTTCTGCATGCAAAAGTTTTTACACTGTTGGTGGGACTGTAAACTAGTTCAACCATTGTGGAAGACAGTGTGGCGATTCCTCAGGGATCTAGAACTAGAAATACCATTTGACCCAGCCATCCCAATACTGGGTATATACCCAAAGGATTATAAATCATGCTGCTATAAAGACACATGCACATTTATGTTTATTGTGGCACTATTCCCAATAGCAAAGACTTGGAACCAACCCAAATATCCATCAATGATATACTGGATTAAGAAAATGTGGCACATATACACCATGGAATACTATACAGCCATAAAAAAGGATGAGTTCATGTCCTTTGTAAGGACATGGATGAAGCTGGAAACCATCATTCTCAGCAAACTATCCCAAGAACAAAAAACCAAACACCACATGTTCTCACTTATAGGTGGGAATTGAACAATGAGAACACATGGACACAGGAAGGGGAACATCACACACCGGGGACTGTTGTGGGGTGGGGGTAGGGGGGAGGGATAACATTAGGAGATATACCTAATGCTAAATGATGAGTTAATGAGTGCAGCACACCAACATGGCATATGTATACATATGTAACAAACCTGCACGTTGTGCACAGGTACCCTAGAACTTAAAGTATAATTTAAAAATAATAATAATAGTAATAAAAAGTTAGTGCATCTGCCAAAGTCAGAATTTCTGATCAAAGCTGTCTCTAGCCACTTAACAGTAAAAATTATTTCCAAAACTTGACCATAGCTTTCAGAAAAAAAAAAAACAGAACTTATTTGTACAAGGATCCAAATATCAACCTGGAAATATTGGTTATTTTAATTGCATCACCATAGATAGTTCACTGCATCATAGGTATAGGTTATCTTTTGGCATAGTTTTACTTTTAAACGATAATGCCTTATATTTGTATAGAACCTGAAATTTCTCTAAGTGGTCTCACATGCATTATGTCTATTTTATTAGGTAGCATGCCAAGGACAATTATTGCCATTTTAAAGAATAAGACAGTAATATGATTTGTTATCTGTATCCCCACCAAATCTCACATGGAATTGTAATCCCCAGTGTTGGAGGAGGGGCCTGGTGAGGGGGTGATTGGATCATAAGGGCAGTTTCTCATGAATGGTTTAGTATCATCCCCTTGGGGCTGTTCTCCTGAGAGTGAGTGAGTGAGTTCTCCCAGATCTGGTTGTTTAAAAGTGTTTAGCACCTCCCCTGACCTTCCTCCTGCTCTGGCCGTATGAAGGGCTGGCTCCCCCTTCTCCTTCAGCCATGATTCTAAGTTTCCTGAGGCCTCCCAGCCATGCTTCCTGTAGAGCCTGTAGAACCGTGAGCCAATTAAACCTCTTTTCTTTGTAAATTACCCAGCATCAGGCATTTCTTTATAGCAATCCAAGAACAAACTAAAACATTAAGGATCATAGTAGTTAAACAACTTGCCCCCAAATCATAGTTATTAGATGATAATGCTTGGATTTAAACCAATATTTGATTAACTCCAAAATTCACATTATGGAAGACTGAGGTACAAGTTTACAAAGCTAATTCACAGCAGAGCACAGTCTAGAAACCAGGATTTCCAAACCTTAAGGACTCTATATTACACAGCAGATTCTTATTAAGTTTCTACATATTTAAGTATGGGGGCATATAAAGCTTTGAGTTTCCATAGATGAGAAACTAGTCATCAATCTAATCTTTATAGAATTCAGTCAGGTAAGCTATTCAAGAAAAATATAACAATAAGGTCCTCGGGTAGCATAACTGTGCAATTTTAATGTGATAACCGTTAAGATATTTCCCTGACACGGAGAAGGAAAATCTATTAGTTTATCACAGCTTGCTTAAAATATCCTCAAAGATAATCAAGTCTTTTGCCATGAAGATCGTGACTTATAAGGCAATCTTTTTTATATCAAATAGTTTTCCTGGAGCTTCAATGTAGAAAAGTAGACACTACAGGATTATTAAAATTCCTTCTCTATCCTCTGCATCTTTCCGCCATCTTTATAATGTTCTATAATAATTTTTAAGTGAACAAACCATATATATCAAAGACATAGCCTCCACAAGAGAATTCATCCACACAAAATGAAATTTCCATGGCGAGATGGTAGTTATGACAGTAACTGAACCCGTGAAGTAGCATATGTTTTGTTTTCCATCCAGTCTTCCCAGATAAAAATTGCCTGATAAATTCTGCTCAGGTCCATGGGGACACTACAGACCTGAATCAGGCCAACTCCATCTTCTTCCTCTTAGCTAGGACCGGTTTCTATTATCTAAACAATGTTTCCTAGTGTTTTTAGACATACACTGATAGATATTGTGTTTTTTATGTTTTTAATAAAAAATCCATTAACTCTTGACTTCATTTGCCTGTGAAAATATTTCAAGAGATTAAAACAGTTTGTGATAAATTCTTTTTTATAGCACAGTAAATGATGATGGAAACTTAACTGCCAAATTGCTGGAGGGAAGAGTTTTAATCATTTCACTCTGGTTCTAACATGTTATAGGAAACATCGAAGAATCAGCAGAAGCTTTATTTAGCCCCACAGGAAAAAACACTAATATTTGGACTTCTCATGGCATTCAATTTTAGTTTCCTAACACGTGGACAATTTTGCTCTATTTCTCAATTCTCAACAGAGATGAGCGATTACCTTAGTCAAAAGTTGTTTTTGTAAAAGGTTATTTTTGTGGCCGTGGTGAAACCGTTAAAAATAGTTTTGCTTTCAGAACACTAAAAGGAAAAAGGCTTTATCAAACTTAGAAAATGATAGCATTATTGCATCAAAATTTCAATACAATGTTAAACCTTTGAAAATGCTAGATAAAAAAAATCTGCTTGAAACAGAGAAGACAAACAAAAAGCAATCCAAAATGTACAATAAACATCTACTCTTTACAAAATTAAGAAAGAAAATATCAGCTGTATGTTTTTATTAATCTTCCCTTTTTAAAATGTCCATGGGTATAGTAGATTTTTAAACATTTTATTGCAATCTCTATTGGGCTCTCATTAATATGGTTGAAATTCACTGATTGACCTGATTCTCTTCTCTGACTACTGAGGTTTCTACTCCTCCAACAGAAGTATAAATCACAAACACAGCATCCAATAAAAGTGGAATCCATAGCTCTACTTCTTTTCAGGTCTTATAATAGTTCAGAGGGGTTGGGAGAAACTATTAACATTTGTTGAGCTCCTTCTATAGTCTCAAGATGGATCATAGACTTAAATGTAATACATGAAAGTATAAAACTTTTAGAAAAAACCAGGAGAAAATCTTCAGGATCTAAAGAGTTTTTAGGCATGAAACTAAAAGCATGATCCATAAAAGAAAAGCAAAGATAAAGTGGGCTTTATCAAAATTAAAATTTTTATTTTGTGAAAAACACTATTCATAGAATGAAAACATAAGCTAAAAACGAGAACAAAATATTTATACATACCAAATAAATATTTTCTGTCACATATCCAACAAATAACTTGTATCTAGGATATATTAAAAAAATTATTAAAACTCAAGAATAAGAACACAAACAACCACATTAAAATACAGCCAAAAGACTGAAAAAAAATGCTTAAGATGATATAAGAATGGCAAATAGAAACATGAAAATATATTCAGGCCAAGCATGGTGGCTCATGCCTGTAACCCAAGTAATTTAGGAGGCCAAGGCATGCAGATCGCTTGAGTCCAGGAGTTAGAGACCAGCCTGGAAAACGTGGTGAGACCACATTTCTAAAAAAAAAAAAAAAAATACAAAAATCAGCCAGACTTTGTTGCACATGCCTGCAGTCCCAGCTACTTGAGAGGCTGATGTTGGAGGATCGCTTTAGCCCAGGAGATAGAGGCTGCAGTGAGCCAAGATCACCCCACTGCATTCCAGCCTGGGTCACAGAGCAAGACCCTGTCTCAGAAAAAATAAAAGAAAGAAAAAGAAAGAAAGGAAGAAGGAAGGAAGGAAGGAAAAAGAAAGGAAAGAAAGAAAGAAAGAAAGAAAGAAAGAAAGAAAGAAAGAAAGAAAGAAAGAAAGAAAGAAAGAAAGAAAGGGAGAAAGAAGAAGAAAGAGAGATCACTACAGTGATCCTCCAACCTCAGCCTCTCAAGTAGCCGGGACTGCAGGCATGTTCAACAAAGTCTGGCTGATGTTTGTATATATATATTTTTAGAAACATGGTCTCACCATGTTTTCCAGGCTTGTCTCCAACTCCTGGACTCAAGTGATCTGCATGACTTGGCCTCCTAAACTATTTGGATTACAGGCATAAGCCACCATGCCTGGCCTGAAAGAAAGAGAGAGAGAGAGAGAAAGGAGGAAAGAAAGTTCAAAATGATTAGCCATCAGGAAAATGTAAATTAAAAGCACAATTAGATACCACTATACATCTTTGAGAAGAGCCAAATTTTTTTAAAAAAAAGAGAATACTGTCAATACCAAGTGCTAGAGAGGATATGAAGCAACTGGAACTCTCATACATAGTTGATAGGAATGCAAAATCGCATAGGCACCCTGGAACCTTTGGATATTTACTGGAAAAAAAACTAATGTCCACACAAAAAATACACAACTATGTATAAGAGCTTTATCCTCAAATTTCCCTAAACAGGTTAATGGATAAACCCACTGTGGCACTACACATCCATACCATGGAAAAGTACTCAGGAATAAAAAGGAAAAGCTACCAATATATGCAAATTTGTAGACAAATCTCAAAGTCATTATGCTTTGAGACTTTGGGGGCAGTATTATGCTGAGTGAAAGAACCTGTTCTCAAAAGATTGTATGATAGAGGTCCAAATTTACAATGGTTTGACTTAAGGATTTTTCAACTTTACGATGGTCCAAAAGTGACATGCATTAAGAAGAAACTGTACTTCAGTATAGTATTCAATAAATTACATGAGATGATCAACATTTTATTATAAAATAGGCTTTGTGTTAGATTATTTTGCCCAATTTTAGGCTAATATAAGTGTTCTGAGCATGTAGGGTAAGCTATAATGTTCAGTAGGTTAGGTATATTAAATGTAGTTTTGATGTACAGTATTTTCAATTTATGATGGATTTATCAGGATATAACCCAATCATAAGTCGAGGAACATCTATCTGTAAATGATTCCATTTATATTATATCACATTCTCACGAAGTCAAAACTATTGTGACAGAGAACAGATCAGTGGTTTCCAAGAATTAGGAGTGGAGGAAGCTTTGATTGCAGAGGGGTGACATTGGGGGAATATTTTGTGATGATATATCAGTTTTGTCTTCTGATTTTGGGGGTGGTTACACAAATCTACTCATGTGTTAAAGTTCATAGAACTGTATATCAAGTGAAAAAAATCAATTTTACTCTATAGTAATTTTTTTAAATACAATTTATTATAAAAATAATAAAGGAGATTTTTTAAAAAAACATATTTCATCACTATTTCTTCTTTTGAAAGAATTCTTCTGCTGCTAACAGATAACAGATAATTCCTTTTCTCCAATATCTTGGGCCTTCCGAAGCTAACACTGGCTTTTCCTTCTTAATGACAAATCCGGCAATGATGAACATACTGATAGCATCATTAAGTATTCAATTCGTGGCATGCCTTTTTCTAAGCACTTCACATCCATTTCTACATTTTATATTCACAACGTGCTTGAGGAAGTAGGTTTCATTAGGATCTCCAATGTATAGAGGAGAAAACTGGAGCATGAAGATGTTAAATAATTTGGCCAAGATCGCTCAGCTAGTAAGTGCCTGACTTCATATTCAAATCGAGGCAGTCTGGCTACAGAGTCTCTGCCCTCAACCATAGTATTATACTACTTCTTTCTAAATTCACCTGGGTAAGCCTTAAAAATAGACTGTATGCAAACCACTTGGCTATACTTTGTATTTCTAAACTCTTGCAAAGGAAGTATAGACACAAGATCCACCAAGTCTTTTCATCTGCATTTCAGCCCCATCTTCTAGTCCTCCTTTTCCTGAAGGAATGTTACCAGGGCTAAAACATTTTGACAATTTCCTTGAGTATATTTATTTAGATATATAAAAATAAATACATTTGATTATAGTGTTTGAATCTAAAAGAGAGGCTATCTATCATCTTCCTTTTGCCAACATAGGTTAGATATTAAAGCACTGGATCCTAGGAACAGGCAAATATTTTGCCTTTATTGTCATATTTTTTTGTGAGAGAATGACATAGATCATTTTCAAGAGCTCACGTAAATGAAAATTTACCAAGCAGGCAGAATTTTAAAATATTTCTCTTTTCATTTGGATAAAGACAAAATGATTCAATTTTGTATCTGTTCAATTTCTGTCAGTGTATTATTACCATTGAGTAGTAAACTGAGGTTGTTTAATATCTAAACAGAAAACAATGAATTATAAAAAAAGTATTATTCATTTTCTTTCTTTTTTAATTTTATTTTTTTATACAGACAAGGTGTCACTGTGTTGCTCAGGCTGGTCTTGAGCTCCTGGGCTCAAGTGATCCTCCTGCCTCAGTTTCCCAAAGTGCTGAGATTACAGGCATGAGCCACTGCACCTAGCCATCATTCATTTTAGATATTGAAATTCCCTTCTATTTTTTAGTGATACTTAAATTATTTGCACCTTATAACCCTTCAACAGATCAAAACACAACTATTCTCACCCTACTTAACACTCCAAAAATAACAAAGAGGAATCCAGAGAGTAAAATCATTACCAAGAATAAATCCGTCAATCCATCTCAGAGAGAAAAAATTATGGTCGTACATTTCTGTGCAATGACGTATAGCTTGGGTCACACCATGGACCCAGAAAAATGGAGCCAAGCATTTCACCTGAAATAATATAGAAGGGCACAAGCAATCACAGGAATTTTAGCTTCAGGATGTGGTAGTAGACCATGGGGGCAGGAAGAAATAAAAGGAACAAACGTCACAGAAATAAACAATAGGAAAAGGTAGGGGACAGATCATGGTATCTGAATGACAAATTGGCAACACCAGGAAAGTGCACCTCAGAACAGGCTCTGGAATTGGAACATCTACTTGGCGGATATTAGTGGTGAATTTTTCCTCCTCTCTCTTTAAATGGAGAAACAATAGAATGACTCTAGCATATTTGATCAACCTGAGTCACTATATGAATACTTTATTGATATTAACCAAATTAATGAGGGAAATTCTAAGATGTCTATTTTCCTCATACATGCAGGGCTGATAAGGAGGGGAGACACCTACGGTTTCTTCCACTTGCAAAGAAAGGAACAATAGAGACAATGGTGACATCATGTCACTCCCTCTCCAGGTAACCTTCAAGTGACTTCCTATCAGTCTAGCTAGCCAAGATCAGAAATAATATGGTTGTTGTATAAAGGCATTTCTAGGAAGACAAGAAACAGAATGTAGAAGCAATTTCCTTTCACAAGCCTACTTCTGATTTCCAGCTCAGCAACGTGATATTATAGAATAGTTTAAATGATGGAGCTGACTGTATCAAACTGAAATATTAAAATGATTAATCTATTACAGGAACTTGATTATACCATGTTAACTTATCAAGATTATCAAAGAAAAACGGAAAGGTCTTAACTAAATGCTTCCTTCTACTAACAGCTCTCAGCTTTTTGTTGTTGTTATATCAGAAATACATGACTGTAAACAGTGTAATAAGTTTCTTTCTCTTATTTTAATTTAGCCCTTTGAAATTATATGCATTTTTCCTAGGACATTGACAAGCAATGTTGGCAGAATAAAGAATCCAGTTCCCTTTGTGCCCTTATTTTGTAGAACATCAGAGAGTGCTTTTCTCAAGTCCTAAAGTGTGACGCAGAGAAAGGGATTTTCAGTCCCCTCTGCCCTCTCACACATCTCTTGACTATTGCAACTCACTTTGCAGCTGGGGGATTATTTTCTCACACTGAGATTCATAAACACCATGAGACTCCTCCACTTCATCCTGGATCCACATCAAACCCCAGTGATGCCTTTTTCAAGCTATAAACATTTGCCATGCAGCATTAGCATGCTACATATGGCCTGAAACACCTCCTGCTCCCCACAAAAGCATGGGTAGGAAGAACAGTTCATGTTTGTGACTCACAGAAGGCCACAGAATACTCCCGACTTCTCTGAGATTTTTTTTCTTCTCAAATCTACCCTAACTCCATAGAGTTTATATTCAGTCATGAACCAACAAAAATAGATGCATGATGAAAGCTGAATTAAAAAGGAAGCCTCCCACGTGCATTCACCATTGATGGGGGATAAATTGGTATATCCCTTTCTGAGGACAATTTGGTAACATGTCAAAATCCCCTAAAATAGCATATTTTAACC
Source organism: Homo sapiens (assembly GCF_000001405.40). NCBI lineage: Eukaryota > Metazoa > Chordata > Mammalia > Primates > Hominidae > Homo > Homo sapiens. The sequence continues at coordinate 58,230,567 of NC_000005.10, forward strand.
AGGTGGTCCACTTCTAGGAATATATCCTAAGGAAATAGACAATTCAAAAGATGAATGTTTCGGGACATTCGTTCCAAAAAAACCAACTAAATGCCAACAATCAATAAGAGACTTCTTCAATAAATGATGGCATATTCCTGCAAAGTAGTTTAAATGTTGCAATTCAAACTATTGCAATCTATTTTTACTGACATGTAAAAAGGCTCATAAAATGCCATCAAATTTTTTGAAGACCATAAAATGGAAATAGCAGTCTGTTGCCATTAAAAATTTTTATTTATATATACACAATTTAACTGCATAAAAAAATTTTAAAGAGCTATACATACTGAAAGGTTATGTGTACCAAAAAAAAGTTATTATGGATTTTTCCCTGTTTTTTTTCTTAATTTTTCTAACAAAAAGGTTTATTTTCCATAATGAGAAAAGCGGTAGCTATTTCTGTTTTGAAAACAAATAGCTGGGGAAAAATTAAGAGAGAGTGCTTTTTCTCTTTTACTTCCAGACCTCTGATTCACAACGATGGCAGTTCCCTTCTTAACTGTTAATAGACCATTAGGTTCTGTAATTTTCCATCAGTAACATGCCTCTGAGAAGCCTTTGGAATGGCCAGGCACAAACCCAAAGGCCCAGGTAATTCTGAAGTTGGGGAAAAATATGGATTAGTAAATGATCCCTTAAGGGCTTGGATGATTCATGCCTATTCCAAAAGTTGTCACTTAGAGCCAGAGGTATTTAGGTGTGTGTAGGTTGGTGTCAGGGTAGAGAGCTGCCTGGGTGGATAAATGCCACTGTAGGAGGGATCTTAAAAATGGCAAAGTTCCAGGGAGCCAGGCCCTCCAAAGTATGTAAATTTTCATGCATCAAAACAAATCCAAAAGTGGATTATCAAATGTAAAACTAAAATATGTAATTTCTAGCTATTTAACTTGTCTTGATGTGTTTTCTTTTAGCATTGCTTTAGAGACACATGTGGTGCAAAAACCTTAATCAGGAAAATTAGTAATACTTCTATAAAATCAGTTTATTAACTTTCTAGATATTTGAAGAGGCAGCCCATGAAGTCCACTCTAATCATTTTATAAGGGTCAAATTCAAACCTAGAGATATTCTGGTCTTCTTTTCTGACAGTAAGTTTCATGAAAAATAAGACCATTCCAAAAACACTAACTTGGCAGCAATTTTTGCCCTCAAAGTTATACAATTTAATGTTCATAGGTATAGTAAGTATTTTATAGCATTAAATAGCTTAAGATTAGGTAATACTTATCCTTTATTCCCCCACAAACCCACCAAAAATCCTCAGAGCAATATATTAGGTTTAAACACATGAAATTGCCATGATCACACTAACTTTTTGGCATAATAAGTCAATGCCTAACTTTAAAATATATTTTAATGGTTATATAACATAGCCAAAATTGTATTTGGGTAGAATATAATCATCCTTCCTTCATATCCTATCTTTTAAATCACCTCTATCCCCCAAAGATTCCAATCTATTTTATAACCTCAATCTCAAGTGGGGATATTTTGGGGAAGAGAGTGGGACATGGCTGGTCCTATAGTTTAGATTATTCTGTGTTAGCTAGAAGACAGAATAATGCCCACTATTTTAGAAGAGATGCTTGAAGGTGATTTTACAGCCATAACTGAGATTTCAAAATCTTATGCATTTTGCCTACAAGGGTAATCAGAACAATGCCTAGGGAACTGTGACGTGAGCCTCTCTTTGTATGAGCACTAACATTCTTCCCTCCTCTGCACACACACATACACAAACGTAATAGAGTAATAAATCTAATTCTTCACACGAACCATCAGCTACACTACTGAATACAAATCAAAAATGCGGTGTGTTATTAATCTACTCATCCACATACAATCTTTACGGTGAAGTTTCTTTCTAGTCTGTATATTCTGTACTACAGGTATAGTCTGTGCTGTAATTCTGTACCTGTAACTAACCGTACTGCCCCTATCTGTGGTGAGATTTCAGAATGGGTCACAGACAAGTAAATATAATAAATAATGTGCAGTACTGTCATTGGAAACAAAAGCTGGACATTTACAAAATATGGCTCAAATATATTTTTGTTTAATATCTGCTCAAATATTTGCCCTTGCTCAAAATCCTCCAATAGTTTCCCATAGCAATCAAAATAAAATCCTTACTATGGCCAAATGTGCTCCTACTCTGGGATTTGCCATTTTTATGGTTTCTTCCACATGGAGCATTTTCAGAGAATTTTCACACTCTCATCTTTGCATGCCTTGTTTTGTTTAAATGTCTCTCACTCAGAAAAACCTTTCATGGGCCGGGCGCAGTGGCTCATGCTTGTAATTCCAGCACTTTGGGAGGCTGAGGCGGGCAGATCACAAGGTCAGGAGTTCGAGACCAGCCTGACCAACATGGTGAAACCCCGTCTCTACTAAAAATACAAAAATTAGCCAGGTGTGGTGGCATGCGCCTATAATACCAGCTACTCAGGAGGCTGAGGCAGGAGAATCACTTGAACCTGAGAGGTGGTGGTTGCAGTGGGCTGAGATCGCGCCACTGCACTCCAGCCTGGGGAACAGAATGAGACTCCGTCTCAAAAAAAAAAAAAAAAAAAAGAGAGAGAGAAAGACCTTTCACGACTAGCGGATTTAAAATGCAGTCACAGATTTATCCTTCTTTACTTCTTTATGTTTCTTCCTAATTTAAACACTCTAAATTCTTTTATTTTAATGTCTAGTTTCCATTTGCTGCATTCAAATGTAAACTCCATAAGGGTAGATGCTTTGCCTCGTTTCTTTACGACTATACCCTCAGGAGCTGGAAAAATGCCTGGTACATCATCAGCAATACTCAATAAAGGGATGCTGAAAGAATGAATGATCCATTGCCCATAGTGAGGTGCATGAATAGTACTCTTCTATATTAAGACAAATGCAAGCAGTTATTCTTTGTTCTCTTGGACTTTATGGACAAATGCAATATTTATAATATTGTTTGAATGGGGAGCACTGTGAGTGGTGGGTTAGGAAAGAGCTGATTGGAATTAGGCTTTATTCTAGGCTCATGCTGTGATGCTGCAAGGATTACACATCACAATGCAATCTAGAGCTTAGATTTCCAAAGAACTTTCCACCATCAAAAGGTGCTATAGACTTAATGCTTGTGTTCCCCCAAAATTCATACACTGAAAGCTGGCCCCAGTGTAATTGGAGGTGGAGCCTTTGGGAAGTTATTAAGACAAGAGGGCAGAGCTCTCATGATTGGGATTAGTACGCTTGTAAAAGAAACCCCAGAAAGCTACCTTGCCTTTTCAGCCATGTTGAGGACACAGTGAGAAGACGGCCGTCTATGAGCCAGGAGACAGGTCCTTACCAGAACTCAACCTGCTGGCAACCCCAATCACAGATGTCCAGCTTCCAGAACTGTGAGAATAAATTTCTGTTGTTTATAAGCTACCTAGTTTATTGCATTTGTTACAGCAGGCCATACTGAGACAGACAAAGGAGAACAGAGTTTGTTCAGTTTAAGAGAAGAGTAAACTGAAGTTTGGTTCTATCTGATACTAAAGAAAACATAATTAACTGAAAGTTTTCAAGTGAATATCCTAATTGACTGGGAACCTTTGTTAATTTCTTACTGTTAAAAATCATTCTAGATCATTATCTATTTCAAATAATAATGACTCTGGAACCTGAGGCTATGAGCTCTGATCTGCTTTGGGGTGATCTTAAGTAATGCATTTAACTGCTCTGTTCCTCTTTCATCTGTAAGATGGGAGATGCAACAATAATGCTGGAATACATACAATTCAATAGAAATGTTTTTCTCATTCTCAGGCAATGCAGAATATGGCACAAACTTCAGGGGTAATCATGTGATTATTCATGATAACGGTCCAATTCTAGAAATGAGGTTGAATGTATACAAATGACAGAAAATAACCCATAGAATTATTTTGACTTTGCTTTTGTAAAGCTATACTAGTTTTATTTTATGCCTCTCTATATAAATAATCATTAATTATTAACATTTTAAATTATACAATCTAGATTAGCTGTTCTCAATTAGGGACTATTTTGGCCCCCAAGAGATATTGACAATGCTTAGAGATATTTTTGATTGTCACAACTTGGGGAGGGGTGTTACTGGCATCTAGTTGGTAGGGATCAGGGATATTGTTAAATATCCTACAATGCATAGGACAGCCCTCACAGTGCTGAATTATCCAGCCCAAAATGTC